>NC_000005.10:61359807-61984807 GCF_000001405.40 Homo sapiens | reverse complement strand
AGTTCTGGGTGTGCCTTGGCTAAGTCTCCTCTCTTCTGTGTTTCCTCAACAGTAAAATGAGGGAGTTGGATCATCTCTAAGATGCCTTCTTGTTTTGAGATGATAACACTCTGTCCAGTCTCTCCTCTAAAACTTTCAGTGGTTCTCCAATGCCTTCCAAATTAAACCCATTTCTTTGGCTCATGTTAAAGTTTACTGAAAAATAGCTACAGGTTACTTTTGCAGTTCTTTTCCTCCTACTCTCAACTTGGAAAACCCAACACTACAGCAAATTGTCTCTTCCTTGTCCATTCCCTGCATTTTTACCTCTTTTCCTTTGTTCTTGCTGTTTCCTCTTTCTACAATCTCTGCCCCTCTTCATCTGTGAAATTCTTCCCACCCTTTGCTGCATGCCATGAGCTGTCCTTTGCATGAAGTTCTTTGTGTTTCCTCAAGAAATTTGTGCTACATTCTTCTGTTGGGCCCCATCACTGTCCTTTATGTATCATCTGGCTGTGGGGGCACTATGGGGTGATAGGAACAGGAAGCTTCCTGTCACTTTGAAAGCACTCTTCTGACCATTCCTGGCTGTTCTACCATTACAGTGGCCTACCTAGTATCATATCTGCTGGGAAATGTGTGGACTTGGCTGGTAATTGAGGGAAAGACCCTTTAAACGATGCTTTTGCAGAGCTCTGAAATAAAAGTGCTGCTATTCACAGTCAGGTTCTGGGAACAGTGAGGCGTAGATGACATTTCTTTTAAGCAACATGCAAAGTTTCCCCAGAGGAAAGAGATTAGAAGACAACATTAATTATTCTTAAGACTGTGAGTCCTGATTTTCACTAATTGCTTAAATTTGCCACCTGCCTATTCTGACGGGTGACATTCCACTGGTAGGAATCCAGACCTGCAGAAAGAAAAATCTTTCCTTCTGAAAGGGCTTGCTGGACTTTTCCAGCATGTCCAGTGTGCAAGAAGGCAGGGCAATAGCTCAGCAACTCCAGTGGGGAAGTCTGAGTCTAGGACCCCCAACCACCATTTCTTATTGGTAGCAATAATTCAGGAAATCCATCCTACCATGTAACGTAGCAGTTAGTAGCATGGACCCTGGAGCCACACTTTCTGGGTTCAAATCCCAGTCCTCACCCTCTTACCTTGCTAGCTTCATGACCTTCTGGAAGTCACCTAACTTTTCTGCGCCTCAGGGCTTGGCTAGATTTGAAGCCTGTTTGTGAATGGCCACCTCTGCTGCTGCTCCCTGTCCCTGAGCCTCCAGAGGATGTTGTCAGTACAGCTTGACATGGCCAGGGGCTAGACATGTCCTTAAACATCTCTTCCAGAGGCTGTTTGTCTCCCACCTTTTCCCTGGAGTTTTCAACCCCCTTCTGAGCAGGCCCATGTCTTGGATGACCTTCAAGGACCCTCATCATCCTATGTTCTGTGGCCTCACAGTTTTTTGGATGAGGATGGGCAAAATGGGTCAGGTTAACAAATTATTGGTGAAGTGTGAGGCAGCTAGAATATGCTGCACTATCCTCCCACCTGCACCCCACCTCTGATAAAACATATTGCATTAACTTGTTTTTCATTCATTCAACTGGTATTTAGTAAGCATCTACAAGGATACAAGGGCTAGCCAGATTAACAAATGCCTGCTGAAACTTGAGGCAGTGCAAATCTAACATCTCCAAAACATGTATAACACATAATTCTCTCAACTTATATTTGTTAAGCATGAAACAAGCCTGGGTTTGCCCTTGTCCAGCCTATTGTCTACTGGAGTCTCAACTGCAGTATGGGATAAGCACTACCTGGGGGAAATTCAGGGAGAATTTTAGAAGAGCAGTGAATCCAGAGTTAGGGCTCTTGGACGGAGTAATCACTACAGAAGAGCTGAAGGGTGAAAAATGAATAGGAGCTTATCATCCCAAGAATGGAGGGTTGAGGGGTAAGGGAGGGTAAGGAGTGTTCCAGACCGAAGAATGGCAATAAGAGGTCTAGATGGAAGAGCCAGCACTGCCCTGCTTGGGGACCCAAAATAATGACTTCTGGGAAGAGGTGTAGGTCTGTGGAGGAATTTGAACTTGAACTTCAGGGCAAAGGGGGGCTGCTATGAGTGAGAATATTTCAAGGTGATATTTGGGTTTTAGAAAAATTGCCCTGCTCATAGCAGGAGAATGGGTAGAGGAGACCCAAAGTGCAACAGCTCTCAGCCCTGTCCCCATCAAGTCCATGACGGGGCCAAGGCCATGAGGGTGAGTGACAAGAGCTCAGGATTCACTGTCAGGAGACCTGAGTTCTAATGTTGGTGTTACAGCAAACAACTGATGATGACTTTGCGTAGTAATTTGGTCTTCAGTTTTCCCTCTTGTAAAATGGTGGTTTCTAAGGTCATAGAGCTCTGTTTCTCTGTCATCTTTAAGCCCTACTATTAACATGAATTTCTTTTTACAAATTTCTCTCTCTCTCTTAGTTTGCTAGGATTGCCCTAACAAAATACCACAGACTGGGTGACCTAAACAGCAGATATTTATTTTCTCAAAGTTCTTAAAGCTAGAAGCCTGAGATCAAGGCATCCACAGGGCTGGTTTCTCCTGAGGCCTCTCTCCTTGGCTGGGAGACGGCTGCCCTCTCACCATGTCTTCACGTGGTCTTCCCCATTCCCGGTGTCTCTTTGCATGATCTACTCTCCTTTACTTAGAAGGACACCAGTAGTCGGATTAGAGCCCGCCCTAACTTCCTCATTTTAACTCAGCCACCTGTTTAAAGGCCCTATCTCTGAATACAGTCACATTCGGAGGTCTTGGGGTTAATGCTTCAACATATGAATTTGGGGGGATACCATCAGTCCATAACTTTCTCTTTCCTTTTTTATATCTGCTTTGATATTAAACATGCTGAAACTAGAAATATCTGGGCTTGTTTGGAGCACAAACTTCCCTAAGTTTTGATTCTCTTTTCTATGCCCTTTTCCCCTGAGTTTGATCCTCATTTCACTTATTGATGGTGATTATATGGGCCATCCATTTCTGGGAAAAGCCAGAGTTAGCTTTTCTTCTACACTAGGCAAGATTTTTTTTCCTGTAATAAAAGAGCATTTGAATTCTATGCTCTGCGTCCAACATGAAACCTTTTCCCTTCTTTTGTTTGGTTCTAGTCTTTATGCCCCAGTGAGATTCTTACTTCGTGGCCAGGCTTGTTTTCTTTCACATTCCAAATGAATCTATATCCTCCCCTTTCTGTCCTCTTTCGAACTCATTACTAAACCCCACTAGGATCTGCAAAAGCTCATTACATTAATGTTCTCCCAATGTTTCTTGTCATCCACCAAACTGGACTGGCTCACACATTTCAATTGTAGTCTCTTTAAGACCAGGATTTCATTTCATTTTCTTGCTTTTGTCCACTGTGTTTTAGCCGCTCGTAAGGGCCACGCATCCCTGGCACCCCATGAATAAATGAAATCACACACTGTAATAATGACAATAGGGCACGCACTCCTCTACCTGCCTACGGAGTGAACTGTTCTTTTGACTATTTTGCAAAATCATAACGGCTCACTGGAGGTTTCTTCCCACTTACCTGATTCCAAGCCTAGTGAATTATAAACGTATTTTATTTAACAAATTCATTTTTATGACCACAGTCAGCTCCTATCACAATAGTTAAGGTTCTGTTTGCAGGTTCATAACTTGGCCATAAAATTTTGCTTCAGGCAGATACTTTAGTCTAATGACTCTTGGCACAAAATGTCATTATTGGAATCTTTTTCTTTCAACACCAAAGAAAGTAAAAAAAAAATGCTTTTACTTAAAAAAAAAAACCAACTTTTCAAACTCTATTATTTTGTATTAAAGGAATGCTTCTCCCTTACCCCAACAAAAAAGAAATGCCAAACCTCAGCCATCAAGGTGTATAAAGCCAAAATAGTATCAAACTTCCTTCACCATGCTTCTCAGTGGGAGTGATATTGGCATTTTGGTGGGACAGTTTTCTCTGTGCAGGGTGCCCTGTGCCAAGCAGGGCATACATTTAGCGTTCCTGGTGCCCATGCACCTGCTACCTGCCCTCTCTCCTCTCCCTACAAACTGGGGTGAGGTCAGGCTCCACACTTTGTGTCTTTTTCCAAAGGCACACTTTCCAAAAAGACTATGGCCTCCAGACTTGTTGAAATTTTAATTGACCCGGAATGAAATGCTGGAGTAGGAAGCTATAAGTTGACCCAGTTACCTTGTTAGCCATTGGTAAAACGATGAAATTGGAGGAGTCTATCCTCAGAATTTTTTAGCATTCCTTTTTCACAATGTTTTCCTTTTCTGCAGGCTTTCCTACAAATCCTGAACTACCTGGTTGCTCTTTGGATGCCTCCCTCACTCCTAGAAGTCTCTGGCTGAGACCTGCTTTTTCTCCAGACACTCATCAAAATGTATCTACTTTTTTTTTTTTTTTTTTTTTTTTTTTGGAGACCTTGCTCTTTCACCTAGGCTGGAGTGCAGTGGTCCAATCTCGGCCCATTGCAACCTTCACCCACCAGGTTCAAGCAATTCTCCTGCCTCAGCCTCCTGAGTACAGGCGCACGTGACTGGGACTACAGGTGCACGTGACTGGGACTACAGGCGCACGCGACTGGGACTACAGGCGCACGCGACTGGGACTACAGGCACATGCGACCACGCCTGGCTAATTTTTTGTATTTTTAGTAGTGACGGGGTTTCACTGTGTTGCCCAGGCTGGTCTCGAACTCCTGAGCTCAGGCAATCTGCCCACCTCGGCCTCCCAAAGTGCTAGGATTACAGGCGTGAGCCACTGTGCCCGGCCAAAGTGTATCTACGTTTTACCTCTGCTCTCAGGGCCCTACCTTCTTTCCAACATGGCAGTTACTACATCAACCAAACCTTGATAGTGGCTCCATTTTGAATATCTCTTAGCAGAGGTGATAGTCTAAAGGTCTAACAATTGACTTGGCACAGGCATGGATGAATCAGAATGGACACTGGTGGAGGCTCTGTGTTTGGATGGCCCTTTTGTACCAGGTGTTACTCCTTTAGTTGCTGGCTCTTGGGGTATTCAGGGGGAGCTGGGGGAAGGACTGTTGTGGGTTAGATGGCATAGAGAAAGTGCTGGAAGGGTCTGGGAATAGGTTGCTCTTTGTCAGTTAGAAGTGCTTCAATACATTAACAACTGATACCACCTCATGGTGTTGCTTCTCTAACTCTTGAAGGTTTTATGTTTTAACAGAACACTCCTGCGTTCTTGTTCTTATTCTAAAAATATGCCTTATTCTAAAATAAAGAATAGAACTTTAGGTACAGTAGCATGGTAATGAGGAGAGACTTAGACCTGTAAAATTTTAAAATTTGTATATAGTCAAAATAATATGCTTGTTTATACTTTTTTTTTGCATTAGAAGTCCTCAATTTATCAGTCAAATGCTCATGTATATTTTCTTTTTAATGTTTTTATAGGTGAAATTTATTCTGGTGTATGGTAAGATGTGAAGATAGAATTTGAATTTTTAAAAAAATAGCCAATTCTCACAACACCGTTATTGAAAAGTTGTCTTACATTGACTTCAGTTTTAGGGCTGTCTATACAAGTCTACTCTCTCTGTCCCATCTTGCGTTGGCCCCGCATAGTTTTGATTGTTGTGACTTCGTTAGCCGATTTGACACTGGATGAGACAGAATAGTTCACTTTCACATTTTCTCAGCTATTTCTCTGAATAAACTTTGGTATAGTTTTGTTAAACTCTGTCTCTCCTGTAAACCCCTACCCCATCGATCTGATTGCTATTTTTATTTTTTTACCTCTTAATACTATTACATTATTGCTATTTTAATTAAAATTACATAAATGTAAATATGAAAGAGGAAAGAATTGACATTTTTGCTCTATTCAGTCTTACCACTTAGAAATACTATGTCCAGTATTTACATTTAAGCCTTTGTTTATATTTCTCAGTAAACTTTGATAGTTTTCTTGATATATTTCTTTTTGAGTTATTCATCAGTACCTGTATTTTCCTTTTTCTGGTTCAGTTTTGTTACTGATATAATTTTCCCTTTGGTGCCAACTAACTGGTTATGGTGAAGGTGGGTGCTGGGATCCTTCGAACTTCATCGCCTGCTCTCTGCACTGGCAGGTGCTGACAGGTGGTCTCCATAATGTTCTCTGGACCACTTTCCCATAAACAGATTCTGACAGGAGTGCTCAAAGCCTGAAACTGACTATGGTGCTTACCAATGCATTTTGGCATAATGTCCATTTTGCTTCTGGTGAGCAAAGCTTAAGAGGAAATAAAAATAATTGCCTATTTTGACTAAAAATTACTTCTGCTTAAATACTCACAATGGGACTTATCTTCTGAGGAGAAGTTCTTATTAACAATTACAAAAGGGTTTCAAAGGCATGTTCAATAACGGTTCATTTTAAATGCCAGTTATTTACTAAAAGGGAGACTAGCTGTAGAGGGATTAAAAGACACATTTTTGGCCAGGCACAGTGGCTCACACCTGTAATCCCAGCACTTTGAGAGGCCAAGGTGGGCGGATCACCTGAGGTCAGGAGTTCGAGACCAGCCTGGCCAACATGGTGAAACTCTATCTCTACTAAAAATACAAAAAAAAAAATTAGCTGGGCATGGTGGTGCAAGCCTGTAATCCCAGCTACTTGGGAGGCTGAGGCAGGAGAATTGCTTGAACCCTGGAGGCAGAGGTTGCAGTGAGCCAAGATCGCACCACTGCACTCCAGCCTGGGTGAAAGAGTCTCACTCCATCTAAAAATTAATAATAATAGCACATTTTCTTTTGAAATCTATGGCTTTTTTTAAAGTTCAGAGAGAAATGTGCACTTGCTTGTGCCTTACCCATATCTCTCTACATAACCAGCAAACCTGCTCCAGAAGAAATTCAGTTACCCCCTGAAGAAGTGTAAGTGAAGAGAGTCTCACTCCAAGTCACATATGAATGGCCCTGTCAAGCTCTACAACAGGGAATGAAGCCAGGCAGGGATTGAAATCGCCCTAGGGAGCACCAGTCAGTGCCCAGTTAATTGTGTTAGCTGTACCCGAGCCACAAGGAGGAAAGAAATTATGGCTACGGGAGAGGTGCCCTTAAAAGACTCAGGATCATACATCATGGTAATTATACTATGCATAAATAATCCCAGAAGTCAAATAAAAAGATCTAATATTTGGTATTCTCTTTTCAGCTGGCTGGGGGAGAATGTGGGTGAGGTCCATTACTTTTTTGTTGCCAATTAAAGCTGAATGTCTATACTTTGGGTTAAAAAAATTATAAAACCAGAAGCAGAAGCATACCAGATTATTCTCAAACACATCCAAGGTTAAACACACCAGTGGCTGCAAGTTTTTACCAATACACTTTTTTTTTTTCAGTTGTTCTGAGCTAGAAGATTATCAAGGTATCTGGGATGCTGGGATATTAGGACGCTGGTTGACAGGTGATGGCACATGTTGTTTTGACATGGGCATTAGATGAAGTCACTCTAATGACCTCTGGGCAATACTGAGTAATCGGGGACAAAGAATTGTAACATTGGATATCTGTTCTTTTATTTGTTTTCTTTCTGCCCCTGAAAGACCGTGGCCCTCCATAAAAAGCAGTGGCATTTACTTTTTGGCTAAGGTCTCCTTGATGCCTGACCTAGGAACTAGCCTGACTCTCAAAACCCATGTCCTCCCCCATTTTACCAAGACCATCATCTACATCTCCAAGACTGCCCAGGTCAGCACTGGCAGCTATAAAAGCAGGTCAATTCATGGTAGATGCAATGCAGCTTGGAATCAAGCAGATCCAGATTCATATCCTGGCTTTACCATTTACTAAATGTGTGAACTTGAGAAGCAACTCATAGATAATAACGTTTGCCTCCAAGTGTTACTGTGGGGAGTAAATAAGGTACTCTATCAGAACCATGACACACTTTTTTATTGTACAAGAGAAGAAGGTGAGTTGAGATGTTGTCCTTTCAGCCTTCAAAACTCCTGCCTAGAGTGGCTGGAACTCTGAGCCAGTCTTCCCCAGCCAGGCAGCTTCATCCATTTATACCAGAGTGCTGTGAAAATATTGCCACTTTCTACATAGACCATGATGTGAAAATGATGAGAACCATAATTTTACATAAGCACCTGTACAACTCGTTGCACCCAATAGGGCCCCAATAGATGGTGGAGTTGTTGCATCTCTGACTACAGATTAGGGCCTCCATGAAAAATAGTGTCAGGTGATGCAATGGCTGCTCTGAAGACCTTTATGGTAGGAAAACCCAGAACCGGGCTCAAGAAGGAACCCAGAGGGGCTCATAACCTCAGCTAGTCCACAAACTTGGGGTCAGTGTCAAAGGCTAGATTCATTACCATGCTATTGCTACACACAACTGTGGTTCTTCCCTTCACCTCGACTTGGTAGTTCCTTAGGGAGCAGGAGTTTCCGAAACAAACAGGTCTCTTCCTCCTTTGCTGGCTGTATGGTATCCTAGTGAATGGACTGGCCTACCCAAGTTTTTCTAGTATTGCTTGTAGATACTGAACCTCTTGTGGTCTTGACTAGTTCTGTGAAGTAGGAATATATGAATATATATATATATATATACACACACACACACATACGTGCATATATGTATGTGTGTGTGTGTGTGTGTGTATGTATATATATATATTCCATGTAAGTTGTAGAACATTTTATTCTTAAACCGTCAATTGATTGGGATTTCTAGAATAAGTAAAGACAAGGCACATGATCAGTAAGAAGACCAGCATTTGCTTTGGAAACTGATTCTTTTTAGCATGAAGTATACAAATTCCTCTTAAGTGATGACTGTCAGAGCACCTATTTTATGATATTAACTTTTTGTTTACATTCACAACTAAAATAAGTAAGATCTTTGATTTAATGCCAAAGATGGAAAACATTAGAACTCCTTTGGAATGTGCATGGAGATTAGGAGATAGGAAATAGTAAATAAATAAATGGGTCATTTGGTCTCATTTTATAGATGAAAAAACTGAGGCTCAGCGTTTTCAGTAACTGGTTTAAGGTCATGCAGCTAACAAACAGCAAAGCTGTGATTTGAACCTAGTGCTGTCTAACCTAAGTTTTATCTCAGTCCAATGCACATCTTCAACCTCTCTTCTGTGTTGCCTACCTAGAGATTAGGTAGAAGTGTTGTGAACGAGGAGGCCACAATGAGGAGTCAAATTGGGAGTAGGTATTCAAGTTAGAGGAAGTGACTTGAAGACTTCGGTAACATGCAGACAAAGCATGTGGGGAATCGAACATAGTAGTATCATTGGGGTGGCATTTCTGGGACAGGACATATAGGAAATAGAAGGAATTAGGGAGGAGTGTATATCTCAGTTAAGCTACTGAAGCCCATAATTTATTAAATTATAAAGACATTTCAAAATAGTATAGTTGTCTCTTAGATACATTTGTGTTTCAGACTTTTTAAATTCTTGTAGGTAGAATATTGAATGGAAGATATAAATACTGGTTTTATTTCATTTTTCTACTTTCATGTATTTAATGGTATAAATTAGATATCAAAGATCACTTGCCTAGCCAAGAAAGGGCGATAGGTGGGGATGGAAGTAACTTTGAGGATGCTCTACCAACCTCTCCCAATTCATCTGAGTTAAGTAAGTGGAGAGTAAAAATAAACAGTAATGTGATTGAATAATAATAACGAATGCATATGGAACAGCCAGAGAATCCTCTGTACTAGAATCCTTATCATGATCAGCAGTTGAAACCAGAGTCCAAGTAACTGTCGTAGGAGAAGCAAGGCAGAGCCTGGCTGGTAGAGTGGAACAGATGAACCAAAGGGCTGCTTGAAACAGACAGTCAACGAATTAACCATGAGCTCATCGATCTGTCGTGACACAAATATGACACTGTGCAGTTAACCCTCATCGCACTCTTGGTTTGAGTCTTTGAGCAGAGGCAAGATGCTGACTAAGACCTTCCAAAGGCAATGAAAGTGAAATCAGAGTGAAACCTTTGCCACCACTGGCTCACCAAAACGAGCATCAGTTCTTCTGAAAGCTGAGATTTCTACTAAGCAAGAGACACAGCCTCAGATGGAATTTTCCTGCATTGTTTTCATGCTTCTAATTTAAGTTGCAACAATTTTCCACCCCATACACCCTGCATATTCCAGCCGAGGGGAGTACCATGGCTATCTGGGGACATTGGTGTTAAAATGCCATTTAAAAAGGAAGCACGGCTTCAGGAGTGTCAACAAACAAGAAGCCACAGAAAGCAAGCAACAGAAAGACCTGAAGGCTAAGCAGGAACATGGAGTGGGGAGCAGTCCAGACTTAAAGGTTCCTTCTGAGCTTGGCAGTACCGCTTGTGAGTTTGCATTGGTGTTCCTCTGATTGAGCTCTTCTGATGGGACATTACTGTGGCTCCAAGGTGACAATGCTGGGAAAAGTCAAATTGTTAGAGACACCAGGAATAGTAGGAGCTTCTGATGTCCTGTTCATATTGCTTGGCTTTCACCACTCCCTTACAAGGCAGCAGCTTTCTTCTACAGACGCCTGCAACTTCCATCGAGCATTCACAGGTTGGGAACTTTCTCAGCTCACCTGGAAAAGGCCAGAAGTGAACACCCTTAGAAGCAGCCCTCACAAATGACAGAGGAAAGCAGGTAGATAAATATTCCAATTTCCTCACCCTTTGGTGGGACAACTCTGAGGTGGGTTCTGTGCAGCCTCCTAGAGGCTCCTGGTTACAAGTATATTAGCTTGGTACAAAAACACTGGTCATCTCATGTTTACCCAAAGCCATAATGGACAACTCAGTATTTCTGACGAATAAAAACGGGGAAATAAATGAATCTTACCAAATCAGTACACATTGTTTCAATATAGGCTCCGCGGCGGCTGGGGGTGGGAGAGGGAAAGAGAAAGTGGATGTGGGAAGTAAAGGGCAAAAGAGGGAGAGTTTGGTGCTTGAAAGGCCAAAAATTCCTTGATACAATGGCAGATGGCAAATTGGGTCCTTTTCAGCTATCTGACTCGCATTATTCAAATGGATTTTGACCTCAAATCACCTCTCGGTTGGTCACAAACTCCTATTTCTGACCTTCTGGGTCCTCCCCAGTCCTATGGGTTCAACCTTGGGGTCCCTGCATCCTTGACCCCCACACTGCCTGTCCTGAGTTCATTATGCTCACTTCTGCCTCAGTTGGAATGTTATCCACACTGTTCTTTGCCATGAAGTCTGGCCCATCTTTTAAGACCCAAAGCAATTCCTCCCTCTTGTTTGACATCTTCTGTGGGTGGTCCAGCTCTCTCAAGCTTCCCCTCTGCTGAGCTACTTGGCAGCCCATGAGGATCCACACCACAGAATTTAACCCTGGATGTTGCCCTATTTTGCATGACTCTCTTTATCACAAGTGTATTGATAATCTTTTAAAATTTTTTAAATTTTTTAATTGAAATATAATAATTGTGCTATTATTCATGGGGTATGTAGCATAGTAATGTTTCGATCATATAATGTATAGTGATCAGATCAGGGTAATTAGCATATCTATCATCTCAAACATTTATCATTTTTTTGTGTTGGGGACATTCAGTATCCTCCTTTTAGTGTTTAGAAACCATCTAATATATTATTGTTAACTACAGTCATCCTACCATGCTATGGAACCCTGAAACTTACTCTTCCTATCTGTAATTTTGTATCCTTTAATAAGTCTCTCCTTATCCCTTCCTTCCTCTACTCTTCCCAGCCCCTAGTATCCTCTGTTCTACTTTTCACTTGTATGAGATCAACTTTTTTTCAGCTTCCACATATGAGTGAGAACATGCAGTGTTTAACTTTTTGTTCCTGGCTTATTTCACTTAACATAATATCCTCCAGTTCCATCCACGTTGCTGTGGAATGACAGGATTTCATTCCTTTTTTTTTTTAATGGCTGAAGAGTATTCCACTGTGTATTTATCCCACAGGTTTTTATGCAGTCATCTGTTATTGGACACCTAGGTTGATAGTTTTTTAGAGGTAAAAGAATGCTCAGTGGTTCTTGTCAAGACTTTAGGATTTGAGAAGAGATTTGAACTCTCTGCTGTGTCCCGTGATGATCTTCAAGAGACAGCAGAGTTTCAAAGGCCAGGGCCACCTTTTCAAAATGACTTTAAACAATAATAAAAATAGCTGCCATTGAGTGGGTGCCTGCTATGTGCCCACTTGCTAAGCACACTTTACTATTGTATCTCATTTAATCTTTACAAAAATACTGCAAAGTGGGTATTAGTGCCCCCATTTTAAAGATACAGAAACTGAGGGTCAGGAACTTGCTCAAGTCCACACATTACTAAGTGGCTGGGACTCAAACACAGGTTACAAAAGTCAATGGTTCTATTGGAGTCTAAACTTTCCTGTAAAGAACCTCCTAGAACAGTTTCAAGGTAATTTCTCTGTGTATAAATGTATTGAGTTAAATAGGCAATTAAAAGCCTGAAGCAAAAATAGTGTAGAATTAGTGAAAGTTAAAAACAAAAAGCAACCCACTAAATATAAGCTCTTCTCACTGCCTACCAAATTTCTGAGACAAGCCTGGGGCAGGCCAAGCTGGACAGCAGTAAGTGCTGTGGAGAAAAATGAAGCTGAGCCGGGGAATGGGGGTGTTAGGGTGGGATGGTGGCAATTTTGCATAGGTGGTCCAGGAAGGCCTCAGTAAGAGGGTAACACTGGAACAAAGTCTTGTGGAAGGAGGTGAGGGAGGGAGCCATGCTGATACCTGGGGTAGGGTGTTCTAGACAGGGCAACAGCAAGAACAAAAGCCTTGGGGCAGGACTATGCCATGCATATTTTGGGAACAGCCAAGAAGACAGAATGGCTGGAATGGAGCCATCCAAGTAAAGAGCCAGAGGAGGTGAGGTTAGAGAGGACATGGAGGCTGAGATTGTGTCGGGCCTTGTGGGTTTTGTGCAGAATATACGTCCTTCTCTAGAAGGTTTTCTGGATGTTTGGGATTTGTTGGTTCCTCCTTCCCCTCGTATGTTGGGATGTCGTGAAGTGGACTGAGGGAGCCACTGTCCTTGGCCACATTTCACAACCAACTAGTAGGCTGATTATAGGGTTATAAAGGGTGCACTATCAATCCAGTTATCCGGGGCAATGGAAACTTTACCCTGGGTGCCAGTGTAAGACATTGGCCTCAGCATTATCCCATCTAAGGAGTGAGGAAGTTGGGATATTTATACATCAATCCCTGCTAGTCGGTCGAGGGCTGTTTCTGGGAGGGCAATGATTCTCTAGCATTTCTAGTCTGCTGCAGTGGTGGACAAAATGCTTCAGTACCAGTGTGCCAGGGTGCCAAGGACCCCTCAGACAAAAAGAGGTCAGTCCTGGCAGTTGAAAATCAGCTGGTTTCATGCCCTAAGTTGGTAAGGATGGACCTGTGGGCAGGCACCAACATAGTTAATAGCCTCTCTCTAATGCTTTTGAATCTTATCTCTTCGGCTTTTACTAAGAAAGGAGAAACAAGAAGCTTCCTTCTTCTTCACAACCACCTGAAAACATAGGCTGGAGTTCTCAGAGACTGTAAGGGAAAACTTGAGATGAACATATAGATCACCCGCATCCACCTTTGTTTTCAGAAAAAGATAACTAACCTATAAAACATCAGTTTCAAACCCCAATTTTTTAAAAGGAAGGAGAAAGAACATTTATTGCTAATTGCTATTGTCAGGGTGAAGATTATTTCTTGGCAAATAGTACAGGGAGCTTTTGCAAAGATGCTCATTAATATAATCTGTGATTCATGGAAACCTAATCTGACAGATGAGCAACCTGTGATTCCTACTTTTCAGGGATACTGACTACAGTGATTGGTGCGGGGAGCATTTCTTCCTACCACAAACTACTCTGCTAACCTCAGTCCAGGATGTCCCCTCTAATAGAGATGCTCACTGTAGCACAGAAAGAAGAGTGATGGTAAGTTCCTCCTCCTCCAACATGTCCTATGTGCCAAACACTGTGCCTCAAGATGGGTTATATGGCCTTTGGGAGAGCTGAGTAGACTTTGCAAAGAGGGGTTCCCATGTGTGCAAATAAGTTGCTGGTATTCTGAAACCTTGGGATGGTTGGTATGGCCAACATGCTAAGAATGGCTTTTACATTTTTGAATGGCTGGAGAAAAATCCAAAAAAAGAGTAGTAATTCAGAACACCTGAAAAGTATATGATATTCAAAATGCGGTTTTCATTCATGAAGTTTCATTAGAACCCAGCCCTCATGCTCGTTTGTTTACAAATTGTCTATGGCTGCTTTTGCTCTGTAACTGCAGAGTTGAGTAGTTATGACAGAGACCTCATGGACTACGATGCCTAGAATATTTACTATAGAGTTCTTTATAGGAAAGTTTGCTGACCTGTGCAATAAAGAATAGTGTTGTTGAGGATCTCTTCCCCCCAGATAAGTATCTAGCACAGAGAACGAGGTACCAAACAACCGCAGTTAGGGTAAATCCACTTTAGAGGATTACTGATAAGCAACGGAATACAGACCAGATCTTGGTCCTGAAACAGACCCACACTTGTGGCCAATTCGGAAGAGTTTTATCTTTTTACTGATCCCTGTAGTTCTTAAGCTAAGAGGTTTCTCTGGAAGTAGGCAGAAGCAGAGGGAGTAGGAGACCTATTCAGGCTTTCAGCTGAAAGCACTTTGTAGAAGTTACCATCACCCTATCTTCCCATATTCCTACTTCTTCTAAAGCTAAGACATTCCATATGTGAGACTGTTGGAATTCAGCTTTTTACCAGTCCTATAACTCATCACTCAATAATCTCAATCTTGTAAATGAAATCAAAAGCCTGAGGAAGCCAGGCTATTCAAGGATATTGCAGAGCTGTGTTACTAGGCCCACCTAGTAACTATGAGCACATTGGTAAGGGAGTTAGGTCACTAAATTTAAATTCCAGCTCAGCCACTTGCTAGCTATGTAACACTGGGCGTGTTCATTAATCCCTCCGTTACCTACCTTCTCCATCTGTAAAATGAAAATGGTGATAATATCTCCTTCATAGGGATTCTCTGGGGGGTTAGTAACATGTGCTCCCAAAGCAGCCTAGTATGATGCCTGGCTTGTAGAATGGACTCAAAGAATATTAGCTATTATTAGTGTTTCAAAATCGGAATTGGGGAATTTTAGATGACATATTGCAGGATCTTCATGCAAATGATATTCATAATGAAGCACACTTCACCAGCACTTTCTGACTCACCCAAATGGCATTTATTTGGTCTCAATAGCTAAGTGTCCCTCCCTCATGTTGCTCACACTTGTGGTACTCATATTTACTACTTACTACAATGTCCATGAATTTGACTTGGTAAGATGACACATTCCTCAAATGAATTATAGTGTTTAGGACCAAAGCTAATTTTAATCATACTATATACCCAGGTTATAACACACAAATTTGAACACAACTAACGTTGGATGAATTAAAATTGATATATTGTTACAAGTCACTTCTAACTTAATTGCTCAACCATAATTCCCAGGTATAAAGTTCTTGCCAAGAGAGTCAACATTTAACTTGTGCAAATACTTATTGAGAATCTACTATATACCATATACATACGCTATATTTTATAGTATACACATATAAAATATTTGTGTCTGACTACAAAGATGAATAAACCAGTCCTTGAACTCAAGGAACTCACAGTCTAGTGTGTAGTCGGTAGAACACAGGAATTATCTGTAGATCTGTTCAGACCCCAGGCTCTGGCCTGGCCAGGTTGTAGAAGACCTATAGATACAAGGGTATAAGGTGTTGGTTAAGTTAGAAGGGCTATCTTTGAAAAAGTAGGCTTTCCACAACCCACTAGAATGAAGTCCAGGAACTGTTAAAACAATATTTCTCCTGATATCAAGGAACTTGATTGATCATTCAGAAATCAATAAGTCCTGTGGTTTTTCTCAGCAGGTCAGAGGAGGCTGTCTTGGGACTGGGTGGCATTTGCAGGGATTCTCAGCCTGAGCTAGGGGTGCTTGGTGGGAGGTGGCTCTGGGTGTCTTTTCTCAATAATCAGTAAATATAGTTTTAGCAGCATTTTTCCCAAGGCCGATCTCTGCTGTCTTCACCATGGTATTACCATGATGTTGTTGGGCTGTGTGGTGCAGGTGCAGTGTGGCTCCATCATGGAGCTTTCCATAAGAAAGCACAAGTGTCCAGTAGCCCACACAGCTAGGAGTCTGTCTCAAAGCAGTATGTTTGAATAGCCTGTCTGCAGGAAGTTTTTAATTGCATTAATCTCAACAAGCTCTGACAGTTGTACCAATTTGCTTGAGAACTAGAAATCTAAATTTTAAGAAAAAGAGTGTGCATTTGCTTAAACATAACAGTTTATCTTTAAATCACTTGTAAATCTGCTATTATAAGCTACACATAGATGTTTCAGTGACAAAGACAATAGTAAAAGTAGAGAAGGTCAGGGCAAAGCATCTTGCATAAGAAATTACCATTTAGAGGCCAGGCGCGGTGGCTCACACCTGTAATTCCAGCACTTTGGGAGGCCAAGGAAGGTGGATCACGAGGTCAGGAGATCGAGAACATCCTGGTTAACACAGGGAAACCCCGTCTCTACTAAAAATGCAAAAAATTAGCTGGGCGTGGTGGCGGGCACCTGCAGTCCCAGCTGCTCAGGAGGCTGAGGCAGGAGAATTGCGTGAACCCGGGAGGCAGAGCTTGCAGTGAGCCGAGATCACATCACTGCACTCCAGCCTGGGCAACAGAGTGAGACTCCATCTGAAAAAAAAAAAAAAAAGAAATGACCATTTAGAAGTGTGGAAGTGTGTGTGTGTGTGTGTGTGTATATGTGGTGTAAAAATATGTGTGGTCAACAGTAATATCAATCAGAATACAGAGGAAAAGCCGTCTTCTTCTGAAGCAATATTCTTCATTTATAGCAGAGTAAGCATATATTTCTCAAAGACAAAAAATACAGCATGTACAAGTCCTGTGGAATTTCTAAGGACTTGGCTTCTGTTTTGAGATGTGCAGACCACCAGTCTGAAGCTCCAGATGCCCAGCTCTAATGTGAAGTCAAAGTCACGGGCACCGTTGTGAGATGTACTCATGGTCTATCAGTTGTTGGGTGTTTATGATAATGTGCATGAGAGGATAAGAGCAAGAAAGGTGGGAGGAGTTATGGAGAAGCCTCAGAAGCAGCTAAGCAAACTCAGGCAAAACAGTGTCAACAATGGATTTAATGAACGACAATTTACTTAAAATGACATCTAATATTTAGGGACACATTTCCTGTTCTACAGATATTATCAAAGTATAAACATAATGCAAGAATAATACTTAAGGGACTCAAAACATCACACAAATTGCTTGATGAAAAGTGGCAAAATAGTCTGTTGTTACTGTCTGCTGCTTGGCGGAGTTCTTCTTTTGTTGAATATTAGAATAAAGTGACATCAGTTTGTCACTTAGCAAATGGTCCTCCGCTTCCTAAAGCATCCAGCAGATGGTCTAGGTGATAAAGTGCAGCCCTAGCGTGTTCATATTTTGCTAGCAGCCTCTACCCTGCACTGCTGCGATCACTCACCTCCTCTCCACAAGGCGACCTCACCATCTTGTCATCCCTCAGTGTCTCACACCCCAGGTCACATGCATCACCGTCAAACCACACAGCTCTGAAGTTAAATTACCCAACTTCTTAATGTCGGCTCCTTCAGTGGCTTTTCCTTCCCATTCTTCATGTGCCCCCTCGCTCTTTGCAACCTTGGTCCCTCCATGTGCCTGCACTAAATTAAAAGCTTCAGGTCCTGGATTTTTTGCAAAAAAATTTGAGTTTTGTTCTGAAAAGCATACCTCCCTTCTTTCTCTCTAATCCTAGACTAAAATCATATAACATTTGAGGAGCAGGCTAAGAACCCTCTGGCTGCCCTAAAAAGTTAAAAGAAAGGGACTGTGCACCAATGTGTTTAAAACTGACCAGAATTCTCAAGACTGCTGGTAAGACTTTGTACTTCTTCCTTCCATATGCAGGATGTAAACATGGGGTTTCAAGCAGATAAGACTGTTTACAGTTGGCTGGGATAGGAGTGGCCCTGCATTGTTAGTATGTAGTTTCAAGCAGTTGGCCTCTTTTAAAATGTAGATATTTTTGTTGACATACATTGCTGCATTTTAAAAATTAATCTACTAGTTATAATTTTTTCCCCATGGTTAATCCACAAACTAGTTAATTCTGGATACAAACAAGAGTTGACTACACTACAGAAACCAGAAAAGGTCTTACTCACCCGAGGCAGGGGAGGGAATGGTAACCCCCAAAAGATGAAGCTGCCAAGACCTGTGGAATTTCTACTCATTCTTCAGAGAGAGAACTGATGCCTGTGTGCATTTAGGTACACAATCATGAAATACAAATGTCTGCCTCTCTCAATTTTGAAGTGTATTCAAGTGACTTCTGAATAACATATGTAGTTTGTTGGCATAAATACATATTTAAATTATACTGATATATAAAAGTAAGATGCGACTGTGTTATGGTTTATTTCAGAATTCTTACAGGTGAAGAGTAGAATACTAAGATCTCATAACTTATCTCCTTGCAGCTTGTGCTGAGTGACAAGTTTGGGGGATATAGGAGGCTGTAGAAAAGATCTTTTTAAAGTTAAAATTTCTGTAAGGCTTGGTAGTTTCATGTGCTCCATATAAAGCTTAATTTCTAGGATTCTGAGGACTATATTTTAATGATTTCTTGATCATGTCAAACAGAAAAATACTAGAAGCATTTTGTCAGAAATGGGAATTAAAGATAAATAGGAATTTATATTTTTACTTTATGGTCATAATAGTTATGAATTTTATTCCACATGTTCAGCTGTGCAATAAACATAACATGTCTTTAGTTTTCTAATTATGAATTTGAGCCCTCATCCTACTCCTCTGACAGAAAATTCCATCCCTATTGGAGCTCCCTCCCTTCTCAGTGGACATTTAAGACCCCGTGGGTCCCAGGCAGTGTGGAACATCGGCGAAGGTTTTCTGGTCCTCAGTCTATACTGGCCACCTAAGTATTCCATAAGTAATTGTCATCTGGCTAATGCATTCCTCGTCAAAACCTCATAGCCTCTTAAAGGCAAATAGCTTAGCTGCTTCTGTGTTAAGTACTTGAGTCAAGAATCCTTGTCACGTTTGGGATTAATAGGGGAAGTATTCTTCTGGAGATCTTTCTATCTTTCTGGAGCTGTAGGAAGGAGCTAAGTGTGTGTCTCTTATACTGATAGAACCTGCAAATTGCCAAGCCATCTTCCTTTTAGTTTGAGAAATCTCTTTTTGCCTTCTGTTCTTGAAGTTTTGTGTCAGTTATAATTGCATTCACCATCAAGTAACAGAAAACAACTATATATAAGTAATAGGTTTATTTCTCAATGAGAAGTTGAGGGGTTGAGCCAATCAGGGCTAGTATGGTGGATAAATGACATGATCAAAAACCCAGGCTCTGTTAACCTTCCTGTTCTGCTTTCCTTATTGTTGCTTTTATCTTCAGGATTTCAAAATAGCTGGCATACCTCCAGGCATCACATGCAACATCTGAGGAAAAAATAGAAAGGTCAATAGCTGTGTATCAAGTGCCAGAGTCTGAATTGGTTTGTTCAAGCAAATATATTACATTTTGAATAATAATAATATTTTTATATGAATAATAAAAAGTAGGTTTTAGATAACAGTTGCAATTAGGGTCACCACCCGGTTAAGTGAACAATAGTCCACGGTCTTTCTTCATGTTTTGTCTGACTTACACGGGCCAAAGTGTGGGGATATGTTGGGTACCACCACTTCTGCTTCTTTCAAGTTTTTAATGGTGGTGTTCATCTCTGCACCTTTCCCAGGGATACAGCATTACTTCTGGTTTACTCTCTTGGGAGGAAGGCAAAGTTTCAAGGGTTTCCTCTTAACCCTTCAGTATTATGGCCTTCATGTCATGGATAAGAGAACCTAGGTAGAGTTTTTCATAGTTGACAAATATGCCTTCCCTAATTATACACTAAGGACCTGGAAAAACAACCACACTGTGGGGCCTACAAGTGGGTCAGATTGGAGCTTAGACTCCATCTGTCACCTGACCACAGCAAGGCCTCACTTACAGAGACATGGTGGCATTTTGGGTCCCCAAGAATTAGCATCAGATCAACGCTAGTATCTAGCAGTCCCTGAAAGGTCTGGGTATTGACTTTTCCCGGTGAGTAATCACTCTGGCAAATGGCAGCAATCTTTTGGGGGAAGGCTTGTAGGAAGATTTATGGTATATATTTGTGGTAATGGCAAAGAGTCCTTCAAGGGGATCTAGCTTCTCCTTCAATCAAGGGGCTCTGGGTTTGTGAGCTGAATTAGCTATGTAATCTGGGAGTAAGGCTGTGACTCACCATTTTGGCATTACAATCAAGTTTTTGGGTGCCAGACTTAGATTTTTTTCCAGTTACATAGCTCAAGCAATAACCTAATAGACTTCTCATCTATTTCCTTCCTCAGGACGTTGTTATAACTAGCTATGTCCAAAGATCTTTGTGGGTCAAAACATTCTGATTACTATTGTGTCTCTGCAGCCCTTTAAGGAAGATGGACCCAATTCGTCTTTGGCAGTTGCTACCCCAGGATCTCATCATCCCTATTGAAATCAAGGAACTCATCTCAATGATGGCATCCACACAGTCATACCTAGCCTACAGGACAGAAAAACCATACAGCTTTTCAATGATGTGGATGCTCCCCTTACTAATTTATTTCTCATTGTTAGTGAAGAAAGTGCTCCCTTGGCCTTCTTGTGGAATATAGTTGGGAGTGGGTATGCATGATAAATGGTACTTAACATTCCTATCTCCCTAAGTGTTTGAATTCCCTCTTCTACATCACACTGGGGCAGCTCTGGCATCTCAATATTATCAACTGTAGGGCACTGCTGATCCCATATTTCAGTTAACCAATGAAGCAAGGTGTTATACCTACTTTCAGCACAAAAAGACACATTATAAATCTGGAATCTTTAGCAAATTCAGTCATATCAATGAATTTAACCTGTTTTAGTGGGGTATTCCATCCTCCTGGTCAAACATCCTTATAATGCATACCCACACATGTTTTTTAATACATTCCCATATATTATTGAACATTATTGTAATTATTTTGGTGTGTAAACTATTTCTTCATGGGTCACAGTGTGGATCTGTGCCCCTGGAACATGCTGAGATTTAACCCCAGTTGTGGGTCTAATGACAATGAGGGGGTCTGTGGTGGGTCTTGAAGAGAATGAGGATCCCTTTCCAAGACATCTGCCTCAAGTGAAGTTAGCACATGATTTTAAGCAAAGAAAGGCTAGTTTTCTCAAACACCAGAGGGCAAGCTACTTCCACTGATAAGGGTGGCTGAAGGGACTTGGGAGTTCAGGATTGTCAGTTTCATCTGGGTCCAAGCAGATATCCCTATTCCAAGTTCCATGTCCCATCTTTCTCATTAGATGCCCTGACTTTCATGAGACACTTGGTGAGACTATGAATTCTTGTTGTAATTAAGTAACATGAACAACTAAATTTTGTTTGTCTTTCATTACTGTTAGTACCATGGCTTCAAGGATTATATCATGAAGGCTTTCTAGTTCTCAGATTTTAACTTGAACTGGGGCTTAAAGAATCTGAGTTTGTTGTTTTCTTTCTGTAAGCACTCAAGCACACTTAAAAATATCCATCCTGCACCACAGTCCTTGTAGTCATCGTTGCTGCCATTATGGTCAAATGTAGCAGCCAGCTGAGCTCCCAAGGCACTTGTTTTAATGGGCACTCCATCCCAGTCAACCATAGGTGTTAATTTAACTAGTTATGATTTCACTGCATGCTGCATTTTACTTAACATTCCATTTCCCTTGGCAAAGAGCTCACTACTGCACTCAAGTCTGAGGACATGACCAAATAAATACCCAAATCCCATCTTTTCTGGCCTATCTGTTGGAACTATTCCTAGAACCAATTTTATATCCATCAGGGTCTAATCCTGAGACATAAAACATACAGTAATTTGAATAATGAAAATTCAATATAAAGAATTATCAAGAGAGGATTGGAGAAATGAGGGTCTAGTTAATAAGAGGTAAAAAGAATGCTGAGGAATACAAGAGTAACATATATGGAGTAGCCACTATTCCTAGAGCTGGGGTACAGTGCCCCAGAGAGAGGCACCTCTTCCCCACAAAGCTGATATCCAGACTTCATTGGTGAGGGCAGAGCTCAGGTTCATTGAATGGTATAGAAGTTCACTGAGGTACTGTGCCTTAGAACTCATGGCAAAGCTACTCTGCAGGGTTCTGGGCTAAATCCTCTAAGGGAAGATGCCTAGACCACATCACTCATTGAGAAATAGTCTCTGAAATGCCTGGGGAAGCATTTAATGGGAAGGTACTAGCACTCCACTGCCATCACTCCACTCTGAAGCCACCCAAGGGAGGTTATGGAAGAAAGCTCCCCATAGGAAGGTGGTGTGTGCTACTGGCTACCATATGCTGCTGACCATAGCATGCTGTAGGAGTAGAGTGTTGCTGAAGCTATGTGCTGCAAGAGCTGGGTGCTACAGAAACTGCATGCTATGGGAACTGGATTTGTAAAAAAAAAAATGCATGCTGCATGAGCCTCAAGAAAGGACACCAGAACGAGGAGGAGAAACATTTTCTGATCCAATGTCTCTCCAGGGCCCTCTTCTGAGAAAGGTAAGTTGTTTTGCTTAGTGAGGGAGAAATATTCACGGAGTCCAGCTACATTATTGTTAAGCAGGTAATGAGGGTAACTTTGGATCTGAGAGGGAATACACTGATACACAGGCACACGAGGCCAGCAGGCAATACTATTAACCAGTGACGCCAATAAAGATGTTATTAGGAGGATGGAGGTAGCCTAGACAGGAAAACTAGCTCAATATAAGAACTTCTCTCCCTCACCCTCCTCTTCTTTTGGTGAGGGTGAGTTGGTTCTGGTGTAATATAAAACCAAGGCCAGACTTCTCTATTGACCCAAATACTATTAGTTGAGTATTTTTCCACCAGAGTGTGGTGCTAATCTGTTTGTGCAGATGTCTAGACCAGCAAGTGTATCCCTGCTGAAGGAATGAGTGTTTTGTGGCACAGTGCAGGCCCCATCATCAACAGGAACACACCACGTGGTAGTGAGAAATGATGGCATCAGAAGCTTGGCTGGGTTTTCAAATTCTCCCTCTTTCTCATTTGGAAACTGACTCTTCTATGGACTAGTAATTCCTTTGGGCAAGTCACAGTGCGGGAGACTGCAAGAAAGATATACAAACTTCTTTCTCAAAGGGGATTGGGATCTTCAGCAACTAATGAGGATCCCCCTAGTTGAAGTTAGTGAAGCAGTTGCACAAGGGAAAAACTCAGTTGTGGCAGTCTTCTTTACATGTTATGCTGCACCATCAGAGATATTTTCTGTTCATAGCTCAGTGCCACTTACCTGAGGCAGATCCATTCCTCAAATCTGTCATTTCAGGCAACAGCCCTGCTGTCACCCAAATTGATATTAAGATGTTTGTTGAATCATATCTGTATTGTCAAAAATCATGGTTCATTACCCTGAAGCAAATGGTCAGGCCATGAGAGAGAGGAAGACAACTGAGGCCTGGAAGGTGATTGGAGAACATTATCTTAAATCTGTTAATACATTAATTTCCATCTTTCTTGAAACTGATGGGCTAAGTTTTATCAGAAAGAGGGAGATAATTATCCCAATAGCAACAAGTGGTTATCTGGGAAGGCAGTAGATGTTTGGGAGATTGGCCTCATTTAATGGGAGTGACCAATGAAAGGGGGAGGAGAGAACTCTATTTGTTATGTATCTATCACGTAGGCATTTTGATAGGCTCTTTATATACTTTATATTATACATTATTTGTTCTTCACTTAAATTTATGTCATTATGTTCATATTAGAGATTAAAGTCTATATTTGTAGAGATTAAGTGATTTACTCAAGGTCATATTCCTTGGAAGTAGCAAAACCTCTGGACCAGATTTGCCTGATTCCAAAGGCGGTACTGCTTGTACAACACTCTGAGAAGTAATTACTGTGGAGCAAAGCAAAAAGAAGTCTAAAAGCAGGTGATAGGTGTAGATTTAGATAGTGTAAGGGTAGGCTAAAGTGTTGTAACAAATGCACCCTCAAGTAGGTAATGGCTCAAACACAATAGATGTTCACTTCCCACATCTCAGAGCAAATTGGGTTCTCCTCATCAGCTAAAGCTTTCCTACATGGGATGATTTGGGGAGCAAGACACTCCATCTATGGCTCCCTTACCCTCCAAGGCCTTCTTATTGTCTTTATGTAACCAGTGGAAGAAGAAAGAGAGAACAGAGAAAGTGCGCCTGCTTTTATATATTTGGCCTGGAAGAGACACATGGCATTCACATATTCTGATGGGGAGAACTAGTTACATGGCCACAGCTGGAGGCAAGCATCCTGGGACAGACAGCCACTTTCCACTTACAACTGAATATGACAGAAGGGAAGCATATGTTTCGAATAGCCCAGTCTCTGTCACAGGAGGCAAGTCAGGAGGCATGCTTGCTGTCAACTGCCACAAGGCTTGACCTTGTTTCTGGGGTTTAGAAAGAAAAAGAAAACTATGAGTTAGGGATGAGGACTGGTGAAGCTGGGCCCCAGTCAGGCCCCAGCAGAGCATTGGTGCATGCACGCACATATTTACATACACAAAGAGAGACAGAAACTCTAGGAAGAAGCTATTTTAACATCAGTATTTATGTAAATTTTCTGTCATTTCAAAAACTTTATGATATAATATTTTTTATTTTGAATTTTAAATTGGATGGAAAAGTGAAGGAATTACATGCTATTTGGAGTGCTTAAGGCCTCTAAAAATTCCTAGATCTGTTCCTGATGATGGTTTATCAAGAGAGACCCAGTCATAAAGACCAAGACAGGGGCTTGGTTCCTGAAGTAAGAGTAGGAGGCAGGACCTTGGTCTCAGGAAGAGGGCAGAGGCCAAGCCACCAGCATGGACTGGGGTTAAAACTTGGGGATTAGCAGCAAGATGGGCTTATGTCATTGGGCTCTGTGTGTTCTACGTGGACTTCCCATGTCTGATGGGAAAGGACCAGCTTGTTTCACAGCCTGAGATTGGCTGGTGTTTCTTAGGGGAGTGTTTGGAAGACTCAGCTGAGAGTAGAAGGAGATGGGGAACCAGGAGCTGGGTAGGGTGCAGGCCGCAGGAATACCCTTTCAATGGTTAAAAGTTGAAATAATGTGAGAGTCAAGGAAGGAAGTATGATATGGACTTGGGGAGGAGACGGACTGGTTGTCAGTCATTAAAAGTTTCTACTGTTTCTTTTGATATACATTTTACCGTTCTAGGATGAACTCAGTTGCAAATTGTTAACAGCAATAAAACACTGTTTTCTTTGTTGAAGGCCATTTGTCTATGCTTTTTGGCCACTTCCCTCCAACATTATAACAATGGAGAAATGGCCAGTGCAGTAGGAATGAGGGAGAAAGAAGATCTGGGTAAAGGACAAGTAAGGCAAGGGGATTTCTTCCAGAGTAAGAATACTGTCAGCAGGAGAGAGGCAGAGCAAGATGGCAGAATAGAAAGCTCCACTGATCATCCCCACAGCAAGGGCACCAAGTTAACAACTATCTATGTGAAAAATCACCTTCATAAGAACCAAAAATCAGGTGAGCCCTCCTAGTACCTGGTTTTAAGTTCACATCATTGAAAGAGGCACTGAAATGGTAGAAAAAACAGTCCTAAATCACTGATACCACTCCCTCCTCGCTCCCACTCAGCAGTGACAGGGTGGTTCAGAGAACATCTCTGGACATTAATGGAGGGGGAGCAAAGCAATTGTGAGGCACTGAAGTTAATGCAGCCCTGTTAGAGCAGAAAGGAAAACTGGTCCAAACTCAGCTGATGCCCACCCATGGGGGGAGCATTTAAAGCAGCCCTAGCCGGAGGGGAATTGTGGATCACAGTGGTCAGAATTCCATTTCCCACAAACCTTGCCACCAAGGAATCAAGTACTCTGGGTCTTTAAGTAAACTTGAAAGCAGTCTGGCCCACAAGGACTGTAACTGTTGAGTAAGTCCTAGTGCTGAACTAGGCCCAGAGACAGTGGACTGGGGGACGGTGGGGGCAAACAACCTACTGACACACCAGCTGGGGTGGCTAAGGGAATGCTGGCATTACCCCTTCCCTAACCCCAGGCTGCACAGCTTGTGACTCCAAAAAAGGTCCCTTCCTTCTGGTTGAGGAGACGAGGGAAGAGTGGGGAGGACTTTGTCCTGCATCTTGGATACCAGCTCAGCCACAGCAGGATAGGGCACTGCTCAGAGTCATGAGGCCCCCGTTCCAGGACCTAGCTCATTGATGACATTTCTAGACACACCCTGAGCCAGAAGGAAACATGCTGCCTTGAAGGAAAGGACCCAGTCCTGGCAACATTCATCCCTTGCTAACTGAAGAAACCTTGGGTCCTGAATAACCAGCAGCGATTCCCATGTACTACGTTGAAGGCCTTGGGTGAGCCTCTGAGACTTGTTGGCTTCAGGTGAGACTCAGCACATTACCAGCTTTGGTGACTATGGGGTGAAACTCCTTACGCTTGAGAAAAGCATGAGGAAAAGTAAACGCAACTTTGCCTTACACCTTAGGTACCAACACAAACACAGGGGAGTAGAGTACCAAGTAGATTCTTGGGGTCCCTGATTCCAGGATTGGCTCTTGGATGGCATTTCTGGACCTGCCCTGGACCAGAGGGGACCCACTGCCCTGAAGGGTGAGTCCCAGGCCAGGCAGTATTTACCACAAGCTGACTGAAGAGCCCTTGGGTCTTAAGGGAACATAGGCGGTAGTCTGGCAGTACTCCCTGTGGCCTGTGGTGGTGGTGGCTATGGGGTGAGGCTCCTCTGCCTTTGGAAAGAGGAGAGAAAAGTGGGAAGGACTGTGTCTCGTGGTTTGAGTGCCAGCTCAGCTGCAATGCAATAGAATACAAGGTACACCTCTTTTTAAAATTTTTTAATTATATTTTAAGTTCTGGGATACATGTGCAGAACGTGCAGGTTTGTTACATAGGTATACACGTGCCATGGTGGTTTGCTGCACCCATCAATCCATCACCTACATTAGGTATTTCTCCTAATGCTATCCCTCCCCTAGCTCCCCACCCCAAGACAGGCCCCAGTGTGTGATGTTGCCCTCCCTGTGTCCATGTGTTCTCATTGTTCAACTCCCACTTATGAGTGAGAACATGTGGTGTTTGGTTTTCTGTTCTTGTGTTAGTTTGCTGAGAATGATGGTTTCCAGCTTCATCATGTCCTACAAAGGACATGACCTCATCATTTTTTGTGGCTGCATAGTATTCCATGGTGTATATGTGCCACATTTTCTTAATCCAGTCTATCATTGATGGACATTTGGGTTGGTTCCAAGTCTTTGCTGTTGTGAATAGTGCTGTAATAAACATATTGTGTGCATGTGTCTTTATAGTAGAATGATTTATAATCTTTTGGGTATATGCCCAGTAATAGAATTGCTGGGTCAAATGGTATTTCTGGTTCTAGATCCTTGAGGAATCTCCACACTGTCTTCCACAATGGTTGAACTAATTTACACTCCTGCCAACAGTGTAAAAGCATTCCTATTTCTCCACATCCTCTCCAGCATCTGTTGTTTCCTGACTTTTTAATGATCGCCATTCTAACTGGCATGAGATGGTATCTCATTGTAGTTTTGATTTGCATTTCAGTAATGACCAGTGATGATGAGCTTTTTTTCATATGTTTGTTGGCTGCATAAATGTCTTCTTAGAGAAGTGTCTGTTCATATCCTTTGCCCACTTTTTGATGGGGTTGTTTGTTTTTTTCTTGTAAATTTGTTTAAGTTCTTTGTAGATTCTGGATATTAGCCCTTTGTCAGATGGATAGATTGCAAAAATTTTCTCCCATTGTGTAGGTTGCCTCTTCACTCTGATGATAGTTTCTTTTGCTGTGCAGAAACTCTTTAGTTTAATTAGATCCCATTTGTCAATTTTGGCTTTTGTTGCCATTGCTTTTGGAACACCAGGTACACGTCTAAGATTTTTGACTCTAGACCCTGACTTCTAGACAGCACTTCTGGACCCACCCAGGGCTTGCAGGACCTTGCTGCCATGAAGGGAAGAACACAAGCCTGGCTGGCTTTGCCACCTGCCGATTGGAGAGTCCCAGGGCCTGCAGCAAACAAAGGCAGTAGCCAGGCAGTGGTTATAGCAGGCCTTGGGTGAGACCCAGTACTGTGGTGGCTACAGGTCTGACCCAGCACAGTCATAGTGTTGATGGCCACAGGGGTGCTTGTGTTACTCCACCCCCAGCTTCAGGTGGCTTAGAAAAAAGAAAGAGACCTCATTTGTCTGAGAGAAAGTAAGGGAAGAGAACAAGAGTCTGGTAATCCAGAGAATTCTCCAGATCTTGTCTAAGACTACCAAGGAGGTACCTCTACGAGTCTGCAAGAACCACAGCATTACTGGACTTAGGGTTCCACCTAAGGCAGATACAGCTTAGATCACAACACCCAAGTGTTTTCAAATACCTGGAAAGCCTTCCCAAGAAGACTGGGTACAAACAATTCCAGACGGCGAAGACTACATTAAATACCTAACTCTTCAATGCCTAGACACCAAAAACATCTACTAGCATCCAGGGAAAACATGTCCTCCCTGAATAAATTAAATAAGGCACCAGTGACTAATCCTGGAGAAACAGAGATATGTGACCTTTCAGACAGAATTCAAAATAGCTGTGTTGTGGAAACACATACTACCCAAAGCATAGGACTTCCAGTACTATGTTGAATAGCAGTGGTAACAGTGAGCATCCTTGTAGTGTTCCAGATCTTAGAGGAAAGGCTTTCAATTTTTCCCCATTTGGTATGATACTAGCTGTAGTCTGTCATATATGGGTTTTATTACAGATTCACTGCAATTCCTATCAAAATACCAATGACATTCCTCACAGAAATAGAAATAACAATCCTAAAATTCATATGGAACCGTAAAAGACCGAGAATAGCTGAAATTATCCTGAGCAAAAAGAACAGAACTGGAGCAATCACATTACCTGACTTAAAATTATACTACAGAGCTATAGTAACCAAATGTTTTTATGCATTAGCCATAAAAACAGAGACTTAGACCAACAGAACAGAATAGAGAACCCTGGAACAAATCCACACACCTACAGTGAATCCATTTTCGGTAAAAGTGCCAAGAACATTCACTGGGGAAAAGACAGTCTCTTCAATAAATGGTAGTTGGAAAACTGGATATCCACATGCAGAAGAATGAAACTAGACCTCTATCTCTTGCCATGTAGAAAACTCAAATCAAAATGGATTAAAGACTTAAAGCTAAGACTTCAAACTATGAAACTTCTACAGTAAACATTGTGGAAAATCTCCAGGACATTGGTCTAGGCAAGAATTTCTGATGGTTATCAGAGGCTGGCAAGAGTAGTGGAGAATGGGTGGGGAGGTGGGGATGGTTAATAGGTACAAAAAGACAGTTAGAAAGTATGAATAAGACCTACCACTTAATAGCACAACAGGGCAACTACAGTCAATAATAACTTAAGTGTACATTTAAAAATAACTAAAAGAATGTAAATGGATTTTTTGTAATGCAAAGGATAAATGCTTGAGGGGATGGATACCCTGGTCTCCATGATGTGATTGTTTCACATTACATGCCTGTATCAAAACATCTCATGTACTCTGTAAATATAGACAAATACTATGCGCCCACAAAAATTTAAAAAAAGATGAAAAGAAGAATACTCCCAAGCAGTTCTGAGCCATTGGGTCTTTCTCCAATGCTGCAGCATGGTTACCTTTACTTTCACACTGGGTTAAAGGAGCAGCCTCTAGCTGGCCACTGGTGAGACTACAGCATCCCAGAGTGGACTGGGATATCTGGCCACAGCTTGCTTTTTCAATCTGGGTCCTTTAGTGTGACCAGGGCTTTACCCTCTTGGTAGTCTGAAACTCCTAGGGATGTGCAATCCCTTTGCTTAGCTCTTTTTCCACAGGCCGCACTCCCCTAGCAGTTGTGCAAATTCAGAGCTGGCTATGCAGTTTGAATTCTGCCACTCTAGGAAATGCAAACACAGTTTAGGGACAGCTGCTCAGACCCCAGCATATTGTTTTGTACCATACATGTGCTGCATTGCTTTGGGACCATGGATTTAATCCCAAACTTGACAATTATGTCACAGCCTACAAAATATTTACACTGTTTTCCTAAATGTATATTATGTACCATACAGTCTATAAAATATTTACATGAGATGTACCATACAGTCTATAAAATATTTACATGAGATCATTGTTCTAAAGATACTGTATTCTGAATTTTATTTCTACATCACTGCACACTGAACTGGGCATCAGGAGAACTGCATTGTGGTTCTGGCTTTTGACTACAAGGCTATGTGACCTTGGGCAAGTCCATTCACTTCTCTCATTTTCTCATGTGTAAAATCAGGAGGTGGAACCAGGGAATATCCAAGATCCCTTTCAGCTGTAACACTGTGTGGTTCATTGCCTCTAGGCAGGTACAAGACAGGCAGGCCTCAACCGGTAGCAATCCCTGGGCACTTGTCAAAGACACCCTTGTTAATGTTCCATCATAGCACGTAAAGTAGCACCCTGCCAAGTGGAAGAAGAGCACCCCAGTGTGAATGGCAGCCAGACCTCTGAAATGCAACAGAAAAGGAAGTCAGGAATATAAACAGTCTTAGAGGTAAACAATGGCTAAGAATCTGGGCTTTGGAGAAGGGCATATCTGGGGGGTGATCTTGGCTTTGCCGCTATTTTGTGATCTTAGGCAATTAGTTAAAACCTCTGAAACTTTGGGCCCTTATATGCAAAATGAGATTAATACTAGGTACCCCTGAATATTGTTCTGAGTACTCATTTTCCTAGAAATGTAAGGTGTATTTTACATTAGATATAGCATATGATAAGGGCTCAGTAAATATTAACTATTATTTTTGTTCTAAAGATACTGTATTCTGAATTTTATTTGTACATCACTGCATACTGAACTGGGAATCAGGAGAACTGCATTGTGGTTCTGGTTTTTGACTAAATTTACTAAATATTACTAAATATTTACTAAATATTTGATATTTATTGATTTATCAAAAAGTTATTTGTCAAGGGACTGCAAATCTCTTTCAAATATTCCCTCAAAGATGCCTATCAAATTCTCCCTAAAGAGACTCTTTTGGATCCCAACATATTTAAAAATGTGTTGCCTTACCTGGTGATTTGTTGTCATACAAAATAGATCATCATTGTGGAGAAAAAGGCAGGAACTTTGTGGAATAGGTTATTAGGCCATATTATCTGAATATAATTTTATCATTTGCCAGTATATTAACTTGTTTAATTGCAAGCTCTAGGAAGAATAAACCACATAGTCAAAGAGAATATTTTTAAATGTTAGGGCTTGTCCTGATTTGCCTGGAATAGTCTTAATTTACACCTATGGTTCCTAAATTATTTAAAGTGAAAAGTAAACCTTTTTACTCTTAGAAGTATCCTGGTTTAGACAATAGTTATTCTGTTTCAGTTAGTTAAATGTTGGGCTAATGGTTAGCTCTATGAAAAGCTATTTGAGAACACTGTTTCCCTGGAAAAGTCAAATTAGAAATCATGTGTCATTTCAACTTTAGTAATTTTCCAGGGTATCTAATTTTCGTCAGTAAGACTATGGTGTGTAAGAGACTTGCATCTACCAAGGACAGCTATTTAGAAGTTTCCACAGGAATAGATGGCTAAAGTATGTCCCAAACTGGTATTGCAGCTTGAGGAACAGGCTTATGAAAACTTTTGATAATATTATCTGATCTTCATTACTTCATTCATTCCCTCCGTGCTAAGCAGTGTGGATACAATAATGGGGAACAAGTTAGACATGATTCATTCTTGCCTTCATGGGGCTCACATTTTACTGAAAGACACAGAAGAAACAAGTTTTATCAGAACCTTGTTCAATAAAAACAATTAAATTTATGACAAGCTTAATAAAGAAACAATGAGCCAATGCAGAAAGTAAGGAAAGTGTGAGGGATATTGTCTTCAGATAGGGTTCTATGAGAAGGCCTCTTGAGGATATGGCATTCTAATTTAAGGAGGAAGGGCTACAGGTAGGAAAAACTACTGCATACAAAGATCGTGAATCAGTAATGAGTTGGATGTGTTTGGGGAACTAAGAGAAGATCAGTGTGGCTAGAAATCACTGATTAAGGGGAAAGCTTGGCATGAGATAAGGTGGGGGAGATAGGTGGAGACTAGATCATGCTGAGCTTATGGTAAAGACACTATATTTTATTCACATGAACTAGAAAGCCATTAAAAGTTTGAAGCAGGGGAATGGCACGATTCAATTTATATTTGATGTTGATCTGATTTGTGTTATAACTTACAGTCCTGCTGTGTGGAGAGTGGACTGAGTTGTGTTGGGGGGCACAGTGCAAGTAGAGACACAAGTTGGGAAGTGTTAAAGTGGAGCAGGTGAGAAATGATGGTGGTTTGGACTGGCATGGCAGTGGGGGAGAGAGGCAGATTCATGACACATGTTTCAGGTTGACTTGAAAGGACTTGCTGATAGATCGGATGCTGGGTGTGGAGGGAAATGGAGAACAAAACGTGATCCCATGGTTTGGTGCCGGGTGCTGGGTGGATGTATATGGAAGATATGTGGAGGAGCAAAGGCAGGTTTGGGAATCAGAAACCAAGGTTTCTATTTTGAAAATGTTAAAAATGTTAAATCTGAGAAATTTCTGAGATAGGTGAAGAACGTCAACTAGGTGGTTGAATATGTAAATATGGATCTCTGAGAAGTATGAGCTGAAGTTATAAACTGGGCACTCATTAGTATATCATGGAATTAAACATTGGAAATGATGAGATTACATAGGGGAAAAGTATAGACAGGAAAAGAAGGGAAGGAGAAAGAGTGGAAAGGAGGGAGGGAAGGAGGGAGGGAGGAAGGAGGGTAGGACTAAGCCCTGAGGAGTATCAACTCTTCAGAGGATAGACTCAAGTTCAAGCTCCTTTTACAGTTACTTTGTGATGAGCAATGTAAAACTGAGGGTGGGGGTGGGTAAAGACAAGAGAGGAGAGAGAAAAAGGAAAAATGCATTGAGGTGAAGAAAGGGTGAGAGCAGTGTGAGAAAAGCCAAGAGAGTGTTCCAGGAAAGAGGAAGTGGACAAATTGGTTGAGCAGCCAAATAAGATGAGAGCAGAGAAGTGTTCACTGAATCTGGTCACATGGATGGTGATGGTTGGAGACCAGGCAAGATCACTTGAATCATAGTCTAGGTATTGAAAATGTTATCTTGAAATTTGTATGGATTTGCGTGCATTCACAAAGATTAAAAATTCACGTGAATGACTTGAGGTGGGGCGTGGTGGCTCATGCCTGTAATCCCAGCACTTTGCGAGATGGATTCAGGCGGATCACTTGAGGTCAGGTTTGAGACCAGCCTGGCCAACATGGTGAAACCCTGTCTCTACTAAAAATACAAATATTAGCCGGGCATGCGAGATGCATGCCTGTAATCCTAGCTACTCGGGAGGCTAAGGCATGAGAATGGCTTGAACCTGGGAGGCGGAGGTTGCAGTGAGCCGAGATTGCACCACTGTACTCCAGCCTGGGCCATGGAGTGAGACTCAGTCTCAAAAAAAAAAAAAAAAAATTTACGTGAATGACTTGAACATGAGCGAGCCACTCTTAACGTTTGCTCACAATGGTCTCAGCCTTGAAGCCTGCTGGGACCTTAGCAGCCGGCCATGGAGGAGGGCAGTTGGGCCTGGGGGCGCCTAGAATGGGGGACATTTGGTACCTTTGTATATCACAGTTTATATGGTGCAGGTTGAACACACGGTAGAATGTCCAGAAATATTTGTGGATTGACTTTTTAAAAAAAGAAACAAAAAATGTACTGGAATTCAAGCTCCTTTTATAGCTACTTTGTGATAAGTAGTGTAAAGGATGAAGGAAGCAGTCTCATGAAAGCCCAACATAGGTTTCTGTCAAAAATAACACATTAAATAAATTAATCCTTTCTGTTACTCTGTGGAGTAAACAGAGGTGTTGCAGTATTATCATCCCAGCTTTAGAGATCCAGAAATTCAGATTGAAAGACTAAACAAGTTGGCCAAGATCACACAGCCATTCAATGGCAGTGCCAGGAGTTTCCCAGGGCAGCTTGAAGGCCTGTGGTCTACCCAGTCCTCCACTGGAAATAAACCATGATTCATGACCTCAAGCCATATCAACTCCCATAGCCATGGCCTGGGGGAAGGTCAGTCTCTTTGTTTTTCTTCTCTTTTCAGTTCTTTCCCTCTTTCTGTCGGTAAACCTTTCATTTCTTCAATTATTATTATTACTTTTTGAGACAGAATCTCGCTCTGTCACCCAGGCTGGCATGCAGTGGCAATTATGGCTCGCTGAAGCCTCTACCTCCCAGGCTCAAGTGATCCTCCCATCTCGGCCTCTGGAGAAGCTGGGACTACAGGCATGTGCCGCTGTGCTCAGCCATTTTTCTTTTATTATTTGTAGAGACAGCACCTCCCTATGTTGCCTCCCTGGTCTTGAACTCCTGGGCTCAAGTGATCTTCCTTCCTGCCTCAGCCTTCCAAAGTGCTAGGATTACAGGCGTGAGGCAGTATGCTAGGCCTCTTCCATTTCTTTTTTTGGCCATTCCTTGTGCAAGAGCTGGAGAACTATGAGGAATTGGGTTGTATAACCTCTACCCCTTTCTCTTGACTTTCTATTCAATGTCCATTGTTAAAAGGTAAGAGGAACACAGCAAAGGTGAATGGATGACTTATTAGGCAGGAGTAGGGAGGGAAGGACTGCACACAGGCAAGGCTGTTATGGGAGAGACTATGAGGGCTGTACACATATGACGTATTTTCAACAAGAGTTATAATATCACATTCATGTATGAGGCTGAAAAAAAACCTTTTTCCCACTTCTTTTGAATGATTGGAATCAGGTGGTCCTGCACAGTGTGTTTATTATTCCAAAAATGAAACCTAAAAGGCACATCAACAGTTCACACAGTTTTCCAAGCCTCACTTGTGGACCAGGAAGCCCTGAGCCAAGCCAGATGGGCAGGGGTGCCCAGCATTGCTGGCAACATTACCGTGGGAGTTCTGGGGCACAAACCACAGGGCAAGCGGGATTTCAGAGGCTCAGAGGACAGACAGGGCTGAGATGATTTCTAGAGACTGTTCCAGATGGATCATTTAAATGCATCCCTCCCAGAGCAGGACATTCTGCACCTCCCTTGGCCACCCACTCTCATGCTGCCAAGCTGCCCAATGACCACAGTAAGAAAAGGATGGCTTTATAAAAACTCCTCACACTGGTACTTTAATTAAAAGAAAGTCCTTCTATATTCTGTAGCATTTAAAAGCTTCATTGTAATAAATGTTTGCAGAAATAAAGCTTTTCTTTGTATGCCTTTGCAACACAGGGAAAACTGGCCACATTTCCACAGCAGTGTGGGATGCTGAAGAGAGAGGGCCTCTTGAATGTGCTATGCAAATTTATGAAAACAACATGCAAATCAGTATAGTTTTGGGTAATCCAAACAAACAAACAAACAAACAAATGGCAGGAAAGAGTGATTCCTGTGCCTCTTGGAGGATTCTTGACCCTACTTATAGGGTCATCCAGGTGTGTGCGTGTGTGTGTCTGTGTGCATGTGCATGTGGTTGCACGGTGACAGAGGAGAAGATGTAGGGAAGCACTGAGACCTGAATGCACCAAGGGAATCAGAACTTACTCTTTTTTTTTTTTTTTTTGCTCTTTTCTGAGATCCAAGAACTCTTTCCCTTGTCAGGAATAATAATTAGTATCAGAATAAAATAGAGTCATCTGTGCACTGAATTGTATGGAAGGGTGTATTGCAAGACAGAAAGACGTGCAGGACTGCGAGTCAGGACCAGAGAAGAAACCTCCTTCAATGCTAGATGCCAGGGTCCTGCTCGGGCTGCACTTTGGAGGACCTCACTCTGGCACTCTTCTGGCTGTGTCTCTCACATGGGGACAGGAATCTACAGGGCCACCTGCAATGCCCCTGTGGCTGGATCACATTCTGAATACCCCGCGAAATGCAAGATTTATAGCATTTAACCTGGCCTGCTGGGATGTTAGGAAGGTATATTGTTGAGGGAGGAGAATGGGAGTTGTGACATTTGGATGGCTATCCCTGGGGTGTGTGAACCTTCTCTAGTGTTCCATTCCAGCCCCCGCATCACCATTATTAGAAGCGGGCCTGGCCAGGGGACATTTTCTGGTCCTGGGCCAGCCTCTGGTGGTTATGTCATCTTGGACAAATTGATTTTCTCTCTGGGCTTAGATCCCTCACTGGTCACTCAGGATCAGGGAGAGATTGGACTGGATGAACATTAACTGCCTTGGAAGATAAACATTTCTGAGAAAGGTAGACCATTTAAAAATATTCTTCTGTGCCTGATGGCCCACAGGAGACATGATGTCAGAAAAAGGGCACCTGTTGTCAGCTCTGTGCAGGTTGTGTATCGTGGTGTATGAGTTGGAATGGGATCCAGTGGTTTACAAATCTGTTATATTCTTCAAATGCATTGATCTTCGAATATGAGATTTGCACTCAATTGTAGGGTATTGTTCTAATTAAGTTAATCTACTTGAATTGTGCTTTCTTGGAGTTACAGCCTTTTGAACTTACTACATGAGTTTATGCAAATAACATGCAGATAAGAATTCAAGTGCTTTCAATAACCCACTCAAAGAGGACTAGAGCACGATAACCTGAGTTATAGTTAGCACCATAACTAGAGTTTGCTTCACAATTACCAACATTTATCTAACAATTAAACACTGTGTCAGGTGACACATAAATGTATTCTTGTAAGTCCTCTTCATTTGGGACAAATAGGTGCCCTGCAAGGCCAGTGTATGGTGGCTTCTGAGGCAGACCTCCTCCAGCAACTACACTGAACCAGCATTTCCATCTCCCACTCCCAAGTAAGTCTCCCTTACATCTGCCCCAACCCCGTTCTCTGCTCATGAATAACTAACAGCTGGCATGCCTAACAGTCAGACAGGAGTCTGCCAAAATGCAGGCATGATAAACCTGAAGTTTTCTTTCTTCCACCTGCCCAGGTAAGAAGCCCAAATAGCCAGTCATGCCCCTGGCTGCTTTATTTTAGTATGTGTGTGGTGCCAAAAGTTGCACGTCCCAGGCTGATGAGGATTGCCTGACCATTTTGTTCACCACCAACCTTCGCAGCATGGAGAAACAGCCTTCGTTTAGCCTCCCTTATATTTCACAGGCAGGAGATTACAAGGCAGAACATAGCCTAGGGAGCTGATTGGTGCTCCTTATCTTTGACTTCTTCTATAGCTCCCACAGACTTAAGTTCATGAATCCAGAGCATGTTGTCCAATAAAAATGTACTGTAAGCCACAAACATAATTGTAAATTTTCTAGTAGCCATATTAAAAAAGTAAAAAGAAACAGGTAAAATCTATTTTAATAATCGACTTTGTTTAACCCAAGATATCTAAAATATTATCATTTCCATTTGTAATCAATATAAAAATTATTAATGAGGTAGTCTACATTCTTTTCCCTGTCCCACACCAAATAGCCACCCCAAATCTGTTGTCTATTTTAAACTCCTGCATATTTCATTTGGGACTTGCAAAATTTGAAGGGCTCTTCAGGTACATGTGACCACTGGCTATCAGACTGGACCACAGAGGGCCAGAGCCTCCGTTTTCCCTGACAGTTTACTTACTACTAAGGGAGGCTGGGGAGATGGGAGGTGTGGAGAAGCTTCGTTCTCAAAAGCATGCATTGCCTGTTTGTGCATACTGTTTATCTTTGCAGTTATGTGAATAACCATCCCATCCTGTATGCCTACTTATGTAATTAATTCCCATTTATATAGCAGTTTATGTTTGCAGAGTGCTTTATCGATACAGTTGCCAGTATATTTATCTATTTGCATGTTACACTTACACTTTCATGTGTGCCTACCTGTGCTAATTAGTGCTATAATTATCGAGGTTATTTAAGAACAGAGCTCATAGTTACCTTCAAGAACACCAACAACCATTTTAATAGCAACTATAAATTCCATCTTCCCTCTCCAAGTTCTGTCTACTTCACAAAAGGATTTTTATACCTCCACCCAATTTTCTCCAAGTTCTTGGTTGGCCTTGGAGTAAAAAAATGCATTTAAAAGCAATCTAGTAATTGTCCTTTTCCCTTTGTCTGCTTAAATTTCATATGAATGAAATAGGCGTTTAATGGCATATCTTCCAGTAACAACAGGCTCAAAATACGTGGCATATCAACATGAAAAGGATAATTACATATAATGACCACCACCACCAAATAATGCTATTTCTAATATGAAATGTCATTTCCTACCCTAAATCTAAACTTCTAAACTTCTTTCTGACAAACAGCCAAGTTTATGAGCAGGAAGGGGCAGGCAGGCAGGCAGGCAGGCAGGCAGCAGCCGGGTCCGGGGTTGCATGGTGCCCTCTGGGCCAATGCCCCCAGTGGTCTGAGGACCAAAGCAGTTTTGGCCTGTTGGGAGCCTGACAGAGGCTGGTGGAATGGGAAGATGGGGGAGCCTGAATGAACAGTCCTGAGGTACAAGAAACACAGAATTGTGATGCGGGTGGGAGATTTGAAAGAACATTTCACCTTACCCATTCCCCTCCCCAGCCCCTCTCTTCCTCCCCGCAAATCAATGAAGGGGAAAAATTACAGTGCTCCAATTCATTCCTTGGTTCTGCTGCTCTCAGTGATTGGAAATGCCAGCGAGGGGAATGATATACATCATGTGATGAAAGGAGAGTACAAAAATATGCACCAACAGCTATGAAATGCAACTGCCCCCACAGCAAAACCAGGCAGCTCTTGAATAGAACACAACACCACCCTAGAGACTCAAGACCAACTCCCGCTCCGAAGCAATTTTGTGAGCCCAATATTGGGGATTAGAGACGAACATGAGAGATCTTATGCCACAAATCACTGCATACCCAATGCTTCTGCTACCTACTCTGGTCTCCCATGGGGAAAATCATTAAGTCTCTTTCTGTCTCTCTTTAAAATGGGAGCTAAATTAGTAACTTACCACAAAGGAGTGTTTTCTTAATTACTTGCGTACAAATTGCTTGACATTATTGAATGAAAGGTATCAAGGAGAATGCAAGCTATTACCATGATTATTTTTGTTCTAATACAAAGCAGCAGGCCAGAACCATTTCTATCTCTGGATTACGTTTCAGTTGAGTGATACTTCAGGGAATGGTTTCCTAAGGCTCCAACTGCCATTAGTACCAGTAGCATTTCAGAGGCGAATCAGGAGAGGCCAGCCTCCTGAGGCTGGGGCTTGATTGATGTGGAATGGAAGTGTGGCCAGAAGGAAAGAGCGGATTGGGAGAGAGAGTGAGGGCATGGGTGGTGGCCTCGTCCTGGGCAGCCACAGCATGAAAATATCCATGGAATCAGTTATTCTCTTGTAACCCACTGTTGCCTGTTTCCCTGCCAGTTGGGCTCCTGGTCTTGATTGTGAGGCTGGTCTCATGGGGATGGGCACCCTAACACACATTTGTTTTGAGGCATCAGACATGATCACAGCCATCATGGATGAACATGGGCTAACACACTATTGCATTGCTAGAGGAGATGAGAGACCAGCTTTCCTCTGTGTTACCTGTGCTACCTCAAAGGGCACATGGAAGGAATGTTGGAGAGAACTTTCTAGACAAATACTAAAACTACTGTTATTCTTTTTTCTTTTTTAAAATCCTACCAGAGGCAGGGACTTGTCCCTCTGCAGCTGGTCTTACCCCAGGGCCAACACCACAATGAGCACCCCTCATTCAAAAGGGTGATGGTCCTGCCCACGAGGGATCTGCAAGTCAAACCGGGATGCCTAGGAAACTAATAGTGATTGACTGTGATTTGCCATTACATCTTTGAATCATACTGTGATTGTGTCTTCATTAGGAATGTTGGGTAAAGAGAAAGTGACACAATATGGTAATTATCCTAGAAAATTGGGTGACGTTAGAATAAGGCCTTGGAATGCTTTCCATGGAATCTGTTTGATCAAAACATTTGCTCTGTTGGAGATAATATTATAGAAGGCTTTTGAATAATTAGACAAGTTCCAGAGTCCAGTGGGATGGTAAGGAAGAGGAAGCCTATTACTCTCTGGATCTCTCTGTTATACATAGAGTTGTTTATTCACTTTGCTAAAAAATCTTCCTTATAAATTCTAGTATATTATTTTTGATATTTATGTCTTAACGATGGTGTCAGGAGAATGTTTAAATCCCATTTAGCTTTTGACTCTATGTAGAATAACTATTTTTCCTCCCATATGCAGTTTTTTGTCCATTCATTAATTGTACTGCTGCTTCCGTAAGTTTATTTACTGCCTTCTAAATATGTATCTTAATTTACACTTTGAGTCCCACAGGGAGTCTATAAAATGTAAAATCTTATATAATAGCAGAAGCAGCCACAAATATTTTAATATCCAGGGCTGCTTCTGAATCCTAATTTTGCAGATGGCGTGAAGTTCATTTTATAGCAGCTATTGAAAACTAATAAATGCCATCCACATCACTCAGCATTGTCAATAATCCACCAGACTGTGTGCCCAGGGATGCTGGGGAAGCAGAGGTGGCTCCTGACCCTTCCCTAGCCAGCCTCCAGTTGCAGACCCCAGAGCTGCCTGGCCTTATCAGCTGCCACAATTCTATTCAGGTCAGCAATGAGGCGAGGCTTTTTGAACTTCTAATCTGCCAGTGGAGAGATTTTCGCAAGAGGGTAATTGCTGCAAAGAGCATGCAAGGGAGGGAGGTAAGCTTGTCCCTTTCCTGCTTGTTGTATTTGCCTTCTCAAATGCAAAGATGAGCAGAGGAGGAAAAGCAAGAAATTGACAGTGAGACCACTCCCAGGCTTGGTCAAAAATGGGCTGAGAAGTTGTAGATCCCTTATTTTAGACTTTTTTCTTTTCCTCTTTGGTAAATTATCTCTTTAAGGAAAATAAAAGCTCATATGATGAGAGAAGAGCAAGGGGGTCAAAAACAGGCTCAATGAATTTATTATTTATTCTTTCATTTTTATTTTGCCAAATAGTTATCCAGTCCCTACTGTGCTCAGGCACAGTGGAACATATTTCTATATCTATAGCTGCTATATAACTACATAAATGATATTTAGTTCTAAGTTATATTCAGATTCTCAAGTAATCTCTGCCCTTAAAGGAACTTACCATCTAGAAGGGGGATATTATAATACTAGTAAGTCTACACAGTAGGGAATATTAAGTGCTCTGAGAGTGTGAAGGAGGGGAGAGAGAAAGAATATTTCCAGTCTCCAAGAGGATGGGGAAGAAGGTAGGCATCCAAAGAGACCTTATGGGGGAAATTACACCTGGACTGGATGTTATGGGCAGAAGATGATCAGTTGGTCTTATAGACTCCTGGGAAGTCAATTAATGTCAACCAAAGCAGAAGTCAATTCCCTCTTCTTTCTCTCTGGTCTTCAGAGAGCTGTTTGCTGTCTTGCAAAATCTCCTTTGCTTTCCCTGTTTAAGGCTGCCTTTGCTGTTTCCTTGAACTGGATTTCATCTTGATGCAAATTCAAAAGGAGCAAGAGGGTAATCTGCTTTTAGATAGTCCCAGGAGATGTTCTGCTGAAGGCTGGGCAGAGCAGCACATCAAGTCGGCTTGATGAGATGCATTAGTTCAGAGAAGTTGGAGAAGTACCAGAGTGGCTTGGATGCAGAAAAGCAAGTAAATGATCCAATCAAATTTTGCCTTCAGATTCATTCAAATCACCTGGATAGGAGTTACTGGGACAGAAAGCCTGGATGCAGGAGCTGTTTGCTGTGCAGAGTCTCTGGCCTTAAGTTGTCTGACTCTCTTAAAGTGGAAAAGTTGTACTCATAGATAATAATTTTTCCATTTGTGAAGCTGTCTTATACCCAGAAAGAAATTCAAATTGACTTTCAATAAGATTTACTCTTCTTTTGGGCCTGCTTGTCCACCCTTCCTTCTCCCTCCCCTCCCCTCCCCTCCCCTCCCCTCCCCTTCCCTCCCCTTCCCTCCCCTCCCCTCCCCTTCCCTCCCCTCCCCTCCCCTCCCCTTTCCTCGCCTTCCCTCCCCTTCCCTTCCCTTCCTTTCCTTTCCCTTCCTTCCTCTCTCCCTTCCTCCCTTCCTTCTTTATTTTGGCTTTGTGCAAAAAGATGTGAAACAAATTAAAGAAAGATATTAATAATAACCATGCCATTGCCCTTGACAGGAAAGAGGTCATCTTCCCCAATGTGACCACCATAGCTTTCATCCTGGGCAGGATCTCCCTACAGTGAGGAAGCCCCCTGATTTCACAGGTACATATCAGATAACACCTAAGGCTCTGATGTGGACAAACCACCAAGTCTGGGCTGGAAGACATTCCATCAAGTCATGCTCTGGGGCTCTTTAGCAAGTTTCAAGCTCTACTTTAGGGAAACTACAGGAACCAGGTGTCTGATGGGAAAAATCTTTGTGTGTGTGTGTGTGTGTTTGTGTGAGTGTGTAAGAAACTACAAAACGTCAGAGTTGGAAGGAACAAGAAAGAACAAGTGGCTCAACCATCTTATTATGCAGATAAGGAAACCTAGGCCTGGAAGAGTTAGATGATTTGCTCTAGCTCCTGAGAATTAGTTATAGGTACAGCTGGGATGAGAATCCAGAAAGGGGTGGAAAATGACAGTCATGAATATTCTTCCTTTCCCAAGTATAGTATTCAAATAGTGCCTCTTTGTGGTTAGTGGCAAAATGCTAAATATTTCTCTCTTTCCAGGGCCAGTACAAACAAGTGGTGTCCAAACCAGCTGCTCTAAGTGTGCTTCACTGTACTCGGTGTTATGAATAAGATGATGGCCCTGTTGGTATACTGTCAGCTGACAAAGCTTCTGGCAACTCAGGCATCATGCATCCTTAGTATTAGGCATTTGGTAGGAAGAGGGCTGAGCAGGGACTTGGGGACCCATTTGCCTGGTGGTTCAGGCTAACGAAGTGGAGTGCGGTTCTGACATGGCTGGTTTGACAGTCCAAAGAGATCGCCTGCTATTTATCAGTGATTGGCCCTGTGCCTGGGATTTGCATTGTATCATAATATATATTTATAAATGTATAATATAGAGAGTAAACAAAATATATAGATTAAATAAAGTATATAAAATCATATGTGAGAAATATTTTATATTTTTTAATTTTTGAGAGAGGATGCATACTTGAATTATCTAAATTAAATAAATATACGATATCACTTGACTGCAATTTATGTTTTTAAGAGGTTGAAGATTAAAGCCAACATGTATGAGACTCTCTGCTATAAGAGAACAAATCCCAGCTTAGCTCAGGGTCTAGTGTGTGCTATTTTTCCTCTTATGGCAATTGAGGTTCAGTAGCCAAGAGGGTGGGCTATTGTTCTCTAGAGAATCTGTATTTAAGTGGCAGGACCCCAGCCCTGAAGACTGGCAGGAGGATGACACAGCATCCCAGTTTCCTGCCAATGGGGGGTTCAATAATTGTCTCATCTTACAGGGGCATCAGTGATGGGGAATTGTCAAAACTAAGAAGAAGGCCTCAACCTGAAGCCTGTTGCTGGTGCTGTACCAGTGTGGTAGGTAGGGGTAGAAGGTGAGCAACCAGGAGTCCAGAGCATGCCAGGAACCCAGAGCTCCTTGGGAACACTGCATTATTTTGAGCTGTTCTGCAAAAGAGGGCCCCATAGGAGGCCAATATTGGAAGCCAGCAGCCATGGCTGAGCCTAGGTCCCAGGTCTGACAGGAGGGGCTTTAGTTTGCAGTCCATCTGAAAGAGGCAGGGGCATAGGCGAGAGCTGTGGAGGAACTGAGGCATCAGGAGTCCACATACATCTGGAAGCCCATAATCTCTACAGCTCCATGCAGATACATTGTTTTTGGCTTCACTTTCCCTGTAAGGAGATGAGCAGTGGGCTTTCCAGTGCATTTGAAATTCAGGAGATTGAACATTCCAAAGGATTCCAGTGCTGAAATGATGAGCAGGGGTGGCTCATCTACAAGAACACACTAAAAACAAATGATAGCTGTGCTCCAGGATGACAAAGACAGAGCTGGTGAAAAGCACTTATTTCTGCCTAGAGGCTGAGTTGTATATTCCAATATAATTTTATTCAGAAGAAACTATCAGTGGAGAAACTATCCCCCATGTTTTTAAAAGGCAGCAAATTTTACTGTCTTTAAAATAATCATCCTTGATAAGTGAAGAGTTGATAAATGAGCTCAATCTGCATATCACCTTGTAAGAGCAAAGCTGTGTATAATTACAAGATTGCTCTGGGGGCTGTTGCCTTACTCTGATGAGTGGAAAAGGCAATGCCTTGTGAAATGGCAAGCTAGGGCCCTTGTGGTTTAGCAAAAGAAGGAATTTCATCTCACCCATTGCTCCCTTTGCTTTGTCACTGGGGCTGCCAGAGAAATTCCCAAAGGAGAAACACAGTGTTCTTGACTCTAATTGAATGAATCCAGTCATTACCTTTTGAGATGCCATAGGATTTTCTTTTATATGTGCACACACACAAAGTTGCTACAAAGGAGCTACTGATATAGTCATATTTAAGAGATTCAAGATCAGATTATTCAAAATCCACTGAAAAGACAGAAATCACAATGAGAGGAAGGGTGAATGTAAGTAGAATGAGAGAAACAAAAATCTCAAAGAAAGGTGAAAGTAGCCAGAGAAAGAATTGTATCTGTCATCCACCATCATTTGCTGTGCATTTCCCCTTCTTATACTGAGCTCCTCCATGAAACCATTTTCTCAGCTTCTCCTTTCTTTGTGCTTCATTATTCATCAGATTTTCTCTTTTGGCCTATTGGATTTCTCTTTTGAAACTGCTCTCCCAGTGGAAGAATGTTGAAGGCTCTAGGATCCATCCTTATTTCACAATGAGAACCAAGACCAAGGGCCTCAATGACAAATCTTTTGGGGAACCATGAGATTAGAGGTATAAGAAAACATTATAGAACTAAGGCTCTTTAATTATTTTTGGGGGGATGGGCTTCAGCACAACATCCACTCTTTCTCATGGCCCACCCTTTCCATTTTAGTGTAAGCCTGTTCATTCTATATTGAAATTGGATAACTTTGCTAAAATGTTGATCAAATGATCATTATATAATTTCATAAACTACAAAGTGCTATCTACAGCTGTGCCTAAGTCTCCTATACTAAAATTCTTTGAGAACTGAGTGGTCCAGGAAAGCAATTTCTTGGTGACATTCCGAGAGCCATTTAGAAGGCCCCATTTCAACCCAGAAAACATTGCTCTTAAAATTATATCATCCCAAACAAGATGTAGGTGGAGCCATTTTTACTTGGTGTTCTCTTTGGATACTTGTAGCAGGCACTTGTCTCCTCAAATTTATTCTTTCTTTCTTTTTTTAGTAATAGACTCCCCCTGAATTTTAGCAGGGCACATGGTTGTTCATAAAAAAAAAAAAGACTAAATTTTACAGGTGATCTATGGCTGTATGTGACCATGTGGCTAAATTTTAACCAGTGGAAGGTAAGTAAATTTCTCATATCTTACTTTTATGGCTGAGAGACAAATGTGAAGGTAGGAGCTGAGGCAGCCATTTTGGACCAAAAGAATAACCATTGGATGAGATTTGCTCAATGTGAAAGAAAATAAAATAAAGTGCTGTGGTGAAGAGTGTTGGGCCAGGAGTCAGAATACCTAGAATGTTCTAGTCACTTTGCTCACTAACAAGGGCATATGACTTTGAGAAAGTCATGCAATTTCTAGAGCCTTTGAGCAAGCTGTATAATTTGTCATGCCTTTCAGTATCCTCATATACTAAATGAAGGCATTATGAAGTGCTCTAACATTTCACAGGGTTATTGTGGGGACTCAGTGATATCTTCATATAGGAGCTATTTAAAAAGCAGAAGTCAATTTAAAACTGCAGTAGGTTATGGCTGATACAATTACAGGCAACATAAACTTTATCCTATTATGTAAAAGCAGATACTTTGATGAAGATATCTCATAGAAAAAGCTTCTCAGCTCAGTCTTCTAGAGTGTTGCTCATTCAAGAGTGACAGTATCAGCAGAAATCATTTATGTCTAAGGCCCTAAACTTTCCCAAATTATTGGTAACCTTCTGATGATCCTATACTTCGCCTTGCACAGAAAGTTTCTACTATCATCAGCCAACAGATGGATTTCCCATTTTGACAAATTTGATGAAGAAAATTATTCTGCCAGGAACCAGACAGATGTATAACAGCTGTACCAGTATGTGACAAGTTGATTGTCATGGTGGATGTCTGCGTACCTGTATTTGTGAAGTTCAAATGGAAGACTCTTAATATTGTAAAGCTTGTTGTCAGTTGTCTGTGATTCCGCTCAACAAATTAGCTCTAGTTTCATTTCAGAATGATCCCATTCATCCTTCACATACCCAACAAGATGCTCACACTACTGATGCTCACAGAGACTCCTTCTGAGCATGGCATCCCAAGGCTGACCACATTACCTGACTTTCTGCATATATCTGAATGCACAATTGAGCTTCACCCAATTTTGGCCCTTTTTATCACTGTCACTGAGGTGTCGCAAGATAGCCTTCTGGAGCAGAAATGCAGTGGAAAGGATTTTACATGGCTCATAACAAGCCCAGGCAAAACCTCTTAAAATGGGCAGTTCCAACAGCAAACAGAAAATCACTGCTGAGGTCTTATAATATCATATCTGTCACTTGTTCCTAAATGAGTAAATGTATCTATTGATATTTACAGGAGTTTTTCCGCAAAGTAACCCTGTTGAGAGTTAGGATAAGGATAAGACCTGGCAAAGAACTTGCTAGAGGACAACAGAAAAGAGACACCAAAGTAATATCATGATTTTCATAACCACTACCACAGCCTCAAAACTAGACATAGACTTGAAGAATCTTAGACAATAATATGGATGACTTTTTTTTGAAATTTGGCACAGAAACAAGATTGCTGAGATACCTCATTACTCTAGTTGGACATATGCTGCAAGTGTCATTCTGCTAAAAGCAGAGCATCTGGTAAATTGTTGAATTGTCTTGTTGATAATTTCATAGTTTAGAAGTTAGAGAAAGCAATTGGGCAAATTTCTACTTGATTCTAAATCCTGACCAACAAAGAAGAACTGGCTAGTGATGGGAAAGTGATAGACATTTTGGCATAAATTGACCACATCATCTTGAAATTCGTGCTATGAAAGGAAGATTTAGTAGTCTAGCATAGTCAGGGACATATTCTAAAATTTATCATAGAATATTCATATAAACTTGAACAAATATATAATTAAATGGTAGATGTATTTTGGGATGTCTACCTCAACAACAGCCCATTTTTTTCTGAGAACTTTGTCCATCAAGGACCCTATCAATGACTGCATCCATTAGTGACTTGAGACCAAGAGATTAGCCTAGGCCACCATGTTTACACCTTATAACTTTCATCAGGAATGACTTCTTACTCAAAGCCAGCCAATGGTTGAGGTGGCTAACTGTAAGCATTTAGTTGGAAAACTCTACAGATAGAAGGTCATAGAGAATCAGAGCTGGATTCTGTAACATAGTGAAAGTCAATCCCTGCTGAAGTTATAGAGAAGCTGAGACTAAGAGTAAGTCAGGAAAGCTCATTTGTAAAGAAAAGAATGGAACAAATAACAGATGGCAGGGAGGTGTAGAAATGGGGATGGGGCAGGAAAGTTAGAATGCAAAGCTACACAAGGATGAAATCTTTGTATATTTTGCTTATTAATATAGGTGTCCATAAATATGTATTGATAGGGAAGGAAGGGGAGAGAGATATCTCTATCAGTACTCAGTTACTGACTCTTGAGTTCTAAGTTTGAGGCCTTATTGAGATCCAGCTGAACTTTGCTTTATGCCCATGGGTGTCTGATTGTCAGATGAGGTCTAACAATAACTGACTCATCTTTTTGGGATTGTTATTTTATTTTATTTATTTATTTATTTATTTATTTATTTATTTATTTATTTATTTATTGAGATGGAGTCTCGCTCCGTCACCCAAGCTGGAGTGCAGTGGCGCGATGGCGGCTCACTGCCAGCTCCGCCTCCCGGGTTCACGCCATTCTCCTGCCTCAGCCTCCCGAGTAGCTGGGACTACAGGCGCCCGCCACCACACCTGACTAATTTTTTGTATTTTTAGTAGAGATGGGGTTTCACCATGTTAGCCAGGATGGTCTTGATCTCTTGACCTCGTGATCCGCCTGCCTCGGCCTCCCAAAGTGCTGGGATTACAGGCGTGAGCCACCGTGCCCAGCCTGTTTTTATTTTTTAACTTGAACTGGTTAGAGTGGGTATTTCTCTACTGTAACCACAAGATCTTGAATCTTGATGTGACAGAGACTCTAAAAGAGAATACACAGTACCGATTTTCACTTTAAGGCCCCTCCCCTGAATCTCAGCTAAGCAACTGCTCTGGCCTGCAGTTCTCCATCATTCTGTCCTATGGCTATTGCTTTAGGAGGCCTTCTTCCAATAGGGAATCATCTGTAATCTGTTAAGCAAGACATTCTTGGCAGCCAGTAGCCTAATCATGATTTCTTTAAATAGTTTTTTTCCCATGTCCTTTCCTAATTGGGCTTATACTGTTCAGACAGGCATTTATATAATATCATTCTCCCAAGTCTTTGATCAGGCACTGTGTTTACAGAACTTGTTTTTTAAGCCTTTTTTCATCTCAGATGGAATAATCCAGAAAAACCACAATTTCTCCATTACAAGGCTTCAAAGTCCAAAAGAGTCAGCCCTACTGTTAGTGACACCAGAACTGGGCAACTCAGAATCTCTGTTACCAGAGCACAAATGGGTGTGTCATTCCACATATCACTGAAGATTCCACATCCTCTCCCGGAATGCAGCAGGAGGGGACACAAATGTAGTTACACTATTCTCTTAATCTTTTCACCAAACTCTTAGATTATATTTGTTGAAGACATCAAGTTTGGAGATATTTCCTTAATGTAAAAAATGTGAAAGTAACTGACTCTTTTTCTATTATGTCCTCTTACTGTAGGCCAAAGATTTGTATTCATTTAGAAAAGGAAGACTGGAAAATGGGCCTCAATTTTCATGTCTGTAAAATGGGGATATTAACCTAGTTAATAGTCTTCATGTTTCCTTCAATTCTGATTATTTCAAATAGTGTATTAAAATAAAATAAAATTAAATAGCAAATGGAAAATGGCAGCTATAGCCCCAGTGGGTATGGTCTACCCAGGTCTGTCAAGATTAGAACCACATGGATTTAAATTATTTGGGAAGGAAACAGGCTGCTGATCGGAGCAGTGGATTTGCTTGATGGAACCTTTAAAAAAAAGGTGAAAAAGTGACAAACCAAAATGTCTAAATCTAGTCTGACAGGTTCAGATAATTTAAAGCTAAACCATGTTACAGGTCACTGTCCAGCTGTGCTGGGAAAGCCAATGGGAAAAGAATCAACCTATTTGTAGCGATCTGTAATTTCTGTTCAGATTCTTGTTTCCTTTCCAGAATGTTCCCCCAGTGAGAGCTCTGACCCCTTTAGAAACAACCTGGTGAGTGAGTGAAGCAGTTCTCAGTTCTTTTGATTGGTCCAGCTCCGTGTTTTGTTACAAGCATTGCACAGCTACTATCTGAAAAGGAATCTACCTCTTTATGGGAACATACAGCTGCTGCTGTTACCATACGATCCATTTTCCTTTAAAAAACCCTGTTTGCTCTACAGTTTATAGAAACTGACATTTGAAGAGATAGTGTCAGCTTGACCCTTCAGTTGTCTGAAAAGAGGAGAATCAAACCTGTCTTCTCTGTTTTTTCTTTCTCCCTCTTTTATTTCCTAACTTCCTTCCTCTTTACTTACTTTTCATCAACTTATATGGCCCAGCAGTCCTGGAATTCTTGGTAAAGAGAAATTCAGTCCCTTAAAAAAAGCATTGTAAAGGAGAAATTGGACGAGTAGAGAATTTTAAAATTGTTTACCAAGTGGAAGTAAAATGAAGTTGATTGCTATACTCTGGCTGGCCCAGTCCCCATAAGGTGACAAAGCCTAGAGACTAAACACAAAGATCTGGGATGTTTAGACATGTTTAGTAAGTTGTTCTTGGCATTGATTCAATGCAAGAAGGTACATGGATGTTTGCTAGTTGGAGAATCTCTAAAACTTGCGCTGTCACCAAGACACCATAGGCAAGACATCCAAGCTTTGACACCAACTCTCCTCCAACCCAGCTCATTTCAAATGCATGCATTGCACCTTACCAAGTCCCAAAGGCTCTGGGTACCAAATAAACCAATGCCATAACAAGGATGGTCAGCTTGGAACCAAACCCTGGGAGACAAGTGGAGCCCTGCACACTTGTGACCGATATAATGAGCCACTGGATGGCACTGTGGGTCCATGCAAATGTGTATGGAAGGCCATTTATCTTTCTTCTAAAAAGGCCGTTTAGCCTTGACAGGTAATTTGGCACATTTTGTGTTGAAATGTGCCAAATGATTTGGCAAATATTTCACTTACCTCTGAAAATAGGCACACCTGCTGTTCTGGCCTTCAGGGAGATGGAGGAGGGTGGCTTTTCCCCCCAACTCCCTTGTTGCTTCTAATTTCAGAAGTGAAAACAAGATTTGGTCAAAGATACATAGGCCAACTCCATTTTAAATGTAGTATTGTGTTTTAAAGAAACAGAAAAATTTGTCAGGGTTGGTTTCTTATGAAACCAATCTCTTCAGTCTAAAGGGAACATCTTTTCATCTCATCAATGCTATTTGCCCAGCCGGTGGCTGGCTTATCTGGCTCATGACCAGATGGAATGGGATTTGGTTGGAGAGCTATGTCCTCTACTGATCCTCCAACCATGAACATCTAGGAAAATTTGTTTCCAAACTTTTCTGTTCTAAAGAATTATCTGCCCAATATGTAGTATGTTTAGTAACAAGAAAGCAAAGCAATGTGAGAATGTCTCATACCAAACATCTGAGCTGCCTTTTGGCCATCTTGAAACCACTGCTTTGCCATACATGGTGGTGACAATTGTACACAGGCATTCCCATTCCTATGGTAGAACCTAGAGGACAGGCTGAGGCATCCCTAAGACAGCCTGCATGTCAGGCCAAGTTCCTGGTGTACTAGCTTTAACTGTACCTCCCGTATTATTTTCTACTCCGAAAAGCATACTGGAATGAAAATGAATAAAAATGGTGTTATTATTGATATAACTTTGAATCTAATCTAATTTTTTTAATGATGAAACATTTGCAAATCTAATTACTGTAGCTAACATGACTAAACAATGACTTGGGACCACTTCCCAAGTGGCCAAAGCACATATTGAGAACAGGGTGGGAATAGGCGGGTTAGAAAGGAGAGATTCAGAATTCTTCTTAAGTACTGTCTTGTCACTTACTGACTAGTAAAAGGCATATCTCACTGTGTCAAATCCACTCCTCTTTTGAAATATATCAAGGGAGAATGGTATTATGGCATGATTCTTGATTTGAATTCTGAGATTTGGCTTCTAGTTCCAGGTCTACCAATATGAGTTATGTGACATTAGGTGAGTCATTAATCCTTCAGCCTGTTTTCCTACCTAAGCCCAAGGAAGGCAATTCAGATGATCTCCTATGGCTACAAAATATTGAAATGTTCTTTAGTTTAGGCAGCCTCAACAAATGTAATATAATCCTAGTATATGCTAAGGTGATATATAGCAATAGCAAAATAGGTATATTTGTTCAAATAAAATCTAAACTACTTAACAGTTTTCCTGAACACAATAACTACCAGTGTAATAAGGAAAAGAAACTCTTGTGGTACTAAGATATTTTATGAAAAATAATGAATATATGTCTAATGATGTGTATTTGCATTTTGTACTTAGCTTAAGAGTTTCAGGGAAGATAGTTCACAAATGTTGTTTTGTTCTGTAGATGACTTTTTTTTTTTCTTTTGCCTGTTCTTCTGTATCATGGAACTATAGTTTCCTTCCAGGTGAAGATCATCATGGAGGCTGAAGGAGACCTTGATAAGAGGGGTTTCTGTGGATTGTTGGGCAAAAGCCAAACTGGAGCAGGATGGCAAGAATGGACAATGAGGAAGGGTTGGCAGCAAGTATTGACCACTGTTATGAGGCATTGGTTATAAAAGGGGCAAAGAAAAAGGTTACAGCTGGTATGTGGAATCTAGGGGAGGATTTTTTTTTTTTTTTAACAAAAGAGGACATTCTCAGACTCACCACACACAGGAGGAAACTGTGGAAACACTTATTCAGAAACATACCTGAAGTTCTGACCAAAAGAGAGATGTGATTGTAAATCCTGACTCAATGGCTTTTTTTCCTGCAAAGTTAGCAAGCCTTCATTTAGTAGAGCATTTCAGAGCTGGCAGATAGTACCATTCAGTCCTCTCATTAAACTGAGGAATCTGAGGCTCAGATAAATGAGATCTGAGATTTGTTCTCAGAGCAGTATTGGGTAAGGATTAAGAAAATGGCTTTGGGGCCAGAAATACCTTGGATTGAGTACCAACTCTTCTACCACTTGTTGGCTATGTGACCTCAGTCTTCTCATCAGTTGAGTGCGGGGATTGTACAGTATTTCACAGATAAGCCTCCTGGGGGGACATTTTCTTATAGGGTTTGTTGTAAAAATAAACTGAGATAAGACAAGTGAAATGCTTAGTGCAATACTGAGTATGTGGCCACAGCAAATATGAATATATGTTAGCTAATATTGTTATTGCCATATATATGATTATTTACATGCATGGAAATAATATAGTATGAATTTGCATCCATAGAAGATTTTTTTTTTAATGTCAAGGGGATTAGTGCAAATGGAATGTAATAAACACTAAAAAAGGCACACAGGCCACAATGTTTAGTCTAAACCTTGCTTAAGTATATGACCAGCTGTAGTCATCCTATTCAAAGATTGTTACCCATGACTGACTCAAGTCTAGGCACTCTTCAAAGTGCCTATTTGGCTTGCTGATATGGAATCAGTATCTTCCATGCAAAAGCCTCAGAGCTGCCTCCCTGCTGTCTGGATGTTGTCTACCTTTTTTCTTTGTCTTTTTCTCCTTGCTTTCTCTTCTGAAGCCAGCCATGAGTTTAAGAAAAGCTGGTTGTGGTTGAGGGCTGCTAGGTGGCTGATGGGAAGTATAGCCAATCCTCTTTCAACAGTTTCAGAATTGACTCACAGGAATGAAATGAGAGAGACATGTATGTAAGGCAGAAAAAAGGAGGGGGACACAGTAGGGAAAGCCAGCCCTCCTCAGGCTCTCCCCAGTCCCTGATGTGTGCTGTAAAGATCTGTTTGCCTCAAGACTTTATGACCAAGAACCCAAAAGCAAATGCAACAAAATCAAAGATAAATAGATGGGACTTCTTAATTAAATTAAAGAGCTTTTGCCCAGCAAAATAATAATAATAATAATAACCAGCAGCAGAGTTAACAGACAGCCCACAAAGTGGGAGAAAATCTTCACAATCTGTACATCCAACAAAGGACTAATATCCAGAATCTACAAGGAACTCAAATCAGCAAGAAAAAAACGAACAATCCCATCAAAAAGTGGGCTAAGTGCATGAGTAGACAATTCTCCAGAGAAGATACACAAATTGCCAAGAAGCATATGGAAAAATGCTCAACATCACTAATGATTAGGGAAATGCAAATCAAAACCACAATGCGATACCACCTCACTCTTGCAAGAATGGTCATAATCAAAAAATCAATAAATAATAGATGTTGGTGTGGATGTGGCAAAAAAGGGAAACTTTTACACAGTTGGTGGGAATGTAAACTAGTACAACCACTATGGAAAATAGTGTGGAGATTCCTTAAAGAACTAAAAGTAGATCTACCGTTTGATCCAGCAATCCTACTACTAGGTATGTACCCAGAGAAGTCACTGTACAAAAAAGATACTTGCACACTCATGTTTATAGCAGCACAATTTGCAATTGTAAAAATATGAAACCAGCCCAAATTCCCATCAATCAACGAGTGGATAAAGAAAATGTGATATATATATACATATATATGTGTATATATATACATATATACACATATATGTATATATACACATATATATGTGTATATATATGTACACACACGCATATATATGTACACACACACACCATGGAATACTACTCAGCCATAAAAAGGAATAAAATAATGGCATTCGCAGCAACCTGGATGGAATTGGAGATTTTTATTTTTTTCTATTCTTTTTTATTTTATTTTATTGAGACAGAGTCTCACTCTGTTGCCCAGGCTGGACTGGCAAGATCTTGGCTCATTGCAACCTCTGTCTCTCAGGTTCAAGCGATTCTCCTGGCTCAGCCTCCTGTGTAACTGGGACTATAGGCACATGCCACCACACCCAGCTAATTTTTGTATTTTTAGTAGAGACAGGTTTCACCACGTTGACCAGGCTGGTCTTGAACTCCTGACCTCAAGTGATCCACCTGCCTTAGCCTCCCAAAGTGCTGGGATTACAGGCATGAGCCACTGCGCCTGATCTGGAGACTAGTATTATAAATGAAGTAACTCAGGAATGGAAAAAACAAACATTGTATGTTCTCATTCATATGTGGGAGCTAAGCTATGAGGATGCAAAGGCATAAGAATGACACATTGGACTTTGGGGACTCTGGGGAAAAAGGGTGGGAGGAGGCAAGGGATAAATGACTACAGATTGGGCACAGTGGACACTGCTTGGGTGACGGGTGCACCAAAATCTCAGAAATCACCACTAAATTACTTGAACTTATTCATGTAACCAAACACCACCTATTCCCCCAAAACCTATTGAAATAAAAAAATTAAAAATTGAAACTAAAACATGTTTGCCTCTAGCAGGCCTGCTAAACACGATCTCTGATTCTGTCAGAGCCATTGGGTGGGTGCCTACCTTTGTTGTCAACCCTTAGCCCAGGCACTATGAGGTTATCAGAGACTCTTTATAATAGTCAAGGTAGCTTGGAATGTGTGTTCTCTCTCTTGGGGACTTTATTTTCCCCTTGCAAATTCCCAACCACCACTTTGCTTAACCTCATTGCCTATGTTGGTTTTTCCTCACTGGAGATGAGCAACACAGGCCTGAATTAAAACCAGCATAACAGCACAAGTTAATTGGAGTCTGAAAGGATCAGGACACTTGAAACTGGGCTTGATAAACCCCCATGGGCTTTGGAAATGAGTCTTGTGGGGACAGAAAAAAAATCTGGTTTCCATTGCCTCGGGGATCCACTTACCAACTTTCTATAGTGATCTCTGGACTATAACTGGATGCTTAGTTTTAAATAAATAATATGTTTATGCCTGTGCTTTTCATATACTGTTCAAAGAGTGGTTGAAATGCAAAAAAAAATTTATAATCTTTCTAGCTACTGACATAAGCTGTAATATAGTAGAAAAAAAGCAAAAATGTTGGCTTTTTTTCTTTGCCGGAGCTGACATATATTTATGTTTTTCTTTTTCTCATTTAAATATATCAAAGAAGTGTCTTACCATCTATTAGTCTTGCTCTGATATACCCTTCATATTCTTTTTTTTTTTTTTTTACCTTTTCTAAAATATACCTTCCTGATAAAATGTGGTATACCACTAAAAAGAAAGTCTTCTAAGCTTCAAGCAGTAAGAAATTTAATAAGAAGCTTATTGGAGACTATCACAACATGAATAGGAACCACTAGCCTGGGCTTCTTGGTAATGGGAAATAGAACTGTTACCCTTTAGTCTATCAGCTGAATTTTGGATCAGGATATAATGACACAAAGTCATTACCCCCTGAAGGTACATGGTCTTTGGGGAAATGAGTGTATAGTGGTTTCAGCTCTGTCCCTAACTGTCCACAGTCTTCATCAGACTGGCTGCCATTACAATTAAAGTTAATTGTCACTATTACAGCCAAGAACAGGGATTGAATGAGATGGGAGAGTAAACTACTTTTCCCATACTGCTAAAGGTAGTCCCTGAGCAGCTAAGAACCGTTCTTCTCCCAGGGTGATAAAAAACCTGTTTTGGAAATCTAGAGAAAAATGAATGGAAGACGTGAAAGTGTCTGTTCATGTTCAGTCACAAAGTCTTGCTTTTCACACAGAATAATGTTTTCATAGAATTTCAAATTGTCATTTCAAATTATGTTTGATTAAAGTCTCATCTGTGTTCAAACCATAAAAGAGGGAATGGAAAATCAACGATTCTACTTCTAATGAGAATCAAGTATCTTTTTCAAAGGGTTCCATTGAGTCTGAGTTATTTCAGATGGTAGATTTACTTTAACAATTACTTATTTGGTCAACAAGAAGTCAATGCTGGCTCTTCAAAAGTGCCTTCACTGGAGACTCTTTTAAAACTGTATTTGGACATTTTAGATAAATGGTTTGTCCATTTCCTTGTTTATTGTAGGTTGTATTTAAGGCTCAAATAGCAACAATGGTATAGTTTTAGAATAAAAGGGGTGGCTAGACACAGTGATTCATGCCTGTAATCCCAATACTTTGGGAGGCTGAGGTGGGCAGATTGCGTGAGGTCAGGAGTTTGAGACAAGCCTGGCCAATATGGTGAAACCCTGTTTCTACTAAAAATAAAAAAAAAAAAAAAAAAAAAAAAAAAATTAACCTAGCTTGGTGGTGTGCATCTGTAGATCCAGCTACTTGGAAGGCTGAGGCAGGAGAATCACTTGAACCCTGGAGGTGGAGCTTTCATTGAGCTGATATCACGCCACTGCACTCCAGCCTGGGTGACAGAGCAAGACTCCATCTAAAAAGAAAAAAAAAAAAGAATAAAAGGGGAAATTAAATATAAATAGTGGATAGAAATAATCCTAACCTCTTTTCCTGACATATTTATAAAAGATATTTCCTTCACTTTAACCTTATCCTGAAAAACACCACAAAAGATTGTGGACAACTTCTCTTCCGATTGATGTTTCTAAATTGGTGACATGCAATTACCTTCTCCATATTCACTCTGCTGAATAAGCTGAATTTTTAAATTATACACTTGTAGCTGGTTGAAGTCTTCCTTGTGTATAAAATGGATGTTAAGTGTCTTGAGAGTTGATTTTAAGATGTTTAATTCTTTGCTCTCCTGACAGGCAAAACTAGTGTTACTGGAAAATTCTTAAGAAAGATTACTGTTGTACTAACCATTTCCTCCTGATCTTTGGAATCATTCCTTGATTGTGTTTCCTGTTCTTGTTCTCGTGTTACTGGAGTGAACTCTTACCAGTGAGAAATTCTGGCTATGAATTCAAGAATCCAAGAACCAAAGACGTCGAGTTTGAAAGTAGTCAGGTAGTGGGAGTGGGATGGGTAGGATTCTGTGATGTGGTAAGATACTTGTTGATCATATTAATTTTTAGGTTATTTGTAAGACAGCCTGATATAACTGGGTAAATCACAATGTGTTCTGGTACAATAGCTTGAGAAATAGCAGCAATTGAGTCATTCAGGTGTTTTCTTGTTTATTTGTTTGTTGTGAAATTGGTCAGTTGCAAAAAGCAGAGTCATCACTTGGAGCACAGTTTACAAGTGACATGAGCTCCCATATCTTACCCTCAACACATCCAGCCAAGGTGAAACTGGCTGGAACTTAAGGGAGATGTGGTGATTTCAATGAGAGAAATTATGCTAATCCTAAGTACTTTAGTTAGGGTCTTACAGAGAAACAGAATCAATAGGATAATTTCTCTCTCTCTTTCTCTCTCTCTCTCTCCCTCAATCTATCTATCTATGAGTATATTTATTATGGTAATTGGCTCATATGCTTATGTAGACTGAGAAGTTCCATCATCTGCCGTCTGCAGGCTGGAGAATCAGGAAAGGTGGTGGTGTAATTCAGTCTGAGTCTGAAGACCTGAGAACCAAGAGGGAGAGAGAACACAGTTGTAAGTTTTAGAGTCTTAAGGCCTGAGAACCAGCTCTGATGTCCAAGGATAGGAGATGGTGGATGTTACTCAGTGGACTGGATGATGCCTACCCACATTGGTGAGGGGGAATCTTCTTTACTTAGGCTACTGAGCCAAATGTTAGTCTCTTCCAGAAACACCTTTACAGGCACACCCAGAAACAATGTTCTACCAGCTATCTGAGCATCCCTTAGCCCAGTCCAAGTTGACATACAAAATTAACAATCACACCAAGATACTCAAAACAGATACATAGAAGGGAATAATTCAGGAACTCAGCAGGCAAGGTTGGAAGGAAAGCTTGGATTTGGAAGGTATAAAGTTATGAGAGATAAAGAAGCCATATGTTTGGGCAAACTTATCCATGAAGAACATAGGAAGATCAGATGGCTGATAGTGGATCCCTGGGGCACAGCAGCATTTCAAGGGAGAGCAAAAGGATGAATGAAGAGAAGGAACAGCCACCAGGAGGGCAAAGTATTAAAAGAGGGTAGTGTCTCTAAATCAAAATAAACAGTTTCAGACCAGGTGGGGTGGCTCACAGCTGTTATCCCAGCATTTTGGGAGGCCGAAGCGGGTGGATCACTTGAGGTCAGGAGTTCAAGACCAACCTGGCCAACATGGTGAAACCTCATCTCTACTAAAAATACAATTAGCTGGACATGGTGGTGTGTGCCTGTAATCCCAGCTACTTGGGAGGCTGAGGCGAGAATTGCTTGAACCCAGGAGGCAGAGGTCGCAGTGAGCCAAGATAGTACCACTGCACTCCAGCCTGGGCGATAGAGTGAGACTCTGTCTCAAAACAAACAAACAAAAAAACAAAAAAACTGTTTTAAGCAGGAAGAAGTGGCCTACAGTGTAAATACTACTGAGAAGTAAGATAAGCATGTGAATGTGTTCAGTAGGTATGTCAACACTGAGGCCACTTGTGACCCTAGGGTCAGGAAAGCAGTGTTGTGGCATCTTGGAGCAGAAGCCACACTGCAAAGTGTTGGAAATTAGTGGGAGGAAAGAAAATTTGGCTGTGAAGGGAATTAAGAAAAAGGGAGGTAATTGGAATGGTATTTGAGGTTAAAAATCCCATTTCTTATGTTTTAGAGAATTGAGAGGCCTGAGATTGATTATATTTATTGTAAGGGGTCCAGCCTGTGTATCAGGAGGGGAGATCAAATGTACAGGAAAGAGAGTCAGGGACCAAGGGAGCAAGGTCCTGGAGGTGGTGAACCTGTGACCAGATGAATGGAGGACCTCCAGAGGCAAGAAGGAATGCCTACCCCAATGCCTGGGTTGGTGCGAGGGAAACAAATGTAGGAATCGATTTACATACATTTCTGGGAGAGGATAGAAGAGGGAGAGTACTACAATGTTTTTTTTGTTTGTTTGTTTTTGTTTTTGTTTTCTGCAAAGAGAAGTTATGATTTTCTGCAGAGAATAAGGGAGAAACTGGAAATGAAGACTGTTCTTAAAAGGTCAAAATCGGCAATAACCACCAAGGGCAATGGGAGAGGAAACTAACTAGATAGGTGGAGGTAAGGGCTTTACCTGGGTCATGTCTGTGGCTGAATAAAGTAATTGAACTGGAGATACTGAAGCCAATTAACTGTACTTTGTTTCCCAAGCATGGCACATACCCCCAACTAATGTCACAAAGGTGTACTGTTGAACAAAAGAAGGAAGCAGATGAGAAGCTATGGAAGCCTCTAGAGCATTTGGGAGGGAGAAGCAGCAGGTAAAGAATGGAAAATGGCTCAAGATGATATTCAATATGCAAACCTCCTCCTGGCAAATCATTAGTTTCATCTTGTATATGAAACACAGCATCACTAAACTTTGTCTTTCTGTCAAAATAAGAACTTGTCCCATAAGTTAACAAGGCAAAATTGTCACATTACCCTAACTGTGTAGTTTTTCCACGATTTTGTGTGCCACCATCCCTAATCCCATGTAAAAAATCACTTTCACCAGTTTGATTTTGGTGACCAAAGGAACTTGGTTATTCCATGAGTCTTCAAAATGACTTGGCCATTTTGGTAATCGTTGTATTGAGAAGATATTTTTACATTTTATGCTAAATCTTAATCCTTGTTAGAATTTCTGTATCTTTTCAATTGTTAGTTTTTTTAATGTAATTTTGATGGAAGGATTTCCATTTGCTTTGATTGGGAGAGTGACTCATGAGGAAAACTTCTCTTTCTTTCTAAAGACCTTTGTTACATGTCTAACACTACTCACATATGCCCTTTGTGCAGTCTCTTTAAAATTTATGGGAGGTCAAAGCATCTTAAAACAAAGGCAAATAAAACTATTTGCCTATTTTCTCTTCTTTATACAATCTTTTTACTAGATGAAGTTTTCTAACTCTTTAAGTTCTCATTCTCAAGATAAAGTAGGGAAAGTGGCATTGAACTAATCCATTCTTGAAAACATCTTAACATTATAAGCAGAACAAAGTGGTACAAAATGTATTCAGCCTCACGGATTTCTCTAGATTGTAGCCAGAATAGAAAATGGCAGAATGTATTAATTCCTAAGATAAAATTATAATGAGAACAGAAAATGGTGTGAGATGAATTAATACAGTGGCAGGCTTCGGTCTGCAGAGCAGGGTGCTCTCTAAATATCACACTGCAGCACTTTGTAGTCAGCCTCTCTCTTGTAATCTATATTTTAAAGATGCTCTAAAGATAAAGCTAGACCGTATTCTCATCTCCAGCAGCACTGCCATCTCTGGACACAGAATAGCCTCAGGGAAGTGGTGAATGAACTTACCTTGCAGGAATAAAGGAGATTTAAGTTAGATACCAGGAAGATTTTTATTACTGGGAACATACACTGACATGCTTCCATCACTAGCAGATCACCTTTAAGTCTGGTGCCCAAGGAAAACTCAGTTGAAGCAGTTGTGGTTATAAAAGAAAAAATTGCTTTTTGCAAACAAAACAAAACAAACCCAACATATTTTGCATAAAGAATTATTTGGTGTTTTCTGTCATTGCTGCTAGGGGGTCAAAGTTTTAAACAGGGATAGCCACATTTTTTCCTGGGGTGATTTTCAAAAAGGTATTGCTTCAAGTATGTGTTTAGAACTAGATGATCTTTTACAGTATCTTTTATTCATATTATAAATATACTTGTACATAGACCCAGTGGGAATTTGGGGAGAGAGTTAGTACATGCAGTCATGTACCTGCAGTGTCATTCAGATGCATATTTTTAGAAGCTTTGTACTTTACTGTTCAATGAAGACAAATGTGTCCCAATAATAAGCAACTGAGACTCACAGCTTCAAACACTTCAAAGGTGACTGAAGCCAGAAGCCACAGTGGAAAACCCTGAGTGGTTATACTGGAACTTTGAAATGTTTAATAATGCTTGCCCCACGTAGCTTTGCATCCTCCAAGACCTGATCTGATTGCAAATTTTTAATCAGGAAATCTGGTCTTTGAATCAGAATGGCTTTGCCGATTTGATTGACGGCAATGTTGTTCTTGTTTTGAATTTTCATGGTGCAGGAAATTTGGGTCCAAATTTTTCCCACTCTGCATTAACACTGCTGCACACGGCATGGCTACGTAATCCAAACTATGAATTAGAGGTTTTAATAACATCAGAGTAAGGCATTAGCTGTACTGTCTTATCATGGCTGGTTGTGATTTCAGAAGAAATCTACTAACTCTGTGATTATAAGCAAGAATGAACTGTGAATTAGCAGAATGTGTTAACCCCAAATGATATTGTAACCTAGGCTTAAGCACTTTTTATTTTCTTTTTTCACATATTGTCTTCCAGCACAGTTCTGACATAATCTCTTTAAGCAAACCTGGTAGCTTGTGACTGTACTTTTCCTGGGACAAATTCCTGCCCCCCAACCCATCTCCACGTCCTCGAAGCAGGTGTCTTCATCTTAGAAGTACCTTGGAAATGAAGCAGTTTATTTCTTCACAGACCTCTGACCTATCTCTAAATATTCTACCAATATTATTGTAGCCTCTGTAATGTTTGATTAAAAGGGGGAGACACTCAGAGAATTAAAACCCAAAATTGCTTTATTGCTTTATGATTTGAGAAGTCAAAACCTTTAAGCAAGTAGTGCTTTTGAACTTTTACTTGGGAAACCTAAGTGAATCAAGCAGCCTCTCTTTCTAGAGAAATGTGACCTTAAATATATTCTCCCAACTATTTGCATGGCTGGTAAGTGTAACATTTGCATTTTCTTTTTAAACCATAATAAGGAGAATTAAAATCCTATGATTAAGCATTTAAGATAAAATTTAAGGGCCATGGTTATTCATTAGGAAAGTACCACGTACTTAAAATTCAATCAGATTTCAAATGGACTTCTTTTTTTCTATATACAATTGCATGTCATAGACTTGACATTTCTGTCTATCTTCTGTGTCTTTCCAACGTGGTTTATAAGATTTTATTCACACCTGTAGCATTTTAGGGAAGGAAGAATAAATTTTTCCAAGTTTAGTATGGGCTACTTTTCATTTCCCTACAGGATTTTTCAATTCTTATTTTCTCCCTTCGGTTGCTTTAGGCTGAACAGAGAATAGTATATGATAAGCATGAGGTGATTACAATAAATTTGCCTACCTGCATGGAGCTTACAGTCTAGAAGGAAAGGCACAATTCAGAAATAGACCTCTGTATATATAAGACTTTATATCTGATAAAAGAGTATAATAATTTAGCAGGAAATATTGAACATTTGAAAATAGAGTTCAATGTAGATTTTAATCTACTGCTATGTTCTGCTATCTATTCCAGGTAGATTAAAATAAAAATCTTTGAAATAAAAATCATAAAGGGAAAACAAAAGGCAAATATTTAGCTATTCTCTGTATGGAGGAAGGATTGTCTACATTTAGAAACAAGAGAAAAATGATATAGAGAAAGAAAATAAATTTGAATAATATTTTAAATTGGATTTCAAAATAAAAGAGATAAGAAACAAAAACATTTGTCACAATAATGAAAAAGGTATAAACTGTTTATTATATAAAGAGCTCATTCAAATCAATATGCAAACAAGACAGCAATAAATAGGCAAAGGGAGAAGACCAATTAGAAAAGAGGGAACTCAAGGGTCCAAAGTGAAAAAAGGATTTAACTTCACAAATGCACAAATAAATACAAAGTAAAGCTATAATAAGTTACCACTAAATAGCGAAGATTATAATAGAGTCAATATTTGGTGATGGCAATAGTAGAGTGATCCCAACCTCAAAAAATGTAAAAATGGCTAGAAAAAACATGCCAAAATGTTAATGGTGGTTGCCCTGTGTTAATGCATACTTCAGATCCTACTGATGACAGTCGGCATTGGTGTGGCCTTCCTGTGTATCAATTTGACCTATATCAAGAGCCCTAAAAATATTATGTCCATTGTGTCTTCAGTATGTTGCTAGGTGGAAAAAGCAAATTATGAAATAATTTTTTATAATATGATCCCTGATTTTTTAGAAAGAAGGAAAGGAAGGAATGATGGAAGGAAGAAAAGAAAGAAGGAATTGTGTGTATGCAGAGACAAATAGTGGTGATTTTGTTTTCTTCTTTAAATGTCAGGGTTTGTTTGTTTTTGCAGAGTTTATATTGCCATAGAAAACAAAATTGTCTTTCAAAAGGAAGAAATTTGCAAAAAATGCTCATATCCTTTGACCCCTAATTCCCCATTTAGAAAATCATCTGAAGAAAAAGGCAAAAATGTAGACAAAGATTTGTATACAAATATGTGGTTAGAAATGAAAACAACACCAGGAGACTGTTTAAAGAAATTCTGGAGCAACTAAAAGATAGACCATTATGCAGTTGTTATAAATTATATGTCAGAAGGATTTTCAATGAAATGTTAAAATACATCTGACAAATTTTACACAAACAGAATAAAGCAAAACAAGATACAAAATTTTTTAAGAAGGATCCCAACCTCAAAAAATGTGAAAAAGACTGGGAAAAAAATATATGCCAAAATGTTAATAGTGGTTGCCCTAGGTAGATTAATTATGAAGGATTTTTGTTTTCTTCTTTATCTTTTGTTATGCTTGAAAACCCCAATTACTTAGTACCCCTTTTATAAGTGGGGGGAGCACCCTAGATTTTCTAACTCCCCAAATTAAGTTCTTCCCACAGTACCAGAATACAACAGTTCTCTTCAGTAAGGAGCTTTTCTACCTTGCCTTAAACCAGAAATGATGAAGTATCAGAAAGGGGCCATGAAACCTGCATGCCATTAAGAAAATGAAATTTCTACCAATAATCATCAGGCATCAGTATCTTCTACCTCCTTTGTCCAATGACACAACCACCAGCTAATGTCCATTATTTAGAATGACATACTGTACAACTAAACACAACCAGCCAGCAGTCCGCACTCAGAGGACATCATTTCTAGAAACACAGCCTCCAGAAGCTGTTATGCTTTCCAGCAAGGATCAGTGGCATTGCCACATACAGTACCTTGGACGGCTGCATCACTGGGTGCCTTGAGTAATCGCTAGGTAAACATCCGAGCACCAGTTGCAAAAAGATACTCCTGTGGGTAGTAAAAAATGTTCTCTATTTGCGAGTTGAGGCTTACGCCTGTGTTTTGGAGATACCTGAATTGGTTTGGCTCTTTTCCAATTATAATCTGTTTGTAATCACCCTGGGTCTGTAACATCAAGCAGTGTTATGAGGGAATTAATTCTTTCTATGTGACAGTTGTTAGTGTAATTCATGTCCTTGTTTTTAATTGCTGGATCAAATTACTTTGTAGATTATTTCATATTTCATCCCAAGAGAAAGGAATAGAAAAAAATGCACAGTGCCTCTGGTGACTTATTTGTTTAGTCTACCCAGAAAAAAAAAAAAAAAGCAGAATTAAAAAGATTGACTTTCTAAACAAAATGGTTCTTCTCTATCCTTGGAGTATATTTTGAATGATTTTAGATGGAAAGTTAGCCGAAGTACATTCTTCTTGTTTAAACACTCTCGGAACTAAGTTTATTTTTATAACAGTTCTGCCAAAATAATGGCCATAAAGGTCACAAAGCAGTATCTCCTAAGAAATACCTTGAAAAGGATTTACAATTCAATGCTCTTTCGTTAAAAGAAGCACCTTGAAGATAAGAAATTAATGAGATTTAGAATAATTTATTAAGGAACACCTAATAGACTCTCATGAGATTCAAATGTCAAGACGTTTAAAAAAACACAAAAGAAATTTAGCAAATGCAAATTATATTTGGGGGAAAAAAGACAAAGAGTATTTGAAAAATCTTATAAATGTTTATTTTTGCAGCACTGCAATTTAATCCTTGTATTTGAATACATACCCGCCAGACATTTCATATGTTTTTGATTCTAATGTTTGGAATCTCAGAAAGAACCAGTAATGATTTCTTGGTGTCTTATAAGGTGAGAGTTTACTTGCAGGCTGACAGGGAAGTAAAAGCCCAGATAAGACAAGCTCACAGAACTGAAAAGCTATGGAGAAAATTCATTGTTCTATTTATTTCCACTTTGTGATGAGTTGAGTTGAGAGCAAAATGTATTTATAACAATGGGACACTTGAAATGAACTGTTGCTGTAGCTGTCCAAGGCCAGCCAACATTCATATTGCCTCATAAATAGTCATCTTATAAAGTAGACCTGAGTGATAAACTAAAGAGGAATTATAGATCAGTGATCACTTAAAAGCAAGCACCAGGGAAATTGATAAATACTGCCTGCTGCCTGGCAAATAAAAAACACAGTCATCATTAGAGAAGGAGCTGGAACTTGCTGATTGCTGGGAAATTACAGCAATAGATAAATGAACAGACCTACTCACTCGGGGCAAAGGTGCCTTGTAGTTCAGGTAACAAAGTACTGTCAACATGGAAAGGTCCTTGAAGTAGGAGCTGAACCTGCTACCCTGAAAACAGAAGCCATATATACACACACAGTGTTGAAAAGCTGGCAGCCCTGAGTCCGTTTGCTCAGCCAGAGTGCTGAATGTATTATTACCACTGTCATCTTTGAAAGGGGAAAAAGAGATGTCCATAAAAATAAATATCTTTTCCACCATTGGAACTATTACATGATTGCAAAGAATTCATGTGATCACTTATATCTTATTATAAACCCAGTCCATTCTAGTCTATTATAGGAAACCAAGGTGATTATATTGGTTTAAAAATTGGTTCTGTTTCCCTATTTTTAAAATATGTTGTTTGAGGCCGGGCATGGTGGTTCATGCCTGTAATCCCAGCACTTTGGGAGGCCGAGGTGGGCAGAATGCCTGAGGTCAGGAGTTTGAGACCAGCCTGACCAACATGGAGAAGCCCTGTCTCTACTAAAAATACAAAATTAGCCAGACGTGGTGGCACATGCCTGTAATCCCAGCTACTTGGAAGGCTGAGGCAGGAGAATCTCTTGAACCCGGGAGGCAGAGGTTGTGGTGAGCCAAGATCATGCCATTGCACTCCAGCCTGGGCAACAAGAGCAAAACTCTGTCTCAAAAAATGTATATATTTGTTTGTTTGCCTATATGTTTATCAAAAGAAGCAAGCTACCTGTTATGGGCTAAGTTGATTGATGTCTGAGGGTTTTCTAGCTACACTTGGGCCTCTACAAAGGAAATTTCCACTGTTAAACTGGTGTAAATGCATCTAAGTAAATCCTTAGAAAGACAAGGGAAAAACATGGAGTGGCAAGGGCTGAATGCAGTGGAGGAGGCCTCTTCACCTTTGTGTTTCATGCCAATTTCATTCTGATTGGGGCAGAAAACCAGCTGAGGACTTAAAAGCCTGCTCATTTGTAATCATAACTTACCTGTAAGCAATGCATTTACAAGGCTAACTGACACACTCAGAACAGCACTGTGAAGTACATGTTACTTTCCCCTTTACAAAAGGAGGTGGAGGCTCAGAGAGATTTGGGTCTTGCTTGTGACACCAGAACTGAAGTCACCATTTTACCAGTTACCAACTCAGTTTTTCAGATTCTAGCTTCCAGTGTCCTCTCTCTATGTTTAGATATAGGTAAAACATTATTCCTCCCTAGTTTGATTCAAATAAAGACCTGTAAAAGAGAGTCAAGAACAGACATGTTATTCTTTCTATGACTGTCTTTATCACAGACATTCATCGTTCAAATAGGAGGAGTGCCCGCAAAATTGTGCCTGGGTTCTTCACTTCCTCCCACTGCCTACGCAGTAGTATTAGTCACATGGCCCTAGTCTGCACAGGTGCTAGGAAATGTTGAGGAGTTCATGAAATATTTGCTGAATGTTCCAGTCTCTGTTACTCATGGATTAGCTCATTTAATATGTAGCTAATAAAGTCTGAGCCCTCACTCCACAGGCCATTGGAATTTCATTCATCTACTGGATTCTCCTTGCCAAGTAATTTCTGGGAATTCCTCAGTCTTGCTCACATGTTGTACTACTCTCTCCTGGATGTCACTTGTCACCTCTACCAGCCCTCCTTTCTCCAGATGGCTTCTTCATAACCACCAGGTAAGCCAGCTCTTGCCAGCTCACACTTAACTTCTCTGAACTACATCAGCTCTCTACATTCCATCCTGCTTTATTCCAGTATGGACACATAGGTTTCCTTTAACCTTACAGAGCATGCGTAAGACCAGATAGCAGTATCTGAAAAATTTCTTCAGACAGCTTGGGGATACTGCAACACAGAAGAGGATAATTGACAGGTTAGCTCCACTCATGCTTCTAGGTCTTGCCCTTTAAGAGCTGGTTTCCTTCTGGCTCTGATCCTTGTCTTGGGCTCCTCAGCCTTTCCATGTCCCTCCTTCTCAAGAGGACAGATGGGCTCCTGGCACTCAAGAGATAAGAACTTCCCTCCCTCAGCCTTACAGCCATTTTCTTCAGGAGCAAACTACTCTTACTCACAGTGTGTGGTCTGGCTCTGTGAGCTCAGACAGGGCAATCAAAATTTGACAGTAGATTTCCCAAGGTCTAGGGTATACCACCTGAAATAACACCACATGTGGGTTTTCAGTCCAGGGCAGACTTTGGCATGTCCCATCTGGCTTCTTTTAGATCCCTACCCCAAGCTTATGGTAAAGATATATCACCCTGTCCATCCTCTCATCATCTGATTTTTGCTCCTGATCTTTGATGAGTAATTTTAAGATGGAACTTGTGTGTGTTTGTGTGCGTGTGTGCACGCATACATACATACATGCATTCCAAGAACAAAGAATGATGTGCAGAGACCACACATTAAAAAAAATCAAATTTAGGAAACAAAATCTTTTTAAGGGCACAATCTTGCTAAATATACGCCAATTTGTACTTGTAAACAAAATGTGTAATATGTCAGTTTGAGGCATTTCCATCTAGATTAATGGGTGACAATTTTCTTCAAAAATGGTGTGCATATTTGCTTTACTTTCAGGTCAGAAGAGGATCCGTTCCAATGATTTTCCTAAAACAATGGAAGTGTTTTCCAAAGGTAATTTGATGTCTTTACTGATAGAGATAGAAAATTGCTTGCACTTTTTAAAGAGCACCCCACACCTCACTAGTGTTGCAGGACTTTTCCTTAGTTCAGCTAAAGACGGGCTTCTTGTCTGTCCCATGGCCATGAAAATTTAGGCTCGCAGACAGTTTAAAGGGTAAATAAAGCAGGGTTTTATCGGGTGAAAATTGTTCGAATCCCAGGTTCCACACAGAAGGAGGAAGGGCGAGGCTCCTCCCCACTGCAAAGGGTGTGAACTTCCCAAGTCTCCTCCCCAGTGGGCAGGCTGGTTGGAGTTTCACCAGAGACCTTGTCCTACCTGGCTGTCTCATTCCCCTCTCTAAAGAAGTATATCTAACTGTCGTTAGGTTAAGCATAAGGACAAAGACCAATCTTAACTGCTTCCTGCTGACAGGGGGCACTGTTTTGGGGAACTGGCAGTCAGAGCTCCCTCAGAGGCCAATCTAAGGGTCGCCAGCAGAAGGGGTCATCATCAGAGGCTCTGATTGCATGACCATTTGGAGTTTGATGGCCTGAACTCAAGAACAGAAAAACTAGGTTATTAGAAAACATGTATCAAAACAAAACAAAGTGGGGGCGGGTAAGAACAACTGAAAAACTCTGAGGTCTTTTACCAGTTTGCATGGGGAAAGGGAGGGCAAAAGCCCAGCTGGTAAAAAAAAACTTCACCCTCTTGCCAGCATGTTGGGCTTCTGAGTTCCCTTCCCCTGCCTGAGCCCAATCCTAGGCCAACCAGTTTAAGGTTTGGGAAATTAACTCTTTCCAGTTTGCAGGATGCATCTGAGGGGAGTGTCCCATATTACAGAGACACAATTACCTGTCAGTGAAGAGAGGACAGAGGAGGAGAAAGGAAAAAAGAAGGCATTTTTTCAAGGGGGTCCCGGGGGTTCAGGATGCATTTGAAAGGGGTACAGACTGAAGATGAATGGCTACCCCTCTAGAAAGAGGGGACCAGGCACCCATGGTTCCTTTTTCTTCCTAGGAGATACCCGGGGTATATGAGGAAGAGAGAGAAGAGGGTCTTCTTTTCATCTTCAGTCCTTGCATCCCTGAGTTCTGGCGACCTTGGCAGAACTGGCCATAGGTGTTAAAGCGACTTGCACCCATGAAGCAGGGGGCCCTAGGGGGTAGGAATCATCCACTCTTACCCACGTATGCCCTATCTCCCCTGCTGTCAGTAGCCTTGAAGTTCCCTATACCTCATTTATGCCATGGATATTTATGTGGCCTTTCTCCATGAAACAGGAAGCTTGGGGTTGGCTTAATCGGGAGAAATCAGTCATGTTCACGTTCACTGTGCCTTTTAACTTCCATTATCATCTGTTTCTGGATCCCTCTGATCCAGTTTTATTTCCTAGGGCTTTGACTTGAAGCTTGGAATTGAGTTTGGGACAAAAATGTATCTTGCGGAGGGAGTTGCATGGACTTCTTATCATAAGCCAAATGCTAAGGTGAAACTGTGGAACTGAGTGCTCCAGCAAGGGAGAGGAAAGGACATCTTGTGACACATCCAGATAACTGATAGCTATTGTTATGCTTGCTAGGATTTGGGTCCATGGTGCTTGGCTTTGGTTAGTTCCCTTGTTTTTACTTTCCCCAAAAGGAAACCTCCGATGATGGGCACCCTATTTATACCCTATTTATTCTATCACCTGGCAGGATTTGCAGGATAATTGCTCAAAACTAGAATATTGATCCAAATTTCTACATCACCCATCCCTTTTGTTCTTTCTGAGCTGCAGCCAGGGACTGCCAGTTGGTTCACCGGAACAAGTAGGGTTAGTCTAAAATGTAGGTGAAAACTTAAAAACAACTAGTGAGTTTAGAATTTAATGACAAATATAAGTTTTGAAACATGATTTCTCACTCTCCAGTCCTCGTTTGTTAAAAAATAAATCATCATAGGACTGGTAGTTTGCAAAATAGACTTTAGTTTTATGCTTGGCCTGACTCTTTGCATACAGTACAAATAGCAAGAATAATTATTTCTACATAGGCCTTTTGGATTGGCTTTTAAGGAATTCAGTTCCACAAGGAATTTCAAATAAGACCTTTTAAAGCCAAGCCTAACCATGGGTTTGTATCCTCAAACACCTGTGAGTTGGATGATCTTTTCTTCTTAAGGTCCCATAATAAACTTGGAGCTCCTGGACCTGTTAGAAAGTGACATTCTTTACTGACCACGGGTCAGGAACCCTGTACGGGGACTGCATAGACAAGGGTATGAGGCCAGTTTCCCCACTGGGCTTCTATCAGCTCTGTAAGTCAAGCTTGACTCCTTAAAGGGAAGCATATCCTTCCAGTCAAAGCCTTGGTAAAATAACCACTTTCTCCAATTGTATCCTGTTGCAAAAGAAAAATGGATGCTTATTGCACTGATACAAACAACTGTATCACCATAAAGTTAAGAATACTTACAGACAGTTTCCAAATTATAGAGGAACGAGGCAGAGAGAAACAAACATGCTCCAAATTTTGATCCCAGGAGTATACCTTAATACCTTAATTATTAAATGCCATAAATAGTTCAAAATAAATTTCCTTGACTCTGAAAAACAAAACAAGGATCAGCAATATTCCAAGCAAAGGTCACAAAGATTTGCTTCAGCTTCCTGAGTTCAGTCCATTTAGTTAACTCTTGTTTTGCTTGATATTCGTGAATATTTCAGCTCTTTATGAGTACTGTACATTTTCCTTTATTCCAATGTCACAATTTTTAAGGTTATAAGAACTTATTTGAATTGTATCATGGCTAATTTTTAAAGTTATCAGAACTGTATTTGAGAGCACCTGCTAAAGTTCTATAGCTCATTATAAACCATCTTTGAAAGGGATTAAAACGAGACAACAGTTGCTTGTGAATAGCAAAATGTCCAAGGTAGTTACAGTTAGAAACACGATTGACAAAGAAGTTTGGTTATCTCCATAGTTTACAATAACTTAACATAAAAACCTTGATTATGATTGATAGCATACACTCAGACATTCGAATTTTAGAAAATCTCATGCAATTTTGGAACATATATTAATATTATTCACAAAAATATAGCCTAAGAAGATGGAGCATCATTTTAGCAATCCCATGTACCTAAACACGTCAACTAATCCTGTTTACGTCTGTTTTCTGGACACTTCAGGGGACCTCTGAAGTATTCAAAAAGCCAGGTGCCAGGGTGATGGCCCACTGTGAGTGAGCTGGAAATGTCTGATCTTCCTTGGTTTAATGTAGAGGAAGAGATCCAAAGGCTTAGGGAGATTGGGATGGTAGAGTGGATTAGTCACTTTAGACCTACTCATCCCAGCTGGGAGTGTTCAGAAGATATACCCTTAACCAATGCCTTGTGAAAGATTTGTGAGGGCAGCACCTGCATCTTTGGAGAGCCCTGTAATTGCTGTTCTCTGTATGTCAGATCGAACAGTGGGAACCGCAGTCACTCAACTACAAGACAACGGGAATAATTGGATCTTGAGGTGGCAGGGGCCAAGTGACAGCACTCAACCGTCAAAGGCAAGGTGGTCGTAGCTACTGTAATGGACAGCAGAGACAAAGCAGCAATCAGAATAGTCTAACTTGTGTAGAGCTGTGGCATTGGCTAATTAATCACAGCGTTCCTGGAAGTAAAATTGATAGGAAGCCTACTGCATTCCTATTTAATTTATATAAGGATAAAACTTCTAGGTCGAATGGACAAAAGACTAATTTGAAATACAAAAACAGAGAATCACGGCCTGTCAGTCAATTTCCAGACTTGAGCCAGTCTACGTGCCCAGAACCCCTTGAATGAAGGGGAAGCCGGGTTCCCTTGAGGAAGGACCCCACTACATTACCGACAATTTACGTGGTGAATCTCTCTCCCATCCTTCCCGAAGGAGACCTCTGGCCTTTTACCAGGGTCACTGTGCTTTAGGGAAAGGGAAATTATCAGACATTTTGGGGACTACTGAACACTGGCTCTGAGCAGATGTCAATCCAGGAGGCACAAAAAGTCATTGTGGTTTTCCAGTTAAAGTAGGGGCTTATGGAGGTCAGGTAATTGATGGAGGTTTAGCTCAGGTCTGACTTACAGTGGGTCCAGTGGGTCCCTGGACTTATCCTATGGTCACTTCCCTAGTGCCAGAATACATAATTGGCATAAACATACTTAGCAGCTGGCAGAACCCCCACACTGGCTTCCTGACTGTCAGGGTAAGGGCTACTAAGGTGGTAAAGGCCAAAGGGAAGCGATTAGAGCTGCCTGTACCTAGAAAAATAGTAAATCAAAAACAATATTGCATTCCTGGAGGGATTGTGGAGATTAGTGCCACCATCAAGGACTTGAAAGACTCAGGGGTGGTGATTCCCACCACATCCCTATTGAACGTTCCCATTTGGCCTGTGCATAAGAGAGATGGAAGTCAGAGAATGGCAGTGGATTCTTGTAAGCTTAACTAAGTGGTGAATCCAATTGCAGCTGCTTTACCAGATGTGGTTTCATTGTTTGAGCAAATTAACACATCTTCTGGTACCTAGTATGCAGTCATTGACTTGGCGAATGTCTTTTTCTCAATACCTGTCCATAAGGCCCACCAGAAGCAATTTGTCTTCACCTGGCAAGGCCAGCAATATACCTTTAATGTCCTACCCCAGGGGCATATCAACTCTCCGGCTTTGTGTCATAATATTATTCGGAGAGACCTTGATCGCTTTTTGCTTCTGCAAGATATCATACTGGCTCATTGCATTGATGACATTATGCTGATTGGATCCAGTGAGCAAGAAGTAGCAAACACACTGGATTTATTGGTGAGACATTTGTGTGCCAGAGGATGGGAAATAAATCCTACTAAAATTCAGGGACCTCCTACCTCCGTAAAACTTCTAGGGGCCCAGTGGTGTGGGGCCTGTCGAGACATTCCTTCTAAGGTGAAGGATAAGTTGTTGCACTTGGCCCCTCCTACAACCAAGAAGGAGGCACAATGCCTAGTGGGCTTGTTTGGATTTTGGAGGCAACACATTCTTCATTTGGGTGTGTTACTCTGGCCCATTTATCCAGTGACCCAAAAGGCTGCCAGTTTTGAGTGGGGTCCAGAATAAGAGAAGGCTCTGCAACAGGTCCAGGCTGCCGTGCAAACTGCTCTGCCACTTGGGCCATATGACCCAGCAGATCCAATGCTGCTTGAGGTGTCAAGTGGCAGATAGGGATGCTGTTTGGAGTCTTTGGCAGACCGCCATAGGTGAATCACAGCAGAGGCCTCTAAGATTTTGGGGCAAGGCCCTGCTATCTTCTGCAGATAACTACTCTCCTTTTGAGAGACAGCCCTTGGACTCTTATGGGGGTTTGACTATGAGTCATCAAGTTATGGGGGTTTGACTATGAGTCATCAAGTCACCATGGAACCTGAATTGCTTATCATGAACTGGGTGCTTTCTGACCCATCTAGCCATAAAGTGGGTCATGCACAGCAGCATTCCATCATCAAATGGAAGTGGTATATACATGACCAGGCTTGAGCAGGTTGTGAAGGCACAAGTAAGTTACATGAGGAAATGGCTCAAATGCCCATGGTCTCCACTCCTGCCACCCTGCCTTCCCTCCTCCAGTCTGCACCAATGGCCTCGTGGGGAGTTCCCTATGATCAGCTGACAGAGGAAGAGAAGACTAGGGCCTGGTTCACAGGTGATTCTGCATGATATGCAAGCACTACCCGAAAGTGGACGGCTGCAGTACTACAGCCCCTTTCTAGGACATCCCTGAAGGACAGTGGTGAAGGGAAATGTTCCCAGTGGGCAGAACTTCAAGCAGTGCACCTGGCTGTGCACTTTGCAAGGAAGGAGAAATGGCCAGATGTGTGATTATAAACTGATTCATGGGTTGTAGCCAGTGGTTTGGCTGGATGGTCAGGGACTTGGTAGAAGCATGATTGGAAAATTGGTGACACAGAAATTTGGGGAAGAGGTTTGTGGATGGACCTCTCTGAGTGGCCAAAAACTGTGAAGATATTTGTATCCCATGTGAGTGCTCACCAATGGGTGACCTCAGCAGAGGAAGATTTTAATAATCAAGTCGATAGGATGACCTGTTCTGTGGACACCACTCAGCCTCTTTCCCCAGCCACCCCGTCGTTGCCCAATGGGCCCATGAACAAAGTGGCCATGGTGGCAGGGGCAGAGGTTATGCCTGGGCTCAGCAACATGGACTTCCACTTACCAAGGCTGACCTGGCTATGGCCACTGCTGAGTGCCCAATTTTCCAGTAGCAGAGACCAACACTGAGCCCTCGATATGGCAGCATTCCTTGGGGTGATCAGCTACCTGGTGGCAGGTTGATTATATTGGACCTCTTCCATCAATGAAAGGGCAGAGGTTTGTCCTCACTGGAATAGACACTTATTCCAGATATGGGTTTGCCTATCCAGCACACAATGTTTCTGCCAAAACTACCATTAGTGGACTTACAGAATGCCTTATCCACCATCATAGTATTCCACACAGCATTGCCTCTGACCAAGACACTCACTTTACGGCTAAAGAATTTGCGGCAGTGGGCTCATGCTCATGGAATTCACTGGTGTTGCCATGTTCCTCATCATCCTGAAGCAGCTGGATTAATAGAACAGTGGAATGGCCTTTTGGAGTCACAATTACAATGCCAGCTAGGTGACAATACTTTGCAGGGCTGGGGCAGAGTTCTCCTGAAGGCCGTGTATGCTCTGAATCAGCGTCCAATATATGGTACTCTTTCTCCCATAGCCAGGATTCACGGGTCCAGGAATCAAGGGGTGGAAGTGGAAGTGGCATCACTCACCATCACCCCTAGTGATCCACTAGCAAAATTTTGCTTCCTGTTTCTGTGACATTGCGTTCTGCTGGCCTAGAGGTCTTAGTTCCAGAGGGAGGAACACTGCCACCAGGAGACACAACAATTCCATTAAACTGGAAGTTAAGATTGCCACCTGGACACTTTGGGCTCCTCTTACCTTTAAGTCAACAGGCTAAGAAGGGAGTTACAGTGTTGGCTGGAGTGATTGACCCAACTATCAAGGTGAAATCAGTCTACTACTCCGCGACAGAGGTAAGGAAGAGCAGGCATGGAATACAGGAGATCCATTGGGGTGTCTCTTAGTATTACCATGTCCTGTGATTAAGGTCAATAGGAAACTACAACAGCCCAATCCAGGCAGGACTACAAATGGTCCAGACCCCACAGGAATGAAGGTTTGGGTCACTCCACCAGGAATAAAACCATGACCTGCTGAGGTGCTTGCCTAAGGCAAAGGATATACAGAATGGGTAGTAGAAGAAGGTAGTCATCAATACCAGCTACTACCACGTGACCAGCTGCAGAAACGAGGACTGTAACTGTCATGAGTATTTCCTTCTACTTTTGTTAAAAACATGTTTGTGTACGTATACACTTGTACTAAGAAAATATCTTCATTTTATTTCACTTTCCTTTATTATGTGGCATAAGATTTATTGACTTCATATCAGCTTTTAAGTATTATTAACTTTATGTAATAGTATTTGGGTTGGGGATTGGTGTGTTTCCAGTTGTACCAAGGAGAGTTATATTATGTTAGGCATAATTATGACCTCATTATTGTCTTTATTTGAAGATTATGTATGATCTCAGGAGTTGTATATGGGTTCAAGTTGACAAGGGGTGGACTTGTGATAGCTAATACTGAGCGTCAACTTGATTGGAGGATGCAAAGTATTGTTCCTGGGTATGTCTGTGAGGATGTTGTCAAAGGAGATTAACATTTGAGTCAGTGGGCTTGGGAAGGGAGACCCATCCTTAATCTGGTGGGCACAATCTATTCAGCTGCCAGCGAATATAAAGCAGGCAGAAAAACCTGAAGAGGCGAGACTTGCCTAGCCTCCCAGCTTACGTCTTTCTCCCATGCTGGATGCTCCCTGCCCTCAAACATGGGACTCCACATTCATCAGTTTTGAGACTCAGACTGGCTCTTCTTGCTCCTCAAGCTTGCAGACAGCCTACTGTGGGACCTTGTGATCATATAAGTTAATAGTTAATAAACTATTAATTAGTATTAATTAATTAAATAAATATTATTAGTATTATTAATATTAATTAATTAATTAAAACTATACATTAATAAACATATATATGTGTCCTAGTAGTTCTGTCCCTCTAGGGAACCCTAATACACACGGTATATATATATATATATATGTGTGTGTGTGTGTGTGTGTATGTATGTATGTGTTTATATATATATATATATATATATATATATATATATATATATATACATACACTACATTTTGTTTATCCAGTCTTCTGTTGATGAACACTTAGGTTGATTTTGTGATTTTGCTATTGTGAATAATGCTGCAATAAACATATGTGTGCAGGTGTCTTTTTGATATAACAATTTCTTTTCTTTTGGGTAGATACCCAGTGGTAGGATTGCTGGGTTGAATGGTAGTCCTATTTTTAGTTCTTTGAGAAATCCAGGAAGGGTTTATTAATTGGATTATATACAGTTTGTTTAAGCATAAATATTTTTATTGTAAACTGAAACAATATGCAGTATGGAGTAGAATTACGTTTGAGTTGTAGCTCAATCACTGACTAATATATTACCTTTAACAAGTTCTTGGGTTCCCTGCCTTGGTTTTCTCATTTGTAAAATGAAAATAATTATGCTGATTTCCTAGATAGGTTAGGAGAATTAAATGAGATACTGAATGAATGTAAAAGTATTCAATAAGTGTAATTATTATTATTATCCCTCATCCCTATTCACTGGTGAACGAACCATACTGTTTTTTATTTCTGTGCTTTTGCATTTTGCTTAGAATGTTTCCTGCTTTCTTCCATCAGCCTGGTGAAATCCTGCTCACCCTGCAAGATCTATGTAGAGTGACTTTCTCTGTTCCTTGTCTGTTTCCCATGCCCTCAAACACTCTTATTATAGATGAAGCAAGCCTTTGCCATCTCCAGGCTCTCCATTGCCTTTGACTCCACTTCTGCCTGCTGATCTGCATTGCCTACCTCTGATGTCAATCCGTGTTGGTCCCCACCTGAAAGGCCACTTTCTTGTACTAAAGAGGATGTACTAGCCTGGATACCTCAAGTCTTTCTGTCTGTAATTCTCAAAATTCAGTCTTGGAATAAATAGTTCCCTTTTGAACTATGCAGACCGCATCATTTGCATTTCTTTTCTAGCTTTTGCTGTTCCTATTGGCGACTGCACAATTCTTAGCAACACTGAAGTGCTGGAGGTGAAGCTCTCCGTGTGTTGTCTTCAGATGACGAATGTATTCTTCTGATGACTTGGGACAAATTCTCCCTCCAAAATGCCACTGTCTGTGAATACACCCTCCTGTAAAACTCTGGCCATAGTACAGGGTGAAAGGTTTTATGGACAAAAAACAATGTTGCAGATTACTCTCTTCTAGATTACTCAAAAGTCCTCTCCTCTATGGCAGCTTCCTATAATCCAATCACAGTCCTTTCTGAGTCTTCCCACCTCACCTGGCTTCTGCAGCTGGAGTTAAACATGATTTGCTCTTTGCTTTCTTAGGCTTTTGTTACTGAATTATTTTATGTTATCTTTTAGATGTTGATGGTCACTTGCACGTGCCATAGCGGAGGTCTAATGGTCTCAAGGAGGATTTTAACTTTGTATTTTGGGTAATGTCTTTGTGTTTTCCTTCTTCTGATACATTCTGCTTTTTAAATCTATTTAAACTATAAGAATAAAAGCCTGCTGTATTTATACCATCTGACTTTCTCCGTCCATCCTTCCCATTTGGGACAAAACTAAATGTGAATTTTTTTTTCTGACTTCCTGGCCCCAGAAGCTGGAGTGCAGATGTGCAGGAGGTGGGTTGGTGGGGGCGGTGCGGGGCGGGCAGAGGGTTAAATCCTGGGGATTAACAATTCTCACCTTTCAAATGACTGCAGCTCTTGAGTGACTTTCTTGGGAGCTACAGGTTACAGAAAAAAAGTTCTGCAGAGAATGGGTTTTAGATGTTACCATTTGGTTGATTATTTCAAAATACTGCCATTGAGAGATCATTGCATAGAAACTGTTGAGAGAAATGAATGGATGGTTCAATGGATAGCTAGATAGACAGATAGCTAGGTAGACTGATAGGAGAAATTTTGGACACATAAAATAGAATGTATTTCTGAGACTAAACACTTTGCTATTTAGATGTGCTGATTTCCTAATGAGGTCATTTTTATATTCTACAAACCCAGAAGATTCAGAAAGACTCCTTGCTGCTTATGAGGCAGTGTCCAGAATGCACAGCACAGTTTCTGGAACATAGCAGAAGCACAGTAAACATTTATCAAGGGAACTAATGCTCTATTTGGCCTGCTCAAGCTAGAGCCAGCTCCTCTGTGCTCTGTACTTGTCAACAGACTTTCCAGCCATAGAGGCAAACCAGAGCAGACTGATGGATTTCACCCAAAGTTGTTAATCCGTTAACAATTGGCTGTAAAAGTATGCGTATGGAAACAAATGGGGAAACTAAAAACCAGATTTGCAGTTGCAGTGTAAAAATATAATTGCCATGCGTTAGCAAAAAGAAAGGCCCCTCACAGATTGCAAATGTTATTTTAATACATAAGGAAATTGTACTGGATTTAATGAATTTGCTTTGACCATCAGCAAAATGGCATTTCAGATTTCAAGCACAAAACTTTTTTTTGTTATTTTTTTTCTCATTCCATCATTTGAAAAAAATGGGCTCCTGACAAATTGATCAGGCAGTTGTGCCACAAGGTATGTGACCTTGGGTAATTCACTTAACTCTCTGAGTCTTGATTTCCTCATTGGTAAAATGGGTGTAAAAATCTATATTTGTCAGATGATTGGATGAGATGATGCATACAAAATATCTAGCAGAGTGCCTGGAACACAGAATAGGTACTTAACAAACAGCAGAATCTGCTGGCACAGCTGCTGCTACTGCTGGGTATTGGGTGGGCTTAAGCCAGCTGCATTAGTCAGGGTTCCCCAGAGAAATGGAACCAATAGAGTGTATGTGTATGTGCATGTACACGTGTGTGTGCGTGTGTGTGTGTGTGTGGAGAGGGAGTGAGAGAGGGAGATTTATTTTAAGAAATTGGCTCATACAATTATGGAGGCTACTAAATGCAAAATCTGCAGGGTTGGTCAGCAGGCTGGAGACCCAGGGACAGGCCAATGTTGCAGTTCAAGTCTGAAGGCCATCTGTGTAATTCACTCTTGCTTGGGGAAGATCAGTCTTTTTGTTCTATTCAGGCCTTCAACTGATTGGATGAGGCCCACCAACATTTTGAAGGCAATCTACTGTACTCAAAATCTACTGATTTAAATGCTGATCTCATCCAAACAATCTCTCACGGAAACATCTCCAACAGTGTTTTACAACATATCTAGGCACCATGGCCCAGCCAAGTTGACACATAAAATTAACCACTCAACCCCTATTTTCTTTATTACCCAATCCTGAATCAGATGACAATAGCCTCCCGACAAGCCTCTCTGCTTCTACTCTTGTTTCCTCTCAATGCATTTATAAGCAGTAGCAAGAATAATCATAAAACAAAACCCCAATTCTTTCTCTTATGCTTAAATCTTTTGATGATCTCTCATTGCACTTGGAATAAATGCCATTTTTGTTTGTTTGTTTGTTTTTGTTTTAATCAGAGCTTATAAGGCATTGTAGGATCTGGCCTGCCCTGACTCCACTTTACCAGAACCATCTGCTGCTCTTCTCTCTTGTGTTACTCAAGGTATTAGCTGCTGTGGCAAATCAACTCTGAAATCTCCGTGACTTAATACAAGAGAGGTTTATTTCTTACTCACGCTGGTAGGTAGTTTCTGACATGGCTCCCAAAGATCCTTGTCTTCTGGTATTCATGTCCTTGTGTAACCCCTTCACCTTTGATGGGGACTGGATCAAGTGACTTGCTTCTAACAAATAGAATATGTAACAGTGATGGTATGTCACTGTGACTCCATCCTGCTAGCCTCTCTCTTGTTCTTCATGTGTGCTGTTTCTGGTGAAGCAAGCTGGAAAGGCCAATATGGCAAGAAACTAAGGGCAGAACCTGGCCAACCAGCAGCAAGGAATTGAGGCTGTAAGTCCAATAGTCCTTGAGGAACTGAATTCTGCTGACAACCACATGTGTGGGCTTCGAAGCAGATTCTTCCCCAGTCAAAAACTTTGATGAAATGAGTCCAGGGGTTCCAGACCAGCCTGGGCAACATAGTGAGGCCCCACGTGTACAAAAAATAAAAATTTTCTGGAAGTGGTGGCACATGCCTGTACTCCTAGCTACTCAGGAAGCTGAAGTGGGAGGATGGCTTGGGCCCAGAAAGTCGAGGCTGCAGCGAGCCTTGTTTGTGCCACTGCTGTCCAGGCTGGGCCACAGAGTGGCCAAAAGAAAAGAAAAAGAAAAAAAGGAAAAGAAAATCTTCAAGTTTCTGGAGAAGTGATCCTATGTAATATTTCCTCTTGAAGGGTACACCTTGTGGAGAGATCTGTGCCATATCCTCCTGTTAAATAAGACACCTTGGAGGATGCTTGGCAGAATCCTGGTTTGAGAACATCTTTTTGGAAGCCAGAATTGTGATTTAAAGTTAAAGGAAAGAAACAGTGCTTCTCCAACTTCAGTTCCAGGAAAGCATTTGTCTTCATAACCCTCATCCAGACTAACAGTTTGTGCTTAGGAAAGACAGATGTGTCCTGCAGGTCTTTCTACCCTCACATGACGAAGCCAGCAGTGCATCATACCCGGCTTGTGAACAAACAGAGAATAGCAGCTTCCATTTCACAAATACATCCATTCACTCTGAGGATTTTTTTCCTCTGGCTGAGGGAGCAAAATGCCCATTATAGTGTATTCTCCCTGTCCCCAGGCTTTAATATATCTTAGAGCAGCTCTCCTCAGCATTCCACATTATAAAATCAATCCCTATTTAAGTAAGAGGGGGATATTTATTTCTTAATTTTTTAATAATGCATTTTGTGATTTGTTATAGCTTCAGTGTTGTATTATTTATTTATTGTGCCTATAGGGTGCACTGCCACTTGGTAACAGAGGAGCTATGGAAACTTGAGACCTAAGCAGAAATGAGTTCAATAATATTGCTACACTCTAGGACTTTCTCCAAAATTAACAACAGAACAAAAGTGCAAGGCAGTGATAACCCATCTGACAGCATTTGGGGAGTGTTTGTGAAAGCAATGGTGATGGAGGTTTTAAAAGAATGTCAGGTAAGGGGAAGTGACAAATGGATGAGCTATTTTAAAATTCAGAACGATTTCATAAGCCTCATAAAACTGGATATGCTATGTTATTGGGGGGAAGAGTGTTTATTTCATGTTTTACTAAGGAAAAAACTGTTCAAGAACCTTATAGAACTTAAATATGTTTTCCCTCTCTTCTTGCAGATCATATAAGCAAGAATGTTGATGAACATAGCTTGGGACCAAGACGGCTTCATTTTGATCCCAAGGCCTGCTGACAATGTGCTGAAAGGAAAGAGGATCTTCAATTTTTTTAAAAACAGGAATGATTTGGTGTGTTCGTTCTTAACAATTGTTAAACAACATAAAATGTGATTCTTATACTTAATTTTTGTCTCTCAAAGTTAAAGTAATAGGAGGTAACCACACAGTTGGAAATTTGCTGATATACATACAAATGATGTCATAAAAATTGGGGATGTTTAGATAAAAATCAGGGTTAGACTGACGTGTTTAACTCCAAAGCTTTCTACACCTGGAAGACATTACTCAAGCCCTGTTACAGTGCTATGATACTAATTAGTGCCAATACCCTCCAATAATTTTGAATTCTTTAACTCTCTCATTAATCCTGATGTACATTTCAGGAAAATGAATTCATGCTGATTTGACATCAAGCAATAAATAAAGGCAGTGAAGGACACTTGCCCTTGGTGGAAAGATGGCATCTTAGCCAGGCAGCCAGCCGGTCTGTCAACAGCATTTATTGAGTGTCTAATGAGAGAAAGGCCACGAGACAAAGAGGAGACATGGGCTCTGGCCTTGGGGAGCAGCCAGGGCAATGACAGAGGCAGAGAAAAGAGTGGAGATGTGTCTGCCAAATATTGGAGAAGCAGCACATCAGTGAGGGCAACCTGGAGGAGGGGGCGCCTCCCGTTTGCTGGTCACCTTGCGCATGGCAGCCTATGCTAATGGCCTTTTTATTGGTGAACCTATCAGATACTCAAGCAATGCTGTGAGGGAAATGGTGCCAACTTCTCCATGCCTCAGTTTCTCAGCTGTAAAATGAACTCCACTGAGTGGCTGGGGAGTGGCAAAGCCAGTGTCTGTGCAACTCCTTCCACAGACAGAGGGCTGTCTGTGGTCAGAGGGCACTGAACACTGGCAGGGGCGAGGAAATGAGAAGAGGGGTGCTTCAGCTACAGCTGTCTAAGACTCCCCCACCTTTCAGGCCCATTAAGAAAATGTAAGATTTCAAATGAGGGGAAAAACTATGAAATTCTCATTTTAGGATTTGGCTAAGGAGATTACAAAAGAATCACAATACACACATTTGGCTTTAGCACATGTTCAGTTCTGTCACATTTGTATGCTTTATGCTGGTAGAAGGAAATGTATAGCTGGATGCCTGTGTGATCTAGTAGCTTTTCAATAGCATGGCAGGGCGGAGCCCGCTGATTCTCCATCGTGTTTCTCTCTAGGTGCACAGCAGTGCAACGTAGGGGTGCCTCCCTAATGGGTTGCAAATCTTCATTTATTTCTGTTGTGTTCTGGGGATGAAACCAATGAAGAGAAGGTGGAGGAAACCCACTCCCCATTTCCCTGATGCAGAGAAGGTTCTTCCTTTATACTCTCATCAACCCCATTCTTGGGCCCTATATTAATCCATTCTTGCACTGCTATAAAGAAATACCTGAAATGGGGTAATTTATAAAGAAAAGAGGTTTAATTGGCTCACGGTTCTAAAGGCTGTACAGGAAGCACAGTGGCTTCTGCTTCTGGGGAAGCCTCAGGAAATTTACAATCATGGCAGAGGTGAAGGAGAAACAGGCACGTCTTATATGGCCAAAGCAGGAACAAGAGTGTGGTGGGGGTGGGGGTGCTAAACACTTTTAAAGGAACAGATCTTGTGATAACTCACTCTTGCCATGACAATACCAAGGGGGATGGTGTTAAACCATGAGAAACTGCCCCCATGATCCAATCACTTCCCACCAGGCCCCACCTCCAACATTGGGAATTACAATTTGACATGAGATTTGGGCAGAGACACAGATGTAAGCCATATCATGTCCCTTGGCAATAACAGCACAGAGGGATATTAATTGGCCTTTGTGAATACACAGGAGCCATAAAGACTTTAGTTGTAGCCACATGAAATTATAGACACTGGTTGTAATAATAGAAATGCTTCATCAATAAGCTGGTTGTTTAATTTTGACAAAAGCACAAGAAGTTTGATTTTCTTCTTTCTCTCTATTTGGTTAAAGTGACTGATTTGGAGGAAGTAGGAGTTGGGGCAGAATGACTGTGTTCTGTCAGACACACTCAGCCTCAGGAAGCCAAGCCATAGCTCACATGTTTGGGAAGCAGAGGCCCTCAGAAGATGGGTATAACATAGCCATGTTTGCCTGCAGAACTTGAATATGAGATATACTTATTCTTTATTTCCAAATACAGTATTTTCAAATAATTTTCTTCTAAATTAGAGGAAATAGGCTTAAATTTTAGCATAATTAGGCTATTCATTCACTTAGCAAACACACATGGATCACCTATGGTCAAATAGAACACCAGGTACTGGGGATCGAGAAAATCCTGTCTGGCCCTGTCCTCAAGGAGCTCCATCTATGGGGAAGAACATATGTAAAGTGTGTAGAACCCACTGTGATACCTGTGGATAGTAGATGTGTGTACAAGGTAACTTGGTTGTCCAGAAGAGATCACAGTTCTTGGCAAACATGTTTACGTTACTCTAGGATGTGGCTTTGGACAGATGTTATAAAACAAAGTGAATGACTTCTTGGCTTGGAGGCTGTATAAAGTTCCATTCTAGTTTACAAGTGTTAGTTCTTATCTACGGAACTTAGGTGTTCCATAGTTGCTGCAGGCTAATGTGTGGAAATGGGATCCGAGAGGCTTGGAGGTGCAAGGTTTGAAATTGCTTAAAAGCTGAATATGTCCATCTTCTTCATTCCCACTGCAGGTTATCCACCTGTAAGTGGAGAAACATTTCTGATCTCACAAGGGACACATAAACGGAGGACTGGCCTGACTGAATCTCTGAATGCTGGAAGTTGCCATGACTCCAGTAGGAAGGGAAGGAAAGCTATCTATCAGAATTGTGAGGGGCCAAATAGGAGGCAAATGGATGAGCATATTGTACAATACTCTCCTAAACTTTAGGGAGTGAAGTGTATGTCGATCAGCCAAGTCATAATTCTAATGGACTGGGAATTTTGGCTCATTAAAATAGTCCTATGAATAAAACCAAAACATACAATTTTAAAGTAAAAAAAAAATGGAACCTGAGTCAAATCAAACCAGATTTAAACTAACAAACAAAACAAACAAACAAACAAAAAGAACCAGAGTGTCACTAGAAGAAATGGTAACCAAAATGGAAGAAGAAAAGAAGTAGCAGAGGATCTTAAGTTTGTTTTTGTTTTTCTCCTTTTCATAATGGAAAATCTCAATCATAATAAGAAATAGAGGGACTGGTGTGATAAATCCTCGTGTGTACTTATCACCCAGCTTCAATAATTTTATTAGCTCATGACCAAGCTCGTTTCATTTATACCACCCCATTTCCCCACCCTGCTGCACCCCCACTGGCCCAGGGATTGAGATGGTAATTTTGAATGTGAAATCAGGCATATCCAGGAAGGAGAGCAGTGGGCAAGGAGGAATCTGTGCCAATTGTGAGGATGTGCCATTTGGCACCAAGTGAAGAGGTGGCATCTGTATCTGTATCTTGTGCTTGTTTGTCCCTTTTTTTGCTTCCAAACTTTTTGTTTCTTTCTAGTGCTTAGAGTTATAGATTATAGGAAGTTGACTACAAGTGTTTTAGGTGTTTTCTGCTTTAATAACCGTATCTGAAAAGAAGAAGGGAGGGAGTGAGAGAGCATGGTAAGATGGAACAAGGGTTGTAGGACTGAGGAGCAAGGCACAGAGATTAAGCTTGCAAGTGGCCAATCCAGCCCTTGGAAGATGGGCAGAACCTACCCTAGTCCCAGCCCCCTTCCCTCTACCTTCATTTCCTCCATGCTCCAGGCAGACAGGCTGAACCACTGTCCATTCCCCAATAACCCACATTCTCTTGACTCCAAGTTTCTTCAAATGCTGTCACTCAGCTTCAAATACCACCTCTTCCTTTTATCTTGCCAGTGACTCCTCCAGTCTCAGCTCTTACACCACTTCCACTATGAGGTCCCTTAGCCCCAAAGTGGCTGGGTGGAGCACCCTTTCTAGATCCTCTCCAGCTTCCTGTAGTCATCCGCAATGGAGCACTTTCCACATTGTTGTGTAACTCCCTGTGTAATCACTTGTCCTGCCCAACAATGGGGATTCAATAAGACTAGAGCTGTGATCATTTTGTAGTTGCACCCCCAGTGTATGCCCAGTGCCCAGCATATAATAGATGCCAATATAATTGTAAAGAATGCATAATAAACTGAAAATAGAATTTGTAGTATATGCAGCAATGCAGACCTAAGAATAGAGAGTGATCCAGGGCCTCCTTTGTGGGAATCAGATAAAAAGTGACTTTTTTGAGAACAAATGCCACCCCCAAATTAGGACACACTATGTATGGGCTGAATTTCAGTCCTCTCTGGTTTCTTTAGTTAGGTGTCCTTGTGCAATGAACAACCTGCCCAACCACATCCAGCAAATATGGAAGGATCTTTACACCAATGGTTTTCAACTCTGGCCACGTGTTAGAAAAACCTGGGTAACTTTTTGAAATTGTCCCGGTCCAAGCCCCAATCTCAGAGAATTGGATTTAATTGATCCTGGAGCATGGGTTTTAAGGTCCCTCCTGGTATTGCAGCCTGAATTGAGAACTACAGCTTTAGATCTACTGTCATGATCATCTCACTCTAGGCTGTATTACAGACGTGTGTTTGCCTCTCATAGGCATCCCGATGGGGTTCACGGTCCAGCTGAAATGCTAACGGCAACACCAATCATTGGCACTTCTAGATTTACTGCCAGGAGTCTTTGCCTTTATCACCCAACCCCAGATGTCTAGGCATGTCCCCATGGCCTGTCCCTCACTGAAGAGAGAGCTAACAGGCAGCTGCACCACTACCCTGACCTGCAACTTAGGATTATGAAGGGAAGAGTTCTGAAGTTAAGTCCTTGCCCAACCCATACCTGGTATGTGACCTTGGGGAAGTTATTAACAATTCCCTGCTTCAGTTATCTTGTCCATAAAAGTAACTAATGGTACGGGTCTACTTACCTGAAATGGCATAAGCTTTAATGAGCAAATAATTGTAAGCTGCTCCATAAAATAAATTGTTGTGCAGTTGCTAAATAACCTCATTGTTTAAAACTCCATAGAAACCTATGCTATTCCTCTGAATTTTTACAATAACTATTTGATTTATGCATACAAGACATCATTTGCCTAAAAATCCTTTCTTATATGGGCATTCTCTTTGATTTATTCTCTTTCACTCTGCCAGCACACAACCTGACATATGTATAAAGGATTTGCAAGAAAAATCACTTAATGCATAGCATTTCCTTTGTTGTGACTGTGTTATCATGAACTGTTATAGTTGTCACTTATTCTCAGAATTGTTTGTCTAGTTTTTGTTCAGGCTTATAAATACTCACCTTGGACATGGTTTATAGACAGTGTAGGGAAAACAAATACATATGCTGGAATAGTCAACTTAGATTTATTCTTACTTAAGAAAAAAAAGGCTTAAAGGTTTAATGTGTGCTTGATAAGCTATAAGTCAGCCAGAAAGATGCAAGCAGTTTATATTTACTCTCCTGTGTAGACTCGACATTTACAGTTTCAGCCTTTCTCAGTACTTCTTCAGCAGGTTATGTCTTTCCCAGAAGAACTGATCTCAAAGCACAATTTCCAAGAATGCTATTAAAAGAAGAGTAGGGACTTTTCGCCAACTACATATTGTGGAGGAGTGGAACATGAACATGAGGGACTCAAGAATTTGAGTGTTTGTTAACGTACCTTGAGTGGGCTTGACTGAGGCTGCTCATAGTGTCTTTACAAGTCTGTGAAGAAAGTCTGCAGTTGGTAATGCCCCCCCGCCAATCTTTTGGCAGCAACCTCCACTCCTAGAACATTACCTTTCCTATTCCAGAAGAAAGCAATTAATATTGCTGGGCAGGAGTCAACACTCTAAAGGAGCCTGGGCTTTGGGTCTGCTCTTTGGAGAATTCCTCAGGAAACTGGTGCTAAAACAAGGGGTCACATTTCATCGCCTTTTGCCAGAGATATAGTGTGGTGTGGTATGGAGACACAGGGCTCAACTTTTGGTTCACACTCTGAGGCTTTGGACAGGCTTTGGCACTTCATTTTTCTAATCCTCTATTTCCTAATCTGTAACATGAAGATACAAATACCCAATAGGTTTATTGTGGGGGATAAATGACATCACCTACGTGAGATGTCTAACATCATGTTAAGCACACGGAAGAAATTCTTCAAAGGTTTGCTAAATTTGAATTATAAAATATCCAGGATCTTAATCCACAGAGAAGAGATACATTAAAAATGATAGACAGGGTAATATAGTGGAAAAACAATAGGCTTTAGTTTCAGAAGAGTTGAGTACCTGTCTCTGTCATCAACTAGCTGTGTAACCTTGGGTAAGTTAAGTAACTTACTACTTAACCTCCCTCATCCATCATTTCCTGAGTTGGAAAATGAGAAAAATATTGTCCATCACATAGGGTTACTAGACAGACTAAATAAGATAACACAAGTGAATTCCTGAAAAAAATGGAAGAATTTGAAAGGGTCAATGATAATGGTTTGTGTTGTATCAGTTTTAGGAAGCAACTCTTCTATACCCTTTCAATCAGTGATGGATTAGAGATTTTTTTTCTAATTTTAACATTGCTAAAAAGCAATGTTTTCTTTATAGACCAAAAGGAAGTCTATTAACTGTAACTGAGGTCTGTTACTAGCTACTATTCTTCACTAGTAAAATATATAGATCAAATTCTTTATACAAGGTTGGTGTTTCTCTTAGCCACAAGATGACACAGCAGCACTGATTAAGGCCTCCTTTCCTCTCATAGCATGTTACTAGGTTGTTTCCTTCATGGTTACTAATTTCATATGACTTCACGGGCTGATTACATATTTATGTATTATTTATTATGCAAATCTAGCATTATACATTATTTAAAACCATATTAATAGTATGTATTATTTATGATGGAACTGTATTAATATACATTATTTCAAGTATCTTTGGCTAGGGCTTTTTTTTTCCTGTGGATTTTGGTCATTAGAAGTTAGTATTCTACTCAAGAATCAATACAGCTCTCCTGGGGACATTACCATCAAGTTCCTTATCATTGCAACTTCTGCATAGCCATTGTCTGTTAAATGACTCTAACATTAAGAGGCAAAGCCTACAGGGCTCTGACTGCCTAGGATTATGGCTATGCAATGCCACTCCTTTAAAAAATTGTGAAGTAGTTTTTATGCCATTAAGATTCCACCTCCTCTGATGGCAGCCTTCATTCTCAGAACATCATCTTTCTGATTGTGGAAGAAAGCAGTTGGATAAATCTGAGAAACTGAGCCATGGTAAAATACATCAAGTAGGATGTATTTGGCTACAAGCCTAAAAAATAGTGGCTTACGTATTGAGAATGTATATTATCTCACCTAATAGGAAGTTTAAAGGTAGGTGAGCCCAGGGATAGTTCTGTGGTTTAATGTGGGGGTCAGCTTCTCTATGATTCTCCTCTCTTTACTTTCTGTGTTTGACAGTATTACTCTAGATTGTTGCCACATGGATGTAAGTTGGTTGACACATCCAAGCATCAAATCCTCTCACAAAAATCTTCAAATGAAAGAATGAAACAGGGAAAGAGAAAGCTTTGTTTTATCTTCAGCTCTAAGTTTTATCTGGGAGAAAATCTTTTCCAGAAATCCCCCAGCAGACTGGGACACATACCTACACCTTGGCCAAATCATCAACAAAGAATAATAAAACTGCCTCCTTTTTTTCCCATGGCATGGAACAAGCTATTGCATTCCCTGAGGATTAGAACCTTCAAATTAAAGCAAAATTGGCTCTGTTAGCAAGGAAAGAGGGATAATAGTTATTAGGTGGGTAGCCATAAATATCTGTCATGAGGTGCTAGGAATTTAGTTGGTCATTCTTTATGATAAAATTTACATTTAAAAGATTGAGATTTTTAAAAGAACCTAGACTATTTTTAATTTGCTGCCAAGACGGAATAACAGGGACATGATTTACTTTCTCATCTGAAAACCCAGAAAAAAATGTGATCCAATGATTTTCATGACATTTGACAGCAGGGAATGAAGGATGGTGATTACCAAGAGACAACAAACAAATAAGGTGAGACCTAGAAGAATGCTAGAGAAAAGATTGACCATGTTGAATAGACTCATGGAAGATATTAAGAAGACCCAAATAGAACTTCTAAAATGTCTGAGATGAAAAATATGCTGGATGAGATTAATGGCACATTGGAGTCTCTGGATGAGTGAGGGAGATATGGAAAAAATATTTGAGTAAATAATGGCCAAAATTTTTCCAAATTTAATGCACACTACAAATTCACAGATACAAGAAGCTCAGCAAACTCCAAGAATAAAAAGAAAGAAAAAAGAAAATAACTCCAAGGCACATCATAATAAGATTTCTTAAAACTTGTGACAAAGATAAAAATTTTAAAGCAGACAGATAAAAAAGATAAGTACAGAGGAAAAAGCATAGGTATGACTGCAGATTTCTCCCTAGAAACAACGTGAGCAAGAAGACAATGGAGCAACATTTAAAATGCATTGAAAGGAAAAATTTTAAAAAACCTAACTTTAAACCTGAAATTCATAACCCAGCAAAAATAGATTTCAAAAATTAAGACAAAAGAAAGGATTTTTCAGATATAGGAAAGTTGAAATAATCTATCCCCAGCAGACCTGTATTATAAGAAATGTAAAGAAAGTTCTTAAAGCAGAAGTAAAATGATATTAGAAGACAATTTGGAATTAAAAGACTTGAGAATGGTAATTACTTGGGTAAATATAGACATTTTCTTATCTAAATTTCTTAGAAGCATAATTGCTTGCTTAAATAAAAAATAATAACAGTGTAGTGTGCACTTTATGGCATCTATAGAAGTTAAATGTATAACAACAATAGTACAGTGGCCAGAAAGGGAGAAAGGAAGCATACTGCTGAAAGGCTTTTATACTATACATGGAGTGATATGCTATCACTTGAAGGTAGACTGTGATAATTTTAAGATATATAATATAATTCTCTGATATCATACCATGAAGAAACTAACCACCTGCTTGTTTACAGTTGATTAAATTGAACTCCCTTCTAACTTGGGAAGGGCAACTGTATATCTTGATTGAAACTGGCACACATTCTGAGTACGAGTTTGCCTTATAGAGTGTTTGATTCACCAACACAAGATTGTGCATTACATCACATTTGACCATGGGACCCACTTTCCTACAAGGGAGATACAATGCTATGCACATGACCATAGGATGCACTTTTTAAAAAATGATACATGATTGTTGTACATATTTTGGGGATACATGTAATAACTTAATACATTCATGTAATTTGTAGGATAAAATCAGTGAAATTGGGGTATTCATTTCCTTAAATATTTGTCTTTTCTTTATGTGAGAAACATTCAAGTTATTCTCTTTTAGTTATTTTGAAATGTGCAATAGATAATTGTAAACTATAGTCAACCTACAAATGTATCAAACACTAGGTCTTATTTCTTCTATCAAACTGTATACTTGTACCTGTTAATAAGCCTATCTTAATCCCCCTCTTCCCACTACCCTTTCCAGCCCCTGGTAACCACCAATCTACTCTCTGTTATAAGATCCACTTTTTTAGTTTCCACATATAAGTGAGAATACATAATATTTGTCTTCCTGTACTTGGTTTATTTTGCTTAACATAAAGACCTCTAGTTTCATCCATGTTGCTGCAAATGACAGAATTTTATCCTTTTTTTTAATATATAAATGTAGAATATTCCATTGTGCATATAATCACATTCTCTTTATCCATTCATCCATTAATGGGCACTTAGGTTAATTGCGTATTTTGGCTATTGTGTATAGTGCTGCAATAAACATGGGAGTGCAGCCATCTCTTTCATATATTGATTTCTTTTCCTTTGGCTATATATATAGCAATGGAATTGCTGGATTATGTGATAATTCATTTTTAGTTTTTTGGGGAATCTCCATTCTGTTTTCCACAGTGGTTATACCAATTTACATTCCCACCAAAAGTGCAGGAGGGTTCCCCTTTCTCTATTTTCTGTCTTTTTAAAATAAAAGCCATTTTAACTGGAGTGAGATGCTATCTTATTGTGATTTTAATTTGCATTTCTCTGATAATTAGCGATATTGGGCATTTTTTTCATGTACCTCTTGGCCATTTGTATGTCTTCTTTTATGAAATGCCTATTCACAATAATTAATAGCTTACCAACCAAAAAAAGTCCAGGACCAGACAGATTCACAGCCAAATTCTACCAGAAGTACAAGGAGGAGCTGGTACCATTACTTCTGAAGCTATTCCAATCAACAGAAAAAGAGGGAATCCTCCCTAACTCATTTTATGAGGCCAGCATCATCCTGATACCAAAGCCTGGCAGAGACACAACAAAATAAGAGAATTTTAGGCCAATATCCCTGATGAACATCGATGCAAAAATCCTCAATAAAATACTGGCAAACTGAATCCAGCAGCACATCAAAAACTTATCCACCATGATCAAGTGGGCTTCATCCCTGGGATGCAAGGCTGGTTCAACATATGCAAATCAATAAACGTAATCCAGCATATAAACAGAACCAATGACAAAAACCACATGATTATCTCAATAGATGCAGAAAAGGCCTTTGACAAAATTCAACAACCCTTCATGCTAAAAACTCTCAATAAATTAGGTATTGATGGGATGTATCTCAAAATAATAAGAGCTATCTATGACAAACCAACAGCCAGTATCATACTGAATGGGCAAAAACTGGAAGCATTCCCTTTGAAAACTGGCACAAGACAGGGATGCCCTCTCTCACCACTCCTATTCAACATAGTGTTGGAAGTTCTGGCCAGGGCAATCAGGCAGGAGAAGAAAATGAAGGGTATTCAATTAGGAAAAGAGGAAGTCAAATTGTCCCTATTTGCAGATGACATGATTGTATATGTAGAAACCCCATCATCTCAGCGCAAAATCTCCTTAAGCTGATAGGCAACTTCAGCAAAGTCTCAGGATACAAACTCAATGTGCAAAAATCACAAGCATTCTTATACACCAATAGCAGACAAACAGAGAGCCAAATCATGAGTGAACTCCCATTCACAATTGCTTCAAAGAGAATAAAATACCTAGGAATCCAACTTACTAGGGATGTGAAGGACCTATTCAAGGAGAGCTACAAACCACAGCTCAATGAAATGAAATAGGATACCAACAAATGGAAGAACATTCGATGCTCATGGGTAGGAAGAATCAATATCGTGAAAATGGCCATACTGCCCGAGGTAATTTATAGATTCAATGCCATCCCCATCAAGCTACCAATGACTTTCTTCACAGAATTGGAAAAAACTACTTTAAACTTCACATGAAACCAAAAAAGAGCCTGCATTGCCAAGTCAATCCTAAGCCAAAAGAACAAAGCTGGAGGCATAACGCTACCTGACTTCAAATTATACTACAAGGCTACGGTAACCAAAACAGCATGGTACTGGTACCAAAACAGAGATATAGACCAATGGAACAGAACAGAGCCCTCAGAAATAATGCCACACATCTACAACTATCTGATCTTTGACAAACCTGACAAAAACAAGAAATCGGGAAAGGATTCCCTATTCAACAAATGGTGCTGGGAAAATGGGCTAGCCATATGTAGAAAGCTGAAACTGGATCTCTTCCTTACACATTATACAAAAATTCATTCAAGATGAATTAAAGACTTACATGTTAGACCTAAAACTATAAAAACCCTAGAAGAAAACCTAGGCAATACCATTCAGGACATAGGCATGGGCAAGGACTTCATGTCTAAAACACCAAAAGCAATGGCAACAAAAGCCAAAATTGACAAATGGGATCTAATTAAACTAAAGAGCTTCTGCACAGCAAAAGAAACTGCCATCACAGTGAACAGGCAACCTACAGAATGGGAGAAAATTTTTGCAATGTACTCATCAGACAAAGGGCTAATATCCAGAATCTACAAAGAACTCAAACAAATTTACAAGAAAAAAACAAACAAACCAATCAAAAAGTGGGCGAAGGATATGAACAGACACTTCTCAAAAGAAGACATTTATGCAGCCAAAAGACACGAAAAAATGCTCATCATCACTGGCCATCAGAGAAATGCAAATCAAAACCACAATGAGATACCATTTCACACCAGTTAGAATAGCGATCATTAAAAAGTCAGGAAACAACAGGTGCTGGAGAGGATGTGGAGAAATAGGAACACTTTTACACTGTTGGTGGGACTGTAAACTAGTTCAACCACTGTGGAAGTCAGTGTGGTGATTCCTCAGGGATCTAGAACTAGAAATACCATTTGACCCAGCAATCCCATTACTGGGTATATACCCAAAGGATTATAAATCATGCTGCTATAAAGACACATGCACACGTATGTTTATTGTGGCACTATTCACAATAGCAAAGACTTGGAACCAACCCAAATGTCCAATAATGATAGACTGGATTAAGAAAATGTGGCACATATACACCATGGAATACTATGCAGCCATAAAAAATGATGAGGTCATGTCCTTTGTAGGGACATGGATGAAACTGGAAACCATCATTCTCAGCAAACTATCGCAAGGACAAAAAACCAAACACCACATGTTCTCACTCATAGGTGGGAATTGAACAATGAGAACACATGGACACAGGAAGGGGAACATCACACACTGGGGCCTGTTGTGGGGTGGGGGGAGGGGGGAGGGATAGCATTAGGAGATATACCTAATGTAAATGACGAGTTAATGGGTGCAGCACACCAACATGGGACATGTATACATATGTAACAAACCTGCACGTTGTGCACATGTACCCTAAAACTTAAAAGTGTAATAAAAAAAGAAAAAATAATAATAATTAAATAATTAAATTAAAAAAAAGAAATGTCTATTCAGACCTTTTGTCAATTTTTAATTGATTTATTTCCTTTTTTCCTATGGAGTTGCTTGAGATCCTTATATAGTCTGGTTATTAATCCCTTGTCAGATGGATCATTTGCAAAGATTTTTTTCCCAACCTGTGAGAAGTCTTTCCATTCTGATTATTTCTTTTGCTGTGCAGAAGATTTTTAGCTTGATGTTATCCAATTTTTCTATTTTTGCCTTGGTTGCCTGTGCTTTTGAGGTCTTACACAAAAATTATATGCCCAGACCAATGTCTTAGAGCACCTCCTCAGTATTTTCTGCTAGTAGTTTCATAGTTTCAGGTATTATATTTAAGTTTTTAATCCATTTCTATTTGATTTTTGTATGTGATGAGAGAGAGGGGCCTAGTTTCATTTTTTCTGGTCATTCAGCTTTCCCAGCACCATTTATTGAGAGTACTGTCCTATCCCCATTGTATGTTCTTGGTACTTTTGCCAAAAATGAGTTGGCTGTGAATGCATGAATTTATACTTGGGTTCTCAATTCTTTTCCATTAGTCTATGTGTCTGTTTTTATGCCAGTACCATGCTGATTTGGTTACTATAGTTTTGTATTATATTTTGAAGTCAGGTAGTGTGATGCCTCCAGTTTTGTTCTTTTTGCTCAGTATTTCCTTGGCTATTTGGAGCCTTTTGTGGTTTCATGTAAATTTTAGGATTATTTTTTCTATTTCTGTGAATAATGTCATTGGTATTTTGATAGGGATTGTATTAAGCATATAAATTGCTTTGGGTAGTATTGTCACTTTAACAATACTCATTCTTCTAATCTATGAGCAAGTAATAACTTTCCATTTTTTGTGTCCTCTTTAATTTGTTTCATGAGTGTTTTATAGTTTTCCTTGTAGATCTTTCACTTCTTTGGTTAAATTCATTCCTAGGTATTTTCTATTCTTTGTAGCTATTGCTTTTTAATTTCTTTTTCAGATTATTCACTGTTCACATATATAAATGCTACTGATTTTTGTATGTTGTTTTGTATACTGTAAACTTACTGAATTTGTTTATCAGTTCTAAGAGTTTTTTGGTGGAGTCTTTAGGATTTTCTAAGTATAAGATCAGGTCATCTGCAAACAAGGCTAATTTGACTTCCTTTCCTCTTCCAATGCTCTTTATTTCTTTCTCTTGCTTAATTTACCTGTTGATTTTCTTTCTTTTTTTTTTTTCCCCTCCTGCTAGGTCACTACCTCCTTTTCAGCACTAAATGATGCCTTAAGCCCAGCTTTGCCTTTACTGCAGTAAACAGAGTGCCACCCATCTTGAATAGGGGAGGTCACAAAAAGCATAACCCAGTAATGTGTGCAGGCTGGCTAGGGGTTCATGCCCAGGGGACCTATGGAATGAACCCCCTAAAGTGTGGTGCTGCTGAACAGCCACTTTGCTTTGCTGTTTCCTTTGGCCAAGTTCCAGAGAAGAGTTTCCAGAGCTGGGGATGGTGGTCCCATTTCCCTCCCTTAGTCTCTGGCTGTCCTCAGGAATATTTCTCTCTTCAGGTACTCTCAATGCTTCCATGGATTGAAGCAGGAATAGGTCTCCTGCCAGGCAACCCAAGATGGTGGAAAAACTTGCTGTCCACCTCGACTTCATTTTTTCCAGTGTGGAAACTATGAATTGGGAGCAAATTTTTCACGTTTGTGCTGGGCAGATTGAGCAGGGGGCATTGTGGACATCCAATTCCTTTCCCATCTTCTTGGACTTTTTTCACTTCTCTGTGGCCCCAGAAACTGTCCCCTTCTCATATTTGAGCTCTGGGATATTGCTGGTGATAATCTCAGTGTTGTATATTTGTTTTTGGTTTTCTATTGTGAGGAGTGGAGCCAGCTTACTTCTATGCCACCAATTTGGAATCCTAGGATTCACTAGTTTTATCATATTCCTCACCTTCCAGATCTGATGAACTTCTGTAACAACCTTTTGACAGGGAAGAACCTTTTGATTTTGACATCTTAAAGAAGATACCCTAACAGAATCAGATTTCATTCTCCAGGATGTAACTTGTACCCAAAGTCAATAACATATTCCCCATGAACAAGTCTAAGAATCCAGGGTTGGGGTAGCATTACTTGCAGTGATTGAAGGAATTTCTGCATTCTGTTTCTGCAGCTCTAGGTTCTGTAGGTCTAAAGGTGCTGGATCCAAAAGTTATGATTATTTTCACCAGGAGATACAGCAAGAATCCTATTAAACTGTAAGCTATCATTGCGGCCCAGTCACTTTGTTCTTCTTACACCAAGAAACTAGCAGGCAAGGAAAGGAGTCACCATCTTGGCAGTGGTAATTGATCCAGTTCTTGGGGAAGTTACACAATGAGGACAGGGAATACTATGACACACAGGTGATTCACTGGAGCATCTCTTGGTATTCCTCTGGCCAATCTTCAGTAAATGTACTCAAATAGCAGCTATTGCCTGAGATGGGCATGGTGACCAGTACCTCAACACTCAAGAATAAAGACTGATTGCCCTCTCAGCTTAGCCACCAAGACTATCAGAGATATAATAGAGAGTGAAAAGAATCTAGAATGGGTAATGACAGAAGATGAAGGACACCAGTTTTGGCTTCGAGATCAGCTACAGTGGTGGGGCTACAGTTCACTCTATTACCATATTGTAAGTTTTCATATAAAGATAAACCAACCAAAATCCTGAGGCTATTTCCACATGTGTTTAACTCCCTCTGGAAGAATATTCAAGTGTTGTAATGATACGACTGTAGGGATGCTTTGATATGCCTCTGAGATCCCCTTTCAGGATCAAGGTACTTATTTTTCTAGCTGCAGAATGTTGGCTGTTGACAGCTCATACTCAAATCCCTCTCCAGCAATCTCCCTCTGCCAAAGGGAGATACCTTACCCAAGTTTACATCACTGCCTGGCACATATCTAATAATTAGTTATAAGTTGGACCCTCACTCTCTTTCCTCAATGTGTTGAAATATAAAGGGCTATCTCAGCTCCAACATTATCAGTAGGTTTGTCTGAGACCTCTACTGCAACTGCATTATGGTTCAACTTTTCTCCCTGCTAAATTCTGCTTTCCTCACCCCTCAAAGGTGTTAATTCCAAAAGCACACCCAAATAAACCTTTTGCATGCAAACCTAAGAGACTCTAAGTCTGTTTAGTCGCACCGTCAAACACAGAGGAAAAGATACAGAGGCTGGCAAGAGGTATGCTTAACATAAAAAAGAAACTGTTAATAGAGGATTTTAAAGTAATAGATCAGCTTGAATTGGAGATAACCTTTAAGCCATTATTCACATATACTTGAAAGGCTAGCTTTGGTCCCAACAGAAATGTACAAGTGGGTATCATCTTTTGAAAATATGTGGGAAGGTTTCTTGATTTTTCTATACTGTTGGCACAATGCCAGGGCAAAATGCCTTCAACAAATGAGAATCCCAACCTCTCTGATAACAAAGCCTCAAGACCTTAGAGAAAAATGGTAGATAAAAACATCATTAACTCAGTTTTTGATTTAGATTGGTCTTCTAAGACATTCCCAAAGAACTAGTTTTAAACCTAGTTCCCCAATGCATGGATAAGCATATCTCCCCAACAACAAACTTTTAGGTGGAATCTCTGATCTCCCCCTTGCCCCCCACTGCTCCCATCACACACACACAGATCACTGTTACTCTTTGCTTGCCTTTCCTGTGACGAAATGGCCAAAATCCAGATGACCCAAGATGATCTGAACAACTTTTTGGAGAAGTAAAACCTTTGTGGAATGTCAATTCTCTCATCCAACTTTCCATTATTCTCAGCTTATTTATTCTACGTGTGTATTCTCCAGTTGTCTTTGTACTCTGGCTTCCTAGTAATTTAAAACATTAAAAAAAACTTTTTATTTAGATTTTCAGAAAACTTATAAAAATAGAACAGAGTGTTCCTGTATATTTTTCACCCAGCTTTCCCTAATATTAACATCTTACATAACCACAGTACTCTTGTCAAAACTAAGAAATTAACGTTGGTAAAATACTATTAACTACAGTACACACTTTATTTGGATTTCACCAGTTTTTCCACTAATGTCATTTTTCTGTTCCAGGATCCAGTCCAGGATAATACATTACCTTTAGTCGTCATGTTTCCTTAGTCTTCTCCAATCTGTGACAGTTTCTCATTCTTTTCGTGTGTGTGTGTGTGTGTGTGTGTGTGTGTGTGTGTGTGTGCCTTTGGTTTTTTGGTTTTGGTTTTTTTTTGTTTTTTTATTTTGGTGACCTTTCAGTTTAAAGACTACTCTTCAGTGATTTTGTAGAATGTTCCTCAATTTGTGTTTGTTTCATATTTTCTCGTGATTAAGATAGGATTTTCAGATGCTGGGAAGAAAACCTAGTGGTGATATGGCCTGATCAGAGGGTCCCTGAAATCAACATAACGTATCACTGCTGCTGCTAACCAGCTTTCTCCACTCTGCTCTCTTTTGCCTTTCCATACTTTATGTTTCGGAAATAAGTTAGTAAGTCCAGCCCACATTCTGTGGGAGGGGTTTAAGCTCCACCCCCTGCAGGGGGGTATCTACATGTTTTATTTGGAGTTCTTCTGTGCTATATGGAAAGTCATTTGGATCTCGAAGAGCATTGTGTGGACCACCAGTTCCAGCCCCAGAGAAAAATAGCAACTTCCCATCTCCTCCATCAGTGACCCAAAGACTGGTTTGTGGGGCTGGGTGGGGACAGGTCACAGCTTTTCTAACATCTTGACCTCTCCTATGTCACCTGCTGTGCCTCCCAGAGACTGATAACAAATACTTTCTCCTGATAGGCTCCTTTTTACCATGCAAACCACTCAGAGAAATAGTTTTAAGAGTAGGACAATGAGGGAGAGGTTTTTCTAGAAGCACCCACACAATTTTATCTGAAGCTTGACTAAGTGGGGACCATCCCACAAAAATGCAATGATGTAAAAGTATTTTGTAAACCTTAAAGTACTATAATGTTATTATTATCATTATTACTTCCTCCATGCTACTGTGTGAGCTACATACAGGAAGTTAGAATGTATCACCATGGAATTAAGGTGATGAGAATTTCCATTCCTGTCCAGGGGACTTGATTCACACCCCACAGGTACCTCCTCCTCAGCATTCTTTCATGCTAAGGCTGGCCCTGTCACCTCCTTGGTCTCATTAAGCAACAACTTTATGTTTCTGAACACACACCGCAATTCCTGCTAGAGGCAACATTTATCTAGCGGATCAGATGCAACCAGCCAGAAACAGAGCCCAGCAGCAGCCAGCAGTCTTTTCAAACTGTTTGAAAATGCACTTTAAAAAATAAAGGCAAGCAAGACAGAAGACTGGCCTCCCTTCGCTTCCCCAGCCCTGGGGGAGCCCTCCGATGGCTCACTCTCAGGGAGCACAGAGCGCAGCTGACAGCCGTGCCTGAAGTTTACAAGGTGTAGAGGAAAAACTGGCTAATATTGATTTCTGAAACAGATACAGGAACTAATGGCAGAATTTGCTTGACTGTGGGTCTCCTGTGGCTACTGGCAGAAAGGGAGGACAGAGGCAAAGCATTTGCGAAAATATTCTCCTGTTGTCCTTCCCAGCCTTAGTCTCTGGCTGCAGCTTTCTTGGTGAACACTTTGGCCTAACATAGAGGCTTCCTGATTGCAGGGCGGGGGACTCGACAGAGGGCCTGAGGTACAAAGGGGCTTCTGCAAAGGTTCTGCTTCAGCTGTTCCAAACTGTTCTTTGATGCTTATTGTCTGTATGGAAAGGACCTGCACGGAAACGTCCATTTGGGCTTGTTTGAAGGGTGGAAGCAGGGGAAGAACAGGTGGTGCAATTCCTCTTCAAAAAGCAAAGAAAAGAAAACAAGCAACAAACACAACACTCTTGGCTACTCTTCTCTCCACTGCTAAAAACCTTTAAAAGACTATCTCCAGTCCCTGCAGGCATCTATGGACCTGATCTACTTCCTCCAAATAGAAAACTAAACTCTTCTTTCCTCTCCTCCTTCTTGACTCGTTCAAAGCAGCTGTATGTGTCACTCGCTACACCCCATATCCAGCCATTCCCAGGCATGGGGAGGCCCATCAGAGAGGCTGTGTCCACAGAATGTGTCCAAGCAGTGGTTGTCCACTCATTGCCCATTGCACAGCTGATCTTCATGGTGACCTGCTCATTCTCACCTTACTATGGCTTTGAGAGTTTTCTGGTGGGGACTTAGGGTAGCCAGAAATGACCAGAAGCTGCTAACAGAGCTTCTACCCTGCAGACAGGACAAGTGGATGAGGGTCTCTGCTTGGGGTCAGGACTTAACTTACCTCATAGCTCTCAGCAGAACCCACTGAAAATATCAGAAAGCTCTTGCCCTGGAGGAGTGAATAGATGCCACTTGTGGAAAAGATACCCTGGTCTGTGGTTGTCAATCAAATCTCCATGAAGCTTGCACAAGACACACACTGCAGTGGGTTAGGTGCAACTGCTGCACACACTGAAACTCCTCCACCTTCCCTCCCACTCAAGGAAGTGGATCGTAAGAGAATGTCGCATGTAAGAGAATGCGAGCCACGCTATCTTAGCTTTAACTTTGAATTCACAATCATGTATTGAAATCATTATTTTCTCACTTTGGTATTTATTTGCTACAAATAATTCACAAAGCAACTTCTGACAGTGGATTATGGGAGCACAATGAGGAAACCGTCCCAGAGAGTGAGTGACATGTTGGCAGAGCGGGGGGAGGGGGCGGTGAAAGGAGAGTCACGTGTCTAACAAGAGAATAAGACAGAATTTTTCTATGTTTCCTTCCTTTCCACCCTCGCCATAGTCTTTGATCTAGATTTACCCTTCCATAAATGTAGAAAGGCCAGAGAAAGGACCAAGAAGGCTCTTTATTTCTAACTGGGAAAATAAAAATAAAAGATGTCTTTAAGATGTCTAGAAATAAGCTGATGAAGAAAATGTGAGTCTTAAGTGTGTTACTTAACTGAACATTATGTCACATAACCTAACTGCATAATATTTTTGGAATCTTTGGAGAGAATGGAGAGAGAACTGTTAGCATCCTTTTTAAAAAGTTTCGGCCAGGTGCTGTGGCTCACGCCTGTAATCCCAGCACTTTGGGAGGCCAAGGCGGGCGGATCACGAGGTCAGGAGATCGAGACCATCCTAGCTAACACAGTGAAACCCTGTCTCTACTAAAAATATAAAAAAATTAGCCGGGCGTGGTGGCAGGCACCTGTAGTCCCAGCTACTCGGGAGGCTGAGGCAGAAGAATGGCGTGAACCCAGGAGGCAGAGTTTGCAGTGAGCCGAGATCGCGCCACTGCACTCCAGCCTGGGAGACAGAGCGAGACTCCATCTCAAAAAAAAAAAGTTTCACAAGAGATTACCCATCTCCTTGCATCTCCCTGCACCATCATGGCAATGGTTTCACTATGTCAGACTTAGTAAAGGAGTTTCCCCAAACCAAGTAGGCAGTAGCAGTATCCCTTTGGGAGACATTAATGTGTATGAGATGGATTTTGAAACTTGAAGCATCAGAGAAACAATGCAGAATATTTAAACGGTCTCACTATTTGGTGGGAGAATGACTCAGGCTCAAATTAGAAAATAGTCAAATAGAAAAATCCAGATGGGCCTGAAGAGAGTGGTGGAAGAAATTTGACTGCCAATCATCTCTAATTCACCTCCTACTTCTTCTGGAGCAAAAGAAGAGACTGAAGCTCTCACAGTGCTGTGAATGAAAACAAATTCTGGAAACAAAATTAGCATGAGTCAGAGCAGAGCAGTCTGGAAGACTGGGTTGGCTGGGCACATTCCCCAGCTGACTCCATTCACAACAGGGGAGAGAGGAAGCTGGCCACGTGGCTCCTAGTGGCGGAGGTGTGGGTGAGGGACAGCATGGACCGGAAGCCCCACAGACAAGCAGAAAGCAGAGTCGTGACAGACCCAGGAGGGGTAGTACCTGGGCATAAGCCTGGATGCTATGAGTTTGAAGATACTCTAAGGTCAAGTGGGCAGCCCAGCACTGAGGCACAGATACCATGGTTAGGAGTTACCAAGTAAGCAGAACTAAATATGACACTATTTTTACACACACACACACACACTCACATGTGCATACTGTGAGCCCCTTGAGGACAGGAATATCACTTACACCCTCTGTATTCCAGCACCTATGACAGTGCCAGACAATAGAGGTGCTTTTGACATTGAAAATGAGCAAGGGAGTCACATCAAATGGGCAGCAGGGCCTGGGAAGATCCAGATGCAGATGTTGAGTCAGGCACGATGGTTGGCCAGTCTGAACTGGCTTTGGGGGATAAGCTAGGAATCAGAGGGAACAGAAGTGTTGCAGGCAGCTGAGGATTAGAAATCCTGTCAGCTGGTCCAGGCAGCCATGCTGAGGCTCTAGCAGTAAGGGCTGTCAACATTGAAGCCATCTTTCAGCATGAGGCACTATAGCACCGTGTTTAAGAGTGCGGGGCTGGGCACAGTGCCCCTGGGCTGGTGTCTCTGGCTGCTGCATACTCACTGTGAAACTCTGGGCCACTTATTCTCTCACTGTTCAATTTCTGCAACTGTAAAATTAGAATAATAATAGTGCTTAGCATAAAGGGTTGTTGTGAAGACTAAATGAGTTTTTATATATTAAGTGTTTAGAGCAGTGCCTGGAATATAGTAAGTGCTCAATAAATATTAGCTATTACTCTAATTATCCTTCTCCTCCATTCAGAAAGTTTCTGTGCGCTTTGTGGCAGGGTAGACTGAATCCCAGGACCAGACTACCATGGCTCTGTTAGGAATGTAAGCTAAGGTGCCTCCCAAATGTCTATCCTTCTCTGTTGCTTTTTTGCTTTTTTCTTTTTAAGTGGACTGCAACAGTAGCCTCCTCTCTGGTCTGACTTTCTGCCTTTAGTTCTAGACTTATCCAGCCAGAAACAATCCTTCTAAAATGAAAATCTGATCAGACAATTTTACTTGCCTGCCTAATATTATTCATAATATCCCTTTGCCCTCAAGATCTTTTGGATTTCCTTACCCAAAAAGGGTAGGAGAACTCCTTGAATAAATTGCTCACTCCAGGACTGGGGACATACACAAGATGAACCTGGAGCATCTTGTAGTGCCAGAAAGTAACAAAATGCTAAAAAAAAAAGAAAGAAAGAAAAAAAGAAAAAAAGGCTACAATGATGGGGTATGTCAAAGGGACACAGGAATCAACTTGAAAGAGTTTCCAATGACCAAAGCTGGAACAATTTGAACAACAAAATAAATAAAGTAGTATTGGATTATAACTCAAAGTACAAGATAAATATCCATGAGTTCATACTGATATAAGTAAATGATTGAATAAATAAATTAATAGAGGAGAAGAGACAAATCTCTCCTGCAGAAGAATTCCAAATAAATTGTGTAGATATTTTACCCTTAAGGAGAGGGGAGTTTGGGCTGTGCATAGTGAATTCGTAAGTGAGCAATAATGATAAGAGGGAAAAAAAATGGTAGCTTTATAGTGAAGAAAGATGGAAAACACTACCTTAGCCAGATAATCAAGATCAACATTAGCAGTGTAATTGATAAGTAATAAAGTTCATGTTAATGGTATGTACCCTTGATACAATGTGATAAAAATGGCACTTTATTTCTGGGGTCTTCCTCCCCAAAACTCATAATGCCAGTCTAATCTTGAGAAAAACATCAGACAAATCCAAATTGAGGGAACATCAATGTTCACCTTGTGTATTTCTTGGGTCCTGACTGATACTCCTCAAAACTGTCAAGGTCATAAAAAACCAGGAGTCTGATAAATTGTCACAGTGAAGAGGAGCCTAAGGAGAAAGGATAACTAAATGTAATGTGGCATTCTGGGACAAAAAAGAACATTAGATACAAACTAAGGAAATCTGAATAAAGTATTGACATTAGTTAATAATAATATGTCAACATTGAAGGTCAGATGCGGTGGCTCACGCCTGTAATCCCAGCACTTTGGGAGACCGAGGCAGGCGGATCACTTGAGGTCAGGTTTGAGACCAGCCTGGCCAACATGTTGAAGCCCTGTCTCTACTAAAAATACAAAAATTAGCCAGGTATCGTGGCTCCTGCCTGTAGTCCCAGCTACTCGGGAAGCTGAGGCATGAGAATTGCTTGAACCAAGGAGGACGGAGGTTGCTGTGAGCCAAGATCATGCCATTGCACTCCAGCCTGGGTGACAGAGCAAGACCCTGTCTCACAATAATAATAATAATAAAGTCAACATAGGTTCATCAGTGACAAATGTACCACACTAATATTGATGCTAATAATACAGGAAACTGCATGTGGGTTTGTATATGGAAACTCTCTGTACGGTTTTCCCAATTTTTCTGTAAATCTAAAATTGTTCCAAAAATTAAAGCTTATTAAAATTAAAAAAAAAAGATAGGAGGGGATAACAAAGATAAACTTTATACCTGTTTCAGAACTCTGGAAGGCCCAGATACCATCAGACCAAACCCATTCTCAAATTAGCAGCAACATCTCTTCTAGGTGCACTCCAACTCTGAGTTCTTTAGGGAGGTAAAAAAAGCGATTACCTCTTTCTCCTTTTAGAACACAGAAAGCACCCATCTTCTTTGTTCTATCCTACATAGGCAGCAGGACATGGGATTGATGGACAATTTGGGTTCTGGAATGAGGCAGACTCATTTGCCATGAACTCAGGAAAATTCTAAGCCTCTCTGGACCTGTTTCCTCCTTCATAAAATGAAAATAATGCTTACCACATAGAACTGATGAGATAATATGATGAGATACTGTATAAACAATGTTTAACAGAGTGCCTGGTAGATAACGATTAAGAAGTGTCATCATCTATCTCACTCCTCTCAGACCTTGCCAGTAGAACCCGGGGTCCAGACAGTACATGCAGGAAAAACAGAAATGATGTCTGCTTTCTAGAACTTTCTTGTCAAAACCAAGGTGGACAGACATAGAGTTAGCAGAGTAATTGTCTAAGTAACTTGGTCAGAGTTAGTTGAGGAACCCAAGCTGCAGTTATTATGGAACTGCTTTTAGAGGCTGCGGATTTGGAAAGGAAGCCACATTGAGACTTGCTATTTACCCTGAGGGCACCTGCTTGATTTCTGTGGGATCAGGAAGCTCTGTTTTTAATATGTTCCAGCCAGTTTTCAGCCTACACAATGACTACAATCAGATCCAAACTAGTTTCAGCAGAATTTGCCAATAAAATGTCATGAGACTACAGAGCGGATTCCTTATTATTTCAATAAATCTAGACACACATTACGGTTTTACCAACAACTCATCATGTTTGTGATTTTAACACAAACAGCAATAGAGTGTGTCCAGTGTGATGTGTTCTCACCATTCTGAAGACCACCCTGTTGCTTGAGCATAATTTTCTTCTTCCCGCGGGTGCTTACCAAGGCTCTCCTTTGGGACAGTTTGGCTATTTGACCAGGTAGAGATGTCAGTGGTGGTCATTGCTGACATCACTGTACTTCCTTTCCTCTGAGGACCAGAAGAGCAACTCCCTGTCTGTCTCTATCCAGCTGGGCAGTTTCCTGGCAGAACGGAGCAGCTCAGGAATGCCAGGTCTCGGGGTGGTTTCCAGCCACTCAGGCCCCTGCTTGTGGCCTGTGCTCCTGCACCCACAAACCAACCTCTCTGAAAGGCACCGAATGGAAGATTCCCCATGGATCATCAGGCAAAGCTCAAGCTATCTTGCAGGATGCTGTGCAATCCTGCTTTTTTCTAGAATTTAGAATTAGAATAACATTCTACTTTGTTTATGATTAAATATTACCGGCATGTTCAGTAGGCAAACGAGTTACACTACAATATCGAGCAGACTCTGTGTATTTACAGTGAATCTGCTGTGTTAAATCTGCTGTGTCTACATCAAGGTTGGATCTTTAGCATCTTCAGAAGAGGGCCATTTATAATGTTTTCTTCTTTCTTTTAGCATTTTATTTTCTGTTTTAGGTGCCTTACAATTTTCACAATAGTTTCAACAGTTTATATTTTAAAGTTTTCTTTCTTTCTCTTTCATTTTATTTCTTTCACATTATATAGTTAGTTCTGTGTTCATGCAGGGGAAGTAATGAATGAAACAGCTAGCTGATAAATTCTATTAAAGCACAATAAAAATTTGGGTCCTTCTGGATAAATGAAAGTTTCCATGATGAATTTCTCATGCACTCCACTCCATTATAAATAATTGGTTAATTCTACTCTAACCCCATAGGGGAAAGGTAATGAATGTTTATTGAGTATCTACTATGTGGTAGTCACTATGTAAGGTGCTTTACAGGAATAATTTCATTTGGAGTAAGGATTAGCAACAATTATGACAAATTTGTAATTTATTTGGTTTTCAGACAGTTTAATTTATGTTTCCCTGAATATACTCACAATAATGCACAAGAACAAAACACCTGACTGGTGCATTAATACATGACCTCCATGAGGGCAGTATTCTCCTACTGAATCTAGCATTTTAACATATTGGCTACTTGGTAAGTGTTGTTGGCTTGGATATATTATCTCAATTTTAAATATTTGTATCAATGCATCTCTATTCATACACAATCATATAAAGGAATCTTATAAAAACTAAGTTAATATTGAACATTATTCAAATGTATACAGGCATTTTGGAATAATTTCTTCCATTTAGATACGTCTTTATCCAATATTTGGATGTCTTGGTAACAAAACAAGAACTAAACCAATATTTGAGCTATTTAAAGGATCAGGTGACAGGCTAACTCACTCTAAATACTCTTTTGGTTTCAGAAAACTCAAACGGCAAGTAAAAATAAAATACCATCAAACGCTCTGCCTGCATTAAAGTGCCTAATAAACTCAGGTTCCCTCACTTCCACAGTAGGTCACACTTGCCTATCATGCATGATAGACTCAGGTCACACTGCATCACATATATGGAAGAAACAAAGCATTCATCTTTCAATCAAAATGGATTTATTAAAAATCCATTGTAGGCCTACCTGTAGCGTATGACCTGAGGATCACAAAGAATGAATAAGACAGGGTTCCCCTTCTTGAACATATCAGACTAGCATAAAGTAAATTTAAGGGAATACAAAGTAGAATTCAATTCAACAAAAAATTTGCTTTATATATGTATACGAACAAAAACCATTAGAAACTTAATTCAGCAAATGTTTTGGGGGCACTAACTATATGCAGGGCTTAGGCAGATCCATCTTGCTCATTGAAACCCTGGATCTACAGAATAGCCATAAGGTTAGCAGGTAAACAATAAATTATAGATGAACGAAAGAATTTTACTATATGGCAAAAGCTTAAGAGAGAGTAAATTGGTAGGACAAATATATATGTGTATATATAAAATGTTAGGTAGAAAATGACCACAACGCACAGTGCTATAAAAGTATAGAAGTAGAGAAGATACTACAAATTGAACGCTAGGATTACAGGTTCGGGGGCAGATAAAATTCTTGTGAATTTTAAGGGACTGGTAGTAGGTGAGGCTGTAAAAGTTCTTGGGCAATGGGTGCCACGATGGGATTTTAAAAAACAGAACAATCTAACTGTGCTATCTGGTATAGAGAATAAATTAGAAAGTTGTGTCAAGCAGATTAGAATGAGAAGAAAACAGGCAGGAAAATTAGTTAAGGAGGGTCTATTACAATTGTATTAGAAAATAGAAAATAAGAACTTGAACCAGGATAGACAGTAGGATGGGGAAAAAAGGTTATTTTTCAAATATGTAACAAAAGTTAACTCTCTAGGTCTTGCCTGCTGAATGTATATGGAGTATTGGTGTAAGGGAGATGGAAGATAAATCTAAATTTCAGGCTGAGAAGAAGGTGGTTTCTTTAAAGTAATATATGTAATTTGGGGCTGGGTGGAGGCGGGGTGAGGTCTTACACTTTCCATTAGAGATTAGAAGTGTATAATAATTTAGTGAAGGAAGTGTTCCCTCTGAGCTGGTGAAGCCAGGGATAGTGAGATTCTGGGACATGAGCTGAGCTGCACAGGAAGACAAGAACATTATTGTTCAGAAAAGTGAAGAATAGGCAAGTTAATCAAACTCTGTTTACATATTGATTATTGACAGAGGTTATTTAACCTGAGACACTTGTATTCATTCAAGCAATTATTTAGGGGTTAGGTCTACACAATAACACTGGAATATTTTGTAATAACCTAGTAAATTATGAGTTGTGAGTTTTTTTAATCTGGGAATTTGATATCCCATAGTAACAGCTTCAGCATTTGGCTTGTTTTTCATACTAGGGTTTTCAATCTCTATCCACGCAAGAGAGAATATTATGTGCCATCAATTTAGCTAGGATCCCATATGGAGATGATAGATCACACAAGGATATGTATTTTGGAAAATGTCATTTTCCGAATAAATTTTTATTTAAGGCTAGATATCAGAAAAATTAAGATCTTCAGAACAAAAGGAGACGAAAAATTATTTTGTTCATTTTGGAAGTGACTTATAAATGTTCTAAATTATGTCTAGTAAGTAGGGGAATATTTATAAAGCACAGAAAAATGAATGAAAGCATAATAAAATAAGAAAGCAGTGAATCATCTTTGTTTCATTCTGACATTGAAAAATGGTTAATTCCGGGAAAAAAAAGAAAAAAACCCTTACAACTGTTTCTACCAATAAGACCTACTTTGGCAAATGTCATTATTGGGGTTAATAGTAACATGTCTTAGCTAATTTTAAAATTGTATTTTGTTTAATGTTATAGATCAAATTTTACTGTTTTGATCACAGACCACTTTGAGGATTTCATAAAAGCTACATACACCGTCCTCAGGAGAATATACAAACTTCAAATCAATAAAGATGTTGCATAAATGGTCTCCAAGTTAACATCCCTGGCTGTAAGAATCCATTCTATGGCTTAAAGTAGCAACTCAAATGAGGCTTTCATTTGCAGTGGCTAGATGAATGAAAATATGGCTCTTAAGAATATATCAATGTAGGCTGGGCACGGTGGCTCATGCCTGTAATCCCAGCATTTTAGGAGGCCGAGGTGGGTGGATCACGAGGTCAGGAGTTCGAGACCAACCTGGTTAATATGGTGAAACCCCATCTCTGCTAAAAATACAAAAATTAGCTGGGCATGATGGTGCATGCCTCTAGTCCCAGCTACTCAGGAGGCTGAGGCAGAAGAATCACTTGAACCCAGGAGGCGGAGGTTGCAGTGAGCTATCGCGCCACTGCACTCCTGCCTGGGCAACACAGCGAGACTCTATCTTAAAAAAAAAAGAATATATCAACGTAATGTTATTTTGTCCTTGCTTAAGTTTGATGCTATGATAATAATTTTCCTAGTCCTACATATTCTTTAAATAATTTTGTTTTCTTTATAAAAGTTATTTGTGGGCTTCAGATGGGAGACGAATCTCTATCTAATAATCCATAAATATAACAGGACCTAATTCAATCCATGTAGGATTCAACGTGTAATTGGCATAGTGCCTGGCTCTGGTGTTGCAGCTCCCAAACTGTGCAGAGAGCTCGAGATGGGGATGCAAACTCATGGGGCAGCAACATGTGTCAGACCCCATGAGAACTACTAGCTCAAGGTAGTTCACAAGTTCATGGTAGATCACACCACGTCCTTTCCAGAGATATCATGACTTTGTAAATCTGGGTTCTGGCATTAGCTGTGATAAAAAAAGGAAGTACTGCATGAAAATCAACATGGAGCAGGAAATGACAGTTGTGGATTTCCATCTGATTCCAAGGTTTAAGAAGTTGTACAATGCCCAACAAGCACACATATCCCACTAGTAATTAATTGTGGTTATTTAGGAATGAAATAAATATATTATTTTTACCTTCAATCTGAATTTTTTTCTAAAAGACTACTGAATTTTTAGGACATAAATTTTTTGGGGAGGTGGGCATGGACGATTTAATAAATAGAACCATCAAGCATTTCTTTTGACCTACAGGCACAATGAAAAACTTGCTAACATGTTAGGGGAACCATGAGCCAAAAATTTTGGCAATGAGTTTCTTAGAGGGAAACTAACTTAAATGAGACCAGCTCTCTGCCTTCCACTTGCTCAGAGAGACATATGTACTGCTAACCACTGTTAAAAGTAAACTAGGATATTTGCCATAACCAAAATATAGACAAAATTCAAAGACCTAGGAATTCTCATGTGTCCTTCTGTTAGAAGCAAAAAAAGGGAGAATCAAAGCGCCATTGAGTTTAGCCTTTTTTAAAGAAAAAGTAAGATTTCAATAGGTAGGAAAGAAAGGAAGAACATTCCTTTGTGAGGGAACAGTATGAACAATGGCTTAAAGGCATAAAATGAATATTTTATTTGGTTTGTGAGAAGGAGTCTAGCGACTGGAAACAGGAAAGGCAAGGAGTGGCAGGAGATGACCGTACTGAGAGGGCTGTGATATGGTTTGGCTCTGTCCCCACCCAAACCTCATCTTGAATTCCCATGTGTTGTGAGAGGGACTCTGTGGGAGGTAATTGAATCACAGGGGCAGGTCTTTCCTGTGTTCTCATGATAGTGAATAAGTCTCACAAGATCCAAGAGTTGTATAACGGAGAGTATCCCTGCATAAGCTCTCTCCTTGCCTGCTACCATCCGTGTAAGATGTGACTTGCTCCTCCTTGCCTTCCACTATGATTGTGAGGCCTCCCCAGCCACATGGAACTAAAAGTCCATGAAACCTCTTTCTTTTGCAAATTGCCCAGTCTCAGGTATGTCTTTATCAGCAGCATGCAAATGGACTAATACAGTAAATTGGTACCAGTAGAGTGGGGCCCTGCTGAAAAGATATCTGAAAATGTGGAAGTGACTTTGGAACTGGGTAACAGGCAGAGGTTGGAACAGTTTGAAGGGCTCAGAAGAAGACAGGAAAATGTGGAGAAGTTTAGAACTTCCTAGAGACTAGTTGAATGGCTGTGACCAGAATGCTGATCAGGAAATGGACAATGAAATCCAGGTTGAGGTAGTCTCAGATGAAGATGAGGAACTTGTTGGGAACTGGAGCAAAGGTGACTATTGTTATGTTTTAGGAAAGAGACTGGGGCCTTTTGTCCCTGCCCTAAAGATTTGTGGAACTTTGAACTTGAGAGAGATGATTTAGGGTATCTGGCAGAAGACATTTCTAAGCAGCAAAGCATTCAAGAGGTGATTTGGATGCTGTTAAAGGCATTCAGTTTTAAAAGAGAAACAGAGCACAAAAGTTGAGAGAATTTGCAGCCTGTAGAAGAGAAAATTCCATTTTCTGAGGAGAAATTCAAGCTGGCTGCAGAAATTTGCAAAAGTAATGAGGAGCTGAATGTTAATCACCAAGACAATTAGTAAAATGTCTCCAGGGCATGTCAGAGACCTTTGTGACAGCCCCTTCCATCACAGGCCTGGAGGCCTAGGAAGAAATAATGGTCTTGTGGGCCGGGCCTAGGGTCCCTCTGCTGTGTGCATTCTAGGGACTTGGTGCCCTGCATTTCAGCCACTCCAGTCATGACTAAATGGGGCCAAGGTACTGCTCAGGCCATGGCTTCAGAGGGTGCAAGCCACAGGCCTTGGCAGTTTCCATGTGGTGTTGAGCCTGTGAGTGCACAGAAGTCAAGAATTGGGTTTTGAGAACCTCTGCCTAGATTTCAGAGGATGTATGAAAATGCCTGGATGCCAAAGCAGAAGTTTGCTGCAAGGGCGGAGCCCTCATGGAGAACCTCTGCTAGGGCAGTGCAGAAAGGAAATGGGGGTGGTGGTGGTCAGAGTCCCACACAGAGTCCCTACTGGGGCACCACCTAGTGGAGCTGTGAGAAGAAGGCCACTGTCCTCCAGACCCCAGAATGGTAGATCCACTGACAGTTTGCACCATGTGCCTGAAAAAGCTGCAGACATTCAATGCCAGGCCACGAAAGGAGCCGGGATGGAGGCTGTACCCTGCAAAGCCACAGGGGTGGAGCTGCCCAAGAACATAGGAACCCACTTCTTGCATCAGCATGACCTGGATGTGAGACATGGAGTCTATGGAGATCATTTTGGAGCTTTAAGATTTGACTGCCCCACTGGATTTCAGATGTGCATGGGGTCTGTAGCCCCTTTGCTTTGGCCAATTTCTCCCATTTGGAATGGCTGCATTTACCCAATGCTTGTTCCCCTATTGTATCTAGGAAGTGCTACATGTTGTGGAAGGGACCCAGTGGGAGGCAACTGAATCATGCCGGCAGGTCTTTCCCATACTGTTCTCATGATAGTGAATAAGTCTCATGAGATCTGAGGGTTTTATAAGGAAGAGTTTCCCTGCACAAGCTCTCTCTTTGCCTGCTACTATCCATGTAAGATGTGATTTGCTCCTCCTTGCCTTCTGCCATGATTGTGAGGCCTCCCCAGTCATGTGGAACAGTAAGTCCATTAAATCTTTCTTTTGTAAATTGCCCCTTCTCAGGTATGTCTTTATCAGCAGCATGAAAAATGGACTAATACAGGCTGCATTTTTTTTTTGCCATGGACAATGGGAAGATATTGAAAGTTTCTGGGTTAGGAAGTAGTACGATCAGAATTGTGCCTTAGAAAGCTAACGATTAGTGATGTGAATGATAAGTGGGAGACTGGGAGTGAGGATAGAGAAGTATTAAAAATAACTGTAGTTTCCAGCTTGGATAAGTCCTCTTCCTTGCAAACTATGCTTTATTAACCTATGTATTCATAGTAATTAGTACAAGCCTGGTAATTTGAGGCACTGAATAAATTTTCTATTTGAGGTACCTGGGAGGACGGAGAATTAGCTCATGGTAACCATGGAGAAATATCCTTCAGTTCAGAAGAGAGGTCAAACTTATGTCCATTTTAGAGTCATTTTGTCAAGGAACTGACAAAATAAAATTTCACAGAGAGCAAATATTGACAAAAAAAGAGGAGACACCCAGTGACAGATCCCTGGGGAACATGGGAAGAGGATGAGCTGCCAGAAGGGACGGAGAAAGATGGAGAGGGCATGGAAGAGGTGAAAATCAGGAGTGCTCCCCTAGGAGGAGTAGGGTGGACTGTCAAGATAGAGAGGGTAGTCTATGATAGCAGATGGAGGCAGGCAAACCCTGTAAGGAAGCTACCAGATGTGGTCATGAGCAGGTTGTTTGTGACTTTGGAGTGGACAATTTCAGTAGGTTTGAGAGGCAGATGCCAGATTGCTGTGGAGGCAACCAGAGAGTCTCCTCTGTAGAAATTTGGCTATGAAATGTGTCCGGAGTGAGAGCTTTAGGTGAATAGAAGTTTGAGGGAAGATGATTTTAGGATAAGAGTAGCCTGAAGGGAGAATGCAATACAGAGGAATAGAACACAAATAGGCCCGTATACAAAAAGAGAAAGTGATGAATCAAGTTTCCAAAAAGAGAGAAGGGAGAGGAATAAACACACAATGGGTTCCCTGTCTCCTTCCCTTACTTCACCCTTTCTGTTCTTCTCCTTCTTCCAGAGCCTGGGAAGGAGTGGTAAGGGCAGGCAGTGCCAGGTGTAGGAACCCAAAGATGTGGAGGGAGAGGAGGAGGGAGGCTGCTGGAACAGAGAGACACCACCCAAGGCTGCTGGAACAGAGAGGAGGGCACTGCTGTGGGGTCCAGGTCCCAGTAGGGTGAGGAAAGGGGCCGTGAAGGAGCAGAAATGGGCTGAGGAGGCCACCTGCATGGGTCAGAGCAGGCTGGGCAGGGCATACATGATGAGGCAAGACAGCCATGGCATGGAAGATTTCTCCCATTCAGGAAGATTGATGTAAATGTATTGAGAAGTAAATGTATTGAGAATAAGGGGAACTGGACTGCTCACTTTGAGAGATGGACTTTACAAATATGGAAAGGGAGAACATTAGAATGAACCCTCTGGTTTTGCATTGGAATTGAAGATATGGAGTGCATATATAAAAGTATTATATATTAATAGAAACAAACATAGGTATAACTGTGCATGTACATATAATAGTTTCACACACGTGTTCCATAGCTCTGTCTACTGAGGGGGGTGGAAAGGCCTGGGAACAGCAACAGTTCAACAGCAATGAACACATCTAGCACAAAGTTGTCTTTTAAGTAGCATTCTTTCCCAAAAGAAACCAATAGAAATGGCAGATTCCAGTGCTGTAGGCAGGGAAAAATAAGATGAAACTGGCATCTGCTGTGCCAGAAAGCAAAGAAGTGCTCATGCGGGACATATCACCATGACAAGAGGTGATCCTGAAGTGGCTTCCACTGGAAAAATGGCAACAAGTTAAGATCAACATGATCAATGATAACAAAAGATTTTAGCCATTGCGTAACATAGGCAATTTAGAGTTCATACAAATAGATAGATAGATAAATTAATTGATAGAAAGTTTTATGAGGAAGAGGATACTTATGTAATACCTCCCCACAAAAATGCTTATTAACTGCAAAGGAACAAAGAATAACTTTACAAAGAAAAGCCTGGCAATGTCACTTTATCAAGCAAGCCAAATGAACATCACCAGTTACAGGTCAAATTGAGATATTGTGCCATCTGATAGACTGCAAGGAGAACACAACCTCACTTCTGTGAGATTCGCATCTGAGATGCTTAACTGGAATCTAGTCATCAGGAAACATCAGACAAATGTGAATTGAGGGACATTCTGCAAAATAACCTGCTGATAGCCTTCAAACATGTCAAAACTTTCAAATAAGTCATGAGAGTTAAGAAAAGACTGGGAACTGTTCCAGACAGAAGGAGACTAAAGAGGCATAGCAACTAATGTGCATTCAAACTGGGTCCATTTGCTATAAAGAACATTGTTGGGACAACTGGCTAAATGCGAAAGAAGCCTGAGGATTAGAGTCCTCAGACTCTAATGAATCCATGCAGACTTCCTGATTTTGATGGTTGAATCCTGTTTATCTGGAGAATGTCCTTGTTTGTAGAAATACACATTAAAGTTGAGGGGTGATGTGATGAAATATGTTTGACAGTTTACTTTCAAGTGGTTCAGAGAAAAGAAGTTCTTAATTGTGAACTTGCAACTTTTCTATATATTTGTTTCAAAATTTTAAAAAGTATTTTCTCCCATGTTCTCACTTATAAGTGGGAACTGAACAATGAGAACACAGGGACACAGGGAGGGGAACGACACACATTGGGACCTGTGGGGGTGGGGGGAAAGAGAGCACCAGGATAAATAGCTAATGCATGTGGGGCTTAATATCTAAGTGATGGGTTGATAGGTGCAGCAAATCACCATGGCACATGTTTACCTATGTAACAAACCTACATGTTCTGCACATGTATCCCAGAACTTAAAATTTAATTTAAAAAAGATTAAAAACAATTTATTAAAAAGTGTTTTTAACCTAAAAAAAAATCTTGGTGCTTTTGCTCTTCTGCCGTTGCCATGATGAACTTCTCCCTAGGCAGTTGCTGCCTTCTCAGCCTGGGCCCTTGAATGAACACACACGGAGGAGACATGAGGTGAGCCAGACCCTAGGATATAAACCTGGCTATACCCGCAGCTTGAAGCAGAGCTGTGCAGCCAAGCCCAGCTGAAAGCAGCCAAGCCCTAGGTCTGCAACTTGAATTTTGACTGAAGGGCTACAACGCTGAAAACAGTTGGAGTAACTTTTAGTCAAAACGGAACGTTATGCTGCAGAACTGGGTCACTGAGGGAACTGCAACCTCTTCTGTGATCAGCACACAACTGACTCCAGTTCTGTAATCAGGAAGCCAGCAGGTTCAGTAAACTGCTAGACCCAGGATACTGCAGTCACTACTGCTGCTGTCTCCAGAACCCTGCTGCACCTGCAAAGATGGTCCCAGCAGAATAGAGGCCTCATGCCCTCCTTCTCAGTACCTACCAACTGGTGTTTGGACACTGGGTATCCATCACTGCTGCAGAAAACCAGACCCCTTCATGTTTCTGCTTAACAACAGGAACAGTGGAAGCAGCAAGACCAAAGCCATGACTGAGATCACTCCTTTCAAACCTCATGCAAGTGCACCTGATTAGCCAGACCCAAATTTCATTCTCATCACTATCTCCAAGGGAATCTTGGAGATGTAGTTTTTAGCTTTCAAATCTCAGTATTACATGAAGGCATGCTACAAGGAGGATGAAACTGATGTTGTGTGTCAAACCATCATACCCATCAGAGAGAGGGAGGGACGAAGGAAGAAAGAAAAAAACGGAAGGAAAGAAGGGAGGGAGGGAGGAAGGAAGGAAGGAAGGAATGAAAGAAAGAAATCGTATATTGTACTTTATTTAGACAATGGTATACTACACAGTAATGAAATTGAATAAGTTAAAGCTAAGAAAATCAACCTGTGTAAATCTCAATATAATAATGTACCAAAAGGAAGTCATAAAATAATAGTGTTAATACCATTCATATAAGGTTAAAAACACTACAAAACAATACTATATATTCTTAAAAGGAAACACAAATTTGTAGTGAAATTCTACAAGCACACATTGGAATGATGGGTCAGATTTATCTTTTCAGAGGGAGGGACATGGAAGAATGGGTTTGGGGAGAGTACACAGGGTGTCTCCATTATCTATTGCTGTGTAACAGGCCACTCCAAAATTAATGGCTTTAAAGCCACAACTACGTGTTTGCTCATGATTCTGTGGGTTGGCAACTGGGCAGGGCCTGGTTATGATGACTCATCTCTGTTCCACGTGATGTTAGCTGTGCTCACTCATACATCTTAGGCCAGTTGGTTTGTCATCTGGGGCTTGTTGTACCCAGATGTCCTCACTCACAGGTCTTGGTCTTAAGCTTTGATGCTTAGATCTCTCCCTTTCTATGAGGTCTCTCCTCACGAACCCTCTCATCCTCAAAGAGGCCAGACTGGGCTTGTTCACAAAATTACAACATTCCAAGAGAGTGAGAGAGGAAGTTGTGAAGCTTCTCCCTGAAGGCCAAGGCCTAGGCCTAGAAGTAATATAATGTTGTTCTATCACATCCTGTTGTTCAAAGCAGTAATGAGGTCAGTCCAGAGTCAAGGGATGGAGAAATAGACTCTTGATGGAAGAGCTGCAAAGAATTTGCATCCACAGTTGCTGTATCTATTATGCAATAGATAATAGAGATCCCAATAGATAATGGGAGTTCCCAATGGGTATATAATATACTATTTAAGCAAATATAGCAACAGCTATATGTGTGATTTGATAATGCTGGGTAATAGGTACAGTTGTTCACTACAAGTTTCCTATACTTGTTCTTTAGGTTTGAAATATGACTATACATTTATGTATGTTCCTTAGAGCTCAAGAGCTGTTCAAGTTCTTGCCTTACCAGAACCTAATTATTCAGCTGTCTTTTCAGTTCTAGAATATAGTTCACAGACGTCTAAAGCATTTAGTTTGTGATAAAGAACAAACTGTCTTTGGAGAAGAGTTTTATTTGAATTATAGGAGTTCATGGCTGAGCAGGAGTTGGAACTCGGTGCTTCTGGCATGTGCACTTTAGGCATCTATTTATTGCCACTGATTTTTAGAGAGGCCAAAGAGACTCTTAGGCTAAACTCTATTCAGAATTAAGATTCAGAGATGTACAGATAGAGGGTGAACTGGGATAGCTCTGGTGAAAGCCAGATTACAGAGTGGAGGGTGATGTTTCTATTGGTTCATGAGCAAGGACTGCAAGGAAAAAAAACAGGACTGGCCCAGCACACCACACTCAACAGGAGGGCCTCACTGTGAGAGAAAGTTTTAGTTCATGGCACTGTGTGGCAGCTAGTACTGAAAATGATCCCAGGTCAGTCTGTGCATCAGGAAGAGAAGAACAATTGAGAAATTAAAGGGCTGCTTTGCTAAGGACACGAATGATTTGGGGCTTAAGCAATCCTGGTTGGGAATCCCCAAAGTGATGGGACTGCAAGAGTGTTTTTCTTCTCAATTTGTCTGAGATATGATGAAATTCTGAGCCCAAAGCATATTGATGCCTGCTCAGTATTATCAAGATGGGTGGGATAAATCTCTCTTATAAATGGTGTTGGATTTGATGGCCATGTAAGAGAGGCCCACAGCCTCAGAGTGGCCTCTCTGTGGAAACAGGAGGCTGGGCTAGCCAGTCCAGACTCAGGGGTTGACCAGGTATCAGGCCAGTTTGCACACACACATAGGCACAGCCTTGGAATTCCCAGAAATATTTCAGGAGGAGAATTCTACAGAAAGCATCTTCCTCTTGTCAAGGAAAGGGAGAGCTGGAGTCCATTGAGATTGGAATTTTAATCAATTCAAGAGATACTGATTCTCAATGGCTCTAGACACTAATGTAGCATTTATATTTTGTTAGCATTAATGCAACTGACATTTAGCATCTCTTTAATTACAAGATGTTTATGGTATCTATACAGAAGTCATTTCAGATTCTAAAGCCTCAGGATACTGAAAGCATGTTTAGAATGTGCTTTCTTTAAGTACTGAATTTAGTCAGACTATTCCAGAGAGCAGACTACTCCTCCATCAGTGTTGGGGATTTGAATGGCTGTTCCTTTTATTAGTTAATCATGTGATGATGACCACCAGCTGCTTCAGTGGATCTGACGCTCTTTCCTCTTCTTCCTCTTCAACCCACAATGAATCTCAAATTCTCCTGTTTTTGATTAGCTTTATTAAGGTGTAATTTACATACAGTGAGATTCACTAATTTTAAAAGGGCAGTTTGATGGATTTTTGACAAATGCGAAAGGTAGTATAACCATGACCACAATCATGATACAGACATTTTTGTCATCCCCAAATATTTTCTTGTGCTCTTTGCCCTGGCAACCATTGATCTGCTTTCTATTACTATATCTTTTACTCTTTTAGCATTTCATATAAATGGAATCATACGGGGAGTAGTCATTTGTGTTTTTTTCACTTAGCATATTGCTTTGAATATTCATCCATATTGCCAAGCGTCGTAGTAGTTCATTCCTTTTTATTGCTCATTATTCCATTGTATGAATGTGCCATAATTTGTTTATACATTCATTCATTGAAGGGCATCTGAATTGTTTCTATATTTTGATAATTATTAATAGAGCTGCTATAAACATTCGTGTTCTGGCTTTTCTGTCAACATAGTTTTTGTTTCTCTAGGGTAAAACAGTTTGAACATCCCTAATCCAAAATCTGAAATCCAAAAGATGTCACCAAGGACATCTTTTCCCAAATCTGAAACTTTCTGAGCTCTGATATGACACCACATATCAGAGGTCAGGTGCAATATTCCACACTTTACCTCATGTGATAGGTCACGGTCAAAACACAGCTGCACAATGCACAGTTTATTTAGTATCCCCAAGGGAGAAAAGACGTTCGTAGCCCCCTTCATCTGTGATACATTTTTTTCTGCACACACTCAGATTCCTCAATGCAAGCACACTCACAAAGGGTAAGAAAAGGAGTGCAGGCTGGATACACCAATGCGGGTTCCCCATGATGTCCTGCATAGGGCCAAGACCTACATACGTGACTCACTGTGTTTTTTTTTTTGCTATATTCTTCACTCTGTGGTGTAAAGATATTGTTGAAAACCTCAAAAAGGCCCGCAGAAATCCCTATGGGTAACAGTTGATTAAAACAAAAAGAGGAAGAATTTATGTTTACCCATATCACAGAAAGTCAAGCTGTTGGAGAAATTGGATTGTAGTGTAAGTGTGAAACATCTTACAGAAGAGTGTTGTGTTGGAATGACCATTATATATGACCTGAAGAAACAGAAGGATATACTGTTGAAGTTCTGTGCTGAAAAGGATAAACAGAAGTTAATGAAAAATAGAAAAACATTTGCATAAAGCTATTAATGAAGATCTCGATCATGTATTGAAAGAGTGGGTATGTGAGTGTCACAAAGAACATGTGCCACTTAATGGTATGCTGATCATGAAACAAGCAAAGATCATCATATATTGAAGATTGAAGGGAACTGTGAATATTCAACAAATTGGTTGCTGAAATTCAAGAAAAGTCATGGCATTAAATTTTTAAAGATTTGTGGTGATAAAGCATCTGCTGATCATGAAGCAGTGGAGAAATTCATTGAAAAGTTTGTCAAGGTCATTGCTGACGAAAATCTGATGCCCGAACAAGTCTATAATGCTGATAAAGCATCACTGTTTTGGTGTTATTGCTCCAGAAAGACACTGACTGTAGTTGATGAGACAGCCCCTACAGGAATTAAGAATGCCAGGGACAGAATAATTGTGCTGGGGTGTACTAATGCAGCAGGCATGCATAAGTATAAACTTGTTGTGATAGGCAAAAGCTTATGTCCTTACTGTTTTCAAGGAGTGAATTTCTTATCAGTCCATTCTTATGCTAACAAAAAGGCATGGATCACCAAGGACATCTTTTCTGATTGGTTTCACAAACATTTTATACCAGCCGCTTCTACTCACTGCGGGGAAGCTGGAATGCATGATGCTGTAACATTTTGTTATATCTTGACAACTGTTCTGCTCACCCTCCAGCTAAAATTCTCACCAGAAATAATGTTTATACGATGTACTTTCCCCAAAATTTGACTTCATTAATTCAGCCTCTTGTATATTTATATCAATGAAGAGTAAATATAAAAACACTTTCTTGAACAAGTCTACAGCAGGGAATATAGGCATGGGTGTAGAAAGTTTTCAAAAGGAGTTTAGCATGAAGAATGCCATATTATGCTGTTGTCAACACTTGGAACACAGTGGCTAAAGATAGAGTTGTCCATGCCTGGCACAACCTCTGGCCTGCAATTATGTTCAGTGATGATGATGAATAAGGTGGTGACTTTGAAGGATTCCATATGTCAAGTGAGAAAAAATGATGTCTGTTCTTCTTACATATGCAAAAAATATACCTTTAGAGTCCATCAGAAAGCTGGAAGAAGTGGATATAGAAGTTTTTAACACTGATGAGATTCCAATCACTCATTCATTGACAAATGGTGAAATAGCCTCCAAAATGGTTCTGAATCAAGGTGATTGTGATAATAATGATGACAAAAATGACATTGTTAACACTGCAGAAAAACTGCCTATAATGAACCTGATGAAAACGTGTGATTGGCTTAGGATTAGAGCAGCATGCATTCATAACAACAAGAAATTATGTCAGTTTATAAAATCAGAGAGACTTCTAAGACAAAAAAAATTGTGGATGAAACAGATGACTCTGGAGGAAACAGCTTTAAAACTCCTCCAGTAGAGGAGGAGTTTTAACTCCTTTCTCATTCCTAGGCGACCCACTTCCTGGTCCCTCAACTGGTTCTGATGCTTTGTCTCACCTAAGAAAAGAAAATACAGTGTATGGTAACCTTTTCATCAAAACACAGCTTCATAGATGAAGACTGAAAGTCTGCTGTTGTTTGTTGCTGCTGTTTAATAGCAACAGATATTCCGGTGATGCTACTATGCTGTTTAGTTATCCTGAAACATTATTTTTTCACTATATTAATGGTGTACCCTATCTTTTAGTGCTAAGTACTTATGTGTGAATAAGCATAAGAAAATTATTGCTTATCAGTAGCATATACATTCAGAGTCATAAATAATGGTTATGCCAAACAATCACAGATTGTCCACATGGGTGGCTAGTGACACCTTTGCTTTCCAATGGTTCAATGTACACAAACTTTGTTTCATGCACAAAATTATTTAAAATAATGTATAAAACTACCTTCAGGTTATGTGTATAAGGTGTATATGAAACATAAATGAATTTCATGTTAAGAGTTGAGTCTCATCCCTAAGATATCTCATTATATATTTGCAAAAACCCCAAATCGGAAACGCTTCTAAAATTATCGCTTTAAAATAACAGCAAATATTTGCTGAAATGAAAGGAATTATAGGCTATAAAAAAGGCCTGTGGCAGGAAGAGTTGGAAGGAAAATAAACAACCTTTGTTTAATAAACAAGCCAACAATTAGGAAAAACAGAACTGATGTCTAAAGAGAGAAAAATATTCCATACAGGACATTTTCCCCCTTGTTTTTTGTATTACTCTAACTACAGTGTGTCCTTGTTATTGAGAAGTGGCTTATGTTCTTAAAATTGATGAACTCTCTCTCTCTCTATATATATACATATACACTTCCTTTCATATATATATATATATATATATATACACACACACACACACATATGACATATATCTAGATGACAGCATATAGCATACTGCAGAGTTCCTTAAAACTTAATGTGAATAGGAATCACCTGGGAATCTTGTCAACTGCAAGTTCTATTTCAGCAGATCTGGGGTAGTGTTGGAGCTTCTGCATTTCTACTGAGTTTCCGGGAGAGGAGAATATTGCTGGGTTGTAGATGTAGTGTCAGAGCACCTGAGTTCAAATTCTGCCTCCAACACTTGAAGCTGTGTAAACAAGGGCCCATTAATTAACCTATCTCAGTTTTCTCATCTGTGAGATGGGGATGATAGCAGCATACAGGTGCTCCCTAGGTGTGTTGTGAGGACTACATGAGTAAGAATGTCAAGCATTTAGACCAATGCCAGGCACATAGTAGGTGCTACATTATATTCCTCTGGTTTTCAGTAAGTTCCAACATTCAAGGCAGTCATATGTCTAACAGCTTCAAGCCACATTGATTGAGTCTTACCCAGTCTTTTAGTTTCTCCTAGGTCCTGTGCCTTACTCCTGGTGGCAGCCACCGGTTTTGCTAGTGCTGCTAATTAAGAGAGCCCATTCAGAGCCACTGAGACTGCCTTGGAAAAAGAAAACCCACTGAAAGGATGTCAAAGAGAGAGAGATTAACCATTTGATATGCTTCACCTGATGGAAATGTCACAGGTTCAGCCCCATGGTGTGACAGTAGATATTTCTACAGCCAGTAGTAATGCTGGGAAGGTGCTCAAAGAGTGCGTTTGAAAGAATTTCCAGTCTAACCCCAGGGCCCCCATGACAGCTAGGAGAGCTGCACCAATGTGCCCTTCTCTCCACGAGAACCAGGCAGTGGCTCAACCACACCAGCCAGTGAATAGACTCTCTAGTGTTGTTTGCATCCTGCCCCTTTAATCTGCCTCCAGCACCCCTGTAGATGTCCTAATTGGTCCTCTGGATCCAGCCCTCTTTGGCCTGTCAGTTCAGCTCTATGTACACAGCTCGATTTCATCTCCTTGCTTGCTTGGCATATTGCTCTATTCTCATAGTTTTCTGATGTTAAAAGCAGCTTGTAGAGCTTGGATGATCTTCATACCATTTCTGCCTCCCTGTTAGTAACTGTACTAGAAAAACAGCTGTTAATCTCAATTAGGTTTTGATTGCTAATTACCAGCTACCTGTCAGGATCAAGCAGCCCTCTTCCTTGGCCCTTCAGCTATTTCTCATGCAATTGGTACGCTTGGTTTCCATGAGAACCATTTAGCTAGATGCAACCCAAACTGCCACCTCTTCTGTGGCTTTGAGAATATCTCTCCAGTGCACTCTGAGGCTCCTTGTCCACTGCCCTGCTTCCTGGTTTTCTTCATTTCATTGTCCAGTGAGTTTCTGATGAAAGCCATTTCATCTCTATTGTTGTTACAAGTGTGTCTTGGAAAGGACAATTTATGATTAGTAAGTCCATTCATTGAACTTAGGTTTAGAACTCTTGCTTTCAATTTTCATCTTTATAGATGTGTGTCATCTAGCTTGCATTCTGTTTATCTATATCAGAAGTTGGCATGAAGGCCGAATCTGGTCTACAGTGTTTTTATAAATAAGGCTTCATTGGAATGTAGCCTACAACATTGCATATTGTCTGTGGCATGGCTGCTATCATATTACAACAGCAGAATATTTGTATCAAAGATGGCATGCCCCAAAAAGTCTAAAATATTTACTACTAGTCCTTTACAGTAAAAGCTTGCCAACTCCTGACCTATGTCTTTGGTTTTCAAAGTGTGGTTCCTTAGAACAGCAGCATCAGAATCACCTGGAAACTTGTTAGAAACTCAAATTCTCAGGCCCCACCCTAGACCTACTTAATCAGAAACTCTTAGTACTGAGGGTGAGTGCAGTGGCTTACTCCTGTAATCCAGCACTTTGGAAGGTCAGGGTGGGCGGCTTGCTTGAGCTCAGGAGTTTGAGACCAGCCTGGCCAAAACGGCAAAACCCCGCGTCTATTAAAAATACAAAAATTAGCTGGGTGTAGTGTCACATTCCTGTAGTCCCAGCTACTCAAGAGGCTGAGGTGGGAGAATTGCTCGAACCTGGGAGGTGGAGGTTGCAGTGAACTGAGCTTGCACCACTGCACTCCAACCTGGGTGACAGAGTGAGACCCTGTCTCAAAAAAAGAAAGAAAAGCAGAAACTCTGAGGGCAAAGTCTAGCAATCTGATGTTTAAAAAATTAATCATTTAAAGATAATTAAGATTGTACATTAGAGGTAAACACCATGATGATTTTATCTGTATATACATTGTATAATGATTGTCATAATCATTAACAAATCCATCACCATGCATGCTACACACTAGGTCCCCAAAATTTATTCATCTTATAACTGAACATTTTTATCCTTTGATCAACATCTGCAATAATCTGAATTTTTAAAATTTTTAGATATTTCATTGACAAAGATTGTACATATTTAGGTGTACAATATGATGATTTGATATACATGTACATTGTATAATGATTATGACAATCAAATTAATTAACACATCTATCCCCACCTATGCTCTACATTCAGTCCCCAGAATTTCTTCACTTACAACTTAAAGTTTGTAATCTTTGACCAACATCCCCAGTAATCTGAATTTTAATAACCCTTCCAGGTGATTTGGATGCACACTAGGGTTTGAGAACCATTGACTTCTGCTGTTGCACATGAGATTGTCCTTTCCAAGATATACATGCAGGACACTATGGCAAGTGAAAGAAATAAATTTATTTTAGCAACTGGTATTCTTCCATATTACAAACACTGAGTTTTGTGACCTTTCAGGGTGGGGAATAAGTGATATGTCTCCAAATGGTGAGACTGTCAAATTCTGTTGGCTATGGTCATGATACCTGATGGAAGGTAACTAGTAATTTCTGTTTATCCTTGTGTAAATCATCTCATCATGTTCTTTGCCCATTTTTCTACTTGAACCACTGAACACTTTGTACAAATACTTTGTATTTAATAACATATATATATGTGTATATATATATGTGTATATATATATATATGTACAATATATATAGTCTTCTGATAACTTTGGGGTTGGTTTTCTCCTGGTTCTCTAGTTCTTTTATTTGTGATGTTAGGTCATTAAATTAAGATCTTTCTAACTTTTTGATGTGGTTATCTAGTGCTATAAATTTCCCTCTTAACACTGCTTTAGCTGTGTCTCAGAGATTCTGGTATGTTGTATTTTTGTTCTCATTAGTCTCAAAGAACTTTTTGATTTCTGCCTTAATTTCATCATTTACCCAAAAGTTGTTTAAGAGCAGGTTATTCAATTTCCATGTAATTGTATAATTTTGAGTGAATTTCTTACTCTTTATTTCTAATTTGGTTGTGCTGTGGTCTGAGAGATTGTTTGTTATGATTTCAGTTCTTTGGGAGTGATCTCTGCCTTGCTGCCTCAGGGCTGTGAATGCCATAGACATGTTGCCATCATCACCACTATTGGCAAGTTCTGAGTGATCTGTAAATAAATAAAGTCTTATTGGAACACAACTGCACTCATTCTTTTATATATTGTCTATGGGCACTTTTCTACGGCTACTTTTGTTCTACAGTGGTGGAACTGGGTAGTCGCAACAGGGAACTGAACTGCAAAGCCAAAAGTATTTACTCTGACTGTTCACAGAAAAAAAATGGCTGCTCTAAATTAAATACAAAATTTTCACAGCCAAATAACATGGCATTTACTTGTTGGTAAATAAATTTCTGAATACAGGTGAGTGTAGCAGGCAAGATGAGGATGGAAGACAAGGTAGATGTTTTAACTTCTGAATGAGCAGACTCAGTTTCCACCTGGTGGCAGTAATCTGGGACACATGTCTGTTTCCTCAACCCCAAGGCAATTCTGGAAGTTGTCCTTGTCTGAACTACTATTTCAGAGTACCCTATTGTACATAAATCATTCTAGGGAGAAAACAGCTCTTCTTTTTTCCTCTTCTCTTTGCCAGCTAGCATTTAGAGAATAGGAAACGCTCACATTCTGCTGCCTTTCCGTCTGGCCCCAACATTCACCTTAGGAGACTTCCCTACACAGAAAGTGTATTTATTTTGAAAGTAATTTATTGGACCTTATCTGAGGGTATATGCCCTGGCTACCCCCTGCTCAGTGTTGAGGACAGTGGACAGAAGGTCTACTGGCCCAGCTCCTTGGAATGTAAACCTTTATTTAATTATCCTGATGACTGTCCTAGAACCCCTTTAGTATCTGTATTTGACTACAAACATGGAGTTTCCCTAGAACAGGAGTTCTCAAACTTTATGTGCATCAGAATCATCAGGAAGGCTTGTAAAAATCTAGATCCTTGGGTTCCACCCCCAGAATTTCAGATTTGTGGGTCAGGAGTGAGATTCAAGAATTTGCATTTCCATCAGGTTCCCAGGTGAGGATGCTACTGTTGGTCCAGGAACCACCCTTTGGAAACCCCTGCTTTAGAGTTTTATTGCGAAGAACAGGTCTTATCTGTAGAGTAGCTTTTCTCATTTTTGCTTTGAGCTATAGTTTTTTCCCCACTTTCCCTCTTCCCGTACTTTATGAATTTCTGGTACACTAATAGTATTTATTTTATTTGTTTTGGGGCAGATTTTATTCTTTCAAGCTACTCTTTCTATTATTTCCATAGGCACTGGGAACAGGAGGGGAGAGAGACACATATACTTCATCTTCTGTTGTGATCTAATCTTCCTTTGTGATTTCGTCCCATTCCTTTACACTTAAATAGGACTTTTTATTCTATATTTACTTCTAGTATTTAATGGGTTAAAGGTTACCAATTGCAATTTATTTTAGAGTGATAATTTAACTTTTTTTCCAAATAGTTTGTCCCAGACCATTTATTCAATAATCTTTCTTTTTCTCACTGATTTGTGATGCCACCTTTAATATATATTAAGTTTGCATCTATACTGGGGTCGATTTCTGGGCTATCAAATCCATTACATTGATCTGCCTGCCAATTCTTTTGTCAGTAGCACACCACTTTAATTATTGAAGTTGTATTATCTGGTCGGGTAAGTTTCTTCAATTAGTCTTTACCTTCAATATATTCTTGGCTGTTTTTTCCCTTTATCTTTAAAATCACTTTGTCACACTCCCATCTTCCCATCTATCTTAGATTTTTAATGAAGATTCCATAAGTCTATTAAGCATTTTGTGAAAGATTGGTATCACTTTCCAATGCAAAAACATTATACCAATTTATTCAAGACTTCTTTTATATATCTCAAATTTTTCTAGTATTCTACAAAAAAAGGTCACATACTTCCCTAGATATCTTGTCGTTTTTGTTGAAATTATAAAATGGGACTGCATTTTTTCATTGCAGTTTCTTATTCTCATTTTGAGAGAGTTTTGGGGGTGGAAAAGAAGGAACAATTTCAAGAAGGGGTTTTTTTTTTTAATAAGAGAATTCGAGGTGAATTGGGAATTTTGGCTCATGAAAGTGGGTTTTATTTTGGATTTCTGTATCTTTGAATTAATGGCAATGATTGGTGTTTCTTGACTTAGAATCCATAATAATATGTTTGCATTATGCTAAAATGTTAAAATAAAACAAAAAATGTTAAACATCTAATAATAACAGAAATGTAATTCATAACTAAATTGTCCTTCAGTAGCTGCGGATGATGCAGTTCGGTAAGTGTACAATTAGGCAGATTCCCATCTTTTTATTTTATCTAAGGCAGGTTCACTCAGTGCCTAGGCCTTACCAGAATATGTCAGCTCCTTAACAATCTTCTTTAATTTAGTTGATATTCCCAAATGATCTTTCTAAATTTGAATGACGTTTTGCATATTGCCTTTAGTTCACAAAACAGAATGTATTCTTCAAGTAATAAAATCTTATTCTGGTACTAAAATTCAGTCAGGCATGCTCTGAATATATGCTGACATGAAAATGCTGCTTCATAATCCAGGGGGATATATAAAAATCAAAGAAAAACCTATCTTGGAAAAGAAACTTAGAAAGTTCAGCAACCATAAGTACAAAAAAAAAAAAAAAAAAGGAAGCAAGAAAGAAAGAAAAAGAAAAAAAAGACAGAAGCCAAACCCCAAATCCTAAAGTATTCATCAAATCTAAATCATTTCATCAGATCTAAGATGCCACTTATAATAAGACATGCCATTATTTCATGTACCCTAAAGAAAGGAACAGATTCTACCATATAAATTATAGATCATAAAACTAATCCCAATTTTAGAGATTTTTTAATTGAGGGGAAAATATGTTTTTTAGTATCATTGGTATATGTTACACTGCTTTGGACTGTAATCAACAGAAACTTGATTCACAAATGCATTGGATCACATACCTAGAAACCAATAGAAAGGGTTGGCTTCAGGAAGAGGCTGATCCAGAAATCAATATTTTCATTAAGGACCCACTCTCTTATCACAGGATCAACTTCATCCCAAGGCTGGTTTCCCTTCCTGGTAAAACACAGATGCCAGCAGGAAACGGGCTAGAGTTCTGTGTTCTCATCAAGTCAAAAGCAAAGGATTATTTCCCAAAAATCAAAAAGAAATTTTCCAGCTGTCCCTAGCAAACTTCCTATTATGTTGTCAACAGTCTAAGTCCAAACTGAGTCCCCTGACCATCCTTGAACTGCTGTCTATAGCTGTGTTGTCCAATATAGTCATGACTTGCTGTTGTGGTTACCTAGAGAGACAGATGGACTCCCACCCAAAATTTAGTTCAGATGTTGAGACTGATGACAACACATGCACACCAAAAGGGCATGAAAGGCTTCATTGCTTATGTAATAGAGGTCTCTGGAGAAGCAGGGCAGGCCTCTCAAGCAAGTCCGAAATGCCCTGAGAGAGCTGGGAAAGGGAATGGGCCTGGTTTTGTATTGTAGTTAGATGTGGGGCTGGCATGAGTGCTCATGGGTGTGGGGAAGGGCTTCTGTGGTTTGAATTTCCCATCAGTGCCAAAGGAGTGAGTACCCAGGCTTTCTTATCAGCTTGTACAGATGTGGGGCACAAAGGGAAGAGAGAGGAGCAAGACTTAAAAGTTGACATCAGTCAAACGTCAAAAAATAGAGTGAGACTACTCCATACAATTGCCAAATGTGGTTGCTTACAATTAAGTTAATTAAAATTAAATAAAACTTAACAATTCTGTTCCCCAGTCACAATGGACACATTTCAAGTACTGCACAACCACATTTGGCAGACTTACAGAACATTGCCACCATCCCAGAAAATACTATTGGACCATGTTGGTCTAAAGCAGGGCTAACTACAGCCCACAGACCAAATTCTACCTAGTGTCTATATATAGCCTACTAACTAATGCGGTTTTTACATTTTCAAATGGCCAAAAAAAATCAAAAGAAGCATGGTATTTCATGATATGAAAATTTTATGAAATTCAAATTTTCATGTCCACAAATAAAGTTTTATTGGAACCCAGCCATGCTTATTCATTTGTGCATTGTCTGTGTTGCTTTCACACTATAATGGCAGAGTAGTTTTGACAGAGACTGTATGATCACAAAGCCTAAAATATTTACAATCTAATTATTTACAGGGAAAGTTTGCTGACCCCTGGTCTGCAAGAACAGGGTGGCCCACTCTTCTGGGATGTGCAGTGCGGTCAAGGTTCCCCAAGTCTCACTGGGTGTGTGGAGGCCTGAGGGGTATCTCAACAAACTCAAGAGATCTGTTGGCAAAGTGGTAGTAGAGTGGGATGCTGGGTAGGACACCAACAATGCCCACTACACTTAATAGGAAACATAGACCAATGTTTAACCTCTGAATGGAACCGAGCTGACAGTCTCCAAAGCGGATCTCTCTACTCAGTAAATAAATGCCATTTTTTGCTATAGTAAATTACAACCTTTCCACACTAAGACATAATACTTTAATTCTATTTTATGTTCATGATTTCACTCAAGATCCATTCTTTCTTAGTCCTGAAATAGGAGTTTTATATTTGTCCGTCTTATTTCATTGTTACCCCTGGTATGCATAAGTTACAAAACATCAAACCAATTCTTTGCGCAAAAACCTTCATCTTCACTTTCTCTCTCTGTGCACCTCTCTTCTTCCCCTTCTCTTTCCTTTTCTATTCTCTCTCTATACACCCTCCCACCATGTGCCTCATGTTTTTCTGTCAATTACTTAAATTTCTTACATTAAAATACCCTGCCTAAAAGAGCCTGCACCTCCTCTCTCTCTCTTGATTTCTCTCTCATCATGCGATATGCTGGCTTCCCCTTTGCTTTCTGCGGTGATCATAAGCTTCCTGAGGCTCTCACCAGAATGTGAGCAGATACTGGTGCCATGCTTGTACAGCCTGCAGAATTGTGAGCCAAAATAAACTTCTTTTCTTTATAAATTACCCAGCCTCAGATATTTCCCTGTAGCAATGCAAAAATGTATTAACACATTACCCATTTATAAATTGACTTTTTCCCCACTCAGAACAGGACATACATTTTAGAATATGCACTAGAGCAGATTTAGTTTGAGTTATAAAATACCTTTTTTAAAAAAAGACTTTATAGAGCATATTTAGGTTGACTGCAAAAATGGACAGAAGGTACAGAAATTTCCTATACACTCCCTAACCCCATACATGCATAGCCTTCCCCATTATCAACATACCCTATTAGGGTGCTGAACCTACACTGGCACTTTATTGTAACCAAGAGTCCATAGGCCACCTTAGGATTCACTCTTAGTGTTATATATTCTATGGGTTTGAAAAAATGTATAATAAAACATGTATCCACCATTATAGTATCATACAGAGTAGTTTCACTATCCTAACAATTTTCTGTGTTACACCTATTCATTCCTTCCTCCCCAAAATGCCTGGCAGCCACTGGTACTTTTTCATCTCCATTGTTTCAGTCTCAATTTCCCAGATATTTTTAAATGTCCATTATTTTAGTCTCCATTTCCCAGAATGTAGCATAGTTGGAATCAGTATGTAGCCTTTCGTATTGGTTTCTTTAACTTAGAAATATGCACTTAAGTTTCCTTAATGTCTTTTCATGGTTTAATAGTTCATTTCTTTTTAGTGCCAAATAATATTCAATTGTCTGCATATACCACAGTTTATTCATTCATTCACCTACTGAAAGACATCTTGGTTTCTTCCAAGTTTTAGCAATTACGAATAAAGCTACTATAAATATTTATGTGCAAGTTTTTGTGTGGATACAAGCTTTCAATTCATCTGGATGAATATCTAAGGAGCACAGTTACTGGATTATACGGTAAGAGTATGTTTAGTTTTATAAGAAACTGCAAACTGTATTCCAAAGTGTCTGTACCATTTCCCATTCTAGTTAGCAATGAATCAATGGATTATTGCTCCACATCCTTGCCAGCATTTGGTGCTATCAGTGTTCTGGATTTTGGACATTCTACTATGTGTGTAGTAGTATTTTATTGTTGTTTTAATATGCATTTCTCTGTTGGCATATAATATAAAGCATCTTTTCATATACGTGTTTGCCATCTGTATATCTTCATTGGTGAGTGATCTGTTCAGATTTTCTTTCTATCTTTTAATTGGGTTGTTCTTTTCCTTACTGTTGAGTTTTAAGAATTATGTCTGTATTTTAGATAATAGTCCTTTATCAGTTACAGCTTTTGCAAATATTTCCTCCCAGTCTATGGTTTGTCTTTTTATTCTCTTGACAGTAATCTTTCACATATCCATTCTTTTTTTGATCGATTCTGACTTTCGTGTTGTGTCTAAAAAGTCATTGCCAAAAAAAAACCACCTGGAAATAATAAGTAATCATATCAGGATGCATGGTTAATATACAAAATTCAATTGTTTTCTCTATATATCAACAATGAACAAATGAAATTTGAAGTTAAAAACACAATATCATTTGCATTACCACCAAAAAATAGAATCTAAATCTAAATCGAACAAAATGTGTACAGTATTTATAAGAGGAAAACTAGATGACTATCAAGGTAATCTAGATATTCTTCTATGTTATCTTCTGGTAGTTTTATAGTTTTGTGTTTTACATTTAGGTCTTGTGATCCATTTTAAGTTAATTTTTGTGAAGAACGTAAGATCTGTGTCTAGATTCATTTTTTTGAATGTGGATTTCCAGTCATTTCAGCACCATTTGTCGAAAAGACTAACCTCCATTATATTGCCTTTGTCCGTAAAATGCTCCCTTGTCAAAGATTAATAGGCTATATTTAGGTCTATTTCTGGGCTCCCAATTCTGTTCCATTGATCTATTTGTCATTTCTTTTTTGCCAGTACCATACTGTCTTGATTACTATAGCTTTATATTAAATCTTGAAGTTGGATAGTGTCATTCCTTCAACTTTGTTCTTCTCCTCAATATTGTGTTGGCTGTTCTGGGTCTTTTGTCTCTCCATATAAACTTTAGAATCAGTTTGTCAATATTCACAAAATAAATTCCTGGGATTTTTATTACAATTGCATTGAATTTATAGATCAAATTGGGAAGAACCAATGTCCTGACAATATTGAGTTTTTCTATCCATGAACATGGAATATCTCTCAATTTCTTTAGTTCTTATTTGATTTCTTTCATTAGAGTTTTGTAGTTTTCCTCGTATAAATACCATAGGCATTTTGTTAGATTTAGATTTAGATTCTATTTGGGGGGTGCTAATGTAAATGATATTGTGTGTTCAATTTCAAATTCCACTTGTTCATTGTTGGTATATAGAGAAAGCAATTGAGTTTTGTATATTAATCATGTATCCTGATATGATTACTTATTTGCAGGAGGTTTTATTGGTCTTTTTTTCAGATTTTCTGTTTAGATAATGATGTCATCTATGAACAAAGATAGTTTTATTTTTTTCTTCCTAATCAGCATGGCTTTTATTTTCTTGTCTAATTCAGTAGCTAAATTTTCCAATAGAATGTTGCAAAGGAGTGGTGAGAGAATGACTTAGTTCATTTGTGTTGCTATAAAGCAATATCTGAGACTAGGTAATTTATAAAGAAAACAAGTTTATTTTGCTTATGGTTCTGCAGGCTGTACAGGAAGCATGGCACTGGCATCTGCATCTGGTGAGGGCCTCAGACTTTTTCCTCTCATGGCAGAAGATGAATGGAAGCTCGCATGTGCAGAGGTCACATGACATGAGAGGAAGCAAGAAACAGAAGGTAGGTGCAAGGCTTCTTTTAACAACCAGTTCTCATGGGATCTAATAGCATGAGAATTCATTCACTGCTTCCTTCCCCAGGGTGATGACATTAATCCATCTCATGAAGGACCCGCCCCCATGACCAAAACACCTCCCCCTAGGCCCCACCTCCAACACTGGGATAATTTCAACATGAGGTTTAGAGGGGCAAACATCCAAACTATAGCAAAGAGGATATCCTTACTGGTTCCTAATCTTAGTAGGGAAGGTTCTAGTTTCTCACGATTAAATATGATGTTAGCTGTGGGGTTTTTTGTAGGTATTCCTTACCAGGAAGTTCCCCTCTATTTCTAATTTACTGAGAGTTTTTACCATGAATGGGTGATGGATTTTGTCAAATGCTTTTTCTGCATCTATTGATAAGATTATGTGATTTTTCTTCTTTAGCCTGTTGTGTAATAGATTACATCAATTGATTTTCAAATGTTGGATTAGCTTTGCATAGCTGGAATAAATTATACTTGGTGTGTTGTATAATTCTTTTTATGTTGGATTTATTTTGTTAATATTTTGCATCTGTGCTCATAAGAGATATTGGTCTGTAGTTTTTTTCTTGTTTGTTTTTCTTTTTTTCTTGTAACGTCTGCCTGGTTTTGGTATTAAAGTAATACTAGCTTCATAGAGAGCTAGGAGATATTTCCTCTGCTCTGCTTCTGAAATAAATTATAGATCATTGGTATTTTTTCCTTAAATATTTGTTAGAAGTCACCTGTGAATCCACATGGGCATGGTGCTTTCTATTTTGGAAAGTTATGAATTATTGATTCAATTTCTTTTCTATAGATAGGCATATTCAAATTGCTTATTTCTTCTTGTGTAGGTTTTGGAAGATTGTGTCTTTTAAGGATTGGTTCATTTCACCTAGATTATCAAATTTATAACCATAGAGTTGTTCATAGTATTCTCTTATTACTCTTTTACTGTCAGTGGGATTTGTAGTGATGTTCTCTCTTTTGTTTCTGATACTAGTAATTTGTGTCCTTTCTCTTTTTTCTTAGCCTGGCTCAAAACTTATCAATTTTATTATTTTTTTCAAAGAAACAGCCTATAATTTTGTTGATTTTATCTATTGAGTCCCTGTTTCCAAATTAATTGATGTGTGCTCTCATTTTTATTACTTCTTTTTTTGTTTATTTTGGATTTAATTTGATCTTCCTTTTAAAGTTTCCTAAGGAAGCTTAAATTACTGGTTTTAAATTTTTCTTATTTCCTGATACATGAATTCAGTGTTCTAAATTTCCCTTCAAGCACTGCTTTTGCTACATCCTACACATTTTGATAAGTAGTTTTAAAATTTTCATTTAATTCAAAATGTTTTAATTTCTCTTGAGATTTCTTCTTTAATCCATGTGTTACTTAGAAGTGTGCTGTTTAATCTCCAAGTATTTGGGGATTTTCCAGCTATCTTTCAGTTATTGGTTTCTGGTTTAATTCCATTGTGGTTTGAGAGAAGACATTATATGAAGGTGTATTTTATGCCCAGAATGTGGACTATCTTAGTAAGTGTTCCATGTGAGAAGAATGTGTATTCTACTGTTGTAGAATAAAGTAGTCTACAGATACCAATTATATCCAGTTGATTGGTGGTGTTATTGAGTTAAACTAAGTCATTACTGATTTTCTGCCTGCTGTATCTGTCTATTTGTGATATAGGGGTGTTCAAGTCTCCAACTATTATAGTGGATTTATCTATTCCTTCTTGTAGTTCTAGCCTCACATATTTTGACCCTCTGTTGCTAGGTGCATACACATTAAAGATTATTATGTCTCTTTGGAGATTTGATGCCTTTATGATGATGTAATGCCCATCTTTATGCCTGATAAATTTCCATGCTCTGAAGTCTGCTCTGTCTAAAATTAATATAGGTACTCTAACTTTCTTTCAATTTGTGTTAACATAGTATATCTTTTTCTAGTCATTTACTTTTAATTTATTTGTGTCTCTATATTTAAGGAGGGTTTCTTTTAGACAACATAAAAGTGGGTATGGTTTTTTGAGTCACTCAGACAATCTCCATTAATGAGTGCATTTAGCATTCATGTTTGAAGTGGCTATATAGTTGGATTAATACATACCATATTTGTTACTGTTTTCTATGTGTCGCCCTTGTTCTTTGTTCCTATTCTTTCACTCTTTTTATCATTTTAGTTAAGCATTTTTATATGATTCAATTTTCTTTCCCTTTTTAGCATTTCAGTTACACTTCCCTTTTTACTCATTTTTGGTGGTCATCCTAGAGTTTGCAATATAGGCTTATAACTAATCTAAGTCCACATTCAGAAAACACCATACCACTTCACAGGTAGTGTGAATACATTATAACATCAAAATAATTCTCATTCATCCCTCCCATTTCTTGTATTATTGCTGTCATTCATTTTACTTATACATAAACATACATAAATATATTTATACACACATAAACATACCTAAACAAATGTGTTGTTACTATCATTATTTTGAGCAATGTGTTATCTATTATATCAATTAGGAATAAGAAAAATAATGTTTTTACTTTACCTCCACTTATCTCTTCTCTGATGCTCTTTCTTTCTTTATTTGGATCTGAGTTTTTAAACTAAATAATTTTCCTTCTTTCTAAAGAAAGTCTTTTAACATTTCTTTCAAGGCATGTCTACAGACAATAAATTCTCTCAATTTTTGTTTGTCTAAAACATCTTTATTTTTCTTTCTCTGTTGAAGAGTAATTTCACAGAGTACAGAATTCTAAGGTGGTATCTTTTTTCTGTGAAAACTTTAAATATTTCACTCTACTCTCTTTTTGCTTGCATGGTTTCTCAGGAGAAATCAGATGTAATTCTTATCTTTGCTTCCCCATAGGTAAGGTATTTATTTTCTCTGGCTTTTTTTTTCAGTTTTCCTTTACCTTTGATTTTCTATAGTTTAAAAAAGATATTCCCAGATGTAGTTTTTCTTGACATTTATCCTGCTTGGTGTTCTCTGAGTTTCCTGGAGCTGTTGTGTGGCAATTGACATTAATTTGAGGGAAATTCTCAGTCATCATTTTTTCAAAGTATTTCTTCTATTCTTTTTTTCTTCCTTTTCCTGGTATCCTCATTGCCATGTTACACTGTTTAGAGTTGTCCCACAGTTCTTGGATAGTCTGTTTTTTTCCTTTCATTGTTTTTCTTCTTTGCTTTTCAGTTTGGGAGGCTTCTATTGAGATATCAACATGCTCAGAGATTCTTTCTTTAGCCATGTCTAGTCTACTAATAAGACCACCAAAGGCTTTTTTTTTTTTTATTTCTGTCACAGTGTTTTTGATCTCTAATATTTCTTTTTGGCTCTTTCTTAGAACTTCCATCTCTGCCTACCTTGCCCATCTGTTCTTTCATGGGGTCTACTTTATTCATTCAATCCCTGTCATAGTCCATTTTCGTTGCTATAACAGAAGGCCACAGACTGGCTAATTTATAAAGATAAGATATTTAGTTGGCTCATGGGTCTGGAGGCTGGAAAGTCCAAGGACATGGCCCCAGCATTTGCTTGGTCATCTGGTGGGAGCCTTCTTGTTGCATCATCCCATTAAAAAAAGTGGAAAGGCAAGAGAGAATGTAAGACAGAAAGAAAATGGAGGTCAAATTTATCTTTTTATCAGGAGCCCACTTCTATGATAACTCACTCACTCCCATGATAATGGCATCAACCCATGTCCTTATGGTCCAATCACCATTTAAGCATCCCACCTCTTAATACCATCACAATGGCAATTAAATTTCAACATAAGTTTTGTCGAGGACATATAAACCACAGTATTACACTCCTGGCCCCTCCAAAATTCACGTTCTTCTAATATACAAAAATGCATTTATTCCATACCAATAGCTTCCCATGTCTTAACTGGTTCCATCATCAACTCAAAAGTCAAAAGTACAGAGTCTCATCCAAATCAGATATAGATCAGACTCAAAGCAGGATTTATCCTGAGGCAAATTCCCTCCAGCTCTGAGCCTGTGAAATCCAAACAAGTTATCTACTTCCAAAATACAATGGTGGAACAGGCATAGGATACACATGCACATTTCAAAAGGGAGCAACAGGAAAAAAGAAAGGAGTAACAGGTCCCAAGTAAGTCCAAAACACAACAGCGTGAACAGTAAATCTTAAAGTCGGTTAATAATCTCCTTTGACTCCCTGTCATGGATCCTGGGCACATTAGGAGAGTTAGACCCCTAAAGCCTTGAGCAGTCCCACATCATAAGTTTTGCTGGGCTCAGCCCATGTGCTTTAACTTTCTTGAGTTGGAGTCTCTTCTCTGCAGCTCTCCCAGGCTGGAGTTGCACACTGGTAGCTCTACAGTTCTGGGGTTTTGGTGGTGGTCTCACTCCCATGGCTCTACCAGGAGTTACCTTACTAGGGGTTCTTTATGGCAGCTTCCTGTGGGAATTTCCTGCGGGAATTTCCTGCCTAGGCCCCAAGTTGTCCAATACATGCTTTGAAATCTAGGTATGATAAGCCATGCCTCCACAGTTTGTGGACTGTGGATGCCTACAGAGTCAGCATCATGTGAATGCTGCTATGGCTTATTGCTTGTACCCTCCAGAGTAGTGGCCTGAATCACACCTGGGCCCACTTGATACATGACTGGGGTGGCCAAAGAGTGCTACGCTGGAATGCAGGGAGCAGTGTCCAGAGGCAACTTTCAGCGATGAATCCCTAGAGAGTGCCCTCGGCTTCTTTTCTCATTCCTTTCTGCCTTCCTAGAACTCTGGACCGGTGATGAGGAAAAGCAGCCTTTGAGATCTTTGAAACGCCTTCAGGGTATTTCCCCCATTGTCTTGATGAACAGCATGTAATTTCCTCCTATTCATATTATTTGTGTGTGTGTGTGTGGAAGGGTAGGTAGACATTTTTATTTTTTGACAGTTAAATTGCTTTATTTCTTTTTTATACTATTATACTTTAAGTTCTGGATTAATCTCTTTAGCAAGTTATTGCTTGGCTACACCCTTAATTTGCTCTGCTAAACACACCTTTTCCCTCTTAACATGGCCAGCCTATGAATTTCCCACATCTTTCTGCTCTGCTTCCCTTTTAATTATAAATTCCATCTTTAAGTCATTTGTCTTGCATCTCACTGTATGTGGTTAAAAGTAGCCACACAACAGCCTGAATGCTTTGCTGTTTAGATATTTTTTCCACCAGGTGTTGTAGTTCACCATTCTTAAGTTCTGCATTCCATAAAGTCCTAGGACATGGATATACTTCTTCCAAGTTCTCTTCAACTATGTAACAAGGATGGCTTTTATTCTAGTTTGCAATACCTTGTTCCTTATTTCCATCTGAGATCTTATCAGAATGGTCTTTATTATCCACATTTCCACCAACATTCTGATCATGACCACTTAACTAATCTCTAACAAATTTCACTTTTCTCACAAATCTCCTTTGAAGCCCTCATCAGAATCACCTTTAATGCTCCATTTACTGCAATAGAGGCATTCTATAAACTGCTCCTCCAAATTCTTCCAGCCGCTACCCATTACCCAGTTCCAAAGCTGCGTCCTCACTTTTAGGTATTTGTTACAGCAACAGTCTTACTTCTTGGTGCCAATTTTCTATTTTAGTCCATTTTCTGCTGCTATATCAGAAGACCACAGACTAGGTAATTTACAAATAAAAGAGTTTTATTTGGCTTATAGTTCTAGAGGTTGGGAAGTACAAGGGGATGGTGTTGGCCATCTGCAGGGGCCTTCTTGTTGCATCATCTTGTGGCAGGAAGGCAAGTAAGCACGTGAGACAGAGAGAAAATGGGGGCCAAATGTAACCTTTTACCAGAAGCCCACTCCTGTAATAACTAATACACTCCCATGATAATGGCATTAATCCATTCATGAAGGCAGAGCCCTCCTGGCCTAATCACCTTTTAAAGGTCCCACCTCTTAATGCCATGACAATGGCAATTAAATTTCAACATGAGTTTAGGAGGGGACATGCAAACCATAGCAAGTCCTTAGTGTATTAATCATCGTTGTTTTTAATTACCAATATGATAATTGCCAACATTCTTGCCATATCTGAATTTGATTCTGAATGCTCACTCTCTCTCTCTCCAAACTGTTTTTTGTTTGTTCGTTCTTTAGTATGCCTTATAAGTTTTTCTTGATAACAAGACATGATGTACAGGATTTAAAAAAAATTACTGTAAAAATGGGCCTTTAGTAATGTAGTGGTAAGGTTTTGGAGAAGGGAGTTCTATTATTAGGTTTCAGTCTTTTTGTAAGATTGCCTTTGGACTGTAAACTTTACAAGTGCTTCTTAGTCTTCCTCCCTACCCCCACCCCCACTTAGATGGGATAGAATTGCTAGAGAGGGCTGGAGTTGGATATTTTGCTTCTTTCACATAGATGGCTAGAGTGGGCTGGAGTTGAATGCTTCCCTTCTCTGAGGCCCAGTAGAATTTGATAAAACCAAAGCATGTTAAACTCTGGTTAAATAGCTTGAGGACAGACTGTTAAGAAGAACAGAATACTCCGGTATATTTCACAATGGTTCCTTTTCCCTCTGCTGGAAGCATGAGGGGATTTTTCTCTAATATTAACTGTGTTCTCATCTGGTAGAGCTCCAGGAAATAAAACTTATAAAGGCGTGGGGGCCCCTGATTACTTGGTTCCCCTGGAGTTTTTAACTCTCAGACTTGTCCACACTGAGCTTCCAGCAATTCATCAATTACAGTTAAGGATTTCCTACCCTGGCACTGGTTCCTGATGGGTTTTCTGCTCCCATAAGTTGTGATTATCTGTACTTGCCTGTCTTTCCAGTTTGTGGGGAGTAGTTTGACCTCACTTCCCTTAAGAATCTAAGTGTTGATTTTTCAGCTTGTAATTAGATAAATTATTTTTAAAATGGATCTCTTATCCAAATAATTTGTGGTAAGTTTGACTCTAAAATATCTTAGCTTAAAAAAAATTCTACCAGTGGGTTTATCAAGTGAAATTTCACAGCCAATTCAAATAGAGAAGTGATCAATGAGCTTCAAATGAGAAGCATTGGCCCTACTTTGTAAATGCAATAACACCACACACTTCTTTCCATTGCTTGCCAATGCATGATGTTTGTGGATATTTAAAAAAGTAAATCGAGAAATGAGAGGGGTTTAATTAACTAAAAACAGAAGACATACCAGGTGAGAATATTTCAACTTGGCTAGCTTTGGAAAAGCTATTGTGATACTGATGTTATGGAAGCCTGAAAAAAAGCCCCTATGTTGCTCTGTTTGCTAATAGGCTTTGAATGGAACAAACTGTGGATTTTTAAAATTTGTGTTGTCCCCAAATCTATTGTCTTCTTAAAAACAAAAGAGAGAATTGTTTTTATTGAAGTAACTGATAGCTTTTGGCAGGGATGGATTTTTTTTTTTTTTAAAGCATACAGACCGCCCTACTGAACAGCTCACCACCTCACCCTCTGCTAACCAGGGTGGGAAGATTCACAGGTGCTTCTATCAGAAATGCTGATGTGCATTGTTGGAGGGAGGGAGGCTGCCAGCTCTGTGAGGAATGGGCTGTAGGAGCCAAATGGAACTGAATTTTAGGAGAGAGAGAAAATGGAGGAGAAAAGCAGTAGCATGCTTGTGTGTGTTCAACTTTCCTTCCTGATCTCAGAAGTGTATGAGGTTTAATCTTCAAGTGGGTGATATGACAGTAAAAAGCATGACAAAGAAGCTGTTTCCACAATGCATTTTAGTCAGGTTGAGTGTGCACGGCCACATCTGCCCACCACAGTGCCCTCTACAACCAGACTAGGGGATCTTCCCCTGCAGCTGTCCCCATTTCTGCATCCTCCTCCACCAGCTATGAACACCCAATATTTCAAAGCCTTTTGCTTCCCTAAGGACAATAGCAACGCAAGAAATCAGGTCAGGTCTTGTTCTTCCCCCTTCTATCTAAATGGATTTTTCTGAAAGGAAGAAGCCAAGGAGAAGAGGCTCGAGATGCTAGGTATCATCTGAGTGTACAATGTTAATACTTCCTTACCTCACACATCTGATTTCCTAGTTTGCACATGCTTTTTTTCTGTATATCTTTTGAAGCTCTTTGAAGACAAAGAAGCCCTCTATCCTTTGCCCAGAAAAGTTCCACATGCAAAGAGGTCCTTTCAAGTGAGCTTTTAATCACACCAGAAATAAGTTTGCCCTGTGGTCTCTTTATGTGGCTGGCATACTGCAGTCCATGTTATTTTCAAATTGAAGATGTTATTTCCACTACCTGAAGATTATGTGTCTAGATAACTCAGAAGGGCTGTGCTGATAACCATATTAAAATCATAAAAATACCATTATGTTTTTCAAGGCAGAGTCAGATTGAGTTAATCAGAATTGGTTTGCAAGATCCAGTTTGTTTCTCTGTTGAAAATAGTGTCAGGTTGATAAGTCTTTTGTTCCCACACTATCACATTGGGTTCTATTCTAATCTGTGTGATACCCGGACAATACAGATAAGCTAAATGTGGTCTAATCAGTTCTGACTCTTCTGATCTGACTGATATTTTTGCATGGATTTTGATTAATCAGAAATGTACAGAATATTCATGTCTCATCCCATAGTTATGACAGGTGCAGACTTTGCTTTTCATACGTTCAGAATAATGCCACAATTCAAAGTGTCCCTTTCATCTGACATACTACTAATTGAATGATTTCTTTCTTGAAATAACAGAATAGCCTGTTGGCTTTATACTTTTGAAATGGGAAATGTGATTTAGAAAAGCTCCTGTGAAGTGTTATCAATGGTAAATAAATTTGTAATGATGTAATTCAGACTCTCTCAACATAAGAGAATCTCTGAAGATTTTATTGACTTGGTAAGGAGAATAATGGAAAATATACAAAATAGACTCTATAGCAAATGTCAAAAGATTCCAACCAACAGGGAAGGTAGCATCATTTTACCCTCAACAAAAGTATATTTTTCTGTTCTCCTTCAGGACCTTTAATTCCAAATCCCTGTAAATGCTATCAAAGAAAAGATAAACACATGGAAAGACAGAAAGGGATCCAGTCTCAAATACAGATGAGACTGATTGTTGTCTCATCCTAAGTGAAGAGGGAGACTTCTTATCCCACTGGAGATGCATGAAGTTGGAAAGAGCATCACTCGTACACTTACAAAAACAACAACAACAACAACACACCAAAAGAAAAACAAACAAACAACCCCCCCCCCCCCACCAAATCTACAACTTTCATTTACCCTGTCGGAGAGCCAAGGAATGATAGTTGCCTGTGAGACGAGATGAGGTGAGAACATTTTCTTACCTAGGACGTATGAAGCTGAACACTTGTAAGAATAAATTAGCTAAATTTGTTAACAAATTGGTAAAAACTGAGCATAGGTTAGTAAAATTTGTATGTAGTTTAATAATGGAGAGAACATAGAACCTCCAGGGCTACAGATATAAGGGGGTTTTTCACCCACTTTTCCACTAACCTTACCAAGTACTTGCACACAAAAATAATGGTGACAGTCTTGAGAAAGCATCCCTTGAAGGCCATGCTTGCAGGAGGTGAATGGCAAGGCTATGGGAAAGGGAGGATCCCCTTCTTCCTGATCCCTTTCCCCTACCTCACCTATGGAACAACAGTCTTATACTGTGGGAAGAAGGGCAGCAAACACTTTAGGTATCCTTGAAAAAACCCACTGGGGATGGGAAAAAAAAATCAACCTTCTAAACTTGGGGGAGGCGCAGAAGCTTTGAGAAAGCAGTGAAAGCCCGTGAGACTCGGGGGCACAGTGATTACCTAAGTCTGACACATTGTTTGAACCACCAAGAATACTGCTGTCATCATCATCAGGCTAACACATATTAAGGAATGGTGCGGCTCTTCTTAGAGGATTGCAGGAATGTGGAAGGAGACCCTCTCTGACATACAGCAAATAGGGATGACCTAATGCTAAGGTTGAAGCAGACATTGAGAAAAACTCTATGTTGATCCAGCCCCCACCCTTAGCACAAGTCATTACTAGAGGAATTTGAAGCCTGTGGTGCACTGTGAGTAGCCATAGCAACAACAAACCCTAAACGCAGCTCAACTCAGACTAGATTAATTTAAAACTCCGCATTAAAGGCCTAGGAAAGATACACCCATTTTTAGACATAAAACTATTTATCTCACTCTCTGCTATTCTGTACAAAATGTCCAGCTTTCAGCAAAAAAGTATGAGGCAGGTGAAAAGGTAACTAAAAACAACATACTGCAAAGAGACAAAGTAAACAACAGAACCAGACTCAGATATGACACAGATGTTGGAACTTTCAGACAGGAATTAAAATAACTATGATTAATAAGTTAAAGTTTCTAAAAAGAAAGGGGGGGGGGGCAATATTCAAGACCAGATGGGTAATTTTAGCAAAGGAAGGAACCTAAAAGCAAAAGTTACATGGAAATGCTTAAGATGATAAATCCACAATAATAGATAAAGAATGCCTTCAATAGCCTCATCAGTAGACTCAAAACAGCTGAGAAAAGGATCAGTGAACTTGAAGATAGGTAAATAGCCAAAAGATATATTAATTACCAAAACTGAAACACAAAGAGGAAAACTAATAGGGGGGAAAAAAAAGAACAGAGCACCTAAGAGCTGTCAGAAAATGTCAAATGATTTATCATGTATGTACTTAGAGTTCTAGAAAGAGAGAAACGAAGAGAAGAAATAATAGCTGAAATTTTTCTAAAATTAACGACAGGTATGAAATCACAGATTTAAGAAGTTTGGAGAAGACTAAGCAAGATAAATACCACACACCTAGCCACATCATATCTACACTGCTCAAAACCAAAGGGTTAAAAAAAAGGAAACATTACAAGCAGCAGAGAGAGAGAAACAAAAACAAAATTTCATATAAAAACAAAGACAAGAATTACAGCCAACTTATTATCAGAAATTGTATAAACCAAAAGGTATTGGAGTGATAAAAGAACTGAAAGAAAAAAAATAAGTCAACCTAGAATTCTACACCTGGAAAAATATCACTTAAAAATGAAAGAGAAATAAAGATTTTATTTGACAAACAAAAATATATTATTTTTTACTGGCTTATCTACCCTGAAGTAATTTTCTAAAGGTTTTCAGGCAGAAGGAATATGGTATTAGACAAAACTTGGATATATAAAAACTGAGAGCTGTGGAATGGAATAAATTTATATTTTCTTACTTTAAAATCTTCTAAAAGATAGCAGAGTAAGTATTGAAAGCAAAATAATTATTTGATTCTCAAAATAAATTAACTTTTTTGACAAAATTCAACATCTATTTGTGATTTAAAATTCCCAGCAAACTTGGAATTGCTGGAAACTTTCTTAACAATATAAAAGGCATCTACTAGGAGCCTACAGCTAACAACATGTATGAAAACTGAATGTTTTCCTCCTAAGATCGGCAACAAGGTAGGAATTTTCTCTCTTTCTATTCCTAGTCAGCATCATACTAGAAGTCCTAGCTAGGACAACAAGACAATAAAGAAAAAAATAGAAGGCAAATGAATTAGAAATAAAGAGATAAAATGCACTATTCACAGATGACATAATTGTCTATATATAAAATCCCAAATAGTCTCCAAAAGAAGTTCTAGAACAAATAAGTCAGTTTAGCAAGACTTCAATGTACAGGATCATTATGTAAAAATTAATTGTATTTTTATATATAAATAATTAAAAATCAGAGTTTCATATTTTAAAAAGAGCAATATCATTAATAATAGCACCAAGTGCAGGATCTGTGTCTCAAAAAGCACAAAACTTATTTTTTAAAAAAATTTTTAAAAAATTTTTAAAAAATTTTAAAAAAATCAAAGAAGATTTAAAGAAATGGACAGATAGATTCTGTTTTTGGATTGGCTAAATATTGCTAACATGGGAATTCTGCCCCAAACTGATCTAGAGATTCAAAGAAATCCCAATGAAAATCCTAGGAGAATCTTTTATTGATATCGATAAGCTATTTGTAATATTTATATAAAATAGGAAAGGAACTAAAATACTCAAAACAATTTAGAAAAAGAACAAAGTTACAGGTCTCACACTAGCTGATTTCAACACTTACTATAAAGCTATAGTAATCCAAACAGTAAATTATTGGTAAAAGGATGAGCATATAGATCAACGGAACAGACTAAAGATTTCAGAAGTAGACGCATAAACATGTGGCAACTGATTTTTAACAAAAGTAGAAGGACAGTTCAGGGTATTGGATGGGGCTGGATGTCCATATGAAAAAAAAATGACCCATACCTTACACCTTTTATGAAACTTAACATGTATCATAGACCCACCTCTATACAATTTGTTTTTTAAAAAAGAGAAAATTTTTGTGATCTTGTTATGCAAAAAGTTCTTAGATAAGAAACCAAAAGCACTATCTATAAAAAAAGAATAAATTTATAAACTTGGTTTTATAAAAGAGCTGAAAACTATTCAAATGTCCATAAACAAACTGTAGTCTATCCATACAATGGAATACTACCTACAACAATAATAAATAAACTATGAGTCATACAATACTGATGAATCACAAATGCATTTTGCTAAGTGAAAGAAAGACCCAATAATTACATATTGTATGATTACACTTATATGACATTCTGAACAAGGCAAAGCTATCTCATAAAGAACAGATCAGTAGTTGCTAGGAATTAGGAGTTGTGGGAGGGTTTGACTGCAAAGGAGCAGCAGGAGGGAATATTTTGGTGTTATGAAGCTGTTTTGTGTCGATTATTCTGAGTGATGTATCTACCACGTGACTCTGCATTTGTCAAAATCTGTAGAACTGTATACCATAAAGAGTGGATTTTACCATATATAAATTTAAAAATAAGTTTTAAAAATAAATACAGTAGGTTTTGCTATCTTTCCCAATAACACATTTCCTGGTACTTCTCTGACACACCTGACTTCCAAACCATGGATGTTTGTATTAGCCTGTGGGTCACCTCCCTTTCTCTCTTCTGATCCTTCTAGACTTGCACTGTGCAATACTATAGCCACTACCTATGTGGGGCTATAAAGCATTTTAAGTGTGGCTAGTCCAAAACGGAGATGTGCTGTATGTGTAAAATACATATCAGATTTTAAAGGCTTAGAACAAAAAAACGTAAACTGTTTTATTGACATATGCAAATTAATTGTGTTTGAAATAAATTTTTTAATATATTGGATTAAATACAATATAGCATTAAATTACTTTACCTGTTTCTTTTTACTTTTAAAATGTGACTTCTGAAAAATTTAAAATTACATTTGTGGCTCACATGTCGTTTCTACTGCACAGCACTGGTATAAAGTTCTGCAGTGTCTGGTATCTCTGCTTTTCCAAGTTTCTGACTCTCAGCTCTTTGGAACAGACTAAACTTGGGTTCTGGGATTCATTCCTGAACCTTGGATACTGCTTTCTCCATCACTCTCTGTTTTTCTGTACCCACTCCCACTTTCTCTTCCCTTCATCTCCTTGGGAATACAATAATATAATGGAATAATGATCTTGCCTACTGTATTAGTTTGTTCTCACACTGCTAATAAAGACATACCCAAGACTGGGTAATTTATAAAGGAAAGAGGCTTAATTGACTCACAGTTCCACGTGGCTGGGGAGGCCTCACAATCACAGTGGAAGGCGAATGAGGAGCCAGGTCACATCTTACATGGTGGCAGGGAAGAGTGGACTTGTGTAGGGGAACTCCCCTTTATAAAACCATAAGATCTCATGAGACTTATTCACTATCATGAGAACAGCATGGGAAAGACCTGCCCCCATGATTCAATTACTGGGAGGTAATTACCATGACACGCGGGAGTTGTGGGAGCTACAATTCAAGATGAGATTTGGGTGGGTACACAGGCAAACCATATCATCCGTGAACAGAGATGTTTTATTTAAACAGTACAAAGCTTTCCAAGTTTTGAATTCCCAAAATTGGTGTGATAACTCTCCAATTCCTACAAGACCTACCACTACCTGTGGAAACTTTACATGTTTACATTATTTATCTGGACCCTGAAGAAATTTGAGTTCATGAATCCTAGACTAGCCCACCTTTCTCATTTTAAAGATGAGATCATCAATGTCCAGGATGGGAAGTGACTTTCCCGAATTGGCTTGGTCAGAGGAACAGCCAGAACTATCTCCAAGTCCACTGCTCTTTCACATTCTTCACTATCACAAACAAACCTGCTCTCTCTTGATTTGTTTTCAAAATCCTGTGGGACTTGAGTACAACAGCAAATCATCAGCTAGCCTCTTCTGATGTGATTCACGAACTCTCTCAATCAAATGTGGCTGCAAATTGTGTCACAAGAACACCTTCCACCATCTCTCTCTTGAGCTACCTGCCACAGTTCATTTAGAACCTTGCTTCATTTCCCCCATATTAATTACGAAGATTGAAAAAAGTTATTTTTGTATATGTTGTTTGTATACAGACATATCTCAGTACACAATTGATCATCTGCCGTGGGATTTCTGTGCTACTATGGAATCCAAGCTCCTAGAAGTAGTTAAGTTTATGTCAAATTATACTTACTGGGTGTATTAGTCTGTTTTCACAATGCTGATAAAGACATACCCGAGACTGGGCAATTTACAAAAGAAAAAGGTTTAATTGGACTTACAGTTCCACGTGGCTGGGGAAGGTCTCACAATCATGGAGGAGGGTGAAAGGCACTTCTTACATGGTGGCAGCAAGAGAGAATGAGGAAGAAGCAAAAGCCGAAACCCCTGATAAACCGGTCAGATCTCATGAGACTTATTCACTATCATGAGAATAGCACAGGAAAGACTGGCCCCCATGATTTAATTACCTCCCCCTGGGTCCCTCCCACAGCACATGAGAATTCTGGGAGATACAATTAAAGATGAGATTTGGGTGAGGACACAGCCAAACCATATCATTCCTAGAAGTCAAGGGAGTCAAATTTATGTCAAATTATAATCACTGGGGAATGGTTGGATTATGAAAAATTTTGAGTTTCTTTTCTATTCTGGGATTTTTAACTTCTTTGAGTCTCCTCTGAGCACCCTCTCAGATTGTGGAAGTCTGAGTGCAGAACTTTGCACAGGGTGGGCCCCCGCCAAATACTAGTCCCCATGAGTTTGTACCTAACAGATTCTTTTCCATTGTCCACCTCTTCCTCCAAGTCTGTGTGGCCCTGCTTTGCTGTCAGATTCTAACTCAGTTCTCTGTGAAGAAAGGTAAATCAAAACACACCTTAAGACACTTTCCTCAGTTAGCTCTTGCGTCTGTCCAATTATCCCCTTTTGGGACCCCTTTGTGTCAGTCTCTGGCTAATCAGTGTTCACACCACGTCCTGATTTAGTATAAACTGTAATTTTCATGAACACAGGGAGGGATTCACTCCTTCTTCCAAATTAATGATGAAGGTGTTAAATAAGAGCATCCCCAACAGCCATTTCTGCAGCTCCCTACGACCAGAAACTTTGCAATTTATCAATAAACTTTCTTTGTGATCTTGTAGCTAATTTTGCAAATAAAATTTCCTGAGACATATCGTCTTTACCAACATAAGATATATTACATCTCTTGCATTTCCCCTTCATCTATTCATAACTCTGTCAAAAAAAGCTATTGTGCAGGAATGATTTGTTTCTTTGAAGCCTACATCACTTATTGTTCCTGATATCATCACTCTCCTGCTACTTAGAGATGTGTATATATATGAATATGATTGGAAATGATGTTTACAGGGCAATTATTGCCAGTATCTTCCTTTTCTTCTTCCTTACTTCCAAAATCAGGCTATGTTTCGTATTCACACCAGTCCATCCATCTGCTAATTTTCCTGATTCCATACCAAGTGCTCAGCCTGATTTCTGATGATTACTATATGAAGCTCATCAAATTCGAAGGGGCCCATCCTCTGGATCTTGAGCAACATCCTAAGTAATATAGGCCAATGTCGAGGAGTCCTTGCACTCTCACAGCATGAGGGAAACCCACTTCCCAGGCACCAAAAGGGAAGTGTAAGAACCCTAGGTTCTTCTATTAGTGGAAATATATTTTTTTCAGGGAGCTCCTGTGGAGCTCCTGTGGAGATACGGGGTTTTTAGAAAATTAAGAGAATTACAGAGATCAACTAGGAATAGAAGTCCTGCCTCATTTTCATGTGGCCTAAAATAAATTGGGAAATTTGTCCATCTTAATCTCCTGGATATTTTACTTGTTTTGGTGTCTTGTCTTTTAAAAAAAGAAAATGGACATTTATTGAAAGCCTGTCCTAAGCCAGTCCACACAACCCCTAATATGTATTTTATTATCCCCATTTTATGGATGACATTATAGAGATTATGGTTATGTGGTTATGCCTGAGGCCACAAAGGCAACAGGTAGAGCTGGGACTCTTATACAGTCTGTTTAACTTCAGAGACCTGTCATTTTCCACCACCCATGCTAATTTATGTTTTACAGAAAATCATTTTAGATAATCATTATAGATAAGTCTAAAATCATTTAGAAAATCATTATAGATAAGTCTCACACCTACTCTGACCCTAGTTTCCTCTCCTGTAAAATCAAGGGTTTGTAATAACTTCATTGCTAAGATTTCTGCTTGTTGTAACACTCTGAGAGCCTTGAAGGACTTGAATTCAGGGCAAAAGAAGACCTCATTGTCTTTCCTATAGGTAAATGCTAATTTTAAAAAATAGAAAAAATAATGAGAGAACAATATGAGCTAAGACATATTGGCCTAAGTAAATGAGTGTGGTTCATGCAGATTCAGAAAACTAAATGACTAGAAGTAATTTTGCAAATTTCCTTAGAGATACCAACTAGGCCATAAAAAATGGAAAATGCCTAGATTGAAAACTTTATGGCTTCCCAGCTGCTGACTCCAACTCAAGTTGCAGCTCTTCACCAGGTAATCCAAAAGAGACTTTTACAGGGTTTTTGAACTGAAAGCTCAGCCTTTTGGAGAACATGATTCTGTTTACTGATATTTCCAGAAATCCTCATCACTTAAGGAATTTGAACTACTAGTATGATCTTCTCTTTTGTTTTATGCTCCCTCTTCCTTTGTATATAGTAGATGAGATGGCTTTTCACATAATTTAGTACCTTTGATAGGGAGAAAAATGATCTAGAGTTATGAGAGGGGCCATTACTTACACAGTTGACTACATTCTTAATGTTCTTGTTTCCTTTCTTTCGTTCCTTCCTTCCTTCCTTCCTTCCTTCCTTCCTTCCTTCCTTCATTCATTCATTCCCTCCCTCCCTCCCTCCCTCCCTCTCTCCCTTCCTTCCTTCCTTCCTTCCTTCCTTCTTTTTTAGGGAAAAGAGGGGAAGGGTTTTGCTTTCAGCAGCTTCTGTTTTGCAATTTGTAGTTTCTACAAACAGTATTTTTAAAGACTCTAATAGGCTCAGTCACCAATGGACTGGCCCATGCTCCACGTTCTCTCCCAGCCGGGACACCTGGCTCCTTGGCCAAAGCAGTGAAAGAAGAGATCATGGGCTGGTCATTGACAATGGCTCCAGCATGTGCAAAGCTGGCTTTGCTGGACACAACGTCCCCCAACCCATGTTCCCCCTCCATCGTTGGGCACCCCTGACACCAGGGCATGATGATGGGCATGGGCCAGGACTCCTACATTGGTGACTAGGCCCAGAGCAAGCATGAAAGCCTGACCCTGAAGCACCACATTGAGCATGACATCATCACCAAATACAATGAAATGGAGAAGATCTAGTTCCACATCTTCTACAACAAGCTGCGCATCACCTCTGGGGAGCTCCTGGTTCTGCTGACCAAGGCCTCCCTGAACCACTAGGCCACTCGTGAAAAGATGACCCAGATCATGTTGGAGACTTTCAACATCCCAGCCATGCAGGTGGCTATCCAGGTTGTGCTTATTGCACGCCTCTGGCAGCACCACTGGCACCATGATGAACTCTGGTGATGGGGTCACCAACATGGTGCCCCTCTACCAGGGCTGTGCCCTCTTGCATGCCACCCTGCATCTGACCTGGCTAGCTGGGACCTGACTACCCTACAAATACCCTCACAGAGCAAGGCTACAGCTTCACCTCCATAGCCGAACAAGAAATCATGCACAACATCAAGGAGAAGCTGTGCTATCTCTCCCTGGACTTCCAGAGAAGATGGCCACCACAGCCTCCAGCTCCTCCCTGGAGAAGAACTAGGGGCTTCCACACAGCAGGTAATCACCACTGGCAATGAACAGTTCCAGTGTCTAGCCCTCCTTCCTGGGCGTGGAATCTTGTAGCATCCATGAGACCACATTCAACTACATCATGAAGTATAATGTGAACATCTGCAAGGACCTGTTTGCCAACACAGTGCTGTCTGGTGACACTATCATATACCTGGGCATCACTCACAGGATGCAGAAGGAGGTCACTGCCCTGGCGCCCAGCACCATGAGGATCAGGATCACCACTCCCCTTGAGGGCAAGTACTCGGAATGGATTGGTGGCTTTATCCTGGCCTCGCTGTCCTCCCTCCAGCTGACGCAGATCAGCAAGCAGTAGTGTGATGAGCTGGCCCCTCCATCATCCACTGCAAATGCTTCTAAATGGACTGTGAGCAGATGCATAGCATTTGCTGCATGAGTTAATTCAGAAGTATAAATTTGCCCCAGGCAAATGTATACACCACATGCTAACCTCACAAAATTGGAATAAGCTTTTGAAAAGAAATTGGTCCTTGAAGCTTGTATCTAATATTGGCACTGGATTATAGAATTTGTTGCTGATTTTGACCTTGTATTCAAGTTAATTGTTCCCTTGGTATTTGTTTAACACCCTGTACATATCTTTGATGTAAACCCTTAGTACATGTGGCTCAGTCACTTCATGGCTGAGGTGAAAACATGCTTTTGAAGGAGAAGTCTGTGGCTTGGTGAGTCCGCGTGACCAGCAGTCTCTCAATCTGTGCAGGTATTAATGTGTCAGAATGGAGTGCTTCAGGATTTCTCTAGAGGCTGACAAAACTTCTGAACCAGTTGTCCTTTCTGTCTTTCCGATCTATGAGGGTTGGAGAAATCCAAGCCTTAGGACCCAGTTTCCTTTCTTACCTGATGTTTTCCTGCCAGAACACGGTGGCTTGCCTTGAGTTAGAAGTGGTTTGCATTCGCCCCTGTAAGTGTATTCATCCTTTTAATTTATGAAAGTTTTTGTACACAATTCTGGATTCTTTAAGAAATGAAAACAAATTTTTGTTTTCTACTGTTATGTGAGGACATTAGGCCCCAGCAACATGTCATTGTGTAAGGAAAAATAAAGTGCTGCAATAAAAAAGATAAAACAAGATTAAAATAAATAGTTTAGTGGGCATACTTTTACATAAAAATTCCTATATTTCTATAAAGTCAGCCTGTTTTTGATTCCCTCTGATGGACCAAGTACCTTAAGCAAGTATTCCTTTCTTGGCAGCTTGAATACAATTAAATTTTCTAGGATAAATCCCTGTGAATTTTTTGATGCTGGGTAAGGGTTGGAGAAATGGGGACTAGCTGGTTAAAAACTCAAGTCCAAGGTACTCTTTCAATCATATTATAAAACATATGTATTTTAAAAATTGAGATTCATGTAATTTTCTGACTTGATTGAACCAGAAACTCTCAGCAAGAGCTTGATTTCCAGCCCATTATCCAGACCAAATAGGTTTGGATGAGCTTCTGTTAAGTATGCAATTCTCAGGCTCTCTGAATTCTGCTCATCAACAGTAAAAACATGCTGCAGACGACAAGCAGAGGAGCTTTTGGGTCCTCTAATTTCCACTGTCTGAGCCATCAGTGAGCAGGGGCACAGCATCCTAATAGAGAGTGCCTGCACGTGCCCTTTCTCAAAATAGCTACTTGGCTACCCTCCTTTGGTTACTTCTCTGGGCTAGGAACATAAAAGGCTGGCAAATCTAGGATTATAAATGTCACTGCATAGTATCAGCAGATCACATAGTGGTGATTAAATTATTAAGCCCCTAGTTGGTGGGGGTCTCAATTTTCCTACCTTTAAAATGGGAGTAATGCCATTTTAAAGGTGTGGTAAAAAGAGAGGTGATATATACATGTATATACATAAAATGTCATGCAAGGTCCCTAGCATAGGGAACACAATAAAGTGCTTGTGGCATCTGGTGGTTGTTGGTGTTGTTTAATGAATGTAACAAGCACATATGGAAGGTCTGCCTCATGTCCATGCTTTGCAAAGCTCTGAGATCACAGACATTAGGGCTTTTGTCCAGGCAGAGCCCGCATGGACCCCCACCTCCACCCATGCTCTTCCCAGAGCCACTCACTATTTGCCAAGCTTGTTAGGCTTCCCTTGCATGCCATGCAGACTAGAGTGCCACCTCTTCTTATCCAGATCACCAGGCCTGGTAGTCATGCAATTTCAGGCATGGAAGAAACTTTTGCCAACAAAATGAAAAAGGAATTCTAACTTCTTTCTTTGCCAATTTCTGAACCTAGATGGTCATGAAAATTGAGATATATGCTTCCCCCACCCCCCGCCCAGTGCCTCAAAACACATGTACTACTTAGCTCAGGCCTACAGGTGATTTGTTCTTCTTGAATATATTATTCAAAATGTCAGTGCTCAATTTGAACACATCTTAAAATTGTAGATATGATGCCTTTTTTGTGAAAGGGTGTTAGAAAGCTGCAGCTGTCTGGCACGTGCCAGTAGTTTAAGTGTGTATGTGTGTGTTTGTGTGTCATGTAAGTTATCCATGCTCTTTTAGAGAAATTGAGAGATAAAAAAGTAATAAAAATGTAAGTGCCCCAAAATTCCACTATGCAGAGTCTATTTAATTGTTAATCTTCTGGACTCTTTTGGGCATTCATATACGTGCATCTAAATTTAAAAATGTAGACATCCTGTAATAAAATAGGGCCATATTTTACATGCTAATTTTATTCCATTCAATAATATCGTAATTATCTTTACATCTCCCTCTCATATATATATACGTATGTGTGTGTGTATACACCCATTTATATCTTCATCCCAAATGACTATAAATACCATAATTTATTTAATCAATTTCCTATTATCAAACAGTTGTTTTAATTTTTTTTCTCATAAATGTGACCCAGGCATTACTAGCAAATAAGTGCAAATATAGTAACATTAGTTCCCCACATTTAATATCTCTAATGGCCCAACTCCCATCATTTTCAGAATTTTCCTCCTTCAATATTTCCAAGAATCCCCAAGTGCTTACATGTGTCCGTGGATCATTCCTGTTGCTTGCTTCTCTAGCCAACTGAACCAAGGCAGTGCATCCCCAAGCCGGACAGTTCCACAGGACATGCTCTGGTCAGGCACTGTGCCCCTGTTGTTGTACTACTGACCTCATCACCATGTTCTGAAAATCCACCATTCCAAATGTGTCCACTAATGCATTTCAAAATTGGCAATCTCTTCTGCTGTGATAAGCCCTATGAGGTGAAAAGGAAAAGATGTCTTCATTATGCTCAGCTAGGATCCCACAGCGAGCTTGCCTGCTGCCCAATGTGTCCACTGTTGTTATACACTCTATCAGTTCTCACTTAACCACTTTATCTGAGTGGCCACCCACACCTCCCTAGTAGAGGGCAGAATGACCAGTTTGCTGGGACTTTTCTGGTTTTAGCACCGTAAGTCCCATGTCCCAGGAAACTCCTCAATCCTAGGCAAATCTGAATAGTTGGTCTCTCTAGTAGAGGGGTTGATTCAAGTGCTGGTATTAGCTAACACTTTGTATTTGGAACCACTGCTTCCTTCTAATGATGAGGCCCTGTTGCTAAGTGAGGGGCTTACTTTCTCTTTTCTGAAGAATTCACCTTAGGATTACCCCCATCCGGTTTTCACCAGAGCCACATTCACCAGACATGCATGCCTATATCTCAACCTCAAAAAGAAAAAAAGAGAAATGGTTTTAAGTATTTTATCCCAAGAGGCTCTTCAGCTCTTCAATTAGACTTGTGTTTAGCCTCTTAAACTCGTGGATGCAGGTGCATATAAGGTGGGAGAGGTGTTGCCTGACCCCACTCAGCAGAAACTCTGGAATCCCATTGTTTTTACTTTCACATGAACAAGGCCAGATGAATATCCTTGCACTTAGACCTCTATGCATGAGCTTGATTGTTTCTTCAGCATAAATTTCCCCAAATGTAACTGCTTTTTGGGATTTCATACATATTGCAGTTTCCCTCCGGAAGGTCTATTCCAATTTACTCTTTTGGATTTATTTTTTAAACCATGCAAATCTATGTTCAGAATGAAAAAGAAGCTCTGACCAGTTTCTAGAACAGAGCATGTTCTATCCCAGAAAGTCCTTGCCAGAGGGGAAAGGGGGAGGACATGAGAGAAGGGCTGGGAAAGAACAGTTCCAGGGTTGCCTCAAAGGATATGAGCTTTAATAAGCCCCTTATACTTAGGGCTTTGTGGTTATTATAGAGCACCTTCTCCTAGAGTACCTATGCAGTCCCTCTGAGCACAACGTTTCCTCTTTCATTCAGGTCAAAATTTCTGCAGGCTGCTACACCCCAGTCAGGGAATCTGCACTTGGAAGGAAAACAGAGGCTGGGAAAATTCCACCCTGACTTGCCCTCTTTTCTTGTTTGATTCATATCTGTGGCTACTGGCCTCCAGGAAACAAAAATGATAAGAAACCCAAACCCAGGTCATCATTAGCAAAATGAAGCAGTTTTCCAGTTAGTTGGAGGGCAGCCCAAAGTGGGGTGGAGGATTCTGCCTTAGAGAAACTTCCAAAATGATGTCTGATACTTATCAGGGTAACTGACAGGGCTTTGTGCGTCATGCAACCCTCAGTTACCAGGTCTCGTGGCTTCATGGGTCTAGCTCCCTAGTGAAAAAATGGCTGTCTCCTAGAATCAGGCAGAGAAGGTGAAACCTGGGAGTATGGAGTTTATCAAGTTACATTCAACATCTAACCAGCACAGCTAACATTTTCTTGGTATATGAGTGTATCAAGGTTACATTCAACACATACTCTAGGATGAAACACATAGGGAGGTGTATACACAGGGCATGTCTAGCTCCATACAGTTTCAAATCCAGGTAAAGAAAATGTAAGGGATTTGGAATAAAGACAATGTCCTGTTTGTGTGAATACTTTGTAACTCTTGTAAGATATTGGAAATGATCTCCTCTTCACTGAGCAGTATGGGAAGCAAATCACTCTTACCATTAAATCTGATTTGAATGCCAAGTGCACTAAATAGATGCCCATTTACATAATTAACTTGAAAAATAACAAAAATAAGACCCGATTCCCTCATCACTCCTGTAGAATCCTGGGTAGGTAGGTGGTCCTGATCTTAGTCCTAGCTGACCAAGGTTTTCCAACCAAGAGCAGGCTTCCAGGATGCTCCCGCTGGCTCATCCAAGATATTCTCCTGAGCTGCCTGGACTTGAGTGAGGAGCAAGAAGCAAGAAATCACTGCATTGGAGATCATGGCTGAGATAATGCTTTTATTTGGGTACTTAACTCTCCTATGTCTCATGGGGGAAGTAATCCAGCAGGACATACCAGAAACTTGGTTTCTGGTCTGTGTAAATCTCACCATAAGCAAGTTGCTTCTTCTCTCTGGGAATCAGTTTCCTGGCCTTTAAAATTAGGAGTTTGAACTATGTTGTCTCCTAAGATCTTTTCACCTTTACTATAATCAACAAAACAGCTTCCATCAAACAAATCACCTATATCTCTTTTGAGTTTTAGAAAAGTTCAATTTAAAACCATCATTTGAATTTCTGCAGGCGCTGTGTGAAAAGTCACATGCTAAAGGGCAATTGTTTGCCCTTCATTGTTTCACTACTGTTGCCCTGGTTGGCCTTGGGTAGTGGGAAGCTTCTAAGTGCTCTGGACATGGACAAAACCATCCTTTGCCATCAAAATGGCAAAAGAAAGTGCAGTTTTGCTCTTTTTGTGCCATTCTTGGGGCTTCATTGGCTTCTTGGAAGGCAAATAAATGACCTTTTACCACCTTCACTGCTATATCCCTTCATATTTTACACTTTTCTGAAGTCCCGTTATGCTTTCATTTAGAGTCCAGATTCTAGATTGACTGTACTTACTCCAGCCTTTCTCCAAGCTCCAACTAAAGAACATCTGAAATAAACACTTCTACATTTATTGTAACATCGTCAGCTGGTTTCCAGGGTTGATCCTGAGAAGTCGGCAGCCAATTTGATCATGGTTCCTGTGGAGGTAGCCTGTCTTTTCTTGTTTTGTTGTCTCTTGTTCATGTTGCTCATTTTATCATGTTTTTAGCAATTTTTGTTCATCATCTCATATTCCCTGAAATTTTATTTATAATAATTTTTTGAGCACCGTGTTCTTCAAAGAGAGGCCTCATCAACCTGGAGTTATTTTTAACCACATGGTTAATTTGGGGTTTTTAGGCCATTGAGATAGCATAAATGTGTGTCCGAATCCCCCAAGCAAAGGTTCAGGCAGACAAATGTTGCTCTGTGAGGCAGGTTATCCTACTGAGGGTGTAACCCTTCAAGGGTGATGTTTTATTCAGAGCCCCAGGCTTTGTCTCTAGTCCCCTCTGAATGTGACTCTAGGCCACCAGGATAATTCTTGGATTTGGGAAAAATGTTAGCTGTACTGGTTTTAAAATATATCTACATATTCTCCAGTACTTCTCCCTTCAAAAAGTGGAAACTAAATTCCACTCCCCTAGAGTGTGAGCTGAACTTGATGACTTGTTTCTAATGAATAGAAAATAGTGGAAGTCATGGTACGCAACTTTCAAGACACTATGGGCCTTCTCCTTGCTCTCCTTGGATTGCTTATCCTGGGGGAAGCCAGTTACTAAAGTGTCAGGACACTCAATCAGCTCTATAGAGAGGCACCTTGGCATGGATCTGAGGCCTCCTGCCAAAAGCCATGTGAGTGTGCCATCTGGGAAGCACATCTTCCAGCCCCAGAAAGCCTTCAGATGATCTTAGCCATGGCCAATATCTTGACTGCAGCCTCTGAGCCAAAACCACCCAACCAAACAGCTCCCAAATTTCCAACCCACAGAAACTAGGAGATAATAAATGTTTATCATTTTAATAGACTAAGTTTTAGGATAATTTGTTACTCATCACTAGCTTATCTCTTGGAATTCTCCTTTTTTGTCACTTCTGACCTTCAATTATTTACTTTATTGCCAGAATAGCCATGCTTTTAAAAAGTACTTATTACATTTCATCTAGGATCTTAGGGAGTCACTTCTCGGGAGCAGCTTCTGCACATCTAGCCTGCCATATTTCTGAAAACAGAAGTCCTCACATTTGTTAACAAATCCCCTTGTCAAATGTAAAGCTAGTGAGGCAGGTTCATTAACCTCATGATGTAAGTAAGGAAGCAGTTTCAAAAAGACTGAGTATCTCCCCAAGGCCACACTGCCAGCAAGGAATGGAGCTAGGATCTGAATCCAAGTATAGCAAACACCAAAGTCCATGTTCCCTTTAAAATCACAAGCTGCTTTCCATGGATAGAATTGAAAATACTGTTGTCATCCAATCTAATCATTTATACATTGGGATAGAATGGATAGGAAAAGGATAGGTGGGAAGAAATAGAGGCAGAAGCTAGGGGCCCTGCTACCAGTGTGCTGAGGCTGCAGAGGGACTCTTGTGATCTTCGAGTGGACCTCCCAACTGTTCCTTGGAAAAGTCATTTGGCCCCATGCTGTCTTCTCTTCTATTTCCCAAGGTGTTCCCCAGGGTCCTACTCTAAATTGCGGTCTGGAGCACTCTCTCTCCCTCTGCACGTGCTCTCTGGGAGGACTGCGCTGCTCAATGGTTCCCATTAGTGATCATTTCCTGACAAATTCCCAGCTATCTTTGCAGCCGTGCCTCTCAGTCCTTCCCAGGCTTGTCTCTCTTGTTGTCAGCTGGAAGGTTGCACAACCAAATGATGAGCTCATGATATCACACACCCAGTAGGCAAGTAATTTAACTTCCCTAAGCCTCAGATTGCTCATCTATAAAATGGGAGCAATAGTGACTATCTCATGCACTTATGAATATTAAATGCTATACTATAAGATGTATAAAACCCAGTGATTGGCACATAGTAAAAGCTGAATAAATGGTAGTTATCTAGAAGGTTTAGCAAATTTAGTTGGTATTGGCTGGTGGCATAGCATGTGGTAGGGAAAGGTTTGTTTTTATGTATTTTCCAGTTTTCACATTTCATTGTAACACAAATGTAATTTCAGTGAAAGGAACAGGATGAAAATATGCAAGGCCTTTCTTATGACCTCTACCAACCCAGGGATTTAACATCATTAAGATAACTATTTGGACAGTTTAAGGCTACATATTTGCAAATGGGATTTTAAGGGTGAAAACCCATTTGTAACCCTAAGGTGTTTAAACAACCCTGCAATTTGATCTCAAATCCCCCCAGCACTATCTTAACTACTCCAGCCTCCTGTCTGGCAATCCCAGTCTTACATCTAGGACCACCTGTCAATTGCTGCAATGGCTGGGGTTTTGTGAGGCTCTCAGCTGTAACCTGATCTGCACAAGTGTTTGAGGGATGCTGCAGCTGCCACAAAATTTGTAAGTTTTACAGTGTTGTGTGGTGGCTGGGGTTCAACGGCACACCTCTGGAAAGTTTCCATTCATTTATTTCCTCATTCACCAAAACGTGATGAGTGCTAGCCAAGGGCTGGTCCCTGTGCTAACTAAGCCCTGGGAGTAGAAAGGGAGTAAAATAGGGCCTCTGTCTTCAGGGAGCTCACAGATTAGTAGCAGGCATAGACAGACAAAGACGTATTACAACACACATTTGTGCTTGATATGAGAATAGAAGCAGATACAAACATGGAAGAAAGTGACCATCCAAGGTGGGAGAAGAGGGGAGGGGAGGAACAGCTTCCCATAGGCATGGTATCGGGTGGGCTGTTAAATGTTTCTCTTGGCTCTAGCACCAACTCCCGTGTAATGGCACCCTGCCTTCCTACCTTTGTTCTTCCTATCTCGCTGGCCCAAATCCTTTTCTAGTTCCCATTTACTCTTAAACAAGTTCCCAGTATCTTATTTCCTCATAATTGTAGCACATCTCCCATCCCAGCACAACCCCAGAGGCACTTTCAGTTCAACATTAAATCCTGCCGTTTCTTCTTCTGTCTTCCTTAGCCTTCCCACAGCTCCGGTCCGAGCCATAATCACTTCACACCTGGACTCCTGCCTCCCAATTAGCTCCCCTTCCTGCAGCCTGGGGGTCTCCTCTCCTCTATTGGACACACATCATCGAGAATCATCTTCCTCCAGCGTCACTTAGATCACATCGCTCTCCTCTTTGCTTGCCCATAAAGGCTCCCAGTTGTCTCCCAAATCATATTAAAACTCCTCTAGTCTCAGGCTTCAAGACCCACTACCAACTAGCGCTGCCTTACCTAACAGCCGGCTTCACTCAGCTCAGGCCCACGCGCTTTGCTCTAGCCTGGCAGAGCTCTTCCACCTGCTTCTTTGCACCTGTACAGCCATCCCTACCCATGCAGTTATCTGAAATCACTGTGCGTGTGCACTCTCACAGAGGTGTGTGTGTAGGGGCGCGCGTGTGTTTGCAGGAGGAGTAGGAAAAGAGAAGGGGAGCCAGCCACTGTCCCTCCACATTCTACTGTAGGGGAAAGCTCTGAAGCAGGAGCATCAAGGGTGGAGATGAAAGAGAAACACAGGAGAGGGTGGTGGCAGGATGTCAGGAGGGGAGGAGCTACGACCAGTGTTCTGCTGCTAGTTGTGGACAGGTGAAAGGACAGAACAGTGGGCCCTGGTGGCTCTGCTAACTCTCTCACTGCCTCCCTTCTGTGTTGCTCTGCCTTCTCTTTCCTTGGGGTGATTGCTCCAGTCCCTTAGACATGTGCATTGCATCATGTCATTCCTATTCTTAACACTCCTCTGAAGCTTCTTCTCAGGGTAGAGTACAGCTCTTTTTACTCAGAAGGATGTGGTCTGGCTAGGTGCTGTGGTTCACGCCTGTAATCCCAGCACTTTGGGAGGCCGAGGTGGGTGGATCACTTGAGGTCAAGAGTTCAGGACAAGCCTGGCCAATATGGCAAAACCCCATTTCTACTAAAAATACAAAAAATTAGCTGGGCATGCTGGTGGGTGCCTATAATCCCAGCTATTCAGAAGGCTGAGGCAGGAGAATCTCTTGAACCCGGGAGGTGGAGGTTGCGGTGAACCGAGATCATGCCACTGCACCACTGCACTCCAGCCTGGGAAACAGAGCAAGACTCTGTCTCAAAAAAAAAAAAAAAAAAAAAAAAAAAAAGGAAAGCTGTGGTCTGACTCTGCTCCTTCTCCAGCATCATCCCATACTACTTTCCTCCTTACTCACTAGGCTGGAGACACTCTGGTTGTTCTTCCAGCCTCTGAAATATTCCCCTCCCACTGTGGGGCCTTTGCACGTACTGTTGCTTCCACCTGGCATCCCCTTGATCACATTTCTCATCTAGCCTAGCCTGTTCATTGTTCAGGCCTCAGCCTCCATGTCACCTTCCCTGACCACCTTCACTATAATTCTCTATGACAACAATATTCTGTCTATGTCTTTCATAGTACTAGCTACAGTTTGTAAATTGACATGTAATAATTTGTTTTCTCATTGACTGGCTACTTCCACTATTAAATTGTAAGCCTTGTGAGGTAGGAAACCATTCGTCTTGTTCGCTGGTGTGCTGCTATAGAATTCCTGGCACAGAGTAGGAGCTCAGTAAATATTTTTACTAAGATGACTAGGACCTTGCTCACTCAAAATCATCCATCATCTCCCCAAACCACAGGTGCCCTGTGCTTGGCCCAATTTTTGGACAAGAGGAAACACTCCAGTCTTCCAGGAAGCTTCATTCTAAAATGCCTTGCATACCCAATCCCCAAAACCACTATCTTCTGCCTTTCAAAATCTGTTCAAGCATCTTCTACTTCTGAGACAATTCCCCAAAACAACCCTTTCCAAGTCTAGTCTAGGATTTGCAAATTAAAATGCCTATACAGGCCAGCAAGTACTTGAGTGAGGTGGGCCACGTGTAGGGTGAGAGGGAGTGCTGGGGACCATGGTTACCTGCTGAGCTGGTGTTCCATGTAAAGGGAGACAGTCCCTCCTCTGCTCCAGTGTGTTGTTAACATGTGAGGAAAGTAGGCATCATATTGTTAGATTTTCCAATTTTTTAAACAAAGCTAAAAACAAGAATTGTTACATGAAACATCTATATTTTAAAAACATGCTAGAGGAATAATTCTGCAATCTCCATCTGCCTGATGGTCAACTTCTGCTCTATTCTGTCAAGGCAGTTGCTTGACACTTGAGTTAGTGTATGGTGGGCATGCTTACATGCCTGAGTCCTGTGCGTGCCTGCAGCTGATGCCAGGATTTAGGCTCCCTGCCTTCTTTACAATCCCTCCAAACACCTCTTCTCCTTGTCAGGGCTGCTTCCCAGGAAGGCAGCAGCCAGCTGTGCTGTTGTGTGGACAGAGCCTTGCCTGTGAGGCGCAGAAGCACGGCACTTCACCAAAGCTCATAGATTTTGTTCATTCTGCCTCCATCCCTCCGTCAGTGTGAGAATTACAGACTCTCCATTTTCTCTGCTCTCCTTCTGCCTTAATGCCTTTGTTGAAAAGTATCCCCATCCTTTGTTCTAAATTCCAGTCTCTTTTGTGCTATGATGATAATGTTAACTCTGTAATTGTGCATAAGTCAGCAAACCAGAGTAATGCCTTATCCATTCAGCACTGTCAGGAAATGAGGTGTTCCACATAATTAAATTGTCCAGATAACTAGAGCTAACCAACATTTTAAAGATCAACATTTTTAAAAGAGTAAATGGAAACATCCCAAAGTTTATTATACACCCTCTTGCCTTCTTTATTTTAAAATTATTTTTTAGCATTTTTTTCCAGGATAGAAACAAAAGGGTAGAGAGTGATCATTAAGTCTTCTCTCTATCCCAGCACTATGGCCCTCACTTCCCCATCCCTAACAGAGGCTACTGGCGTCAACATTACCAGGCTACAGGCATATCCTTCCTGTGATAGTCTATATGTATACAAGCCCAAAGGTGACATGCCATGGTGCTCTACTACACCTTGTTTTTAAGGACTTATGTACTGATCATCATTTTTCATCAATACACAAAAAGCCGCCTCATTCTATATAAAGGCAACATCTGGTCCATTGTATGGATGCAGCATTATTTAATAAAGCAATCTCCTACTGATGGGCATCTAGTTATTTTCAATCTTTTGCTATTATAAAAAAATGCTACAGTTTTAATCTTTGTATTTACTCCATTTTGCACACATTCGAATATGTTTATAGGTTAAATTTCCAGAAGAGAATCGCTGTCTCCAAGAAGGGTTATGTGTCTTTGTCATTGTGATAACTATTATCACACCACCTTTCATAGTTTGCATCAATTTCTTTCTCTTGCTATCACTGTATGAGGGGACTTGTTTCCCCACACTGTCATCAATACAATATACAACCAAATTTTCTTTAAAATTGTTGTTAATCAGTGAGTAGAGGATACTAGTGCATTTAATTTTTTAAAATATATTTTTATTATGGAATGTGGCTTTTATAAACTGTCCTTCTCTGTGCTTCTAATATGCTTTGGTTTGAATTTTACTTTGTCTAACATGAGGATTGTAAAACTTGCTTGCTTGCTTTCTTGCCATTTTCATTTTTCTTGTAACTTTTTGTCCATCCTCCATTTTCTTTAGTGTGGTACATTTGTTACAATTGATAAACCAATGTTGATATGTTATTTTAACTACAGTAGGGTTCACTGTTGGTATTATACATTGTATGGGTTTGGACAAGTATAATAACGTGTTTCCACCATTATAGTAGCATACAGAATATCTTTGCTGCTCTGAAAGTCCCCTGTGTTCCACCTTTTCATTCCTCCTTTGCACTCTTCTCTAGAACCCCTGGCAGCCACTGATCTTTTTACTGTCTTCATTGTTTTGCCTTTTCCAAGATGTTGTATAGTTAGAATCATACAGTATAGAGCCTTTTCAAACTGGCTTCTTTCACTTAGTAATATACATTTAAGTTTCCTCCATGCCTTTACATGGCTTAACAGCTCATTTCTTTTTAGTGTTGAATAATATTCCACTGCCTGGATGTACCACAGTTGGTTTATCCATTAACCTTTTAAAGCACATCTTTGTTGCTTCCAATTTGGGGCAATTATGAATAAAGCTGTTATAAACATTCACGTGCAGTTTTTTATGTGGACATAAGTTTTCAACTCATTTGGATAAAACTCCAGGAGCATGTTTGCTGGATTGCATGGTAAGGCTGTGTTTAGCTTTGTGAGAAACTGCCAAACTGTTTTCCAAGGTGGCTATACCATTTCGAATTCCCAACAGCACTGAATGAGAGTTCCTGTTGCTTCACATTCTTGTCAGCGTTTAGTGCTGTCAACATTTTGGATTTTAGCCCTCCTGATAGATGTGCAGTGATATCTCATTGATATCGCTGCACATTTTAATTTACATTTTTCTAATGACACTGAGCACCTTTTCATATGCTTGCTTGCCATCTACTTTGGTGAGGTGTCTTCAGATCTTTTGCCTACCTTTTAATTATGTTGTTCATTTTCTCATTGTTTAGTTTTAAGAATTATTTGTATATTTTGAATACAAGTCCCTTATCTTGGTTTTGCAAATATTTTCTCCCAGTATGTAATTTGTCTTTATCTCATTACTTTTAATCTGCAGCTCTCTTAATATGAGTGAGGTTTATGAGCATCTTTTCAGATATTAAGGGCCATGTATATTTCTCTTTCTGTGCACTATGTATCCCTTGGTCTTTTCATACTAATGACTAGGTAAACCTAACAAAATTTAACCATTATTTGAGAATTGAGTCATTAATGTGAACATAGATTGCTACATTATACCACAATTGTCCAAACTGCTTTGCTCCTTTGAGATCTTGTATCTCTTTTTTCATAGTTCCCTTTTCTCTCCCCAGGGTTTAGGATATACACCATCCTTTCTTGGTTCTCTTAAGCGTTTGTCTTTCAAAGCCTCTGCCTTCTTCTTGTAATTTGATGCCTTTGATACTAAGGGTTTCTGATACTAAAACAGTAAAATTTGCTATAATAGACTGGAAATTTGACTGATTCATGAGTCAAATTCATAGACCACAGCACATATACTTTACACATCTATTTGGTCACTCAGGAGCCTTTATTTTCTGGTCCTTGACCTTCTTCAGAATATTCAGAGTGGTCTAGCCAATGAATTTTTACTTCTAGTATTCCTGCTAGAACATTTGAGGTTAATCATAGGCTGGAAGCCCTAGTTGTGAGTAGAGCCCAGGGCCGACATGTTACTGTAAATATAAACATAATTGCCTTAAATACAGGAAAATTTGCTCCCTCATTATGGAGTAGCAATATGAACTCTTATTTCTGGAAAACTTTAAACAAATGATTTTCCAATGGTATTTTCACGTGGAGTGCTTGCAATGCATGAGCTTTTCTGCGTGGCCTTGGAACTGCAGTTTCCCGTGTGTTACATGGGAAGGAACTCCGCTGCCCTGATAGCCCGGCTGCATCCCATAGATGGCAGTAAACACACTTTTTAGCACTTTCCTTCATCTTCATTGGAATCAGGCTCCTTCAGGGAAAGAAAATGAATGCAGAAACTGTGGAGTAATAATTAGCAAACAGACTCTAGTCATTTGAAAAATTGGCAAGAAGCCTTATTAAAGGAGGTAATAATAGTCATATTTTGCACTTCTAATAGGGCCTTTTATCTCTAGGCTTCCAAGAGCCTGTCTGAGTCATGTAAAGAAAAAAAAAATACCCTGAGCTGGGTCAGAAGTCAGGAAATGTTGGCTCTGTTTGACATTCTGTGCAGCTCTCTCATTTCAAAGTGAAGGTAGAGTGTCTCTGTCGAATTTAAATTCAAGGAATTTATGCAGGTTAGAAAAGAAAAGGCAAGCAAGGCACTGTGAGATAAACATACATTCCTAGGTTAACACAGAAAACATGCTTTTCTCAAAGTTGTTTTCCTGTGGAAATAACAATAGAGCTTTAAGTACTCTGCCTCCTATAAACACATGGACAACCTTATTATTCACCGTGCGCTAGACAAATTGAGAAAGCATTTTTATATCCTCTGTCGTGTATCAAGGCGTAATTATCAGCACATCCTTGTATTTATTCCTGTGAGGCTGGAATGCATACCGCTGCAGATAGATATCAGCCCTGCAAACTCGGTATCATTCATTCTTTATCTCTGGCGGTGGTGATAGCAGAAGAAAACGACTCCTAACACATATACACGGTAAATGCCTTAAATCTACAAGATATGGCTGTCCTCCTTGTCCTGCATGGAAACTGCGTCTTCAATTTCCCACAGAAACTCCAGATCTATTGAAATCTTGGAACATTAAAATTCTCCTTCATTGTTGCCAAGGTTTAGTAACTTGACAACCAGAAGACAGACACCCTGGCTGTTTGAGGGAACGTAGGCTTAAAAATAAGAACAGCTTTTCCTAGTGCATGAAAATTCACCTGGGGCTTCATAGGATGAATATTTTATAATAACTGCTCTCTTTTTGGCTGTGTGACTTTTACATTGGGTAAGTTAATTAACCTCTCTGAGCATCAATTTCCTCATTGTCATAATTCCTACCTCACAAAAGTTGGTTTAAGGATTAAATAAAATCATGAATGTGAAACCACTCAGCATAACACATTACTCAGTAGGTACACAATAACTATTAGTCATTAAAAAATGTAAACATATACATGCAAACATACATAGGAGAGACAGAGAGAGAAATCCAGATTTCTCCTGGGTTTCCTCAGAGATTTAGGTAAATTTGTTCAAAGCCCTAAATTCTGAAGCCCATCACTTATTTTTACATTTCCTGCAAATTCATAACCTTATTTTCTAATGATTTCTTCCAATTCTTCTAAATCTAAGAGTCTTAGGTTAATTTAGTGCCCAGCGAGCTAGTACATAGACCTCAAGTCCTTAACCATTTTCTGCACCTAAAAAAATCCCAACCTCTCACAAGAATATTGTGAATCTGGTAACTTGATTAGAGACTCACAATTGATGAGAGACCGGGTCTTGTCCCTCACTGACTTCCGTCATTTTGCCTCCCCGCCCCCGCGGCCAGACCCCGCTGTCTTCCAAAAGGGGAGGCTGGCAACATGCAACTCACGACCCAGGCAGCCCCATCCCTGGAAAGTGCAACCCAGTCTTTCCCCGTCCTGTTCAACTGCTTCTAGGGTGGAGAGCAGCTTGAACTAAGTGATTGGATTGTTCAGCCTCCCTGGAATTTTGGAAAATACAGTTGTCTCCCTCATTATGATTATTAATTCACTGAAAATCAGCATTCTCATGGAATGTACCATTTCCTTTATTCTATGGAACAATCTATTCTTGTTTATATGTGAACATACTGATAAACACAGTAATAACATTATCTATCTCATACTCTGAGAGGCATTTATACATAACAAGCCATTCTTTTAGGGATTACCTAGAGTGGTTGTTGTTTTTAATTTTAATCGGTTTGATAGTAGATGGTGGTGGTGATAGCAGAAGAAGACCACTTAATCGTATATAAAATTTTCTGTTCATTGCATTCCTCCTTGTCTGATTTTTCTTTTCTACCCAGAACACAAATTCATCTTTTCTTGGTGGTGCAGTCATTAGTATGTGTAATTGTAATGATGCTCTGCCCTGTGGGGGGTTGATTGGGATGTACAGGGCTATCTGCCCCTGCATCCAATGACCCCAGATCCTTGTGTGTTTAGAGTTACTGTCTGGTTGTTGTTTTTTTTTCTACTCTTTTGTTTTCTTGCCTCTTTTTGCTGTTGTCACTGTGTACTATCTCCAGTAGTAATCCTTTCCCCTGTAGTTTCCATTTGCAGTTTCCAGTCTGCTGATTGATGAAAACAAGGCAAATATTAACAGTGGTTTTAAAGTCAAAACCACTGGCATAGGCTATCTTGTATAAACTCTTCTATGAGCAAAGTGTGTGAACTTTGATACGCAGACTTTCTTCTATGTACTTTTAGCTGCTCAGTGGTCTTTTTGCTGAGCCTTGCTGGTTCTTGGCTATGTTTTAGAATATTTAAATTCTAGAAAAAAAATGATCTGAGAGAAGTGATATGTTGCCATATTATTTTCCCATTGGTCTCATTTTAAAACTCCAGATTAATGACATCCCAGGATAAGATCCTGTGAGTTTGCCTGAATTCTATTTACCAGGGAGAATTCTGCTCTCACTTGATTGGGGCCCTGGTCAAACTGGTTGCAAACAAATTCTGAAGGTCACCCTAGGACATACCATTCTAAGACTTAGGGAAGGTTACATTTATTGCAAATCTTAAAACAAACATTTTCTATAAAGGTAAAAATAATCACTTGACGAAAGGGAATTGTTTGTTTAATCAACAAGGGCAGATAATTTCAGGTGCTCAGTTATATTCCCATTTCCGTGCTGTCATAGTTCACTCTCAGAAAAAAAGCTACTTCATTTTCCTTTCTCCACTTACTTCCTCCTCCTGTCTATCTTTTTTCCCTCTCTCCCTTATTTCCTTTCTTTATATACAAATCAGTGATTCTCTTTTTCACTAATGGTGGGGGCAAAGGAGGGTACCAAACCAAAATGGTTTACGTTTCAGATGAGACAAACTATTATAAATGCAAATAGCAAGAAACTTTCTCTTTTCTAACTTTGAGAGTAGCTATGCTAATTTTTTTAAAACCTTATTATCTTTCAGGATTTTCCCAGTATGAATATGTTTCTCCTGAATTGTACATTATTCACGCTTGAAAATTAAGCCCTTCATATAGTTCAAGAAATAGTCATAAATCCACTCTCACAGTGTGTGAGATTCCAGAAACAAGGACGCCTACAAATGGATGCATCCATGATGATCATTCAGATTTTCTCTGCTTTTGAGCTCAGTGTAGGGGACATAGCCAGGTGAGGTGCCCTAAGTCCATGGCAGGTGTGTTTCATTCCTGAAAAGATCCTTCTTTGAAAGTCATACCTGTGTATGTCAACGCCTTTCTTTTCTTTTCTTTTTTCTTTTCTTTCTCCATCCATCCTTCCTTCCTTTCTTCCTTCCTTCTCACTCTCTCTCTCTCTTTCTTTCTTTTTTTTTTTTTACTTTTTGATGGAGTCTCACTCTGTTGCCCAGGCTGGAGTGCAGCGGCACAATCTTGGCTCACTGCAACCTCCACTTCCCGGGTTCAGGTGATTCTCCTGCCTCAGCCTCCCGAGTAGCTGGGATCACAGGTGACCCCCACCACATCTGGCTAATTTTTTGGTAGAGACAGGGTTTCACCATGTTGGCCAGGCTTCTTTCTGTTTTGTTTTGTTTTGTTTTTTGAGACGGAGTCTCACTCTGTCACCCAGGTTGCAGTGCAGTAGCTAAATCTCGGCTCACTGCAACCTCTGCCTCCCGGGCTCAAGCGATTCTCCTGCCTCAGCCTCCTGAGTAGCTGGGACTCCAGGCATGTGCCACCACGCCTGGGTAATTTTTGCAGTTTTAGGTGAGGTGGGGTTTTGCCACATTGGCCAGGTTAGTCTCGAACTCCTGACCTCAGGTGATCCGCCTGCCTTGGCCTCCCAGAGTGCTGGGATTACAGGCATGAGCCACTGCACCCACCCTAATGGTTTTCTTTTAAGCATAGTGATATTGCATAATAAGTAAAAACCAACTGCCTAAGTTAAAATTCCTTCCTAAAGCCAGTTACTTAGCCATTCTGTGCCTCAATTTGTTTATTTCTTAAAAAGTAGATAGTAATAGTGTTTACCCCATAGGGTTGTTTTGAAGTTCCTGGAATTTATGTATGTGAAGTTCTTAGAACAAAGCCTGAAACACAGTAGCACTATGTCAGTGTTTATTGTTTTCAGACTGAGGCCCTCAGAAACAAGCCAATATGGCTTGTGTGGACTTGTAAGCACTTGAGTTCCAGAGTCAATCCCATGTGGATCCCGGCACCTAGTCTCCCACATCCTGGTGGTGTGACCTTGGACAAATTGCTTAAAGAGCTCTAAGTTTCAGTTTCCCTAACTGGAAAAAGAAGATAATCATAGGATCTTCCTTATAGTGAGGTAGGAGGGTCTCCTACCTCAACTCTGGAAGTGGGAGACTTTACCCTGGACCAGACTGAAGACTAGCTGAAACAGGAAAAAGGGGTAAGCACCTCTCCGTAAGACATGCCCACCAGTGCCATGTCAGCTTGCCATGGCTATGGCAACACCTGGAAGTTATTGCCCCTTTCTACAGCAATGACCTGGAAGTATTATTCTTTTTCTAAAAAACTCTGAATAACTCACCCCTTAGTTGGCATGAAATTAAAAGTGGGTGTAAATATGACTACAGAACTTCCCCTGAGCTGCTCCTCTGGGCACACAACCAATGAGTAGCCCTACTCTGCATGGAGCTGTACCTCTGCTGCTGCCGTGCACTGCTGCTTCAATAAAGGTTGCTGTCTAACACCACCAGCTTGCCGTTGAATTATTTCCTGAACAAAGCCAAGAACCCTCCTGGGCTAAGCCCCAATTTGGGGGTTCACCTGCCCTGCATGAATAGGGCTGTTATGAGGATGCACGTAAAGAAGACACAAGATGCCCGGCACAGAGAAAGCGCTCAATGCGTGTCAGCCATGGAGATGTTGAGGAGGAGAGAATGGCAACAACAACGTAGCCTTGCTATAGAGAATGTTTTAAAGCAATTTTCATATCTTCCTTTGGGAAATGAGGGAATCAGCTAAAACTGTTCTTAGGACATAGTTTACAATTGAAACCACAGTAAGACTTGGGGGGCTTCTGCCAAATCTTGAAGGTGGCTGAGTTCAAACACCTCCAGAAGGGAATTCCTGGGCTTTCACCTACATCCCCTGACCTGTAACAAAGCCCCTAAACCAGGGAGGTAAATAAACAACCCTGGTACAGACTCAGTTTAGGAGAAACTAGGATTCTATTTGATAGAGTTTCTTTCAATTCTCAAACCCATTTCCATGAAAAAGGGCAGAGGAGGGTAACTGAGATGATTTAGCTTATATTCTGCCTCCCTGTTGGAAAACTCCTACTTTTCTTTCAGGACTGAGTTCAAACATAACACTAGAAGGCCAGTCCTCTATAGCTGCACATGTGTGTTACAGAGGTAGGAGGGGTGCGGGAGGGACCTTGAAATTTGGGGAATAGCTGGGACAGCTATATTTGGACAGCTGGGATTTATATTTGCCACAGATACGCCATTTGAATTTTGTATGTGCTGTTATTTGGAGTCCTAAGTGCCTAGATGGAACAGATGATACAGAATAGACAGTTATACATTTTATATAAATTTGAAGGTCTGTATCAAGCAATGAAACTTTTCTCCAACACCAAACTACTTAAGCTTATGAATGTTTTCCTCCCTGACTGGACTGGGTGCTCCTTGAGGGTGAGACCGTTACTCATCCCTGACTCTGGCCTGGCACAGAAATTGTCTATCAGTGAAGTAGGGACAAAGCTCCTGCTACACCCTGCATTCAAATCTTTCTCTGTAGCTGTCACCTGTCCTCCAAGGACAGTCCTCTTAGCCACACAAATCACATCTACTGTTTTTGACATTGCAGAAAATGGCCAAACTTATCTTACCACTAACCCTTACTTCCTCCCAAATAGCTCTCTGTCCGCAGTCTACACTGTTTCTCCCTGCCATCACTTTCATTCCACTTATCTTCTGGTGGTCTCCCTCAAACCCTTTGCAATTCATAAAAACTCCTTTCAAAATGCTTCTTGTGGAACTGAATTCATTCCCCCCTCCTCTGGCTTGCCACCCTGCTGCCTTCTCGTCTCTGTGTTAATTGAACTCCCCGTCATTTACCTCGGCCACTTTGGGCTCCTTAACTGTGCCTCCTCCATCATCTCCCCCATCCACCTTTCGTCAGGCACTAAGTCCTATTGATTGTTCCAACTAAATATTGAACAACTATAGTAGGTATTCAGACAGTATATGGCAAAAGAATATAAATGAATAAAATTCATCACTTTATATTCATTCCTGCTACTTCTGCCTTGAGTGAGGGTTTTGTTTTGCTTTGCTTTTATTTTTAAAAATTTCAAATGAACAGAAAAGTTAAAAGACATTGTGATGAACACCCATATACTATTTCCCTAGATTCATCAATTGTTAACATTTTGCCTCAATTACTTTCTCTTTCTCTTTCCTTTTTCTCTCTGCCTAATACACGCACACTCTCTCTCTCTCAAAAATGTGTTGCAAACCATTTGAAAGTGAGTCTCAGACACTGGTGACACATCATCTTTAAATGCTACAGCACTCATCTCCTAAGAACTATAAAATTCTCCATAGAGAACAAATTATTTCCCACAAATATCTTTACAGTGAGGGCTTATAAACTGAGGTTTATGGATGGGCTTTAGGGAGTCCATGAAACTCATGAAATTACATGCAAAATTTTGAGCATATGAGCAGTTTTCTGTGAGAGGAGGGGAGTCTATAGCCTTCATCAGAGTCTCGAACCCTCCAAACTAATGCGGGCCCCACTTCTAGGCTTATCCCTTTTACCCAAGCAGGGTAGCAACATGATTAGCTGTGAGTTTTCAGCTACCTCAGACTGATTGTGAAATTATTCAATGGCTTCCTTTTAACTGTACGAGAGAGTTCATATTTCTTAGCATCACCCAGAGAACCTTTGTGATGATGACTCCAACTACATTTCCAGTCTCGTCTTCCATAATCCCTCCCCACCTGCCCAAAGTAACTGACCACATTCCCACCCAGGCCACGCTCTGAGCTTTACTCATCCAACCCCCACTCCCTACCCCTTTCGCCTTTTGGCAAACTTACTTCCCTTTCAAAATCCAACTCAGTTGCCACCTCCTCTGGAAAGCCCTCCCCAACCCTCTTCCCAGCTGTTTCTGCTTATAATTTGCACATTCTTCTATTATGTTATGTATCAAATCTTACTATATTTATTTGTTTACATGGCTTCTTTCTCAGTGACATTGTGAAGCACTCAATATATGAATAACTAGACATGCACAGCCTTTGTTTAATCACCTGGACCTTTGATCCTCCTGCCCACTCTGTTCTATGGATCTCATTTGCACCCTTACTCCAGGGGGCTCTCCTGGTCTCAAACTCCTGGTTTTACTTTCACTGAAGACTTGTGTCTCCCTCCGTGTGATGCTCTCAGCCCCTCTGCTTCTGGTGAGGGATTACCCTGTATGCACATCCTTACTGTCCCTTGGCTGTCCAAATTCAACCATTTGAATAGACAACCCTATATCCATACATGATAAAGAATCCATAAGATTCAGAGAGTCCCAGAGACACCAGGAAATGAACATCTGTCCAGGCACTGGGACACCAAGAAAAGCATGAAATTGGATCAGTTCCAAGGCCTGGTACAAAAAGTACTAAGCCATATTGCAGGGGTTGCTGCTACTCAGAATAGAATGTGATGCTATGGCAGGCTGAACTATATTAACTGCATTGGAAGAGGTGACAAGTACCCTGGCAATGCTGCTGCACTAAGAGAGGAGCAGATCTGGACCAAACGCTTGAAGCTGCATTCTTTGATTTTTCCAGACTGACTCCATTGTGCCTTGCCAACACTGGTACTAACATCTCTAATCTAGAAATCAGATCCTGACTTGCAAGATGGCAAGCAGCTGGCTTTTTGGCTGGAGTCCAGGGCTGCAGCACAGGTAGAGACCTGCACTGTATTACTCTAACACAGAGTACGGTCAAGTGAGATAGAGCGGTCGGTTGGAGTAGGAGGAGTGGCTACTTTGTTGTGGAGTTGGTGTGCTTGCAAGAGGGGTTACCAAATAGAAGATTTGCAGGAGGGACTGGGGATTCAGAGGAGAGGGGTTGGGACCTCCTGCTGAGCCTCCAGTTTCCCAGGGAGTATCTCCCCAGAAGCCCCAGGCCTATGCTGGGAAGCTCAAAGCCTGCTAAATTGTCTGCTAATGTTAAGGCTGACCTCAGCTGGCAGTGCCCTTCTCCTACTTCCCTGGTGAGTTGGTCCCTGTGGGATGTTAGTCCATCTGCTTTGAGAAATGTGCCTGTCCCTAGCTCATATCCCCCTATAGCTATCTCCCATCTCCCCCAGCTGGAGCTCCTGGGCCACAGTGAGCGATATTTTTGTACAGATTCAATCCCCTGTGCACCAATCAGAATGCATTACCAGGCAGGGCGCGTCAGCGCGGCGATTTGGCTTCGACAATAAATCTCCTTGCTTTCATGAGTTTAAATCAGACTTTAAAACATCGCCCTTAATGTTCTTTTAATGCAGTTTTCTTCTGAATGAGTTCCCTTTAGGTCCAGTCCTTGTCATTAATACACTCTCTTGGCAAACGAAGGAGGGCTTCTTCGAGGAAAACCCTGCCAGTTTAGGAAACCAGTTGAATTGCCTTGGTGATGCCAGGAGCCTCTTTTGCATTTTACAAGGACACTTGAGAAAACAAAACTCTCTGACTGTAAATTTAATTTTCTCTTGACAGCCTCAGTGTCTCTGCAGCCCCAGAAGTTATCCATTACTTCTTTCTTCTGTAATTAAAAATCAAGGGGGGAAATGTACAGGATTAACAAGTTCTAATTTTCATTGATGAGCTCTAAGAGCTTATCAATAATGGGATCAGAAAAGCTGCTTCGCCTAAGCTCTATTTTTCTAGGGCGTCTGATTTTGATGGAAGATCTCACTTGGGGTGGAAAACGCTGGCTTTTCAAGGAGTCCCATTGCTAAGGTTAGGAAGAAGGGCCCCGGCAGGCCAAGCAAATCTCAAGCAGGAATGAGCAGAAAAGCAGCCTGGTCTTGCAACTTCTATAGACTCAGCATTCAGGCTTGGGGAAGCTGATTACAGGGACAGATTAAACAGGCCGAATTTCACACACATGTTCCTTTTCTATAGATGGCTTCTGCAGGAAAGAACTTGCACGAATCTGCTTAGGAGGAAGAAAGATATTTCCAATTAAAAGAATATTGGTGGTAATTCCTTTTCAGTTATACATTTGCAGATAATATTTTATCAGGGGATGGGGCATCTATCCTGTTTATTACCCACAGGGATATAGTTGAGCATGGGTTTCTCTGAGAGACACTGAGCTGGTCGATAGCATCTGGGCTGTGTCATTTCAAAAGCTGTGACAAACAGGCTCCCAGCAAACGTGACAGGCATGTGACAGGCATGCGCTGTTTAATTAATATGCACAGGTTCCATAAAACTCCCAGACAATCAGGTGCAGAGATGATTCAAGCTAGGACTTTGTTTTGTTTTAAAGATAAGGGCAAGTGAAGTGTAGATACCTTGAAGCAGGAACCTTAGCACTTGACCTTGAAGTCCTTCTATAGTACACAGTCCTCTGCTATGTTCAACTGGGGTTGGGCTTGTGAGTATTAGGAAGAAATTGGGTGATTTGGTTCCAAGCTTCCTTGCTTAGAGCTGGAAAGTTCCGGATATCTCTGGAGATGAAAAAATGCACAGGATAGCAGAAAAAGTCAACAGCTGGGGATTCTGTCAAAATGAGACAAACTTGGTTCCTGCCACAAAGAACTTCTTCAACCAAGTCTAGAGAATCACAGAAAGCCAAGTTGCTGATTTCCATGGGGAAGGCCACCTTTTCTGGGTAGACTGCCAGCCTTCCAACCAACCGTTCTTCCTTCCCACAACAAGAACAGGCTCCACTGCCACAAAGTCTGGGAGCTGAGGACAGTCTCACCTGCAAGATATTAGAGCAGTAAAACCTCATAGAGATGATATTATATTAATAGGGTAAGGGCATAGACTCTAGTCAAATGGTTGAGTTTGAATACTGGGTCCGCCTCTTAGTAGCTATGTAAACTGGGCAAGTTAATGAACCTCTTTGAGTCTCAATATTATTTTCTGTAAGATAGAGATGATTTTCGTCCCATTTCATAGTTATTATGAGAATTAAATGAGTGAATACATTTAAGGTGTGTAAAACAGTGTTTTTAATGTAGGAAGTGCTCAGTAAGTGTTAACCACTTATATATCAAGCCACTTAAGCAGTGATTTGGCCAAAGACAGAATCTCTAGCCCTCTCCAGCTCAGTGATTTTAAACAGCCCAGATGGCCTAGTTCACTGGTTCAAAAAGATGGGGGTAATTGTGGCAGGATACAATGTGATCTTTGTGGGGGTATAAATACTTTCATTTTAATAACTATACATTTATTATGTATCAGGAAAAAATTTCAAGTCCATTTTTTCCTAGACAATATTGATCAGATTGAAGATAAAGCTTTTAAAAAGTGAATATACATCAGAACATGTACTGTGCAACATGGACAACATTATAATGACAAAAGCTGAATCTGAAAGGATAAATGAGAGTAGGGAAGGCCCCCCCTGGCAGAGGGGCTGCTTGTGCAAAGGCCCAGGGATAATCCAGCATGAGAACAGGAAAGAGAGATGATGCTGGAGATGGGCAATCAGAATACACTGAGCTTTCTATGCCATGTTAATGAGTTTGGACCTTGTCCCAGAGGTGAGGGGAAGTGCAGGTGGACAAGGCTGACGAGGATGTGAAGCAGGGAGCTGGTTAGAACCCTGTTGCCCATTAAGATATGATGGGGATGTGAGCAGCAGTCGTGGAAAGAGTGAAACAAGTAGGTGAAGTCAAGAAATCTTTGGGAGGTAAAAGAGGATGCTCAGCATTCTAGCTCGGAATCCAAACAGATGCTGTGTCATCAACCAAGCCTGTGAATGCAGGGGTTGGAGTGAGGGGGATGTTCACTAAATGAGGGCAGAGAAAATATTCAGTTTGGTTTGGAACTGTCAAGCTTGAGGTCCCTGCAGGGAGATCTATAGCAGATAGACCTGGGCTGGGGCCTGATTCAAAGTGTGTGGGAGGTGAGCAAGTGGAAACAAAGGACTCAGGCAATGCCTTCAAGAGGCTCAGATGAGGTGGGGAGGAGGAGAGAACCTAAGGACAGCTCTGGATCAAGAATTGGAGAAACTTGAGCATGCTTGATTGGCTGAGGATGAGAAGCCAGCAGAGAGGAGGATGTCGAAGGCCAGCAGTGCCTCTGAGCTCCTGGGCTGACCTCGTTGGAGTCCTGTATGTGACTTTGTGCATCTCCATGCATCTAAACATCAGGCCTTTATCTCTCTGCCTGTCCCTGTCCCCAGCCACCCTGGCCAGCCTGTCACTCCGTCTGTACTTCCTTCCTTACTTCTTCCATCCAGCAAATATTTATTGAGCACCTGTTATATGTTCTAAGGGCAAAGAGACAGATAAACCAAAACAGACAATTATGAAGCATCTATTCTAGTAAAGGGAGCCAGACAATCAACAAAACAAAAGGTAAAATGCACAGTGTGTAGGATGGTTGTGAGTTCCCTGGGTGAGAAATAAAGCAGGGAACGATGACAGATTATTGAACTACGGCTGGTGAGTTGCAGCAGCAAGTAAGGAAGTCAGGAAAGGCATCTCTACAAAGATGATATTTGAATACAGATATGAAAGAGGTGAGGGAACCAGCCATGAAAATCTCAGGGGGAACTGTTTTCAGTAGAGGGAGAAGCAAGGTCAAATAAACGCCCTGAGTCAGGAGACAGCCATGCTGTCCATGGGACGGCACAGCAGCCTCTCACCCCGGAAAATGTCCACCGTGATGCTGAAGAACCAGCACACGTGTCCTCAAGACTCTTCCCAGCACCACAAGGTAGAATTTGTAGCTCGTTGTGTTAGTGGCCACATTTGCCACTTAACCTGGACGATAACACAATTTCAAATGAGCTACCATTTTATTGAATATCTCTCTCCCCTTTGGTGCCTCATCTTTTTTGCCTTCAAGCAAATTGCCCCAGCCTGCCCCAGTTCATGATGCCCACTTTTCTTTGAGCTAAGGGAATGCAACATTCTCTGCTTTGCCTTTGATATTGACTGGCCCTCACTGCTGGCTGGATTTTCAGTCTGAGAGCCAGACCTCGGAGTAGTGAGGGAGGCCAGGACTGTAGGTTCAGGAAAACTCCCAGGATACGGAAAAGCCAAATTCTAGTGCAGGGAAAATGGTGGGTATTGCCAGTCCTGAATCTGGAGATCCTTCTTGGACTGTGGCTGTGTTCTGAAAGGGCAGCCAGGCAAGGAACAAGTAGTGGTGATTTTCAGATCAAATGTTTACAAAGTCAATTCAGAAAAGGTCCGACAACAGAGCAGCTTAGGAATCCAAGGAGATGACTCATTAACCAGCATGTTAGGGCAGATCTGGCGGCAGATATCTGGAAAAGCCAAGTTCAGGAGAACGAAATGCAGTTACCAGAGCAGCTAGGACTCAGACAGGACTTGGTTCCAGACTAATTGGATCAGGGTTAACTCATTGACGAGCCATGGAGTTTTAGCTTGAGATCTTTGGGATGATCCCCTGCCTAGGGACAAGATGGGTTCCCAAGTCTAGGCTGGGATCAACCTTCATTGTGAGATTAAATGGCTTCAGCTTTGAAAATTTGGGGATGGCTACAACACAGAACCCAGCCAACCTTTAGAAACATAAACAATTGAATTGTTGGGCTCAATTATTTGCCAGTTCCTGCAACTACATCCTTGCCTGGCCTCTTCATGGGGGAGAAGACTTCTCAGCCTCTTGACTTTGGACGTGTCCGTGTGACTTGCTTTGGCCAATAATAAATACGTAAAAGTATGTCAGTTCCCCGCCTAGACCTTACAAAGCCTTGCATGTGCCTTTCCACCTGCCCTCCTAAGCTTTTACAATCACTATGAGAAGAAGGAGGGAAATGGGGACAGGAGGACCAGAGCTGCCCTGTCCATTGCAGCCTAAGGCAGAGCCAAGCCTGGTTTAGACCTGCCCAACCCCAGATGGCCTGCAGATGGAGGAGCAGCAATGAATGATTCCTGTGAAGACAAAGACCAAACAACATTTTGGCCTGCCTTAAGGTGCCTACCACAGTGCTTTGTCTTCAAAACTCAATACCGATTTGCTGGTTTCATTTGAGATACTTACTGGAAATCAACTGGATATCCGGGCTCCCCATGGCAAGCAGAAATCTAGACGCTCCCATGCAGGTGACAGAAAGGAAAAAGCCACAAGGCAGTTTCCTTAGACACCAGGCACAGTGACTGAGTGTGCTGTTGTGTGCCTGCCAGTTGCATCGTCACAATATCTGAAGGAGAACACTGAAGGTCTACAGTAGTTTGGGTGTCACAAAAAATAATTCATTATGCATAATGGTGATGTTGGCAGTGCATGCCAAATGGTTAAATCTAATGTAGCATACAGTTTCATTAAGGCACAACAAAATTAATCTATCCCTTCCCACCAGGAGGTTTAAACAAAAGCAATGGGGAAGGAGCTGCATGTAAAAAGCGGCAATTCATTAATGAAATGAAGACATGTAAAATAATTAGGCTTATAACAAGAGATTAGAGAACTAAATTAACCCTTCTGTTTGCTTTGCACAGAATGCAATGGAGAACTCTGGCAAATGTTAAGTTATTACGGAAATGTCACCTCAAAAGATTAGCCTGGTGGCCTCTCATGAAAGAAGTGACCTGTGTTGGTCCCCAGTGTAATAACTTCGCTTGATGACAGTTGAAACCATATCTGTAAGGCATTTCTGTGTGGGTTCTGGAGGCACGAAAGAAAACAGGTATGGCCAGAGAGCTGCAAAGGAAACAGTTAATTAAAAAAAAAAGTTGGGTTTTGATGTTGACATGCTGTATGCTAACTTGGGTAATTAATAATATTGAAACGAAGGGGCTAATCTAAATCAATGGTGGGCTGAAGCTTTCCTCTGCCTGGTTAGTAATGATAAGCCAGGGGGGACAATTGAGCTTCTTTTCTTAATAACTCCAAAGTCCTCATCTGCATGGGGAATTGGTGGGAACACGGTCTGTCCACTTAATGGGCGTAAAATGCAGCTCAGGACAAAACAGCTCGGGAAATGGGATGCACACTTCCCAGCAAGCATCCTCCTGCCCCCGAGCCAAGGAGAACAAGGTTTTGGAATTTGACTCTGGTTTCCTGCATCTTGGCACCCTAATTTAGGGGCTACAGTACAGGCTTGCAGGCTTGGGTTTCTCTGATTGCTCAAATTTTTCATGTGTTGCTTGAAGAAGTCTAGACTCTTAATAGGTTTACTCTGTAGATCTAGACTCTGTGTATCCTGTCCCTGAGGCTGGGGACATGTCAAGGGTTGGGAAGTAGATGGCCATGGTCAGAGTCCATGCCCAACCTCCTATGGGGACAGTCAGCTGGAGAAGGTAGTGCCCAAGGGACACTGGCAGCAGGAAATGGCTCAACCTGCTGACCCACAGGGGATCCTCTCCATGAAGGTGGAAACATGCCCCCTATAGGAACCTACCCACAGTGGCAGCCCCACAGGCCACGCCCAAGGCTGTAGATGCTCTCCTGTTTCACTCATTAGTGACACTATCTCTTTCCAGCTTGCCTTACGCTGGTGAAACACATGTCCGTTGATTCATTCTACACAGTGAACTGAGGATCAGAAGCTTGTGTGAGATACTGTAGGAATCAAAATGAACATTTCTTTAGCAAGTAGTTTGTGACTGGTGTTTTCCCTACATTATCTTGTTTCATCATCTAATGTAAAAGGTGTTATGCCCCATTTTATATAGATCAGTAAACTGCAGCTAAAATGCATTAAGTAATTAGCTTGAAATCATTTTAAAAATGACTTTGACTTTTGAAGTTTTTACAGATATGCAAAAGATCTTCTATGGCATCTCCCAAAATATCTGGGAGCAGAGCAGGTGAAATTGTGATGTGGGAGGGAGGAGAGGCTGGGGAGAAAGTTCCTCAGAGACAGCTGGTGTTATGTCTCCAAGCTCTTTGTCTAGGGCTGAGCCTGAGCACATGACGTAATGCCCCGCCCCACCCCACCCCTGCATCATTTCCTAGAGTAGGAAGATACACAGGGCAGCAGGGAGAGTAAGGTGATAATATGATTAGACAAATTCACTGAGTGACTAGAAGAAATCTTAGGGTCCTGGTTTCCAGAAGAGATCCAAGTGAACAGCAACCACAGTTTCCAAACTAAAACATGGGACAATTGCTTCAGTGTAATTACAAGGGTCTGTGAGGAAGAATATTTGAAATTCTAGAATTTCTGTAGACTTAGGACTGTCCTATTTGAGTGAGCAATTCAGAGAACACTTCCACTTCGTCCCATGTGTCCACATTAATCCAGAAAAGCCACCATTAACCACCATCCTAGCACTGGATCTTCCCCCATGGCCCTCCCGGCCCATCTTTGCACAAGCCAGAGAGAAAAGAGAGCAAGTATAAGAAGAAAAAGACACGCTGTGTTTTCACATTTGGAGTTCCTTATTACTTGGTTTCTACACAGGCTGCTCTTGTATTCATTTGTTTGTTAATTCAGTGCTATCTGGGTCCTACCATGTGCCAGACATTATGCCGAGCACTTCTTTCATGGTATCTTACTTGATCATCACAATAACCTTCGAGGACAGCATTGCAATCCCTGGTTTAAGGATGTGCAAATTGAGGCACAGAGAAGCTGAATGATTTCCCTGCATACATAGCTCAAGTCTGGAGCCAGCCTGTGAACCCAGGGCTCCTCAGCAACCTCCACGACATCATACTGCTTCCCCTGCCTCACATTTAGTCATCATTTTTGTTAGAAATTTGGCATTATTACTCCTAAGACAGAAAACATTTCTGCCATTATCCGTATATTCAAATTGAGGTCCCAGGGTCATTCTGGAATAAATGAGAACTTAGAACCCCCTTAGACTCTAGTAATCTTTATTAATCACTAGTAATCTACTTTGCCTGTGGAGCCACACTGCAATTTCCAATGCTAAGTAGAACAGTCCCCCCAGAGAGGTGTTGTGTCCTTGATAGTACTTCAAACAGAGAAAAAAATGCAAAACTTTGCAGACTTGTGAATAGATGACATCCTGAGCCTAGCATCGTGTCTTGTGCATATTAAGTGTTTAATGAAGACTTGATTTGAGTGAATGAGTGAATTAATGAACAAATGAATGTCTCTGAAGGGTCTCTGAGGCTTATCTGATCTTCTCAGGTCATTGCTATTGATATAGACTCGTGTGGGAGGAGAATAAACAGCAGGTGGGGCATGTCAGCACTGCCCTGCTTGGAAGGTAGCCTACAGTGCTTGTGCAAAGTACACACAGCTCTTTGTGAAAATGCTTTTTTATATTCGTGGTGAGAATTTGTCTGATATTTCCCACAAAGGTTGGTGGAATTTGTTTTTAGGATTACCTGACATGCATTAAGAGCAATCGACTTCATAACAAATACTAAAGAGTCACTTTGTTCATTGTCATTGATTTCATGAGGAGAAAAAAAAGTGTGAATCTATAATTTTTAATACTTTTCTGTTTTATTTATTGAAGGTGAAGCAATCTCCATTCCATAACCCACTTTTTGACTAATTAAATAAAGATGGGAGGTCCTATATAGCTAGTGATTTACTAGTGTTTAGGCCCCTGAGGAAACACAGCTTGTATGAAGTTTTCTATTTCACAAAAATAAACAAGAGTGGCTCCTTTGTGCCTAAATTATGTAGAGGTGGTTCAGGCCCTAAGACAAGTTTATGGATTTCTCTTTTGCAAATTTTTCCCCTGTAATCTGCCTCTTCTCTCCGCCTCCCCATTCCCCATATTTTACTCAAATCTCCTGGGTTTTATGCTGCTAAAACCAAAAGGAATGTATGGCCAACCACGCCTAGAAGGTTATTTTCTTTTACCTGCTAATGGATTTGGTGCTCTGAGTCAAGATGTCTTTGGGGTCATTTTGTTACTGCCTCTGCAGACATCTCTGCTTGTCCCTGTCCAGCAGCAAGCACTACCTGCTTTTGCTTCTTGCAGTGGCTTTGAACAGCGCACCCACAGTGTCAACATTTAAGAACCTCCAAGCCCAACCATGATCCCTCGTACATCCTCACTGCTGTGAGCGCCCCTGGATCAACAACCTCAATCCAAACCTTTGGTAATTTTTAGTTTCAGTTCTAATCTGTGCATAAATTGAGTTCCAGCTAGAAATGCTTCTCTTGACTCTTCCGGAAGAGAGAGAAGTCAGTTGCCTAAGAGGTATGATTGGAGAGGTCCCAAGAGTACCTTTGGAGAAGAAACACTCTTCCACCACATCTGATATTCATTCTTTTGGGTTGACCATGTTAAACTGCAGGTACCTAGGTGTGATGGCATGTTAAGTTTGGTGATAGATAATTTTATCATCCAACTATAAGACACTTGAATGGGTTTGACAAAGAGAAAAAGAATTTAAACTGGCTGGGAAAGTAATCTCAAAGGTGAGTCTGAAGAGGGTTTTGAGCATTAGAAGCATTACTTACGTGTGGGACCTCTGAGGGGACTATTTTAAAGGATAGTACTTACTTCATGTGAAAGCTTTAATTTATTTTTTTTAAAAGATTAATAAGAGTTTTTTGTGCCTTTGATGCAACTTTGGGAGCTCAGGAAAGATTATTCAGGGAGTTATTTTTGTTTTGAAAATTAATACTTAGTTTATTAAGGTTATTCCTTTTAAAAGTATTTGCCTTTCAAACCCAACTTACAAATAATATTTTTATTACAAAATTTAGTAAATTTTAGGGAGCCTTTGACTAATTTTTGATCTGATTTACAAATTAATGAATAAATCTTCTAAGCCTTTTAAACTGAGCATATAAATTTAATATATTCATTTTCTTTTAAAATATAACCTTTGACTAGTACACACATTTTTCTAAAAAGGTTTCAGCTTAAAATTATAAGTCTACTCATTTTAAATTGGATTTGTAATGCTGACTTATTATTCTAATAAGCTAAATTCTGTTCATAATTACAAGTTCCAAAAATACTAAATATGCATATATTTCTCCTAAATACCCAAATATTAATATTAGAAAATTTATTTTCTTAATATCTATACATATGTACTTACTTCTAAATCTTCCTGGGGTTTAAAGATGCATATTCACTAAGAAAAAATTATGTTATTCCAAAATTTTTTCAGTAACCTTCATGAGCCATTTTTTGGGCTGCATTTTTAGCAAAATTGGGATTTTTAGTGATTAAAGAGGCCATAGGCGAGAATGCCAGCTGGATTTGTGTCTATGACTGATGGGGACATGTAAAATCCATCCCAAGTTTATAGTTGCTATGTCAATACTTTTGAAATGTTTGAATTATATCATTACCTAATATTTGAGTCTGATTTAAAATTTCTGATTCCTGCATATTGCTTGACTACCTGCTTGGATTCAACTTTGCTGTTTATTACTTCATTCTATAGTTTTTTTTTCTATTTCTTTATGCTAGAGCCACAAGTCAAAGAGGTATTTAAACAACTCGTAATTAAACCTCTTATTGTTTTGTCTAATTCTATGGTTACCATCTTATAAGGTCATGCCAATGACAAAAATCATTCACAATATTTTGTTGTTATACCTCATCGATACAGATGAATGCCGGCTTTCAAAGCATCACCCTGGGAAACCCTGTATAAGTTAGTGAGCTGTCTCCACTCCAAATACCTCCCCCACCACTCACTTGACTCTCATGTGGGACTATTGCTTTCTTACACCATTGCTGAAAAGGCTAAGACTGTATTCTGATATTCCCAGATAAAGACCAGAAAATACCTCCTGTGAGAATGTTGCTAGGCAGGTTGCTTAGTTCCTATGAGAGTGGTGCTCCGTGCCCCACGAAGCTGGACACACCGTTATGCCATGGTCATGGAGGGCAACTGGGCTCTTCACACAGCCTGCATCTGTGTGCTGTTGGAGCAGACAGGACAGCTCTAAGTAAAAAGGAGGAAAGTGAAATGTTCTGTGAATTTCCCCAGTCGGATATTCTAGAATCCTCTCCTTTTTTCCTGGGTTCTCCTATCTTCCAGAGAAAGCCTCTGTCTGTGGTTCTCTCCAGTCTTCTGGGAAAGAAGAATAATCTGGACACCTGCACTGGCCTTCTGGTGGATGGCCATTGATTGGTGGCGGGGGTAAGTAGGGAACAAGAGCAACTCTGAAAGTGTGATGGGGTTAGACAGTGTGCCCCCTTGGAGCAGGAAGAAGCTGCTCAGTAGATAAGGCTGAAGTGCTGGGGGTGGTGAATTATAGGAAACTGGCAAGGAAGACTCAGTTTTGTTCTGGAATAATCCATTAAAAAAGAAAGTCAACCTGAGCAATGCACAGTAAGAGATTCACAATCACTCCCTCCTTTTCCCCATGATTTAGTCTTCTGATCAATCTGGAGTCCTTGACTTTCTCTTCCTTAAAGTGGTTTCCTTTCAGAAAGTTCTGCTGCCCTTCATGTCAATAGTCCTCAACAGGCCCTAGCCCATGGAGTCACCAAATCTGCACAAACAGGGGCAGGTGTGCAGCTTGTAATATACCTCTCACTGTACATCCCCTACTGGTCCATCTTGCTCCATACCAAAGACAAGATGAAGTGGGCTCTCTGGAGAGCTGTTGATTCCCCAAGATCATTCCTGGAAGTATAAAAACAATGACCTCATGATATTTAGTGGGGACCAAACAGAGAAAATTCAATTACAGAAACAGGATTTATTACTTTGATAAACCCTTCTTATTCTTAAAGGCCCATCCCATATCATATAAAGCATATTAAAATATGCCCATTGCACACTAAAAATATCATTTTTGCTGTAAAAAAAGTAGAAGAAACTTGCATATTTTTGTGTTTTGAAATTATTTTATTTACATCAAATATTTACAAATATTTACAAACCATAATCATTTTTTTCCATATCCAATTATCCCAACACCCAGTTAGCCCCTGCCTTCACTGATTCATAATGCCACTCTTGTCAAATACCAGGTTCACATGTATACAAGGGCTTATTTCTGTTTTGTAATATTTTTCTGCTTATCTCTGCCTGTGAGAATACAACCACACTGCCAGCCACCCATAGCCTTTCTTTCCCTTCTGTAAAATTGTCTTATTTAGTATTCCATGTAAATTTTTAGTATCAGCTTACAAACCACCATTAAAAACCCTATTTGTGTTTCAATCAAAATTGCCACTTAATTTACAAATTGATTTGGAGGGGACTGACATCTTTTCCATCTATCAATAAAGTTTCATGATAACCTCTACAAAAATCTGTCATATCTTTTGTCAGATTTGTTCCTAGGTGCCTAATGGCATTTGTTGCATTTTAAATTGGTATTTATTTAAATTTACATGTTCTAATTGTTTGTTACAGGTATACATGAATGCTTTTGGTTTGGGTATATTGATCTTACTGAGCTCTAATCAATTTTAATAGCATACATGGTAGACATCACCAGGTCTCCCCGGACATAGAAAACACTATACCTCCCAGGTACCCTGCAGCCAGGGAAAATGTGACCAGTTACAGCCAATGAAATAAGAGTGAACGTGATGCTGTTACTTCCGGGCTAAGGCAATGAAAAGCTCTTGCATTTTTTTTTGGTCCCTTTCTTCTGCTTATACGGACATAAACGCCTAGTGTTTAGGTGGCAGAGTTTGAATTGATGAATCACCACATGGCTCAGAACCTCAACAAACTGCATGAGAAGGAAATAAACTACTATTGTGTTAAGTCCCTGACATTTCAGGGTTTGTTACCTCAGTATAATCCAGGCTCTATTGACCAATACAGTTTGTGCATAGATTCCCTTGGATTTTTTATGTGGACCATTATAGCAGCTATGAAGAGTGATAGTTTTGTTTCTTCCTTTCAAATTCTTGGGTAATCAAAATTTTATGAATAACAAACTTAACAATTAATGAAGTTGACACAGTGTTACATTTTGTAGCTCTTTAATTAACATTTATTAATTTTGATTTGCAGTTTTTCTTTGTGTTCTTTCAGGTCTCAGACAGTTGCGTGGGCCCTTAAAAAGCTGATGGGCCCCAGGCCCTGTGATAAGAGTACTGAAGGTTTAACAAGGCCCTGGTGAGGCTGGTTGTCATTTTCCACTCTAACTTTACCAGTCTAGAAGGCTGCAATTCCAAAATGGAATAATGTAACACAGGCACAGAGAGCCATGGCTGAGGTGAGTCAGCTGGGTTCAAAACAGAAATAAGAATAGCACTATGGGCGTTCCAGCCAATTGATGCTGGAACATCTCCTCTTTTTTCCAGTTCATTCCTTTCTTTAAAAGGAAATTCAGTTAGTTTTCATCTCTCCTTCTCTTACTTCTAGAATTTGCTGAAGGCCCTAAATATCTTATTATTACCATTTTAACACTGTAGGTATGCTCTAGTTCAAAAAAATCCCAAATAATAAAACCTGACCTTATCAAAGAATATATGAATTGGAGGATGGTAATTTGCTTTACAAAGGGTTCCCTGCTCCACAAAATGAATTCAACTTTGGTGTCCCTAAAATAGCCAGTTCCCTTGGTGCATGTTAAATATAATTCAATTTACAAAAATTTGATTTGCATATAACCTTTTCAGTAGCACATCCATTGTGCAAAGCAATGTACACTTGTAATTGGCTGCAAATTGCCAGGAGACCACCCTTGCACATATTGTTTCTAGATCTGCAATTTTTTCTTAATCTCCATGGAATACAGGCACAGAATGGCTAACATTCCAGTTGTTCGTCTGATCCCATTGGCTATGGAGGCAACATGTACTATGTACAAATTAATATTGTGTATTTAGAAACAGGAAATCCAGAGCAGTTAGGTGAACTGAACGTGGATTGCCTTTCTGGGTTCGTGATAACAGGCTGCATTGGAGAAGCTCTCTTTATCTTGGTGGCCTGGCAGGTGCCAGGAGAAAGTGAAATGAAGCAAGGAACAATTTATGATCATAGTTTGGATATCATTTTATCCCTGTGAGGCAGTGAACCCTCAGAAGCATCTTCCAAGGAAAATAATAGAACTAAGTATAGTGACTGGAGCCTCATGGATTAGGAGAGAGCCACAGCTGACACAGCTACCATGGCCAGACCCAGGGGGCCTTCCCTGTGGAGTGTGTTCTGGCCACAGGAGTGTAGTCAAGGCACTCAGCAAGGCAAGCATAGCATTTTCTCATGTGTCTATGTAAAAAGCAAAAGTGGCATCTTTTTATGGCAAATTGAATTAAAGTGGATTATTGTCGATGATGCCAAGTCGTATCTAAAACCCGTTTCAATCTGAATATTAAAAATCCTGCCTGGCACATCACACTCTCTTTTCAGATATGATACCTCCTCACACATTTTCATTGCTTCCCTTCCTGTGTCTGATGCCAGAGCCTTCTCTTCTGATTAGAAACTTTCCTCCAGGAGTTCATCCTGGGGAACTAACAGCTCTCCTTCCCTAGGCTAGCCTGCAGGATGTGTCGGACCCCTGGCTCTTCTTGCCAGCTTCTGGTCAGGTGCACTGGAAGGAGCTGAACTATGCCTATCTAGATTGTTTTTTGTTTTCTATTTTGTTTGTTTGTTTGTTTTTCTTTGCTTGTGGCAATGACTCCTTAGCCCCCAATTCAGCTGAGCAGACTCTCACAACACAAGTTCAATTCCTAGAAGGCAAAGCTTGGCTCCTTCTGGTTCCAAGGTAGGTGTTGTAAGTTGATGGTCATAAACTCCTTGGGTGCAGATGAGATACATACATCAATTAATAAGTAACAACAACTTGAAAACTGAAATTTCTGTTAAACCAAAAAAAATAGTGTGATGTTTCATAGAAGACCAAGTTTGAGGTAGCTGATTAAACACTTTATCTCAGGGATCCCCAAAAAGAATTTTTTATTTGGCTGAAATTTCTTTTTGCTGCAGCCGGGGGCAGGGCTGCCACCTGTGGTGTGCAGATTGTGCACCGCACAGCTCTAGGGAGGGCTATTGGCACAGACCACCACAACAGTGCTCTCTAGAGCTAGGCAGTTCACGGCTTGCACTGTTGCCCTTTGTAGCACTGGCTGTAAAAAGAGTAGCACTGATATCTAGGCCTGAATTTGGGGAAAGGGAATAGTTTTGGGTGCAGACTCACCTGGGTTCATATATTTACTGGGCCACTTATAAATCTGTACAATCCTGAACAATCTACACAGCCTCTAACTAACTGACCAGGTACAGCAATGGCCAACTCACAGGCTGATAGTCTGATTAAATAGGGGATGAGGTGGCCATGCTGGCCCATTGTCATCCTAAATGTGAGTTTCTCTTCCTGAGAGTGCTATTGGGAGTAAGGCATATCCAATAGCCAGGTAAGAGTGATCAGCTTTTGTCTTTGGTCCCCGAGGCCAAGGGCAGAATGAGACACCAACAGAGTACTAGAGCCATGGCTTTGTGACCCCCAGTGGTCTATGTGTAAGGTGGCTGGATGTGCTAAGCCCTAGGCGTGGCCAGGCAACCTGAACCCCTCTTAGAAAAGGTGTTTTCCACTGGCTAGCCATATGCAGAAAATAGAAACTGGACCCCTTACTTATACCTTATACAAAAATTAAAGACTTAAATGTAAAACCAAAAACCGTAAAAACCCTAGAAGAAAACCTAGGCAATCCCATTCAGGACATAGGCATGGACAACGACTTCATAACAAAAATGCCAAAAGCAATTGCAACAAAAACCAAAATTGATAAATGGGATCTGACTAAACTAAAGAGCTTCTGCACAACAAAAGAAACTACCATCAGAGTGAACAGGCAACCTACAGAATGGGAGAAAATTTTTGCAATTTGCCCATTTGACAAAGGTCTAATATCCAGAATCTGTGAGGAACTTAAACAAATTTACAAGAAAAAAAACCCCATCAAAAAGTGGGTGAAGGATATGAACAGACACTTCTCAAAAGAAGACATTTATGCAGCCAACAGACATATGAAAAAAAGTTCATCATCATTGGTCATTAGAGAAATGCAAATCAAAACCACAATGAGATACCATCTCATGCCAGCTAGAATGGCAATTATTAAAAAGTCAGGAAACAACAGATGCTGGAGAGGATGTGGAGAAATAGGAATGCTTTTACACTGTTGGTGGGAGTGTAGATTAGTTCAACCACTGTGGGAGACAGTGTGGCAATTCCTTCAGGATCTAGAACCAGAAATACCATTTGACCCAGCCATCCCATTACTGGGTATATATCCAAAGGATTATAAATCATTCTACTATAAAGACATATGCACACGTATGTTTATTGCAGCACTATTCACAATAGCAAAGACTTGGAACCAACCCAAATGCCCATCAATGATAGACTGCATAAAGAAAATGTGGCACATATACACCATGAATACTATGCAGCCATAAAAGAGAATGAGTTCGTGTCCTTTGCAGGGACATGGATGAAACTGGAAGTCATCATTCTCAGCAAACTAACAAAGGAACAGAAAACCAAACACCACATGTTCTCACTCATAAGTGGGAGTTGAACAATGAGAACACATGGACACAGGGAGGGGAACAACACACACCAGGGCCTGTCGGGTGGTGGAGGGCAAGAGGAGGGAGAGCATTAGGACAAATACCTAATGCATGTGGGGCTTAAAACCTAGATGATGGGTTTATAGGTGCAGCAAATCACCATGGCACATGTATACCTATGTAACAAACCTGCATGTTCTGTTCATGTATCCCAGAACTTAAAGTAAAATTTTTAAAAAACAAAAGGTGTTTTCTCATATATTTGCTGTTTGCATCAAAGCCAGCTCACTGCAGCTCATGAAGGAAGATGGCTGGGAAGCCTGGACAGTAGGTGAGTGGGGAGGAGGCTGAGGTAGGGGAGGGTATATGTCCTGCTTGTACTCTCCGGGAGAGGAATGTTGGTTGGGAATGGGAGAATAAAGTACAATAATTTGAAGTCTCTATTTCTACATATGTGACATTTTCTGTGCTACTTTTCCTTGTTTTGTTTGTCGTTTGTAGCATTGTGTCCAACAGGGACCCACGAGAGATAAGGTAACGGGCCGGACTTTGAAGGGCGCACTGTGTGGTGGGGCAGCGGGCACCGGGAAAAAGTCCTCTCCAGAGGTTTGGAAACTGGAAGGTCAGAGTCTGGCCCCAGAGTGGCCTCCTTGTCCTCATCAGAAATCTAGGATTCAGAATCTTCTGGGTTCAGTCTTAGATATTTTGTTGGGATGAAGAAGCCCGTTCCCTCCTATCCACCCACACATGTTGGCCATAAGGGACCTGTTGACCTTCAGAGGCCTCCCATAGCCTGCTTTAGCCCAGAGAAAGATGGGATGGGAGCCACAAGGAGCCAGAATGGAGTCCCTTGCTATGCCTGTGGAAGGGAATGGATTCAGGTCCCTTTATCTCTCCAGGTTCCCTCAAGAGCCTTAAACCTGAGGTCATAGCTATTCAGATTCAGTGATCACACACAACAAGGAGGGCATCTGCCATAGCCCAGCCCTCAGCCAAGCTTGAAGACACCAGCACTCATCTCTTTTTTCTGGAGAAAGTCAAGGCTGTCAATCCTGACTATGGAACATAAGATCCAGGGGACTTCAGATGGTTCTTAAAGCAGCTTCTCACCTTGTTCAGCTCTCCTCCTCTCTGTCTCTTAGCTGCCTAGAATTGCTTTCACTATCACAGTTTCAATACATTCGCAGGGCTCAACTGCCCCCCACCCCTATCCCTCTGTCCAGATAGAGTAGAAATGGTGTGAGCTGTAGTCCTCTGCCTCAGCAGTGCCCACTCAGGCAGGCTCACTCCCTGAGCCTGTTTTCTTAAGTGAGGGACTTCAAAAAGATGCCTGGCTCACCTATTTCTCCTTATTGAGAAGTTCAATTCAAATGTGGACATGAATGCACTTTGTAAATCACAACATACTACACAGACGAGAGTATTATTATTCTCCTTGGAAGGGGATAGGGGCTGAGGTGAGGGTGGCTTGGATTTCATCCTACCCTTTATGGTAGCGGCATCCAAATAGCAGCCCCTGACCTCCAAGTATGCTGTATTAACATGGTGTTTTAAAACATATAACATTTGTTGCCAAAATTTTATATTAAAAAATAGATTTCTAACTTCACTTCAAAAATTAGAAGACCTGGCAATAGTGGCCACAATGGCCACCTGGGGCCATAGCAGCTGCCCCTTGTAGACAGTCTCGTGCTCACTGATTCAACACAGTCTTCACTACTCCCGAGTGCCTCGTGCTGTCGTCATTCTGTCGCCTTGCCTGTCTAGCCCTTGTGGGCATTTGAGTTTGTACACATTAGCTGAAAATGGGGCCCATTAGGGATTTACCTGAGAAAGTTGCCACTTATTTCCCACTTTACTTTCACTACCTCCCGACCACCACTATGCTGCCTTCCCATAGACAGGAGATTCGCCTTTTCTGAAGCAAGTGAGTAAGGAAGTCCGGGGCTAGGAGAAACAACACGGAAGACCTCTCCAAAAGGCACCAAGGAAACCTTGTTTAGAGATTCCTGTCTGCAACAGCTGTTCCAAGGAGGCTAGACTATGCTTTCTAGAGCAGCATCTACTCAAATGTTGAGAGTGGTGGTTTGGTTATCTATGGCGATCTAATAAACTATGTCAAAGCTTAGAGACTTACTGTATTAATTTTTCTGACAGTTCCATGGCTCAGCTGAGCAGTGTTCACTCAGGCTGTCTCACCCTGTTGTGGGCAGATGGTGGCTGGGGTTGGAGTCATCTGAAGGTTCAGTTGGGCTGAAAGTCCAAGATGACTCATTCACAAGGCTGCTAATCGATGCTGGCTGTCACCTGGGGCTGTTGACTGGAGCACCTGGGTGTGTCATCTCTGCATGGGCTGGGCTTTTCACTATGTGGTGGCTGGGTTCCTAGGGTAGTGTCCCAAAAGTGAGTGTTACAAGGACTTCTTATGTGCAAGCTTTAGAAGTCATACAATGTCACTTCTGCCCCATTTCACTGGTCAACCACAAGTCACAGAACCTGGCAGAATCAAGAAAAAGCGAGTACATAAAGCATGATTAAGGTGAAGCATGAACCATTGAGGGGACCATCTTTGGAAACTAACCATCACAGGCAGTATTGGTGAGGTTGTCCTTATATCACAGCTGCTTTCACATGTGTGTGTGTGTGTGTGTGTGTGTGTGTGTGTGTGTGTGTGTGTGTTTTAAGAACAACTCATCTCCTCTCTCTCCAGCTTTCCCCAAGGTAAGATATTAATGAGATTGTATTTGAACTCTTTGACAAAATAATTCCTCCTTATAAAGCATACTGTTATTATTAGCCTGCCTGATCACTGCCACCTGGAGTCCACAGAAGACAGGATGAGAAATGATATATTGTATATCTTAAAAACAAACAAAACTTCATTAAATCCATTGAAATAACACAGACATTCAGATTTAGTACAGAGCAAATCCTATTACCAACAAATTGCATCAAATTGCCTCCAAAAGTCTGTGGAACCAGATGTCATCCAAGCCCTACTTCCTTCAAGCAAATACCCAATGTAAGCAACATGAAGGACTACCAAAGAATAGGAACATCCCCTGAGATTTGTTAGGATGGGATTTGACCCATTTTCTTTTAGTCACAGGTTCAGGCATCTTATGATCAGAAAGAAATTTTTGCAGGATTCATGAGTGTGAGCTGGCTGAGAAAAGAGTCTCATTTAAATTGTAGAAAGTGCATCTTTATGCCGTTATCAGGCCCCGCTCTGGGACCTGGGGATTTCCACTAGATTCTCTGGTCAGTATCTGGTGAGCTCACAGCACAAAAGCAAGTCTGGCAGCTAGGAGGCCCACCCACCCAAACCCAGACCCTTGCCTGGGAGGAGAGTAAGCCCAACATAAAGATAAGGGCTTCAGACCATGTGAACTTCTGGGGGGCAGCGGAGGCATTGGCATTGTGCAACACTATGTGACATTTCCCCAAGGTAAACCTCTGCTTTTACTTTTTCTGAATACATATATTTCTTAATACTTTCCTGTTTATTTCTGCTTCAGGGCCCTAAAGGGATGCATTAGGGTCAGACCAGGTGTACAAAAGCCATCCCGGAATTCAACTGCTCCTGCAGATGGCAACCACTCTCCCAGAGCAGGTGTTCCCAAAGGCCATCCCAGACCTTCCCTTCTCCACCAAGCCTCCTGTAACCACTCCCAGTTCTCATGTCAAGGCAGCATCTTTCCTTCCCCATCAAAGGTCAAAACATCCCATGCACTCAGCTTTGCCCTACAGACCTCTACTTCACTTCCTTCCCTTTGGCCAATACACACGTGGGCTAAGGGAGTAGAAAGCACTCGGATAGGAATTGGCTGGAAGGCCATCTGCCTTCTCACATAGTTTCCAGAAATACGACCTACATCAATTTGGAGATCCCCCTACTCTAAGCCAGGGGCCACTTCTTTGAGCCCTATCTTCATGTCATCCTCCCTTCCAAATTCATATGTGTCTGCCCATATGCTTTTTTTTTTCCGTTAAAGAATGCCGTCCCCTATTTTCCCCAATTAGTCTACTGTCAAACTAACCTCTTTCAAGCTACCAGCAGTCATCTAATCGACCACTTTGTTTTGTCTCACAGATCCTGTGTATACTATGCTATTTATGTTTGGTTTTAATGTAACAAGCATAGGCTGGGAATCTGCTGCAGTGCTGGAGATTCTGCTAAGTTCTAGGGATATAAAAATACCATATAAATTGAGGCAGAATTGGGGGTAGTCCTTAGCCAAGCTGAGAATGGTCTTTTGGTCTTTCATGTGTGTTTGTCTTGCCCATCCCTATAGAGTATCAGCACTTGAAAGACAAGAATAAGGCCTTTTGTTTCCATTTGTACCTCTCCCTCCACATTAGCCAGCACATGGCTCTGCTCATAGTCAACACTCAGCGTTAATGGCTGTAGGGCTGACGGTCCTGGGCTCCACCCTCAGGCCAGATGTTCACTTTCCTTGCAAGAATGACTAAAAGGATTGAGTGTGGTCTAAGAAGCCCCTAAGGCACTCTTTGGGGAAAAGTCATTTTTAATTTCCACAGTGTGTCACACAGTGGGATTTCAACCAGTTGTGAGGACCATGGCAAGAAATTTGTTTCTACTATCTTAAGTACATTTTTAAGAGATAAACTTTATTTTTTTTTTTACAAGTTGGACAGATTCAAGATTGTCCCAATGGAACTCTTCTCTTTCTCACTTGCCTTAGAATATCCCTTCTTGAGTGGTGCAGGTGCCAGCATCCTAAAGAGTGGTGGTTGGGCTGCAGCCTGTCCAGCTGGCCTGAGACAGTAGGGAACAGCCACTGGTGATGTACCATTAGTCTTTGGCAGCTATCAATTATCACAGAGATTAATTCCTCCCAAACTCTTCATTTTAAAAATCAAACCTGCATATTTCCTTAGGAGTGCACCAGGCTTGTGAACACCATGTTTACATGTGTTTTGGAGAGAAAGGGTTGAGAATCACCCCTTTCAGATGATCTCTTGCCCAAGGTATCCACACAACAGTAGAGAAAAAATGCAGTGCCTTGCTGTAAGTTCCTAAATTCCTTCTGTGAGGAGTGAAAACCTGGCAGGTCTTGGCAAAATTTGCCCAAAGGAATTTTTGCCTGCCCCAAACTGACAGAGACTCCTTGTGCTAGCCTCAGGGTGCAGTGGGAAGCTTGTTTTTTTTTAAATTGTCACTTTATTGATCATGATGTATGCCATTAATTGCCTCTTCAGTCTTTTGTATTTTAATTACTTGCCTTTTTCTCCTGCCTTTGAGTCTCTGGGTGATTGGATCACCAAGGGTGCAACTTCAGATAATTCTAATGAAGAAATGAGTATTATACTGGTGAGGTGGCTCTCTTGATTAGACCAGGTCCAAAATGAAAATTACGATTAAGGGATGCTGTCCATGGAAGCAGAGCTCATGTCTTCACCGGCTTCAGGAGTCTGAGCAGGAAGAGCTCAGAATGCAAACGCTTAGCAAAGGAAGGAAGACCTGTGGGCTGTGTATGTGGGTGTGCATGTACACACATGTGCACTTGTGTATGTGTGCACACCTGGCCTTGCTTCTCTCAGAGGCAGGGGCAACAAGGCTGCCTACCTTTATGGGATCCCATTCTAAGATGGGAAGCATAACTCAAAACAAAGATCATCTGCTTTCCACGTTCAAAAGGAACCGCCGTATTTTCAGAAAACTTTCTTGTTTTCCCTCAAAACCTTCCTTTGCTATTCTCTGCAGGCTGTGAAGGTGCCAGATCTTTACTGTACCTTAGGGTAGGGGTGAGTGGAGAAAGGTAGAGATGTGGGCCTAGTAGAAACTCCAGTGATTGTCACTCAAACTGGCCTTGCCTCCATATTCTTCCCACTGTACTCGTGTCTGGGCTGAGTCTCAGGAAAGAGACAGTTGCAAATCAGGTGGTCCTGAGTTAGAGAAAACTAAACTGAGCCTCAGACTTCATAACCAGAAGACACATTTCTTTTTCATTCCTACTTCATTATGCCAGAAATGTTCTTTAAAAAGACAATTCTGAAATACAAGCAATTCTGAAAAGCTGTTTATAATATCCTTGTTACATAATTCAAATGGGCAAACTTGCACATTTTGCTTCTTTAAAAACATTTTCTGTATGCTAATTGTCTCAGCAAACCCATAAGGCATATTATTTTATTTTTATTTAATAGTTGAGGAAACAGATTCAGAGAAGGTAGGTGACTTTCCCAACTCACACAGCAGTTAGAGAAAAGTCAGGACTTGAATCTCCCTCTTTTGGCTTCAAGAACAGTTCTTCCCCAAACATTTTTTTCTTTTAATTTTTTGTTAGTCCCAGGCTTATTTCTCTCTTTTTATTTTTCCAGGACTCTGTGCATCAATTTAATGTTACAAAGTCGCTTTCTTTCTCTGTAGATGCCACTTCAGAGACAGATTCTCTGGGGTGTTTTTTGGTAAATCATCTCGTTACATTATGGTTCCAATACACGTGTTCACACAGAAGTGCCTTCAGTCTGAGAATGTTAAGTGCTCAGGGTGTGATAGCAGTTGAAGGGACCTCAGTGAGACAGGGCTCTTTCTTGTGAGAGGAGGACTCAGGTCTCTGTCCTACTGACTCAGCCTCTCAGATACAGGGTTTGCTCTGAGATTTCCTGCTCAGCTACCATTAGTTATTTGGTATGCTTAGTGCTCTACACACAATATTTTTCTTTTCTTTCTAATTTTTTTATTTCAACAGGCTTTTGGGGAACAGGTGGTGTTTGATTACATGAATAAGTTCTTTAGAGGTGATTTCTGAGATTTTGGTGCACCCATCGCTTGAGCAACGTACATTGTACCCAATGTGTAGTCTTTTATCCCTCACTCCGTCCCACCATTTCCCCAAGTCCTCCAAAGTCCATCGTATCATTCTTATACCTTTGCATCCTCAAAGTGTAGCTCCCACTTATAAGTGAGAACACATGATGTTTGGTTTTCCATTTCTGAGTTACTTCATTTAGAATAATAGTCTCCAATTCCATCAAGGTTGCTGCAAATGCCATTATTTCATTCCGTTTCATGACTGAGTAGTATTCCATGGTATATACATTTATATACCACATTTTCTTTATCCACTCTTTGATTGATGGGCATTTGGGCTGGTTCCGTATTTTTGCAATTGCGAATTGTGCTGCTATAAACATGCATCTCTACACCTTATGATTACGATAGTGATTATTCCCAGTTTACAGATTAGAAAACTGAGGTTCAAAGAGTTTAAACTATTGTCTATAAAGAGCTGCAATTTATTTTGACTCCAAAGTTCACATTCTTTTCTTTATACTTTTTCTTCCTTTGTGTTTTATTTGTCTGATATTAAGAGAGCAAAAAGATTCTAGATATCTCAATGACTAAAAATATTGGAGACACCAGAATCAGCATCTACAGGGTTGCCATTAAAGTCACAGGATGGGGGAGGGATGAAGATGGCTGACTAGACACAGGTATTATGTGCTCAGCATCACTAATTATCAGAGAAATGCAAATCAAAACCACAATAAGATACCATCTCACACCAGTCAGAATGGCTATTATTAAAACGTCTAAAAACAACAGATGTTGGCAAGGATACGGAGAAAGGGGAACGCTTATATACTGTTAGTGGGAAAGTAAATTAGTACAACTTTTATGAAAAACAGTATGGATAGTCCTCAAAGAACTAAAAATAGTACTAACTGCCCTTCAATTCAGCAACTTCACTACTGGCTATCTACCCAAAGGAAAAGAAATCATTATATCAAAAAGATACCTGCACTCGCATATTTATTGCAGTTCTATTTACAATAGCAAAGGTATGGAATCAACCTAAATGTCCATCAATAGAAGACTGGATAAAGAACGTGTGGTATGTATACATCATGGAATACTACTCAGCCATTAAAAACAAAGAATGAAATTATGTCTTTCGCAGCAACATGGATGGAACTGAAGCCATTATCTTCAAGGAAATAACACAGAAACAGAAAGCCAAATACTGCATGTTCTCACTTATAAGCGGGAGCTAAACAATAAGTATACATGGATATGCAGAGTGGAATAATAGACGTTCGAGACTCCAAGAGGTGGGGCGGTAGGAGGAGGGTGAGGGTTGAAAAATGACCTATTGGATACAATCTTCACTATTCAGGGGATGAACACACTAAAAGGCCAGGCTTCATGACACAATATATGCATCAAAGAAACCTGCACTTGTACCCCTAAAATATATTTAAAAAATAAAAAAAAGCCACAGTATGGAGCCTGGAGCCTGAAGCTTGAAAGTGGTGAGTCAGCCTAAAGAGTGTGAGAATCGGGAGTTCCAGATCCTAATTCCATCACTCCCGCTAAGCTCGACATTGTTATTTCGACCGCTGGGCAAGCTCCCTGAGCCTCCATTTTTGCCTCCCTGGACCTCCATTTCCTCACCTTTATAATTGAGAGTTTAGAGGAGGTCCTCTATGAAGTTCTATCCTGTGCTAAGATTCCCATGGCACACCTATTGGGACACGTTCTTTCTCAGAACATTTCTGCCACCCGGAATCTCATGAAGCAATGAGACTCAATTCCCCATAACGACAACAATCAGCATTCCCACTTCTCCAAAGCATATGGTACTATGGATGCCTGCCAGGGAGTTCTGTGAACGGAAGTGAGGCATGAATGAACATCACCAGCCAACATGTTAGGTTTGTCCTTCTTGCTGTTCTTATTACTGAGTATCTACACTGGGTTTGGGAGACGGTCCCTTTTACTGATTATTTCAAGAACATGGTCTCTGTCTTCGTGGAGTTAATTACTTCAGTTCCTCCCTTTACTTCATGACCCATCAGTTGCTCGGCCTGCTTTTTGGCATTTTCTATATCTCAGGACCTCTCTGTATTTAGTATACTAATGAAAAAAATTAAGGCTTCAAATAGAGAAAAAAATAAGTTCTGGTGTCTCATGATGCCCTTGTTAGTTAGAGAAGGGTCAAGTGAAGACCTATTTCATATGTGCAAGATAATTGTCAAGTGAAGTGAGGAGGAAAGGATAAGAAGACATTTTTATTTTGATTTTAATTGGCTTCTCTGTTCTTTCTCAGTTCCCTCCAACCCCGACCCAATTTCACCTTTCATCATAAAGCTCAAGGCCTTGTTGGAATGGGGGAGGGGAAGCGGTGGGTAAGGGGAAAGAAGAATATGGCATATTAAATCTATTCCATGAACTATGTCATTTCATACATAATTCATCAGAATCCTAATATTCAAGACTGAAGCCAGACTTCCATTTTTAAAAACCCAGAGTTTTGTTTGTTTGTTTATTTCTGTCAGTTTTTCTTTTTTGCCATTTGTAAGGTTGTGATTAATTTTATTTTTGTCTCTTGGTCACAAAACCCTGTGCCCCTCAAAAATTGCTCTATTGCCAGGCAGTGAGTACCCTAGGCTGGAGGGAAGCCAAGCACCGCTACCACCAGCCAGGCTGGCAGGAGTGCAGGAATGTGGCTTGGGGAGTCCACCTCCTGCTTTCTCTGTCCTTTCTGCCCCAGGAGGGAAAGGGCTGAGGAGAGGAAAGGTGGGGGCCCATTGCAGAGTTTGCCAAAGCTTCACAAGGACTTAGAGTACAAGTGTGTCCAGAAGAAATTTCTTTCCGAGGGGAGAAGAGTAAAGTAGGTGGGAAAATGTTGATCTGTGATGACAACCTGTAGAGGTGTGAAGAAGTTTTTATTAATGATGCAAGTTGCAGACAGTCCTGCCAGCTACAAACAAGGTTCAGCAAGGGCTGTTGTCATAATAGCCACTGTAGGGGGCTGACAGTTCAGGAAAGGAGCATACACCGGCTCAGGGGCTTATGCTCAGTCACATGAGACTACAGCACTTGCAGTAGTTACGTTGGGAGTGGGTGGTGATTTGATCCACATCAAGTAATCAGGCTCTTGTATAATGGTGGGGGAGGAGCACAGGTAGCATATTTCCATTTCTATAGTAATGAATGACTGTGAAATATGCACCAGCTTATAGACCGATAAAACAAACTGTGTGAGGTCTATGTGGTGACCCTCAGAGAACTGTGGCTGCATGTCCATGATCTCCAAATACGCTGAACTGAAAAAAAGAAAAATCAAAGAAACTGGTCACTTTGCCCCAGTGGGTTAAAAATTGGTCTGGTTTCTTTTTAGTTACTTAACTGATGTTGGATCACTGAATTAATGAATCTGGTCTCTGTTCTCTTTTGGTCTGACTTGGATGTAAATGTTTGGATGAGAATTCTGGGATGTATCAATTCTAGACAGTTGTTTGTATTGGGGAAGCTGAGAAATATAAAGACAGAAAAATGAAAAAGAAATAGAGATGACCAGAAGTGGGCCAAGGTAAGAATCAATGAAGGACAGTAGCAGGAAGTACCAGGACAAAATCAAAATTGTATCAAAGAGAATTTTGAAGATTCATTACTTCTAAAAAGCAACTTACACCACAGTCGCAGGTGTCTTATAAAAATATTTTGAATTTCTTATGACTTACACAGAATATTTAATAAATGCACACTTTAATATTACCATGCACCATTTTAATTTGAAACAGGTTTGTGGAGGTTTAATAGGATATTCACTTTGAGTGGGTGGGGTGGACAAATGTGATAAAAAGAACGATTTACCTGAGATCTGAGAAAGACCCGTGGGAAAGGTACTTTACTGGGTAGGATTAATCATCCTCTAAAATTTCAAGTTCATTTACATATATTTCTGAGAGACACTGAGCCACATTCTTTCCTCAGAAGCACCATTTGTTCAGTTTGCTGACACCAGATGCTATAAGGCTATTGTTGTGACGGTTCTTAAACCCATTCTGTTTGGGTAGAACATCCTTTGAAAGTTTCTTATACCTGCTTTTCTCGTGTACAATGAGGAAAATTCATTTCCTTCCTGTTGAGCAAAGTTAACGATTATGTTCCATTATATTAAAATATTATCCATTGTTATGACTTCAGTTTATTGTTCCTGCTGAAATCGCCATGTGTTGCAGAGTCAGCAATGCCAAGACCCAGGCACTCGTGTGTCAGTTCAGAGTTTCTCTTTAAAAATAGTTTTTTTCAGATGAGTTATGACAAAAAAATGGCAAATCACAATTTCAGGGGAATTAATAGGTAATTACATACTTAAAAATCATTTTTAGCTTGAAAATCCAAATTTTTAACAATGTTGTATCCAGAACATAATTATAACTGCCACATTGAATCTCTGAACCAGAAATAAGAGCCTTCCTTTAAGATATAATAAATACTTTAAGTATTAGGACAATGTTTCTCTTTCAAGAGGGATGAAAAGTAGAATTATAGGCTACCACTATATTCTAATTCCATGAATGGTTCACTTTTTAAAACTTTTTTTTATCCTTTTCAAGGGTTCATTATTTGTGTCCAAAGAAGACAAGGAAAGATCAGGACGTGGACTGAAAAACCAGAGTAGGCTCAGAAGATTCAAAAGCTCGAATCAGGAGGTGGTGTTTTTCCTGGTATTTTGGCAGATGTAACAGCACCAGAACCAGAATGCGGGCAATGTGAAGGAGATTGTAGCAGGAGCAAAGAAAGGAAGGGAGAAAAGAAGATGGAATCCTCTTCTTTTTGTGAGTTTCTTTTTGGGAGAAGAGAGAATAGCCTGGAATTCATTCAGGCAGCTCCACTGAGGCAAATCCATTATCAGTTCAATTCCCTTCAGAACTAGTTCACAAGGGCTGCCATAAAAAAAATACCATAGACCGGTGGCTTAATCAACAGGAATGCATTTTTTTCACAGTTCTGGAGGCTGGGAGTCCAAGACCAAGGCGCCGGCAGGGTTGGTTTTGTTTCCTCTGCTGAGGCCTCTTTCTTTGGCTGGCAGACGGCCATCCTCTTGCTCCCTCTTCATACAGTCATCCCTCTGTGTACACGTGCCCTGGCATCTCTCCTCCTTAAAAGGACACCAGTCGTATTGGATTAGGGTCCATCTTAATAGCCTCGGTTTAACTTAATCACCTTTCTGAAGACCCTGTACTCAAATACAGTCACATGAATTAGCCCCCAGCCATGTGACCTCATTTTATCTTAATTACCTCTTTAAAGACAGTATCTCCAAATATAGTCACATTCTGAGGTGTTAGGGGTTGAGACTGCAACATACGGATTTTGGAGGGACAAGTTCATCCCACAACACCTTCCAAATTTTTTTTTAACTTGAAAACAGGTGATGTATCTGTGGTAGACAGATGATGACCGTCTCCTAAGCCTTAGATATAAGGAAGAGTAAAAGGAGGTGAAAGTTAGCTCCCTTGGGATATTCAAGGCACTGAAAACTGTGAGGGCCCAATTTTATTTTGTTTGAACTGTTTTTTAAATTTGTTAGTGAAAATTCCAGATATGCACAAAGTAGACAGAATAGTACAGTAAGCCCCCTTATGTTCATCCACCAGATTCAACAATTGTTGTGGCTTTGATCCTCTTGCTGAATCCATTTTCTCTCTCTTTTTTTTCTCTCTCTCTCTTGCCGAAGTGTTTTAAAGCTAATCTTGGGTATTGTGTCATCTTACCCTGCATCTCTTAAATAAAGGTATTTAAGTATGCATCTTTTAAAATATAAACACTCTCTTACATAACCATGATGCCATCATCATGCCTATCAAAGTTGACAATAATTTCTTGCTTGTTTTATTCCCAATTCAAATTTCCCTCCTCTCAAAAAAAAATATATATGTATATATACGTATATAGTTGATAATGTGAAACAAGATCCAAACAAGATTATTATTACATTTAGTTGTTAGTAGACTATTTATTTTGGGGAAAAAACATTGTTTCATTGCAGAGAGTGCATCATTTAGAACATCCTATAGGGTTATTTACTTTTACTTGGAAATTGCCCTAAATACCAGAAACAAACTCTCTATCCGATGGAGTGGGCCTGGATGGAATTGCTTCTCCCATAATGCCTTGGATGCTGTCTGTTTACCTGGATAGTGGTCAGCCTAACTAAACAGGAAATTATACTTGCTTTCTGTTTAAATAATATCTTGGTTTCTATAAGTAGTCATTATATTTGATTCTATAAGATTTCATTATACTTTAGATAACATTTCTCATGGAAAACACAGAAGCAGCAGACATCTTTAGATATTCTGGTTGCTTCAAGGTTATCCACATATTACCTGGAATTCAGCTGCCTCCCACCCCGACCTTTGGGATAACAAGATAAACTTGATTCACAGCCAGTTCCATCACCCGTTAATGTCCAAAGTTCTTGCTGTGGTTTCTGCAACTGTCCAGGGCCAATATCCCTATGGGGTCCTCCTCTCTGATGCTTGCAATCATGTATGCTACCTCTATTTCATCTACAGCAGCCAGACACTAACCTTAGCTCCTTCAGGGGGTTCCACAAACCTCCATTCACACCCAGCATTTTGTGAGCTTTGTCACTTTATTTAAGAATGGGAGGGCAGGACCATGTAGAGTGGCTCACCTCACACAGAGTACACGATTTTACCACTTGCTGGTCTCTCTCTTGCCGCCTCCCACCGCCATTTCCCCTCACTCTCTTTCTTTCCTCTCCCTTTTAAGAGTGTGACAAATTCCTCTCCTTACCTCATGCAGAGCAGTTTAATAATAACTTTTTAAACTTGAATATACTCTTGGGTTTCACCCTCCACCCCAAATGACTTGCTGAAGTATTTCTTTATCCAGATATATTCAGGGCTCTCTTTCAGAGGAATTCTGGTTAATGCAATTTTCTCTACCTCATTTTAAGTATGTAACAGTCAGCCCCTATTTCTGCTCCAGCCCCCAGATTCATCCTACACATACAGAAGAGTGTGCTGGGGGCATCTCCCCGAATTCCTTCATGTAACAGAGCAGGGACCAGGAATGCTACTTATCTGGTGCAGCCACAGCTGCCCAGAAAACAGCAACAGGGTTGTGCAAAGTGATGCCACCCACACTAGAAGACTCTTAAATTTTGTTGAAATACAACACTACCTGGGTGCAAAAGCTTAGCAATTTTCCCATATGCAACTCTTATCGCCCACAGGGCAAACCTATGGCTAAAGTCAGACTATTTAAACCTGCCTCTTCCTGACACCCAAATTTCCTCAACTTGCAGACAGTATTCCTGCAGCCAAGGAATTCTCCCTTGCCACAGAGAAAAAAAAAATCCCTGAATATTTTCATTTCATCCAATTCAGCAGATCACAAAGGATAAATAGGCACACTCTCTTTGAACTTGGCTTCAGGAGTGTGTCCATCAATCCAAGCAATCCAGGCTGCCAGAGACTGCAGAATCCATCAACCTAGGACCCAATTCCAGCCTGGTATCTTGAATCTGCTTACAATTCTTTTTTTCCCCACTTGAGAAGAGGTGATCAGTGTTTTCTGTTGTTGTTGTTTTAGTTTTATTTTTCTTCATGTCCCTCTATCACTTTCCTTAGCCTCCAGTCCTCTTAAACTTGTACACCCCTCCCTAGGACTCAAATACCAGATGGTATTCTATTATTTGACAAAAGCTCTCCAAATGAGTGAAGATATTGACTCTGAGTGTGGGTGCACTCAAACTATGCAATATTTCCAACTCAGCCAAGTGCCTAAAGTGTAGAAATGCACCTCCTGGAACAGACACATGCACGCAGTGATTCCTGCAAGATGCCAACATTCTCATCAGAAGCCACAGGGTCACAAACCCCTGATGTGCAGTCCTTGAAGTAAAATAATCATAACATCTTAATTTTTCCTTTCTGAACCACTGAGTCAGCCATTTTGATTAGTTTTCAGAACTTTTTGTAAAGAAAATACATCTACTCTCTGACCAAGCATTCCCCTGGGTCTGTTTGCAAAAGGATATTCTAATGGGTACAATATTTGAATGCTACCGCATTTCCACTATACCTGCCTCGTTATATTACATGAATCTATCTGTTCTTGGTTTGGAAATGTGTTTATTGTGAAGCCTGGTAATTCTCAGGTGAGAATAGTAGATTTATAAAGTGTGCCCCGCCTCTTGTCTGCTCTCTCCTAAGGCCACGACCCCAAAAGATCAGTGACTAAAACGTGTTTTGATGTCATCTCTGAAATTCTGCTTTTTTAAGAATGTTTTATAATGAAACCTTGGAAATAGCATGCAGAGATTTCGCTCCTGACATACCCCAGAAGGTCACATGCTCGAATTCTGCTTAAAGGGACACTAATCATATTCAGTGTGTGAGTAGAGAGGTTTACAGTTGGAGATGACACCATCATTTGCATATGATGTAAAAATGAAGGACCATTAATTTTATAGCATTAATTGAAGAGCAGAAGTGTTAGACCTCTATAATTATCTTCAGTGAATACATTTCAAAGAGATCTTCACAAATGAGGCTTGTGTGTGTGGATGTGTGAGGGTACAGATAAAAAGAGCAAAGTGAAAGTTCCACTTTGTCCCCCCTCAAGATGCACAGATCGGCATATGGTTAAGTTAAAAGCTTAACTTAAATCTGAATTGCTTCCTCTGTGTGGAAACAAGACATGTGATTTCTAGACTCCCAGGAGGATATTCTGCCCAGACGGGGGGGTCTGGACTGCTTGCCACACACTTCAGAACCACTGAGATAGAGAACAGGGGAGGAATCTCGGGAAGGTGGGCAGTGTCCCCTCGTGTCCTCCCAACACCCCATCCTCCCATCTCTAGCACCCCCGGCAGGACCTGGCACTCCCCTTGGTCCTGATTTTATCCTCCTAGAATGTTCTTCCTACAGTCTAAATTTACTGGTCCTATATTTTGTTCCCACAGGCCAAACTCTCAGCTAAACGGCTATAGATCCAAGGAGATCATTCTGCAATGTTAGTCACCTTAGTGTTTTGCAGTCCAAGGTCAGCATGGAAAGTAGAATTTCTAACGATTTATACAGAAGATCATAAGCATTATTTGAGTGGCTTACTAATTTTGTAGCCAAAAAAAAAATCAAAGTAGAATAAGGGGGAGTGGGGGTATGGTGGAGTTTTTTTGTTTTGTTTTGTTTTGTTTATCGTGTGTGTGTGTGTGTGTGTGTGTGTGTGTGTGTGTGTGTGTGTGTGGTTTGGGGAAGGGGTTATATAGGCAAGAAACAACTAAAAAGAGAAGCCAGCTCCATGATTCTAGGCAACACAATGCCAGTGTCAAAAGCAGTGGTCACAACCATGATGGTCCATCTTCATTTCTATCTGAGCAGTGAAAGATGGACATTGGGCATAGAGAGTCTGGGCAGACAGTATGTGCAGCCCGAGGTTTAAGATCTGCTTGGGAGTTTTGGTAATTATCCTGACATGCAAGACTCCTTGCTTTAAAAAAATATGAACTACCTCTGAACCTTAAAGTCACAGATTCTCTCTGGTGTATAAAGTTTATAGGGGGAAGGTTGGGAGCCACCAGTGTAAATCAAGGAAGGCATTAGCTAATGATGCAACATGATGCAGACACTCTGTTTAAATGCTCCTGTCTCCAGGGGCCCTGCAGGAGTGACAATACTGGTGGGAACTGCAGGTACCACTACACACAGGTGGAGGAGAAACTTAGTGTAGAGGTCTTTTAAGAAAATGCTAAGGATAATTATCTAACTTTGTGAAAAGCTTCTCTAGGTGTAAGGAACTTACTCAGGATGGTGAAGGCTTCCTCTAAATTCCTATATAGCTCACTGCTCAGTTTGTCTTTCATTTCATGCTTCATTTACCTAGTTTGGTACTATACTCTTTTCTTTTTGCTACCCTCTTAAGGTAGATTTTCTATGCAATATGCTTTACATATTTAAAGTGTACAACTTGATGTGTTTGGACATATACTTGTACATACATACAGATATAAACACTTGTGAAATCAAGATACCAAACATTTCCATTACCTCCAAAAGTGTTCTTGTGTCCATTTGCAATTCTTTCTTCCCTCCACCCTGTCCCTAGTGACTACTGCTCTGTTTTCTGCCCCTGTAGGTTAGCATGCATTTTCTGGAATTCTATATAGACGGACACATTGATGCATACTCTCCTCTTGCCGGGCTTCTTTCATCCAGCTGTACCACATTCCTTGGCATTCTGCTAGAGATATTTCCCCTCCCAGGCTAGAAATAACCTCATGTGCCAAGACGATCTGTGATGTGACAAGATATGTATGTTGTAGATAAGGTAAACATTGAGTTTTGTACGTAATTTTTTTCTGAGATGTTCAAGGAATTCTGTAATAGGAGACTCCACCATATTGGTAATAAAAGGAAGTTTTTATTTTTTGGAAAATGCACTAATTTGTGTAGCTTTTTCTTCTTCTGAAATTGAAATTCCAAGGATTTAAGGGAGTTTTCTTCAAAACAATTCACACACCAGGGTGACTTCATTTCTTTACTTCAATAAAGTGGCCTGTCGGCTTTTTGTGTGGAATGTAAACCAAGTTGATACAGATGGGAGTGGGAATGATTTACTTCACGCTTGTTTTCATGGAAGAACTGGAAATAGCAAGTGCAGGGAATTAGACTCAGTGACCTCTAGGCCCTCCGTCTTCCGTGTCTCCATCTCAGAGGGTGAACGACTCACCAAAGGTCACCACGGAAGCCACACATGATGCTGAAGTCTGCTTAGGTATTTCAGGTAAGACTCCCTCCATTGCAAGTGTCAGACACATAACAAAAGGTAATGAAAGCCAAAAATAATGACCAATAAACCTAAGAAATTTAGTGGCTGAAGCAGCTAAAACTCATTCCTGGGGTGGGATAGACTAGACACAGGAGCTTGAACATAGCAGCACTCAGACTCTCACTGGCTCCCAGCTCTGACTTTCTCTATGTTGATTTTACTCTCAGGAAGCTCTCTCTGTTCCATGTATACATCCCACTGCTTCAAGCACAGGAGTTTCTCAACCCAGTGTCCCAACTGAAGACTATGATTTAATGCATTGGCGGGTTGTGTGACCATCACCAGAGCAGGAGGATGGAACGTGCTGGTCGGTCAGTGCCTTGTTGTGTACTCACCCATGGCTGTAGGCAGGGAGGGACTGATAGTCCCACCAACCACATGACTGATGTGAGGAGAATTCCCCCAGTGACAGAGAAACACCATTACAAAACAAAGGGGAGTGGATGCTGAGCACAGGGCAAAAGGTGCTCACTTGAGTTGTTTTCTTACATCTTTGTATAAAATTGCCATGGCTCCCTTAGAAAACTACAGGAAATCCTGGAGCATCCCATTGTCTCTATTCACACTTTCATTCTTCTCTTATGCATGGACATGTGACCAGAATTTAAAAGATTATAAGCAAGATTATTCTACATTTCCAAGATTGGTATACCATGATCTTTCACTCAAGGATGTCGAAGATCCTAATCAAAGTGAGATAACACTGCAGTGGGAATTTGTATATTAGAGTCTTGGGCACTTGGCTTCCTTAGGACTCACTCGCTTCACATGTGCAATGGGAATAAATATTTCTCTGCTTTCCAGGTATGGGGATGGAGGTTCAATCAGATACTCTCTGGAAGTCTTGCCTTTCTCTGATTGTGTTCATGATTTCACATGTGCTGGCAGGTTGATATAATAGATTACTCAAAATTAAACAATTTCACTCTAATGAAAAGTGGGAGATGGCCACATATGAAGTGGACATTATTCGTGCTTTGAACATCTTTCATATACTACTGCACTTTCCCACTTGTGACTTCTGCCATTTCCTAAACAGAAGCTGGAAGTTGTGTTTCCGAACTTTCCCTGCAATCTAGGGCACAGTTATATGACCAGGACCTAGAATCAAACATACGTTTGTGAGATTTAAGCTTAGAAAAGGTGATGTGAAGAAAGAAATGTTGAATAGATTCTACATTGGAGAGAGTGATGGAGAAGTGGTCATCTTTCAGAAGAAGGGTGTTAAAGGTTCCAGCACGGGTGTCCTGTGTCCGTATCAACCAGGCAAACTATAATACTGCGCTAGCAGCAGGAACAGGAGAGTCTCCACTGGAGCAGGCTTGTGGTATCACCTAGATATTGTTTCTAGTTCCACTGGTTCTCTGTCTAATCTTCTGGCTCTCTGTGAACTGCTTAAGGTTTAACATATTACAAATCTGCATATATTAAAGTGGGCTGTGTTGTTTACAACTAAGAACCCCTTGACCAATACAGAAATTGATCTCAAGAGTGGTTTCAGGCCCCAGACACAAATAAATGGGCCTCTAGTATTGGTTTTCTAGGTAAGAAGGCAGTGAAAACCCCACCTAGTAGTAAAGAATGGATAGTAGTAGAGTATTTTAAATATTCTCCTGTGGTTACCTATGAAAGTCAGTCTTGGGAGATACAGTGGCATGAGGAATTTAAACAATATGAATGACATGAATAATTCAAGGGTTACTTCTGACTGCACTGGAGAGTTTGAATTCCCAGCTTAGGGCATGGTCAGGGATAGAGGGACCACCTAATGCTATGATAAACCATCCCTTTCAGGTACATAGCTAAAGCCTGAGTTTCATCCTGATGGAGTTGCCAAATTACAATGTCAGTGGAAATTATAGCCTTATCAAGTCTTTTATGTCAGAGTTAGGGCTTTAATATAAAAGAAAGGGACCTTGAGAATTGAAATTGAGGACATATAAGAAGCTTTCAGTGATTTGGAAAATTCTGAATATTGTTATTGGTCCTAGTCCATTACCAAGAAGGAAGTAGACTTGCAGAATGGTGAAAATATTTATTGAAACCTCAGTAGTTGTTATGCCAGCTGGAAGACAACACCTTATGAGTTTGGTGTTGTGTTTAAGATGTGGTGCATTTCTCTGAACCATGCAAAATTTATGCTACTATTTGCTTTTCTATAATCAAAGTGCATGGAATTCAGAACAAAAGGGTGAAAGCAGGAGGGGTACTTCTCAATATTACATCTAATGGCCCTATTCCAATATTTTGCTTTTGATCCCTGTAATTCTCAGTTCTGCCAACTTAAAGATCTTAGTGCCCAGGGGAAGAATGGTTCCACTAGGAACGCAGAATGTTTCAATTGAATTAGAAAATAAGACTTCTTCTTGTCAAGAAGAGGCTATTTTGAATTCTTCCTGCCACTGGAAAATTAAGCAATAAAGGAGTTTTCAGTGTTGACTGGGGCAATTGATTCTGATTAACAAGACAAAATAGGGTAATTTATACCATTTTATACAAGGAGTATTTCTGGAACCTGGGAGATCCTTCTGGGCACCTTTGTGTATTGCCATGTCCAGTGGTAAAGCTCAGTGGAAGACTACAGCAACCACATACAGGAAGGATCACAAAGAGATATTATCCTCCATTAATAAAGATTGTAAGAGTCACCTCATCAGGTAAAGAATCCTAGCCTGCTGACATGCTGACATGCTGACATGCTGGTTGTAAAGGCAAAAAGAGCATGGCATGTGTATTAGTCTGTTCTCACACTGCTATAAAGAACTACTTGAGACTGGGTAATTTATAAAGGAAAGAGGTTTAATTGACTCACAGCTCCACATGGCTGGGGAGACCTCAGGAAACTTACAATCATGGTGGAAGGCGAAGGGGAAGCAAGAACCTTCTTCACATGGTGGCAGGAGAGAGAAGTGTCCATGCAGGAAAAACTACCGTTTATGAAACCACCAGATCTCATGAGAACTCACTCACTATCATGTGAAAACAGCATGGTGAAAGTTCCCCCATAATCCAATCACTTCCCTCCTTTGACACGTGGGGATTACAGATCCCTCCCTCAACATGTGGGGATTACAATTGGAAATGAGATTTTGGTGGGGACACAAAGCCAAACCGTATCAGCATGTGTATTAGTCCATTCTCACACTGCTATAAAGAACTACCTGAGACTGGGTAATTTATGAAGAAAAGGGGTTTAATTGACTCACCGTTCCATAGGCTGTACAGGAAGCATGGCTGGGAGGACTCAGGAAACTTAAAATCATGGCAGAAGGGCAAAGGGGAAGCAAGCATGTTTTCACATGGCGGCAGAAGAAAGAGTGAAGGGGGATGTGCCACACACTTTTAAACCATCAGATCTCCTGAGAACTCTCTCATGAGAGTGAGAGTTCTGTATCATGAGAACAGCATGGGGGAAATCTGTCCCCATGATTCAATCACCTCCCACCAGCTCCCTCTCTCAGTATTGGGAATTACAATTCAACATGAGATTTGGGTGGGGACACAGAGCTAAACCACATTAGCATAGTTGTGGAGAAAGGATGCCATAAAAACCACCCATATCCACATGACCACTTGCAGAAACAATAGCATAAACATTTTTCTTCCTTGCTGTGTCTATATACAGACTATTCTTCTCTTTTTCCTCCTTTCTGCTTCCTTTACAGTTGTATAGGATATATGGGTAGGAACAGGGTGGTAAATAACTGCATTTTAGTGCCTGGATCACAGAACACCGAGATGGCATTGTGGCTAAACTGGAGAAGGTGGACAACTCCTGGGATAAAAAAACTGAGGAGATTTTGTCTTGCCCCTCCTTTGAGGAGAGAGCGTGCACATTTTCATTTGTACAAGAAATAATTGCATGACGTTAGGCAGAAGCATTTTGTTCTTGTGATTGTAATTGTTGAGAATTTCAGTACAGAAGAAGGTTTTTAGGGCTGTTGCACAGCCAAAAGATAAATGTGTGGGTGTGTTTTATGTTATGGATCACTATTTACCCTTTGAACAGCCTTCCAATGTTTGAGAGATCTTCCTTCTCTACCTTCTGAAGGTAGAGGTTAGACACTTGCTTTCTCAGCCTCCAGCACAGCTAGAGTCGAGCCATGGGACCAGATGTGCACCATGAGATTTCCTTTTGAAAGAGAAGGTCACGAAGAAGGTGATGCCACGACGAGTACATTCTCGTCAGGTGGCAGACAGGCATGCAGCTCAGGGGCAGCGTGGTCAGAGGTCCTGGCCATGGTATCTTAGGACAAGCAGGCGGGGAGGCAATGGTATCTGACCCATGCAGCAGTCCGGCAGTGCAGCTGGGGCGCAGTTTCTATCTTTAGACCCTCCTAGCTTGATTCTATGGCTTCCTAGAAATTCCCTGAGCCACCAAAAATTCTTTACCAAACTGCCTTTCCTGCTTCAATTAGATTAGGTCGGTTTGTTGTTTGCAACTAGTGATATACTCACTGATATTCAGAGAAGCTTTTCCTGCCTATAGCAGCCAGTCCTAAAGAGCATGAAGAAACAAATCTTCTTTTTCTGTAGATGTCATATCCCAGTTGTTCCTGGCTCAAAACTGGGAATACACATCAGGTAAAGGGAAGTGGTTCAACATACAATCCTTTACACAAAGGGACGTTAGCGCAGCTGCGGTTTGCTTAGAAAACTTAAAAGTGGCCCATAAAGGGAAAGCCCATCTGTTTAGGGACACTAAATCTGCTTGTAGTTCACAGGATATCACACACCCAAAACAGGGACTCTAACTGCGAAAACTAATTCTATAGACAAATTGTATTTGCCCCTTACGGCAGCCTAGTGGGATGCATTGTGTGTGCAGGAGACTGTTTATTGGATTAGTTGGTGGCTGTTATATGTTAACAGGTTTGCAAAGTAGTTTTACTAAATCTAAGTTTCATACTAGCACTGAAGAAAATCCTGAAACAGCTTATCCCAAAAGAACACAATGCATTTTCATTACAAAACTCAAGAAAAGTCCTTTAAAGGTACCTCAAGATTGCTAGCCAAGAAGAATGTTTCACAAGCAAGAATTCAAAGCCTGCTGAATTAAGTTGTTGCCTATCAGGCATTCATAACAATTGTGACTTATTATAACTTGTGTTGAGAACAAGAACTGGATAGGTGTTGGTAAAGTTGTCCCCCTCCCTCCAAACTCATGTCATCCTGGTTTACTGAACTAAAAATGATGAGAATTATCAAAAGGATAGTTTGCTCCCTGACTACTCATGCATCCCAACTATCTTTCCTTTATAGCCCATTTTAATACGAGTGCCCAATATCCCCCTGCTTTGCTGATACCATATGGTGTTGATGTAGGTTTATTTTGGTGCTGTGTTATCTGGGGAAATAAAAATTGACTGGGGAGTTAGGCAAGCTCTTATCTCCTGCTGGCTTCTTTGCTTGCTTATGCTGCACTTTAAGTAAATCACTCAACCCCTGAGCCTCCGTTTTCCCATTTAGAGAATGGGATCAGTGATGTCTACTTTGCAGGCTCTAGAGAAGCCAGAAAAGGCAAGGTTCTGTTGTTTCCTGGGAGGCTAGGAGCTGTTGAATGTAAATGCAGTAGGGGTGTTTGTGAGAAGGTAGCAACTGCCTGCAAAAGAAAGATATTGGCTTTCCCTAGACTCATTAGTCAGAGAACTGAAAAGCAAGTACCTCCTTTTTTCACATTCCCCTCCAGAGAATTTCCTGTTATTTCCCTGGTATTAATTGATGGTGGGCACCCAAATTCTGAATTCTCAAAGGAAGAAAGTGCTTCTACTCTTGACATTTCTAATGTTCGTTTTTCATTTCTTTTGTTTGTTTCTTCAGGGGAGGTAAGAAAGAGGGAATGAGGCTTTTTGGGTTAATTGTGTGGATTACTAAGTGTGTGCATGGAACAGTCAGGCTAAGCTTCACCAGCTTGTTTTCTCTGCAGAGCTTTCCTTGCAGGAGACGTTTTGGGCAAGAGATGGAGAACTCATTCCTGAGTCAGGCTCTTCTTCCTGACAAGTTTGCATAGGGGGCATGATGCTATTTGTATTAGAGTGAAGGCTAAATTTCTGTAACAGACCCAACCATACGGTGTCCTACTGAGAAAGGTCTTTCTCTCTTAGGTGACAGTCCTGACAGGAGCGAGGGTGGCAGCCAGCTCTTCTCCAGTCTTTTCGAGACCTGTGTTCCTTCCACCTTAGTGCTCTGTCATCCCAAGTGCTATCACTTAGTTCAATGTAGGACGCAGGTACTTTAATGTGGTGGAATGTTTGGGTGAAGCATCCAAATTAAGAGCATCTCGGGCGTAACAACAATCCAGTGCTCCTCTAAACAGTGCTGGGCCACTTCTTTTCAGTTTTCCAACTTGCATTGACTGCAAGAGCAAGATGATCTTGCAAAAATACTCAACAGCATTGGGCCTGCACCAGCATGACTGTTTTATCATGTCTCCTTGAGACTCCTATTTTCATGGGAGCAGAAACTGTTCCCAAGTGATTCCAGTGATGTCTGGCTCCTCTTACGGAGGGGGAGCTTGGGCAGCTGCCCTTCAGATCCAGTTCTGCCCACCGTCCACAGCCCTGTCCCTTAACCCAACTCCCTGGAGACCTGAAAATGAGTACATGATTCCTGCCACAAGGGGCTCTGGCTCTAGTGGGTGACACTCCACCTACAGGTGAAGGGTGGACACCACACCTGGTAAGAAGTACTCTCTGTGGGGGCAGAAAGAGAGCTCTAAGCACATAGAGGAAAGGCCTTTCCTTAGGAAAGAGTGACAAAGTTTCTGAAAGAGAAGGGAGGTCTCATCTGACTGTAAGTTGGCCATGTAAAGACTGAGGGCAGAGAGAAGAGTTTCGGGCAGAGAGGGAGTAACACTCACAAAGCAGTGAAAGAAAGTACAGCAGATCCTGAAAGTAACACAGAATGACTGAAGTGAAGAAGACAAAGGGAGAGCTGATGAGAACTGAAGCTGGAGAAATGATTAAGGGCCAGTTCCTAATGAGCACTCATTTTCCATCTAAGGAGTTTAGACCTGACCTGGTGGCAAGAGAGACCATTAAAGAATTTTCTGAAGTGTATATTATGAACCCATTTGTGTTATAGAAAGATCACCCACAGCCATAAGGAAAGGATGTTCCTAAATGTGTGGTCTCACATCCATCAGCACCAGATTCACCTGGAGTATCCATCAAAATGGCAGAATCCCGATCCTCATCTTATGTGTGCTGAATCAGAATCCCAAAGAGTGAGACCCATGAGACTCATGTGTAAGATGTTCTCCAAGTGATTCTGATGCCTACTAGATACTTAAATGTCAGTGATGGCTGAGGGTCAGATGGGACAACCAGTCCTAGGGACACAAAAAGAAACTAATATGGTGGCAGATACTGATAGGAAGGGTGGGAGAATCTTTAATCCTTGGCATGGGGGAATTAAGAATCTCTGACTCTTTGAGAAAACTTTGATCCTAGAAAACAATTGCTGTGATTCCTTCCCCATAGAAGCAAACACAGAAAAGTCTGGTAGGTGAAGATAAGAAATAGCTCTCCCTCCTCTGAGTGGGCAATGAACACTCAAGGAGCTGGTTCACAGGATGTGGCTGTGATGGGACACCTGCTTTAAAACAGATTACACTTCAGGCGAAAAGTCTGCCTCCGGGAGCACTGATTGGTGGGTTCCAGCAATATGCTGCACCTTCTGGCATTTTTTATTTGTTTGTCTTTTAACTAAGTAAACTCAATATTCATCCTATGGCTTAGGAAGTTGACACTGACAAGGACGGAGACATTTTGATTGGTACATCTGCAGTCTGCCTGCACCAAAGAAAGGTCAAAATGTTCCTCTTAGCTGGCCAGGCTTGGAATCAGTAAGCAGCTTCTGCAGGATTTGAAGGCATCGTGCATTAGGACTACTGAAGCTTGAACGAGTGGAGTCATAAGAGCATTCATTATGCTCTCCTGTGGCAGAAATCATCATCACCTGCCTTTCTGCTGGGGCAATTGTTTTCATTTTTATGTATTTTCCCCTTAGGTGGGTTGTTTTAGCATCCGTGCTGTAATTTTCCTTGGCTGGAAACCCAAAGCCAGTGGGAGACAGACCAGAAATAGATCCTAATCTTCTCACCCCCAGCCTACCATGCCAAAACTGCCCAGCTGCCTCATACCACGAGTGACCTTTTTCTGAAAAATGGGAGGCCAGAGACAACAGGGAGGCTTGCCAGAATATAGCTCTGCCCTCTATATAATATTCACCACACTCAGAACCTGTTTTGACCTAAGAAAATTCTATTGGGTCCTGTACTAGTTAGGGCAATGTTAGTTGTTATAAAATATAAATAAATGAATAAATAAAACCCCAAATTGCAGTGATTTTATGCAATGGAAGTTTCTTATTCATGTAACAGTTCAGTGCAGGTGTTCTTGGTTGGCAATTGATGGGGTAGGGGGAGGGCTCTACTTCAAGCAGTCACTTAAAGATTCAGAATAACAGAGGCTCTGCTGCCCTCAAATCTTGGCTTCCAAGTTCACCCCGGGCATTCTCCAGCCAGCAGAAAGGGAAATGTGGAGGATAGAGTACGGACTTTTTGAAGTTCAGACCTGGAAGTGGTACACATCCCTTCTTCTACACCCCACTGCAACGAAAACAGTTCCATGGCCACACCAAATTAAAGGGATATTGGAAAAGATAGGAGAAACAAGTTATGGTGAACAAATAAGAAATTCCTAGCAATCTGTAGACCAAGATGGGGAAGCTTCCAAGAATAGTCGTGGCAAAAGCCAGGGAACTCTGGCAAGGGCCTCTCTTCATTTATTACTGGCCATTTCTAATTCATTCATGCACTATCTATTCTACAAGAATCTATTAAGCTCTTATTGTATATAAAATACTGTGCTAAATGCTTCAAGGGTATTTGAGGCATACTAGACTTGGTCTCTACCCTCAAGGAATTCACAGAATAATGGGAGAGATAGTCAGAAGCAATACCAAACAATGAAGTAAATGCTGTTTTAGAGAAGTGTATAAACAATTACACAAGCATATAGCAAGAAGGTTCCCCTAGGTGAGCCTTCAGGGATAATGAAAGAGCTCTCCGGATTGAAAAGGAAGGAAAGGGTGATTTCACATAGGGAGTAGCATTGGCAAAGGCACAGAGTTACGAAGGCACAGAGAATATTTAGAAAATGGAATTTGGCGTTCATAATGGGTAAAGCATATGGTGAGGAAAGAGAAATGCCAGGGAGGCAAAAATGGAATGATGGACTAGTACTGGGTTTTGAAAAACTTTGTAAGCCTGAAAATATTTATGGCATTTGCCCCTAAGCCCATGATTCTCCCTTTCTCTAATTATAGGTTGTTTTCCTCCTAACTTTTTTTAGATACCTGGTTCAAATTTTTGTTTCATATTTGTGTAATGTCCCGTCTCTGACTATTCTGGAATAAGGCTGCAGGTATGGCTGGATTTGGGACTCAAATTATGCCATCAGGACTCAGTTTCTCTCTATCTCTAGTCTGTGCCCTCAGCTGCCTTTGCTGAGTTAGCATCTCAGGCTTTGCATGGTGGCAAGGTGACAGCAGCAGACCCCACCTCTGTATTCCCTCAGGTTCATGTACAGCAGAAAGTTTCAGCAAAGTTCTCTTGGTATATTATTGGCGTAGGGGGACTCATATCTCCATTTCTAAACCAATATTTTCTCTTCTTTTCAGCCCAGGCCTCAGACTATGCTTCACTTCAGAGCTTGAGTAGTGGGAGGATGGTTGCTCAAAAGGAAACTCAGGTCCAGTTCCCAGATCATGAGTGAATGAATACTTAGGCAAGAAAAGAAGTCCACTGCTCAAGAGTTCCACTGGACAGACTCTCCAGCCAAGCTGCACTTCTGCCAGGGCCCAAAATATGCCTTGGGCTTTTCTAACATATCAACCTTTTAATAAACCACTTCCCTTTTTGAATCCTTCCCAATTATCTCAGCTGGCCCAAATCCTATCTATCTTTTAAAATTAAGGAAAAAATCTCAAATCCAGTTTATTCTTGAAGCCTAACGGGTTCACTGCTTCCTGCAAACAATTATAACACTTCTTGTCTACACAACTCTTTAGGAAACAAATGTTCTCCACCTCCTGCAGCTAGCTAACTTTTAATGACTACAATTTTTCTATCCAGCTTGACTCTAAATTCCTTTAAGAAAACTACAATACATGTCTTTGTCTTCCCTTGATATGTAATTTTTGTTTCACTTGTTTTTCATATTTATATCCCACCTTGTTCTAAAGTGAATTTAAGGTAGCTGACAAAAATGCATATGCATCACAAAGTAGAACAAAACTAAAAATAAATGAGTGAGATTCTCTGAAGAATACACTTACTGTAAGAAGTTTGATGACTCTGAGACTGCCATGCTGTGAGGAAGCCCAAACTAATCATATGGAGAGTGAGCTGCCAGTCATCCCCTAGCTGTTTTGCCTATTCTACTTCAGGAACGATGCATACGAAGTCATTTCAGACATTCTAGCCTAGGCAAAGGCTGGAATGGAAAAGAGCAGAGGAATTCAGCCAACAGCCAGAACTTGACTCAGATACACGACCATAGCCAAGTGGTCCCCAAAATGTCCATCCATTTGAGCCACCCCTGCTGGGGTCCCAAACATTGTATATACAAGTCCCCCAATATGCCCTGATTGAATACTTAACTCACAAAATCTCATTCAAATTACTACAGTAGGCCCAGAGGGAAATGCAGAGAAGATAAGCCTTGCTTCCAACCCTCAAAGAGTATAGAAACCAGAGATCTAAAGGAATAGGAAGGGTAAGATTTACATCTAATGGCTCCAGTTCTGGATAAGATGTAGTAAGCATCTTTCTCTCACATCTATAAAAAAATGGGTAGAAAGAACTGAGGACTAGAAAAGTAAATAGGAGCAAGCATACTGGCAAGGAACACCAGAATTTATAGCATCGTATTTTTCCCACTGATATTCCTCAGATTGGATTCCATGTAGGCTGAAACCGGGAAATGGTATGCACAGACAGCTCCTGGAGCAGCAAGCTAGTTCTAGCTTGTGGAGCAGGAAAAGGCTCTCCTAACACTCAGATAGGAAGATAGTCCCCCATTTTTTTCTTGTCTCCATTTTCTTATACCCTAGCCTCCAAGGAATCTCATGGTGGCAACAGCTCAGCAGCCTATAGGAACCTAAAATCAGAGGTAGGGTTGCCTTTCTCTCTGGTCAGTGGATCTGTGACACCAGGAAGGTGTTGGAAAACTACTGTCACTTTTCTTTCCATATCTGCCTGTGAGCCACTAGTCCATGGACCTGTGCACAACTGCAAGAAGTATAATGGGAGTGGGGTAAATAAGGCCCCATTATTCTGACTAGAGAGGTGAAAAGGGGATCTGCAGGTCAATAGAAACTGCTAGGGAGATTGTATAGGGGAAGAAGCTTGGGAAATTATCTCATAAAGTTGTTTATGAACTCTGGGCTCACTCTTGAGTTGTAATATGTAGATTTGACCATAAACAGCATACCCTAAATAACCTGGGAGAACTGAATTATGAGGCAGACACCACCCAGATCTCAAATTGGCCACTGGATGGCATATATGTGAGACAAACTTAAGTGGCATTGCAAGGGCTTTGAAATCAAAACTGACACTGAAATCATACCTAAAAGAGACTATGTGGACTATGTTGCCTGACCCCAAACTTGAACATTGTTTACTAAAACAAAAATATCAACATTCTCCATAGGATTTATGTTATAAGACCCAGGGTCTAATAACAAGATACTCAAAATGTCCAGGACATAATCCAAAATTGCTCAACATACAAAAAATAGAAAAATCTCACTCAATTCACATTGGAAAGTGCAATCAATAGATGTCAATGATGAGATGATGAAGATTTTAAGCAGCTGTCATAAAAATGTTCCAACTCCCAAATGAATGAAACCTTCAGTAGCCTCAAACACATAGGAAACATAAAGAAAAAATCAAATGGAAATGATATTATTGAAAAAATTATTGACATACAAAACTCACTGAATGGACTCAAGAGAAGAATGGAATTGAAGGAGGAAAAGGTCAGTGAACTAAAATATATTACCCACTCTGAACAATGGTAATGGAAAGAAAGATTGGGATAAAAATAAACATAGACACAAAACTGTTGCATAATATTAAAAGGTGTAACATTCCTGTCATCATAGTCTCTGAAGGAGAGGAGAGAGAATATGGTAAAAAATATATATATTTGAATAAATATTTAGCTGAAAACATCAAAATTTAGTGAAAGGTATAAATCTACAGATTCAAGAGGCTCAGCAAATCCAAATAGGACAAATTTTAAAAACATGCATACCTAGTCATCTCATAATACAACCACTGAAAACGAGATACAAAAAGAAAATTTCCAGAGAGCCAGAGAAATGACGACAGATTTCTTACTGAAAACCCGAGAGGCCAGAAGGAAATGGCACAAATTTTTCAAGTGATGAAAAATATAAATACTCAACAAATAATTATATATCCAGGAAAAATGCTTCAGGAATAAATATGAAATAAAGTTATACTCAGATTAAAGAAAACTGAAAGAATTTGTTGCCAGGAGACCTACTCAAAAGAATTGCTAAAAGACATTTTTCAGAGAGAGGGGAATGATACCATAAGAAAACTTGTAACAACAGAAATGAATAAAGAGCAAAAGATGTGGTAAATATCTATGTAAATATCATAGACTATTATTCCTTTGGAGTCTTTATGTGACTATATAGACTGTATGTGACTATAATACACAAGCAACTAAATGTATAGGAGTGGAGGTAAAGGGGCCTATATGGTGGTAAGGTTTCTGTATTCCACTTAAAGTGGTAAGATATACTGATTCTAAGTAGGCTGTGAAAGGTTAAGTATTGCAATCCCTGGAGCAACCATTAAAATATTGACACAAAGAGGCCGGGCGTGTTGGCTCACACCTGTAATCCCAGCACTTTGGGAGGCTGAGGCACGTGGATCATGAGGTCAGGAGATTGAGACCATCCTGGCTAACGTGGTGAAACCCCGTCTCTACTAAAAATACAAAAAATTAGCCGGGTGTGTTGGTAGGCACCTGTAGTCCCAGTTTACTCGGGAGGCTGAGGCAGGAGAATGGCGTGAACCCAGGAGGTGGAGGTTGCAGTGAGCCGAGATTGTGCCACTGCACTCCAGCCTGGGCGACAGAGCGAGACTCTGTCTCAAAAAAAAAAAGAATTTGACACAAAGAAATATAGCCAAAAACACAGAAGATAAAATGAAGACATGTTTAAACGGCACAAATTAGGGTAGAAATGGAGAAATTACTTAAAAAATGATTTTTAAAAGAGGCCTAAGTAAAACATATAAAATAACATTAAACGTAAGTGCTCTAAAAACACCCAGAAAGGCAGAGATTATCAGAATGCATAAAAAAAGACCCAACAATATTCTGCGTACAAAAAATCCATTTTAACTATAATGATAAAGGTATGTTAAAAGGAAAAGTACAGAAAGAGAAATATTATGCACACACAAATCAAAAGACAGCTGAAAGGGCAATATTAATATCAGACAAAGTAGACTTCAAAGGAAAAAACTTACTAGAAATAAAGAGGAACATTACATAATTATAATTGATCAATTCACCAAGAAGAAATACCATCTAACTAATGTATTTGCATTTAACAACAGAGTTTCAAATTAGATTAAGCAAAAATTCACAAAACTGAAAACAGAAATAGACAAATTCAAAATCATAGTTGGAGACTTCAACACTTCTTTTTCAGTATCAACAGAACTAGTAGACATTTGATCAGCCAGGATATGGAAGAAAAGAACAGCACCATTAAGTAGGTCTGACACTTACAGACTACTCTACCAAAAACAGCAAATACAAATCTTTTCACGTGCACATGAAATGTTCATCAAAATAAATCATATCTTTTGTCATAAAGCAAATAATAAAAAATTTAAAAGAATTGAAGTCTTTAAAAGTATGGAATTAGACTCAAAATCAATAACAGAACAAGAATAGCAAATTGTTCAGTGAGAAATTAAACCACACATTTCAAAATTATTCATAATTCAAAGGGGAAATCTCAAGAATAATTGTAAAATATTTTTAACTAAATATAAATAAAAATACAACATGTCAAAATTTGTCAATGAAACAAAACATTTAAAAGGCTTTTAATACAATAAATGGTCATATTTGAAAAGAAGATCTCAAATCGCTAATCTAAATGGTTATATTGGAAAAGAAGCAAGATCTCAAATCACTAATCTAAGCTGATAATTTTTTTAAAAACTTTTAAGTTTGGGGGTACATGTGAAGATTTGTTACATAGGTAAACTCATATCACGGGAGTTTGTTGTACAGATTATTTCATCCCCCAGGTATTAAGCCCAGTACCCAACAGTTATCTTTTCTGCTCCTCTCCCTCCTCCCTCCCTTCACCCTCAAGTAGACCCCAGTGTCTGTTGTTCCCATCTTTGTGTTAGTTAAGTTCTCATCACTTAGCTCCCACTTACAATTGAGAAAATGCAGTATTTGGTTTTCTGTTCCTGAGTTAATTTGCTAAAGATAATAGCCTCCAGCTCCATCCATATTCCTGCAAAAGACATGATCTCATTATTGCTTATGGCTCCATAGTATTCCATGGTGTATATGTATCACATTTTCTTTATCCAATCTACCATTGATGGGCATTTCGATTGATTCCATGACTTTGCCATTGCGAACAGTGCTGCAATGATTATTTGCATGCATGTGTCTTTATGGTAGAATGATTTATATTCCTCTAGGTATATACCCAGTAATGGAGTTGCTGGGTCAAAAGATAGATCTGCTTTTAGCTGTTTCAGAAATAGTCACACTGCTTTCCACAATGGTTGAACTAATTTACACTCCCACCAACAGTGTGTAAATGTTCCCTTTTCTTTGTGAATTTAAAACTGTAATTCAATCCACCATACTGAAAGTCTAAAGAAGAAAAAACATATGATCATATTAATTGATGCAGACAAAGCACTTTACAAAATTAAAAAACATACAGCTAGCATCACACTCATTGGTGAAGCACTGAATGCCCTCCACTTAAGACTGGATACAAGAGAAGCGGTTCCACTTACATTACTTTTATTACTGGAATTGTACTGGAAGTCCTAGCTAGTTCAATGCATCAAGAAGAAGATAAAAAGAGTCATACAGATTAGAAAGGAATAAATAAAACTGTCTCTAGTCCAGACGACATGATTGCTTATGTGGAAATTCCCAGAAAATCTAGAGGAAAACTTCTGAAACCAATAAATAGTGTTGAAACTATTGGGCAACCATATACAAAAAAATGAAAAGAAAAAAGAACCTTGAAATTCTCACAACCTCACACCTTATTCAAAAATTAACTCCAAATGGATCATAGGTCTAAATGTAAAATTAAAAAAATACAAATGTTAAAAGTAAATGTAGGAGAAAGCAGCCTGTATTTTCCCATATTACAAACTTTTCTGTATTACGAACTGTGGTTAGGCAAAGAATTCTTAGACATCTTACCAAAAGCATAATCAGTAACATTAAAAATTAATAAATTGAACTTCATCAAAATTAAAAATTTCTTTCTACAAAGACCTTGTTGAGAGAATGAAAAGACAACTCACAGATTGGAATGAAAATATTTGTAAATCATGTATCCGACAGAGGACATGTATTCAGAACACATAAATAAGTCTCAAAATTCAACAATAAGAAAACAAGCAATTAAAAAGTGTGCACAGACTTGAACAAACACTTTACTTTTGAGGGAGATGCCAATTAAACCCATGACATACCACAACATGTCTATAAGAATGGCTCAAAAATCAAATGCAATACCAAGTGTTGGTGAGGATGAGGAGCAACTGGGATATCTCACACAATGCTTTTGGGAATGAAAACATTAAAGCCACTCTGGAAAATAGTTTGGCAGATTTTGGAAAGTTAAACATACATTTACCATATATGCCAACAATCCCACTCCAAATGTCCTTCAACAGGTGGGTGAATAAACAAATAGAGGTACTTCCTTACAAAGGAATATTACTTTGTAATAAAGAGAAACAGGCTTGGATGAATCTCAAGGGTATGTCAAGTGAAAAAAAAAATTTCTAAAGGGTGCATACTGTATGATTGCATGTGCGTGATATTCTGAAAAAGACAAAACTGTGATGGAGGACATATCAGTGATTGACATCAGTGTGGGTGGGGACAGGGGTGTGACTACAACAGGAAAGAATGTGGGACTTTGCTGAGGGTGATGGAGCTGCTCTGGGTCCTGATTGTGCTGGCGGTAGCTACATAAATTGACCCATGGATTAAAATTCATGGAACTGTACACCAAAAAAAGACACTAATTTACTTTATGTTAATTTTTATTTAAAAGAGTTAGATGCAAAAAAAAATTATCCCTAGACAATTATCTATAATAAAAACATTATAAAACCAGAGTGTACGAAGGGAAAGGAAACCTGAGAATTCTACTAGAGAAATAAACTTTGCCTTTGGGCTTTGACATCTCCAGAGTGTGACTGTGAAGGGGCCTAGCAACCCGGACCAGGCAGTTCTCTCTGCCCAGGGCCTCTCCTGATCGTGACCATGACGTGCTGAAGGAGCAGCTGTTGGAATGAACAAAGACTCTTTGTGTAGCTTGGTGTAGGTGTGAACTGTTTCTTGAGGCGGGAGTCAGAGGGATTGACTGATCTGAATCCCATGACAGTGCCATACATGTCAGCCATCACTTGTGAACCAGGTAACTAACACCACCTTGCCCTGTTCTTTATACACTCGAAAACACTTTTATAAGTGCTGCCTCTTTCAAATGTCAAAGCATGTCTGTGACAGCTGGGGTGGGTATAATTATCTTCATTTTATGAAGGAGTTAGCAGACTGAGAGGTGGAGTGACTTCACTAAGGTCAAGCAGCAAGGGAAAAGCCCACAGGTAGGGACACAGGGATTCTGGCTTGTACTCTTCATTCACTCATTCATTCATCCGTAGAAAAAATATTTATTGAGTGCCTACTATATGACAGGGAGTATAGTGTACGATTCTTTAAATTCCATCTGAAAGAAAAGACACACGTGTACATCTTCAAAGCAGGGTGTTAAATTATAAAGACCATATATGTGGCAAGAACAATGAATTGCAATGGGAGTGCTAGTTGCTGAGTGGTCAGGGCATACTTCATGAAGCGATGGGCTTTGATCTGAATACAGAAAGTGGAAGAGAAAGTGAGAGAGTATGGAAAAAGTTGAGATTGAGGGAGGTGCATAGTTGAAATGCAGTCTGTGTGGTGGCCAGCCTCCCAAATTGCCCCCAGTGATTTTTGCCTTCTGGTATTATGCCCTGCATAGTCTCTTCCCACACTGAATCAGGGTCATTCACATGAACAGTAGAGTATGGCAGAGGTGACAGTGAGGGATTTCCGAGGCCCGGTTATAAAGGGCATATGGCTTTACCTTGGCTCTTGAATCATTTATTCTGGGAGAATTCAGCCACCATTCCATGAAGTCACTCAAGCAGCCGTGAAGAGAGGCCTGCTTAGAGAGATACTGAGACATCTTGCCAACAGCCAGTACCAACTTGCCATCCACATGTGTGAACCACCTTGAGCCCCCAGTAAGTTTTCAGATGACTGCAGAGCCCAGCAGATATCTCAGTTCAACCCCAAGAGAAACCCCAAACCAAAACCACCCAGCTAAGCTGCTCCCCAAATTCCTGACCCACAGAAACCAGGAGAGATATAAAAATTTACTGCTGTTTTAAGCCACTGAGTTTTGGAATGAGTTTTTACGCAGCATTAGGTAATAATAAAATGTATGAGCCAACTTGCAGAAGAAAGCAAACATGATACATGTTCACAAGCTAGTTCTTTCAGGCCAGGAAGGTGGAGGTTCCAGCAAGCTGGACACAAGGTAGAAAAGATCTGAACAAAGGCAATGGCAGAAAAGACTAAGAAGAAGAGACAAAATGGAAGACTGTCATTCAAGAGAGAATTCCCAGCTCACCCTGGGGGTTCTACACCTGAACAATTAACTGTTATTTCTGCTAACATTAACAATTCTGCTAATGCTATTAGCACAACTGTCTTAGGGAATACAGAGTGAGTTGTTTCCTTTATACCTTACTTTCTGTGCTGTGACAAACACTGGTTAGTCATGCACCATACCCATTTCCCTCTCTTCCCAGACACAATGCTCGATCATATTTTTCAGCTTCCTTTACAATCCCTTGTGGCTGTGCGGCTGCCTTCTGGAACACAAGCAGCAGTGGAATATGGCACTTCCAGGCCTAGTCCATGAAACTCCCTGCATGATCCTTTATCTTCCCTCTTCACCCTTGTGCTGATGCCATGCAGAAGATGGGAGTCCCTAGAGGATGGTAGATCCATCAGGTGAAAGACAGGGAGACAAATATCACAGGTTCTCACTCATATATACGAGCTAAAAAGGCTGATTTCATGGAGATCAAGAGTACAATGATGGTGCCAGAGTCTGAGAAGGGTGGTGGTGAGGGGCAATAGAGACGGGCTGGTTCATGGATACAAAAATACAAGTAGATAGAAGGAATAAGATCTAGGGTTCAATAGCACAATAGGGTGACTATAGTTAGTAATAATTTATTGTATATTTCAAAATAACTAGAAAAGTAGAATTGGAATGTTCCCAAAACAAAGAAATGATCAATGTTTTAGGTGAAGATGTCCCAATTACCCTGACTTGATCATGACCCATTGTATGATTGTATCAAAATATTATATGTACTCTATAAATATGTGCAACAGTTATGTATCCATAAAAATTAAAAATGTAAAAAAAGGTAAAAGATTGTGGGGCCCCAAATTACCTCACAGAATGTCACCTGCAAAATACCTGCATTCAGCAAATATGTGAACCAGAAATAAATTTCTGTTGGGTAAAAAAATAAATACACTTGGAACAGTATAAAGTAAGTATAGGGAAAAATAGGGTGGAGTAATGAATGATCCTATTCACACACACACACACACACACACACACACACACACCTTAAGGTCCTAAGAAAAATGATCAGTGACATGATTCACAGAGACAATGAGATTTTTATAACGGAGAAAGAAAATGGTTGCTCAGGAGAAGTATGACTACTTCCAGTACTGAAATCAGACAGAAGTCCTTCCATTGAGTCCTCATAAAAATGACACAACATAACGTCATGAACAATGTCCCTCAACAACATCCTCACAGCCAGTAGAACAAGCTTAATAACTCCATTCCTTAGTGTGTCCTTCACTGAAGGATAAAGTAAGTGATAAACTGACATGTCAAAATCCAGTAAAATCAATTCTATAGATGATGGGGGAAAACATAAAGTTCAGTGGTTGAGTTAATCAGTTCTCTGTTGGTCTGGTTGTACTTAATAAAAAATGGTAATACACTGTGACTCTCTTGGATAACCCGCCTCAACCAGTCCTAGATATCTGGGATATGTACATAAATTGATTCACTAGCAGTTATGTATATAGCATTGAGGGTGGGGAAAGGAGAGTAGGAAAGAACCAAATATCCTGGTGTAACTGCCCTGTGACCCTGCATTACCTCCCAGATCCCATCTGTCCGCTTGCAGTTGCCAGAGTGTTTCACCATCTCATGTATTTTGCTGTATTTCTTCTCCGTGCGTTTTCCAGGGGCAGTGCAATTAGGAACACTGACTAGAGAATAAGAAAGGAAGAATAATAGAGTATAAGTATAATTGTAAAAAGCCATTATGATATGCTTTCAAAGCCAGTAATCAGCACTCTTGCTTATCATGCAAATCACTATTAGTATTTTTATTTGAACTATAACTGTGTCTTGTTATTTGACAGAGAGTGCTTTTGAGAAAAACCTAACATCTGCCCACAATTGGATTCCTTTCCAAGCATTCCTTGGAGGAAGAGGAAAAGGATACATACGTCAGGAGGGTAATTTAATACTTGTAGTTAACATCTTGAAAAGGACCCATTGTAAAAGGGGAAGCTGAAGGGGATGAATTAAGAAACATGCTGAGTAACTTCTGGTTGTCCTTGAAAGCAAATATGGAGACTTTTTGTCTTTAAAATGAGAAGCTTCAAAATTGGTCTTTTGCAAAATAAGAAGGTAATATGCCAATCTGGGAAATCAAGACTCTTTTGGAGAACAGGAATGATTTGAGAGTGGTTAGGCGGGGAAGTAAGGATGGAAGAAATGTGGAAGTAGGGAAGAGCTCTGGGCCTAGAGACCTGGGGGACTGATTTAGTAACTGTGTTCAGTGAATATTGTCAGTCATTTTAGTGAGCATTTAAAGAAAACTGGAGGAAAACTGATCTTTGGGCGTGGTGGCACTTTCTAGAATGGGAAAAAATGGTATTGCAAGAGTAGTTTTGTAAGTCTCTGGATTTGGAGTGTGGCAGTGGGAGAATGTCTGGAATCAAATGCATTTAAAATATAAGTTGCACACCATGTCTAGTGATAGTCATTTAGATTCCCCTAGAGTCAGGCAAACTAGCTGTGAATCTGACAACAAGATGGATAAATTATTATCCTGACAACTACAAATCTGGCAAGAGCTGGAGAAATTATTCTGGCAGTAATGACAGAAACAGGTCAGGCTTGGATTGAGCCAGAGCTAAGTAACAAATATTTCTAGTATTTTATGCAAAACCCCATTCAACCATTCTTCTTTCAGTTCAGTGAAGCTTAGAAACAATAAGAAACAATATTTATGTGACTTCGGAAGAATTCAGGAAACTGGTAAGGATGCCTGAAATCAGGAGAATCAATGGGTGAAGATGGATTTATGCTAGTATTCTTTTAAGTGCTGCTGTAATCTTAGACTTCAGATTTTGCCTTCAGAGTGACATAAACCTAATAATCTTTCCCAGCCTTGGAAATATTTCTTCTCCTCCAATCTCCAAGGTGACTTCTTCTTATTCCATCTCCTAAACTACTCTGTTTACTCCTAATACAATACTATATACTTCCTTGCTCCATAGATATAGCAGACACCATCTAGGTTGCACCCAACATACAATTTATCCTTTCTTTTGGTAAATAAACCCCCAAATTTGTTTGGCAAGTCATCTTTTTCCACCTGGCCCTGGGCTTCACTGGACAAGTCATGGAAATTCTATTCCTCTAGCCAGTCCCTTGCATAGGAATAAGCTTGTGATACCATTCCATGCACTACGATATGAAGAGAAACTTATTGAGAGGTTTCTAGGGAAGGTTTCCTAGTTTTGAAAAAGAAATACATGGGGAAAAAATCATCATTTTGCTGCTGAATGCTATCATGTGCTTGGAACTAATCCAGGAAAAGTCAATTGAGTAACAACGGCAGAGTAGAAAGACTGAAAGAATGAACATCCTTGATGTCATTAGGGCCACTGAATCAACAAAGCTAGGACTTTCCATTTTAGGACTTAAAAAAGTTCTCATTGTTTAAGCAATTTTGAATTGAGTTTTCTATTACTTGCAGCTGAAAATATGATAACTGATAAAATACATATTTGTAGGCTTTTACTCCTTATTTCATAGTAAACGTATTTGTGATTACCTACAGTACCTGCCATATACCAGGTGTCAAGGAATGATGGTTTCCTAAAGAGACAAATGCATGGATGGATAGATAGATGTGCTACATCTGCACATCTGCAGCTGCATTGCTTCGCTCAGTGAATTGCATCACTCTCCACCCAGGTGTGTAAGCCACATATCTCTTCTACATACTTTTCTATTTCTCCCTCCTTATAGCCAATCTATTTCCAAGTTCTGGTCATTTTGCCCTCTAGAGTCATTCCAAATCCACTTCTTTTATCTCTATCACCATTCTATTTCAAGCTATCATCTCGTAATTGCTTTAGTACTGTAACCTTCTAACTAGCTTTGTGGGCTTTCTTAAATCTGTTCTCCATACAGCAGTCAAAGGGAATCTTTTCAAAATGCTAAATTTCCCATCTCTCCCACCTCCATTTTTTATTAAATGATGAAGAGGTAATTCCAAAATTCATAAGATGCCCACAAGGCCTGAATGGTCTGGGTCTTCTACCTCTGTAGGATACCTCTTGCCTGTGATAACCTAGCAAGACAGGCCTTCTGTTATTCCTTGAATGTGGCTTGCTTTGCGCCTGCTGTTCTCTATGGCTGTCAGGGTCTCCCCACTGGCACTCCTACACAATCACATACCCCATGTGTTCCATCCTCCATTTTTCAGCTCAGTCTTGCCTCTTCCAAAGAAGCATTTCTTCTTCTCTCTGAGCAGGCAACGCTCCCTTTTTTACGCTTTTCTAATACCATGTACCTCTCAGTCATAGCCAAGATGACCATCCAACTGGGATACGTTTTAGAGTGAATGAGGATGCTATTAATAATTACAGTGAGACAATAGGTATAAACAGAGATTGTTCTGGGATAACAGAAGATTTGGTCATTCTATTATTTTTATGTTCATTAGTATATTCATTTAAGGTCTGCCTCCCCTGACATTTCTACATGGGGGGGGACCATGTCCTTCTTTTTGCTGGCCATCATATTCCCCATGCCAGGTTCAATAATAGATAATCAATAAATATTTGTTGGAGCAATAAGGGAACAAATAAATATGATAATTCAATTACCATTTTCCTTTTCTACTAATTTTTATTGTTCTCCTTAGACTTGTGTTAATGTAATGTTATGCTATATTCTTGCTTCTTGTTTTTTAATATCTGGTCATTTGGCACAGCTCTGCTTTATTGCTGACTCATTCAGTCAGCAAGTGTCTACTGAACATTTACTATGTGCTAAGCATGATTCCAGGGATTCAAGGGATACAGCAGCAAACAAGACACAGTTTCTGCCCTCAAGAACTCACAGTCCCATGAAGGAGACAAATGAGGGCCACTAGGATTCTAGATCAGCTTCTTTCAGATGAATACCTAGCCTATCAGGGCTTGTCCTGGAAATGAAAGGGACAGTTTCAATTTCTTTCATTTCCTTCTCAGTCTGTTATTTCTCCTACTTCAGTTCCAGGGTCAGTATTTTCATGATTTCCATTCCTTGCTAAAACATAGCTCAAGGAAACATTCAGCTACTCTGCAGTAATTTCAGATTCTGGCAATATGTTAAAAATGATATTAATGCATATCAACTTGCAAGAAATAAATGGAAATCTCAAGATGTCTGAAATTAAGAGCTATAAGCTTAGAATCTGATCCCGAAGCTTCCCTATGGGTGGTTATCAAATTCAGTAATAGCTAGTAGTTTGGGCTTTAACATACGATCAGGCCAAGATATGAGGATGTGGGTCCTATGAGACACTGACTGGGAACTAATACCCCTTCATGAAGCTGGGATGCTCAAAGGGATATAGCCTCAGTAATTAGGGGCATAGGGAAAAAATCTGCCCACCTTAACAGGCAGAGGATGAAATTTGGTGTTCGGAACTACGAAAAAGAAAAAAACTCATTCCCAGAGAAATAAAAATATCACGCCTTTGCCTCATGCTGTGTTAAAGTTAGAATGTAAACTTCTGTAGTGATTTAGAAACTGTCAAGATGATAAATTTACATAAAAATTAATCCTAGGACAGTCATATCATTGGAGTACCTGGTAGAAGTGAATAGGAAATCACTGTGAAGTGACACTTCCACAGTCTAGGCTACAAAGAATTTTTGTAGGAAGCTTTCTATTGAAGGTGAGTTTATAATCCAAGATATAGGCAAAAAAAAAAAATCTAGGATAGAAACCCTGTAATCTACACTAAAAGAAGTATCACCTGGAAAAGATGATGTCTTGAGTAGAATCTCTTGGATACAGATTCTGAGATGGAGATTTGCATGTAGGAGGTTTATTGGATAGTGCTTTAAGGCGCAACACCTTGAGGACATGAAAGAAATGGGATTAGTAACAAGACGATACAGTGATACAGTTGCAACAGAGACCTCAGTTGATCCTTCAAGGATCTGTGGAGCTGGGATGGACCTTAAGAATCATCCCAAATTGAAACAATTAGACTGGGCTTTTGTACCTCAACATTAGCCAGTTATTGAATGCAAGTTGCCCCTGGAAAGAGGTCAACAACTTGGGAAAGATAGCCCCTTTTGGCCAAAGACAATTTCCAGAGGGAGGCAGAAGTGGGCTATCAGCAGCCAATGCACACAGCAGTGGGGAAATGAGTGCCTTGGTCCTGAAAGGGGTCTAGGAGTTGGGGACTCCAAGCAGCAAGGAACAACATCCACTGCAGACTGCCCTCTTGAACTAGCCAGATCCATTTACATTTGCATTTTGTGGTAAGTTTGAACCATCTGGGAAGAGCATCAATAGGTTTCCGGTTGGTCTTAATTCCTGGAGAAATTTATGTAAGGAGTTAGTGGAGAAAGTTAGCTATTCCTGCTGCTGCAACTGCTGTTGACTCTTGAACAACACAGGTCTGAAATGTGCAGGGCCAATTCGTGTGGCTTTTCCTCCACTTCTGTCACCTTTAAGACAGCAAGATCAACTCCTCTTCTTCCTTCTCCTCCTCAGCCCACTTAGCATGAAGATGACAAGGCTGAAGGCCTTTATGATGATCCACTTCTACTTAATGAGCTGTAAATGTATTTTCTTTTCTTCATGATTTTCTTAATAACATTTTCTTTTCCGTAGCTTGCTTTGTTATAAGAATACAGTGCATATAACGTAACATATGTGTTAATCAACTGTTTACATTATAGGTAAACCTTCTCTACAGTAGTCTATTATGAGTTAAGGTTTTGGAAAGCCAAAAGTTATATGTGAATTTTTGCCTACTCAGAGGTCAGAGCTCCTAACTCTCAAGTCCTTGAGGATCAACTGTAGTTAGGTTTAAGAGCACAACTAGTTTTCATGATGTCCTTCCTAGACATTCCGATTCTCTTCACTCCTAGGAAGCACCTCTCATGATCTTAGTAGCTTAACTATGGAAACTGAGGATTTAAGTCTCTGATTACCACGCCTTTCTGAGGCTGTGTCTATTGCACTTACCCATTAACCATCCAAATTAGGCAACAGAGTATCAAGAGACTCCCCAGTGGTTCATCTGAGTTTGAAACATATTCTTCCTTTTCTTCATTATGTAACAGCAGCTATACTAGCCGAATCTCCTCCAAATGATCAGTACGAATTATTCCTGCAAGGATGGTTTGTCCTTCCCTTGCCTGCTGGCTTCTTGAGATGAGGAGCCCTAAGAGACCTGTTGGCAGCCACATAGTTTAAAGTAAAATGGGATTCTCATCATATCCCCCAGTGGCAGCATTCATCCACTGGGAATCAGAACTTTTACCACACAGCCTAAAGTTGTAAGAATGGGAAGCACAAATTCCACAAGTGGGTCACTGTGAGTGACAGTAAGATACAATGACAGAAAATAAAAATGATTAGTTAAGAAACATGGTGGATAGACTGTAAAGGTCCGGTACACACGATATGAAACAAATATAACAGGAATACTTCATGTGGGATGGGAAATAAGCAAAGTGAAACATGGCAGGTTAAAAGCAGAAAATAATATGGTAGAAATAAAACCAAATGTATACAATCACAATAAATATAAATGGACTAAAGCCAATAATCAGATCACAGAGATGCTTAGATTGGCTGTTAAAATCCAATTGTGTAAAAGAGACATATCTAAAACATAATGGCACAGAAGATTAAAAGTTAAGGGATGAGAAAAATTCATTACAACAATTCTCATCAAAAGAAAGCTATTGTGTTTATATTTATCAAACAAATTAGTTTTTAAAGCAAAACACATTTTGATGGATAAAAAGGGTCTTAGAAAAGCATTTAACAGGAAGATGTATATTTTTGAATATATATATACTTAACAGCATAGACTAAAAATATATAAAGAAATTCAGAGGTGGTGGCAACCTACCTAAAGTGCTACATCTTCTATGAGTTTTGCATTTTCACAAGGCTTACTACCTCACATCCACACACAAAGATTAGATTTAAGAGAGTGGTTGGCCAGGCGTGGTGGCTCACACCTGTAATCCTAGCACTCTGGCAGGCCAAGGCGAGCAGATCACAAAGTCAGGAGACTGAGACCATCCTGGCCAACATGGTGAAACCCCATCTGTACTAAAAATACAAAAATTAGCTGGGCATGGTGGTGCGTGCCTGTAATTCCAGCTACTCAGGAGGCTGAGGCAAGAGAATCGCTTGAGCCAGGGAGTCAGAGATCGCAATGAGCCAAGATTGCACCACTGCACTCCAGCCTGGCAACAGAGTGAGACTCCATCTCAAAAAAAAAAAAAAAAAAGAGAGAGAGAGAGTAGTTGTTGGATTGATGTAATCCTAACTATTCAGAAGCAAGGTTAATTTATAAATACATTCTGGGAAGTGATTAAATAGATCCTTTTTCATCTCATTAAGTTTGTTTGCCAAGTACAGCTGTGTTTATGAAGTTGAGTTTTTGCTTACTGATTCTAGGAAGCAAATTTAGTAAATGAATTGTGGAATCGAGCTGAAATTTCATAAAGAAATATAAAACCTGAGCAATTGTCAAAGATTCATGCCCCATGGTAGACTTTCCAGGTAAGTTTCTTACAAAACTAAAATCAGTTTTGATAACTTCGGATTGGCTGACAGCTCTATAACAAAGCCAAATTCTGGAAATATAACTTTTTTAATGTTTTGTCTTTTTGGGTGTGTGGGGGTTATTTATTTATTTATTTATTTATTTATTTATTTATTTATCTTGCTTGGCTAGACCAAAATAAATCTCAGCAGCATGAGTTATACAATCACAATCTCAATTGTAAAAGTCCCTCCCATGGACTCAAATTCTAAGAGAACCACACACCTCTGGTTTTCAATATCTATTTACCAAGTCAGACAATCTCTTCTCTCTCACATGTGGGTTCTTCCCTTCCCCTTCTTTAGGTCTCTGTGATCTTCTCACACATTCTTGCTTGTGCTTTCTAAAATAAAAATAAAAACGAATAGATTTATCAGGGATTAAATCGGGCAGGATTTTGTAACTGGTACTACTGTGACAGGATAAGGGGGTAGAGAGAGAGAGAGAGGAGAGGGAGGGAGAGATGAAGAGAGAGAGACAGAGAACATGAGCACTGAGGCTTTTTGCAGGGGAATAGATCTTGAGAGGGGGTAGTGATAGATACGCTCTTGATGGCCTCGCTAAAGGGGAGATTTGGCTGCTAAATTTGACCTTGCTCCCAAGTAATTGATGAGACGTAACATTATCATCAGAATGATGGTAATGAGCTATAGACGCAGACTCTCTGCCTGTGGAGATTGCGGACAAAATAGACTTTAAGGCAAAACGCATTATTCAGGCTAAAAAGACTCATTACATGAATTCCTGTTAGGAAAGCTTTGGTGGGGTTATTTGATTATAGCGGGCTCAGTTCTTGCACATCTGAAAAGCAGGAAAATTCAATGGGGAAAAAAAAGGTGTATTAAACTACACTTGGTGATGATGTCTGTGCCTCAAGTTTCCTTGCTCTTGTTATCATAAAGAGCTGATTTTCACTAGTCCCTCAAAATCAGGTTCAATATCAAGTTCATTATTAGGCTCTGTCTTATTACACTTTTGGTGCTGCATCTCTTGACACTTGAAAATGCCAACTATTCTTCTCGTTGTGAATTTATAATAAATTAACTTCTTCATTTCTGCTTTCTTTACATTCTTTCTTGAGGATTTTCCTTTGAAGAAGATGCTTGTAGGCCGGGCCCAGTGGCTCACGCCTGTAATCCCAGCACTTTGGGAGGCCGAGGCGGGCGGATCACGAGGTCAGGAGATCAAGACCATCCTGGCTAACACGGTGAAACCCCATCTCTGCCAAAAATATAAAAAATTAGCAGGGCGTGGTGGTGGGCACCTGTAGTCCCAGCTATTCGGGAGGGTGAGGCAGAAGAATGGCGTGAACTCAGGAGGCGGAGGTTGCAGTGAGCCGAGATCGTGCCACTGCACTCCAGCCTGGGTGACAGACTGAGACTCCGTCTCAAAAAAGAAAAAGAAAAAGAAAAATATGTTTGTATTTTTATCCACAGTGATCTCACTAGACATTTTTAAGTTAAGGCCTCTAGTTTCTGATCTATAGTTTGTCTTCTTAAATGAGAGTTCAGTCATGCATGTTTGACAAGCTCTATCTCTGGAATTTTGGTTCACCTTGGCAAATGTTCTCACTGAATCTGGAAGCAATTTCTCATTGTTTCTTTCTCTCTTGCTCTCCCTTTCATGTTCCCTCTTACTCTCTCTTTCTCTGTTTGGCAGCAGTCTTTCTACTGGTGTCTATGTTTTATTGATTTATGGTAATAGATGACCAGCCCCTTCTATCATTTACAGGTTGACCCCCTTCATTGAGGTTTTTCTAACACCGACACAAAAGATATAAGCACAGATAACCTTGTAAATTCAAAGGCTGATTCCACTGAGTTAAAATTCTATAACATGCAAGTGCTGAAACTTGACACTAATGGAAATTTAAACCAACAGCTCAGTGCTTAAAAATTCACACCGTGAATGTTTGCCACAAATCTAGGTTTGTGAAACTGGGTTGGTGACGTCTCTATTTTAGACCGTGGCCTTCAAACTCTGCTGTGCATCAGAATGCTTCAGCATGCTGATTCAAAATACAGACTCCGGGCCCCATCCCTAGAAACTGATGCAGGGATTCTACGGGCAGGGTCTTGGAGGGTCTATATTTTGAAAAGCTCTGCAGCTGATTCTAATGCAGATCATACTTCAATCTCCATGAAAGGGGTTGAGAAAGAGAAAAGCAGCTCCTGACACCCAGCTGGACCTTGGTGTTGATAGATGCTGGCCTGGCACTGACAGGTAGGCCTTGGTGAACTAGACAATTTCATAGAACAAGGCCATCAGACAAGGCCATTCTGACCATGATGAATCAAGACAAAAACAAGACCACTTATAACCATATCTGAACTCAGACAAAAACAAGAACAATGCCCAAAGCACAAAACACCAAACATCTCCCTCTCCCGTCTAACATGAGTGACTGCCGCTACTTTGCCAATGATAGATCTATCCTTGTTCTATTCTGGCCTGCCTATAGATTTACTGACATGCATAATCATAGAGTTATTCATGCTTCCTCACAGCATCCAATCCAGAGCAAAGCCCTACTTCCTGAATCCTCCCCAAAATCACTGAACCCAAGCCCAAATCCTATACTGTCTTTTCTAACACTCTCTCACTGAGATGCCCCTATAATTTCTGTGGTTGCTTTCTCCCTCACTGCAACAAGTAATTCATCCAACTAGTTTAGCTACAGGTGTGCTCCTGATGGCCATTGGCTGGAAGACATTGACAAGGCTCACCAGGTAGACCAGCGCTTTCCATGCTCCCTCTGTGCCCAAGATGTGCTGACCATTCATGGCTACCAAGCCACTCAGGGGCCTTATAGTAACCCCAGGAAATTTCTGAGCCCTGCCATGGAAATGTATGTGTACTTACTGTATCCATCATGATTCACACAGGACAGTACACACCGTAGGGGTAACTGAGGAGGAGAATTCGATGAATTTGCAAAGGCATTGTCAATAAAGGATGATGAAGCACCAGGGACTAGCAACAACAGGGAACTGTTACCACTGCCAGGCCTGAGGGGTCAAAAGCAAGGAGAGGTTACCAGAGACTAGTGGGGAGCCATGAAGAGGGCTACTCAATAGGAGCCATGGCTTTATACACACTTGGGGCCCCACCCCTGGAAAGTGAGGCAGTGATTCTCGGGACAGAGCCTTGGGGGTCTGCATTTTGAAAAGTTCTGTGGGTGATTCTAATGCAGATCACACTTCAACCACCATGAAAGGGGCAGGAAAGGGACCTCCCTATGGCATGGCTAGAAGAGGAACACAGCCACTGTGGCCAGGAGAGTGGGGCTGGAGACAAACACCTGACTTCTCTCTCCTGCGTCCCTTGATCTCCTGCCCAGCATCTCTGTAGACGACAACTGAAGCCAGAGGCTGCAGTACATCCCATTTTATTTTGCCTCAGTATCCATTTTGAATCTAGGTTTAACTTTCTCATACTGAAGGCAGGGCTTGGACACAGTTCTCCACCTCCTCTTTCTCCATGTGGTTGATCCAGATACCTCTCTTACACTGCCACCTCTTGGTGATCTCCTTCTTACGGCACAGCTAGATACAACCCGTTTGACTTGCTCCACTGGCCCCCACGCCCTGCACAAACTGCAGATATGCCGCAGTGACGACTTCTCAGTCACTGTGTGACTCCTCCACGGAACTCATGCCTGCTTGCTCTAAATCCACCAATTAGAACCTGCTAGGGTAACGCCCTGGACCCCAAGAAAAGTTTCAACCTGTAAGTTCCTCTCTGTCTCCCTCCGCCTGTCTCTCTTGCTTCCCACTCACTGGTTGAACACTCTTGTTCCTAATGGCTCCCCACTTCCTGTTGGCCCTGAGAAGTGTGCTGCCCTCTTCTATGAACTGTAAATAACGAAAAATACTTCTGATATTTCATGCGTTTTGTTGTGCTGCCTCCTCTGCGTCTCACCTGACCGACACACGAGAACATAATGTCTTTCCGGGTCAGGGCTCTCCTATGGAGTGGCCATCTTGGTAAAAACAAACTGGACACAGACCAGACAAGAGCCACAAGGGCGTCTGCCAGAATAAACACATTTCCTGTGAGAAGAACACCTGGTCAGGGGCCAGGCGCTTAGGAATCACGCTGACTGCCAGGATAAAGTATCCCGTGAAAGGCACACTGTAAACGTCCACAACCACCTCCCCTGAAGACCTGTCAGGACAGGGACCGAGTTCCTAGTCACTCTCCTAAGAGGGATCCTAGACCACATTGGAGGGACTACAACAGAGGGCAAGAAGGCCCATTACACGGTCCATCTGGTCATCCTCGGAAGATCCAGCGCAGAGTAGAAACAGAACAGAGAGCCAGGATAGGCTGTGCACTTACAAAGAGTCTGCTTATGCCACCTGTATTGTAGATATGTAATGTTATCAAATATTATGTCAATCAACAAGTACAAAAACAGAGTCCTTGTTTCTATGAAAACTAAGTTGGATGCTTTAAAAAAACTTAATAACAACAACAATAATAACGGTAAACCAATGTTTGTGCTAATTACTTGTAACAGTACTTGCCAAGTACTGTTCTAAATGGCTTTAAAAAACACAAATGTGTTCTCCTACTGTTCTGGTGGCCAAAACTCCAAAATGGGTCTTACTGGACTAAAGTTAAGGTGTCAGCAGGGCTGTGTTCTTTCAGAAGGCTGCCGGGGAGCATCTGTTGCTTCCGTTTTCCAGCTTCTAGAGGCAGCCCAGATTCCGTGGTTCAGGCCCCCCTCCAGCAATCACATTACTCCAACCTCTGCTTCTATCACTCTGACCCTGACACTCTGACCCCCCTCTCTGACCCTGACACTCCCACTTCCCTTGTAATTACACCTGAATAATCCATTTGAATCTCCTGTCTCAAAATCAGAGATAATTGCATCAGCAAAGTCTCTTTGCCAATAAGGTGATATATTTACAGGTTCCAGGGATTCAGATGTATATTTCCCAAAAATGAGGACTCCTATATAACCAGAATATAATCATCAAAAGGAGAAAATTCACACTAGTACATTACTACTATCTAATCCTCAGGCCCCATTCCAACTTTAAAAGTTGTGCCAATATTGTTCTTTATCCTAAAAATCCAGTTACGAATCATAGATTGTAATTAGCTGCCGTGTCTCTTTAACCTTCTTCAATTGGGAAAGGATCCTCGATTTCTATTGACTTTCATGACCTTGACAGTTCTGAAGACTACAGGCCAGTTATTTCATAGACTATTCCTCAATTTGAATTTGTCCAGTGTTTCCTCATTCTTTTATTCAGGAAGATCATACAAGTGAAGTGAGGCTGTGTTCCTTTCAACGAAGCTAATCAGGTACCACGCCATTTTTATTTGTCTCCCTCCTGATGGTACTCACTTGGATCACTTGATTAAGGTGGAACCAGAAAGACTTTTCCTGTAAAGCTATTTTTTCTTCATACTTAATAAATAATTTGTGAGGAGGTATTTTGAAACTATGTACATACCCTGTTCCTCATCAAACTTTCAATGCATTCTTTATTATCTCTGTAAGGATTTTATTCATGGGTTATAATCTATTAATAGATTCTCTTATGTATATTATATTATAATTTAATGTAATTTAAATATTTATATTATTATATAATTGTAATGTAATATGTAACTATTTATATTATAATTAATATAACTATTAATTATAAAGTTACATATTACATTATAATTATATTATATAATAATGTAAATAAATTATATTAAATTATAATTAATATATATAATAGAATCTATTAATAGATTGTAACCTGTTAATAAAATCCTTAAGGGGGATCCTACTGACAATCCTTTATCAGTAGCATTTCCCTTGAGCTGGCTTTGACATATTCTCATTATTCTCTGAGTACTTCCATGCTTTTGGCACAAGATGTTCCAGGTTCATCTTGTGCTTTCCCTGCCCCAGCCTTGGAATCAGCAAGTCCTCCAAGGAGTGTCCTGGCTCCTTTTAGCTGGGAATAGTATTAGAAACCAAGACCTGGGTTCTAGGTATGCTCATCACCATGGGTGCTTACAGCCAATGAAGCGAAGAAATGTATATTACGTATATACTTGCTTCAGTTGCTATTTATATTGAAAATTGTGAGTCACATTGATAACTCCAATTCCAAACCAATACAACAAAGTTCATTCTAGTTTTCTCCCTTTCCATATTAGATGTAGGGGAGGGATTATTTTGCCTGCTACATTTATGAACTCATTTAACCCCTACAACATCCTCATGATTTAAATTAAGAAAAAATTATTGTACCCCCAAACACTATAGTGTGTATTTCAAATGGTTCAGGAGGAAAAAAAGTTCTTTGTATTCTACTGCAATATATAAGTTTGGGATTATTTTAAAATTTTAATAAGTTTATGTCTACAAAAACCTTTTTTGGATCAATAGACTATAAGATACAATAGTGTTCATAGTATTCCTTGTCATCTGAATGAGATAAAGGCATTAACCATTTTCCAAATTGTGGGGAAGGAGAGAGAAGGAGAAAGAAAGGGAGAGACAAGATTTTAATCTCAGAATAGTAGGAGCTGAGAAAGGTGATTTATGTTGGCTTATCTTTAAGGATCTGGTCTCATGATTCAGAGCTGCAATCTTCAGCTTGCCATTTTGTTCATCATCTTCATGTGGTCACTTGACAGCCATCCAGGCCTGAGGTCCACTCAAAAACTAGAGGATCCTGATTAGCTAATCAGCCATCTTGGTTGGAAGACAGTTCATCAACATGGCAGAACCTATTACTCTAAAACTAACAATTGAATGAACTTCTTGAGGCTTCTGAAGACAGTCCCCTCAGTGAGAGAAAAACAGAAGAGAACTGTGATAACTCACTTGGATTTCAGAGATCTCTGGTCCAAGTTTCTTACTTTACAGACAAAGAAACCGAAGCATAAAGTGGTGAAGGATTTGGACAAGGCTTCACAGTGGTTAAGTTTCAGGACTTGGAAAACACTCACATTCCCACGTACATCTTCAACGGCATGCCAGAATTAACTTGGGTGCTCATGACTCTGTTGCATGTAGCAACAGCCTTTATCAAGTTTGCACTGGAAGTCCACTTTATCCCAAAGGATTAGGGGTGGGAGTTGTTTGGTTTCTTAATAAAATCAGTGAAAGTGGGGAAATCATAAAAGGTGGTATATAAATACCTTAAACATTTTTTTTGACAGTTTTTCTTTGGCACTTGATCTGCTGATTAGTTTCTGGCTTTCTTGCGTAAGCCTCAGTCATGATGCACCTTCTCTAATTTTTACTCTCCGTTTTCTAAGGAGGAGTTAGAACTTAAAGATATTTGTCAAACAATTTGTGTGCAGAACCATTCTGCATTTTAATTTTTTTCCCTTTCACTCTTTTAGAATTGTCTCATCCATGTTTTCTTAGATGTGTGACTTAACTTCTCTGTGCCTCAGTTTCCCTTTCTGCAAAATTAGATACTCCAGGCTCATCTTGTATTTTCTTCACTTCAACCCAGAAATCAGCCATTTCTCCAAAGAGTCCTGGTTCCTTTTAGTGGAGGATGAAATTAGAAACCAAGATCTGGGTCCTTGATATGCTTATCACTATTGGATTGTTGCTGTTCCTAGGTCTTCATAACAGACAGAGCTAAGGAATGTATGTTACATATCTACTTATTTCTATGTCTGTTTATATGTATTAAAAACATGAATCACACTGATATCTCTGATTCCAAACCAACACCACAAAATCTGTTCTAGTTTTCCCCCTTTCAATCACTGTAACTCCCTTCTCCAACCATGAAGAATCCAGCTTGCATCATCCTTAATAGATTTACTTCTTTGATTAATATTCCTGTATATAACCAATCAATTTCCACTACCATTCTCTTGCTATGTGGATTCTGTCACCCCATGTTCAACCACCTATCCGCATGGACAACCTCCAAACTCTAAGGGGGCTCTGACACCTTTGCTGGGCCACATGCACACCAGGATGCCCACTTTATCCTGCTCAGGCTCTGACTTGCCATGCCACACTGGCCTGCCCTGTGTGGACATCCTCCTTACTCTGTTTGGGCTTTAACTCCCAGGCTGGGCCAATTCCATGCTTGTGACCATGCATTACCTTGCCTAGGCTCTGATACCCAATGTCAAGCAGCTTTGCTCTTCCTTACACAAGGCTCAGTACACACAGCTCTCATGTTCACTCTGACTTTGTAGCTTCCTCGTTCTTTTGGATTAGATGCCAATCTTGCTCTTCATCATCTAAAAACCCTTAGGAATGAATTGTCCAGGAAGACAAAAAGATGAGGAGAAGAAGACCTCCTTTTTGTTTTTAATACTTTCTCTGACAATGAAGATAGTCAGTAGGGTAAAGAAACAGAAGGGAATATTTGAATTCAGCAGGACATTTTGGTGCCTCACATCTTGACCTGTAGTATGTAGGGGAACTTATTTCCAGATTTATTTATTCCCAAAAGGGTATTGTCACCAAAAGACACTATCTCTTCACTCAGAGCACACTCAGTATTCAAATATTCAACTGCCATAATTGCCAAGATCACTAATTGATAGATACTGTCCTTTTTTTCTTTTTCACTTCATTCTCACATTAGCATGAAGGACTTACCTACTCATGGTATTTAGCTCTTTATGTATCTTTGATAGACTCTTGAAGGGCTGACACACAAGGGTATGCTATAATCAGTGTGGGCTTAGAAGTTAGATGCATTCAAATCATTCTAATTTATCAGTTGTGTGAATTTGAGCAAGTTATTCGCCTTTGCATGTCTTGATTTCTTTAACTTTAAAATAGGTGGCAATATCTATCCTTTGTTATAAGAAAAAATATATATGTATATGCAATGTAGTAAAGCACCCTCTAAACTTTCATTCCTATCACTTCTAACTCCTTGGAAAAGCCCCATGTGTGATTGTGTGTGTGTGTGCATGCGTGCAACTGTTTGGCTCTCTCTTCATTCTTTTTTCTTTGACAGCTGCGACCATGTAAAAGACTACAGGCATGTAAAATTAATCAATAATACCAGTTCTGAGAACCATAAAGTTAGCCTAATTTCTCATTGAACTTTAAATAAATGTATCACCTACTTTTCTCAGAAGTCTTTGACTCAATGAGCACTACCTGGATTTCCCTGAAAATCTTGATTCTTGACAGTTTTGGGACTGTCCTCAGGCCTTTAGCAGCATCCCAATGGTATTCTCATTATTGCCAATACAGGGGAAGGCAGAAGCATCATTCTGTAAATCTGCCTCTTTCTGTACTCAATTTACCAAGAGTACATCCTGCCACCCACTTGTGTGAAACTCCTTCAGTGTCCTGGCTTGCCTGCCTCACTCTATCTCTCAACTACTTAGTGTCAAGCTGTGGGGATTCCCTGTTCCTTCCGTGTTTCAAAAACCATTCTTAAAGAAGTCAAACTGGAAAACCCTGGAAGAGTTTATTGGTCCAGTCTGCCCCAGTGAGTTGGAGAAATCTATTTTTGTTGCCATATAAAAATATTCTATGATCTCCTGCATTACATTCTTGTCTTTGAACCACTTTTGTTGAAACAATACTTTTTCTTTGGTTATTTTGTTATAATTTTGTAGTATAAAACCCTTCCTCTGATTACATTGGAGCCTTGTGCTGAGTGAAATACAGTGTCTCTCTCATGTGATGAGATGGAAATTATCCTTGCCCCCATGACACCAGAGTAAAATGGGAAACTGCACTTGTGTAATCATCAGAGTACAGCCCATATAAGAGGAGTATAGAATTGTTCCCTTTTTAGGGGGTTTAATTAAAATCATTACTTAAAAATAAGCATCATGACAACATCATGACTGGGCTATTTTCAAACCATGGAACACCTTTGAGAATTCAGGGTTCCATTAGAAAAGTGCCTCTTGGTTTATACATGTATGTTTGCTGGATTCAAAAATTTAAAGGAGTCTATTAATCTTCTGGTAATGGCCTCACTGATCATTTTATAGTTGTCTAAAAATGAGAGGCATATCAAAATAATTTAATATTTTATAATATTTTAGAGGGTCATTATAAGACGTTCACTTTTACTCAGTAAGGATTAAATAACCAAGTCTATGCTTTTTATTGCTGATTTCTACGATTAAAGCAAGTACATATAAGCTGAGCTGATTGCAATATAAAGAATTATTCTCTTGGGTCCTACTTGTATTCATTCTCTTCCTACATTTAAAAAACCCATTCATCAATGACTCTGCAGCAGCACCAGGACTTAGCATGCGCATATTATCATCTCATATCCCATTGCAGTCTTCCAAAATCATGCGTGTGCATGTGGGTATGTAGGTACCCACCCACACTCACAGACACATATATACACATGCAGGCACTTATAATGGCATCCAAACGTATTTACCCATAATTACATCCTAGGCATTCTATTGGACACAGATATTTTTGCATTCATTTATGGAACCTGCAAAGAAGCCATGCTAATGTTTGGAGTCTTAAAGCAAACTGTAATCTTCTAAACAGTGAGGTGAACCTCAGAGGCAGTAGTCTTTTGATATGCAGCATAAGTGAAATGCTGCATAATATAAAATGATGGTGCTATTAATCCTACGGCACTGGTGGTGCCTAGCACCCCCCCCCCAATATTGATACCAACACCATTGTCTCTGGCTTTAAACTTCATCAGTATGCAAACAGAGTGTCACTATGATGGGTGGTAACTTGGTTGGATGCACTTTCTACATTTCTGGCAAATGAGTATAATTATTTTCAGAGCTGCGGGCAACTCATGCATGTTTTATCCTCCATCTGGACCGGCACGGTACACAATAGTGATAAAAGATGATTTTCCCCCTTGGATGTTCACAGGCCATCATCGACACAGTCCTGATGAAATGGCCATGTATCCCCTAGCAGTTCTATATCTGCCACAGCTTGACAACAAAATTATTTCCCCATAGTACTAAAACACTTCAAATATTCAAGCCCTCTGTGCATATATTTGTGTTTTGAAGCATTCAGCGTTAACATAATGTGGTAATTTATAAACTGACAAATTAACTATGCAGAAATCACAGAGAGGCCTTATGAGGTCTGCAAAGGAGCAGAAAAGAAAGCAGAAGCTTTTTGCGCTCTGTAATAATAATAATCCTATCAACTGTCACAGATTGCCTGGCCTCCCATTGTTAGAGCCGCTCACTCTGAAGCTTGCTTACTGTAGGTGATTACGCCTGAGATGCCCCACTCACCTCAACGCCAGCCAGGAGGCTCAGCTCAGGACTTCCCAGTGCCACCCCTCTCCAGGTCTGGGGCTAATGGGGAAAAGGGCCCCAATGAAACACACAAGTTGCCCGTATCGGTCACTGAGAAGCAAACATGGAGGTGTGGAATGGAATTTGGAAACGGGACATGCACCTTCCAGACAGGAATTGCATGTAGGACTGGCAAAATCAAAAACAGCAAAACTGAGATTATGCATGTGGAAGCCAGATCCGCCTTCTTTGTTTCGTGGTTATAAAATCATGTGAATGATTAAAATCCATCATCTCACTGCCTGCTCTAGCAAATGCTGGCGCTCCTTACAGACCCACTATTGATCCTCAGACAGACGGTTGAAAGGAGGCAGCATTCGTCAAAGGACGCAAAAGAGCGCATTTTTACTTTTATTGTATTAGCTTAATTCTCTTTCAGATGAATTAAAGACTAATTTTGCTAGACCAAGGGGAGAGTCTGTGCATCTTCTGCTGCCCCCATCTGTTTAACATGTAGATTCTTAGAGGGCAGGATTAATTTTTAGAGGCAAGAAAGTATTTACAAATTCCTTGTAAAAATACAGTACATTCCTTCATGACATGCCAAGCCAGCCACGCTTCCTTCCTCCCCAACTGCACCCTGTTCTCCGCTCCCCTCCCCCAGTCACCCCACCCACTCCCACAAGCATGCTCACCCTTACAGACTCACACATGCATGCTAAACACCACACACACACACACACACACACACACACACACACACACACCGTCCTTTAAATGGTATGTACCATGCTATGAGGCCTACCAAACATCAGACACTCTTTATCAGCAGTTGTGCCAGGGTCTCCATGGCAACAGTATAATAGATTTGCCCTTATTCAATCCCAGAGGCCACATTGAAGCGCAATGCAAAATTTGCTGGGGCCTGAATTCCTTTCAAGCCATGGCTCATGTGTCAGGAAACAAGTCAATGCACAGACAGCACTGCACATAAAGATGGAAAGGAACCTTTTCTCTCCACCGCTGTTTGCTCACAGTGACATTCAGAAGCCCAGACCCTTCTGGATCTCATTTCTCTCTCGTTTTCTAGTTATTAATTCACTTCTTTGGGTGGAGAGGCGAGTGGGGGAGGGGAGCATCATGCTTTGCAATAATAAACCGCCAATGAAAGTGCAAAGCAAGCTGCATAAAAACGAAGTGTGCATCCCAGCCTCCAAGGTTATATAGGATTCAATATGGCTGAAGCCCACCACAGCTGCAGACTGCATTCTGGGGTTTGATGCCCCTCAGTGCCAGCAGAGTCGAGCAGCTCAGCCAACCTCCTCGACCCAAACTGGAGTGCTACTCTGTGATACTCAAAGAAACCATCCCCAGGGAAGGAGAGGCAGAGGAATGGACACATGCCCTCGTCCTAAAGCCAATCTCGGCAGGCAGGAGGAATTCCCAGGAGCTCACACCTGAAGTACACTGTGGCTAAAACAAGCACAGCTTAAAAGTTAAACAATCATTTGTTTCAGGTTTATTTTAATCATTAGCTTTGGGACTTCCAAGATGATTACTTTGTGGGTTAATTATTTTCTGTGCTGTGGCTTTCCAAACCTAATTGCTCAACTTCATTATTGTACATAGTGATCCATAGCCCATTCCTAAAATTACCTGTCCAAATATTTTCCCTTTTGAGTATCACTGAGAATTTGCTATTTTTCTCTCTGAGTTGGAACTTTGCATAAATAACTTGGTTGGAGATGCTTGTGTGATTTTGAAGATTAAACCAGGGTTATCACTGGGCAGCTGACAGAACTCAGTTGGTAATATTATTAGGATTTGAAAGAAGACTTTTTCAGAGCTTTGCCCACATGAAGCCTAATTAACTTCAAGCCAGTGGTTCTCATACTTTAATGTGCATAAAAATCACCTGGAATGTTGTTAAAACACAATTTCTCAAACACCATTCCCAGAGATTCTGATTCAGTAGGTCAGGCTCCGGAACTTGCTTTGCTCACAAACTCACCAGTGATGTCAATGTGGCTGGTCCAAGAATCACACTTTGAGAACCACTGCTTTTGGCCAATCTCCATGAGAGAAAGTTCTCAACCTCTGATTGCAAGTTTATTTTGACCATTTACCATAACTTCAACTTCAATGCTCGTCTTGAAGGGCATGACTTGTCATCCTAATATAATTAGCCCCTCTTCCAGCAGATCAGACCCACAATACGCCCCAGCCTCTGGAGGACACAGAGAGAATGGAAGTCGTGGAGAAGAAAAGAGAAAAGTCTCAGAGGACCAGGATATACCCTCAGGACTAGCACTGTGCCTGCCGTAGAACGGGGCCTGCTCAGTGTTTTTTGGGTGAGTAAATATGATAGAATTTCAAGACTTCCATACTTCAGAAAGGAGATCTTAAGTCAAGAAGAGAGATATGCCATGTTTTATTTATATTGAAATATAGTCAAATATCTTCTGTTTGATTTTATAAAATATAAAATGGCATCTGAATTTTTGTGGGGGCAGGGGAGTAAATAATACTTTAAATTCCTAGGAAGCGGGAGCCATAGGGTGAGTCACTGTAGAAAGCAAAATCCCTTTATAATTAAAAACGTAACTCTCTAACTTATCTAATTTTGCAAGTTTGGGATTTCTTCAAGTGGAAAACACTGCATTTTCATTCTAAGAATCACCAGCTTTACTTTTTACTGAACAAAATGAAAGTATGGATTTGGGCCTGATGTTTAAAACCTGAAATCTTGAAATCAGAATCTGCTTCTTTTCATTTCTTGCTCCTGAATATTTGACCCTCAAATATGGGTCATTTTAACAGGTAATCAGTCTCAACAACCACAAAACATTGAGCCGATATCACAGAACACTAACTTAGGATGGCTCTGCTGACTTTGACCAGAATGTGGTCACCTGTACTAAGTAAGCCAAACTCTAGAGACTGACTACTGGGGGCCCGTGGGAGGAGTGTAACACTGAAGCCCTGCGACCTGCTTAGTGAATTACCTCATCTAAGGTAAATTTGTAATAAGGTAACTAACTGGCAGTGCTTTTCACCACTCTTTACAGCCTGTCTTCAGTTCTGAGGTTTTTCTTGCCAGAACAGGACAAAGGACACCAGGTGGGCAGCCTCCCAGGTGGGACCACACTGGGTCCTCTGTGCCCTTCCAACTGGAAAGGCACAGGGGAGACAAGAGCAGAGCTGATTTATCTTCCCCTATCTTGCCCCTTGCTTCAGCCCTCAGGTAGCAACTGGTGAAAAAGAAAAGTCCTTTATAAATCTAAATACACAGTATTGTAGAATTTTTAAATAGACCTTTGAGAGGATGGTGCTTGATGCTTCCTTCTGCTAGAGAAGGGCTGGAAGGCCCAGATAAGTGGATCCCAAGATCATGCAGCTGGTCTGTGGCGGAGACGAAAAGTGAGTGTGTACTTAGACTCAGACTCAGACGGAAGGGACCATGTGCTGCCCTAACCTGTTTTGCCTCCAGGAAGAACAGCCTGTCCTACTGCTGGGCTGTGAGATGTCCCCATCCCAGGCTCACCACCCTGCCACAGGCTACCTAAAGGGGAAAATGAATGCAGAGCGCTATCAACAACTTTCAATTCAACAAGTATTTACTGAGCACCAGCTATATGCCTGGCACTACACTGTGCTCTGACAGCCCTAGGGTGAGTCAGGCATGGCATTTTATGACAAGGTAGTTACAACCAGGGAAGTCTACTTTTCATCACTTTACAATAGCTGTCTCCTTTGTAATGCTTTGCAAACTGGGGTATGCCCAGTTTGTCTGGAGCCACAGATGAAACTGGTTCTTTCTTCTGGAAGTTTCCATTTTCCCTGATTATAATTACTCTATTTTCTTGCTTTTATGACATAGATTTTTTTTTCAGATTATAAGTTTTGGATATCTGAGATGGAGTCCTCCTAAACTCAAAATATGCATTAAATTGGTGATTGTTCTTTTTTTTCCTGTTACAGGTTGAGCTGCATCTTAGAATGAAATCCTACAACTGAGATGGCTAAAGGAATTAAAAATGGTATCTGTAATGTTAAATTTCAGACTGCTGCACAATATGTCAGTTTTAGGTACTTTTTAAAAGATGAACAAGTACAAGACTTCAAAGAAGTCTCTCCCTTGTGAAGGGTCCCTTCCGGCTTCACTTTAGAGTCTCTGCACTTTTAGTTCATCTCATTTGGGTGTTTCAAGGGAACAGAGAAGCCCTGGTTTAGATGATGCAGGGTTTTCTGATGCCAAAGTGAGAATGATAAAATGTCTGAAGGAAGAACACGATGCTATGCATTCCAGGCAGAATCTGGACTTGAAAACAATGAAGCACAAATACTTTTAGATGAACTGATTCACTTTTATTTTGTAAACATCCTAGAAGAATTCCATTTGCACTGAACTGTTTGAATCACTGCAGAGCTCTTGCTCCTTCTAATCCCCAAGGAAAGTCGATCCATCGCGTCCTGCTACACTGTATTTCTTCACTTTGCCCCTTTTCTCAATTCTTTGTGATCAGCATAAAGTTTGAACCGTGCCTCTTCTCGCCTTCCTGCCTGGCCACCTGTCCAGCCCTGCGGTCAGCTGTACCGACCAGCAGACGGTGCCTCTCTTGCCAAGTGGAGCCGATGCTCTGTGACCATTGTTCGTGGGGCCACACTGCCATCCCCATCGTTGCCCCTTCAGGACACTCGTCAACAGCTGTAAGAGGCTTCCCATCCTCGCCCATATAAAAGGAAGGCCTGAAAACACTTCTCGGAGCATCAGTTCATAGGTCACCGCAACCGGCCGAACAATACGCGATTATTCAACGGGCTCCAATTCATTTTCCTCTGCTCCTCCCCCACCGTTACCCTTGAGAGAAAACTAATTTGCAGAAAAATAGCCCCTGCCAGCCAACTTCTTCTCCTAAATGTATGCTGACCCCGAACTCTTGTCTCAGTGGGTCCTTATTCTCATAGTCAATGCACAGGAGTTCTGAAAAGCAGTCTTCTCCTTTAAAAACCTCCCCCACACCCCAGCATCTCAGTACGGGAGATGCTTTCTTTTTCTGCTATTCTTTGCTTCTCTTTTTAACATGTGTGCTGAAATTGGCACTTTCTCTGTTCAGTTCACTCCCTTTCTAGTATTAATGCAGCAACGGAGAAATGTGCGCAATTTCTCCAGTCTCTGCGCTCGGTGAGCCCATGGGTGATGGATGAAATGTAACATGCTCTACCTTACATATTACTATTTAAGGGAAGCGCCCGGGCCGGCTGGTGATGCATGGTGCTCTCCACAGCGCCCCGCGCAAGCAGGGAGCCCAGGCTGCCTGCACCGTTGTCTGAGTAAATAATGGGGCTAATAGCATTTGGTGCAAATGAGACTCCTATAGAAGGCATCGGGCTTGTTCATCTCGTTATGATTTTTCTTTGTCGAGAAGCCTTCTCTCTCTGTCCTCGTCAGAGCTTCCCCAGTGTGGCCTGCCTTGGTTATCTGGGGAGGAGGGAAGGTCTCGGGGAGTTCAAGATTTTGTAACTAATATTGAACGCCAGGGAGAATGGATGCCAAGGTCAGGTTAAGAATAAAGAAAATTGATTTGGAGGTCAGGGTCACAATGTGAAAGGCCTTCAATGCTGCCAAAATATTTTCATTATCGCTGTTTTTGTTATGGAAAAGAAGAGGCCCAGTGTAAGAAGGCTAAGAGGTGGAGGGAGGAAGCCTCAGAATGAACCAGGGGAATCAGAATCCTAGCTGTGATTTATTGGGCTTGTGTTTCCCTAGTTTCTTTGCCTGGCGTTTGCCTCCCCCTGTAAAAGTATGCGGATGTCTGGATGGACTAACATTGATAATGAAACCCTTTCCCACAGAACCTGGTGGGTCTGGGCTTGGACCGAGCTGAACTAACTCTCTCTCTCTGCCTCTCTTCTCTCTCTCTTTCTCTCTCTCCCTCTGTCCCTCTTTCCTCTCTCTTCTCCCTGTCTCTCTCCTAGCCTCTCTTTCTTCCCTCTTTCTCTACTTCTCTCCCCCCACCTCTCTCTCCTCTCTCTCTTTCTCTCTACCTCTCTCTCCTCTCTCTTTTTATCTTTCTCCGTCCTCTTCTTTCTCCCTCTCTACCTCCTTCTCTCTCTGTCCCTCCTTTTCTCTCTCCCTCCTTCTCTCTCTCCTCTCTCCCTGTCTCTTGCTTCTCTCTCTCCTCGCTGCCTCTCTGTCCCTATCCCTCTCTTCTCTCTCCCTATCTTTCTCCTAACTCTCTCTCCTCTCTCTTTCTCTCTCTCTATCCTCTCTCTCCTTTCTCCCTCTCTCTTCTTGTCTCCCTCTCTCTCTCCTCTTTCCCTTTCTCCCATCCTCTCTCTCTCCTCTCCCTCTACCCGTCTCCCTCTCTCTCAGTCTCTCTTCCTCTCTCTCTCTCTACCTCTCTCCCCTAATCTCTCTCCACCCTCTCTCTCCTCTCTCCCCCTCTCTCTCTCTGCAAAGAAGCTGGAGACAAGTTCTCCCACTTCTATTTGCAGTAGTGAGCTATTTCGTGCATCACTGTGAGTCCCCTTTTCACCCATTCTTACAACGTATCTACAACACAGGGCTGTATATTTTAACAAAATCCTGTTATTATTGGAGCTCTGACCTGATTTTGTTTCTATATTCTGAAGCAGAAAAGACTCCAGTGGCATGAAATTAGCAACACATTCTGTTAGTGTGTTAATTGTGTGAGAGTTTTTGGCAGGAGAGACTCCTAACACAACACAGAATTTATTTTTTATTTAAATTTGGTAGCGATTTCATATTGTGTTTAAGCAGAGGCACCATGGCTTAAACCACTAGAGATTTACTGTACATTCAGGAAAAGGAAAAAAAAAATCAGCCTAATGCAGTAGTGCAGAAAGAATTATGTAATTTTTTTACTTAGCAGGGAGGCTGCTAGAATTGATTTCTAATTCATGATGAGAAATTGGCATTCCCAGGCAGTGATTTGAGACTCTTTGGGCCCCAGTTCAGTATCCAAATGCAGTTGCATCAGGCAAGTAGCAGATTCCCTCTTCGATAAAAGCAAACACACATGAAAAGCAGAAAGTCAAAATCTCCCAGGCCAGAGGAGTTGTTTTTCTCTGGTGTATCTCCCAAAGACCAAAGATGATGATCTACTTTGGATGTGTAGATACACAAACATTGATAATGAAGGTCTCATGTTAAAATTTGACCGCCAGTCTTGGAGGTGGGGCTTGGTGGGAGGTGTTTGGGTTAGGGGGCGGATCTCTCAGGAATGGCTGGGGCCATCCCCTTGGTGATGAGTGAGTCCTTGCTCATTAGTTCACATGAGAGCTGGTTGCCTGACACCTTCTGCTCTCTCTCTTGCTCTCGCTCTTGCCATATAACACGCCTGCTCCTCCTCCACCTTCCACCATGAGTGGAAGCTTCCTGCGGCCTCACCAGAAGCAGATGCTGGTGCCATGCTTCTTGTACAGCCTGCAGAATTATGGGCCAAATTAACCTCTCTTCTTTAAAAATTACCAGCCTCAGGTATTTATTTATAGCAACACAAAATAGATCAATACAGGTCACATTGTATAGAAATGGCTGTCCCCATAAACATGTTGATGGAGAACAATTCCCAGAAAGGGGAAGGAAGGACAAACAAGCCAACAGGTGTATCCTATAGAAGAGGATGGACTCCTCCCCTCAGGGGCAGGAGGCAGCTCTGAAAGAAGAAAAAGGTAAAATAATGTTTGCTGAATACTTACTGTCTACCAGTCATTGTATTGGCAGGCATATACCATTGCATTCTTAATCTGACCAGACATGAAATATGTGATTCTCTGCTCACCCCGAAATCAGCAGCTCTCTGATCCTTTTCCCCCTCTCCTCCCTACACTTCCCTCCTTGCCCAGCCCTCACCACTGAGCTCTTGTCTGAGTGGCTCTGGGCTGTCCTGGCCAGCGGCTAGCTGTTCCCCTGCCCTTCACTCTGTGGCTCAGCCCAGCAGTTCAAAGCAGAAGAGACAAGGGCTCTTCTCCCCAGTAGCATCACTTCTGTAACAAGTCTTTCTCTAGAATAGTTAGCTATGGCCTGAATTTGATTCCTGGTGTATGGCAGAAGGACACAGACTAGGATTCAAATTCCAGCTCTCTCACTTTGTGTCCTTGGGGAGATTATTTACTCCCTGACTGGACCTGGGTTTCCACATCTGTGAAAGAAACAAGCACATTTTGGGCCAGGATTATAAACCAGGAGACAGGTGTAGTGTTCTCACCCCTGGAGCCGGCCCTCACTAAGTTCCTTTGCTTCTCGACCCCACAGTCATGGCAGTCAACGTCTATTGAACCCACATTAGGGGCCAGACACCACACTAAGCTAGGTATAAAAAGAGATGTCCCAGAGGTCCTATGGAGTGCACATAACACCTCATTTAATCCTCCCACAACCTGGAGTGGGGGGAATTTTGATCCTCCTTCTTCAAATAGGAAATCTGAGGCTTAGTCAAGGAAAACTACTGTGAAGGGCAGGGCTGGGATGTCACCCTGATTTGTCTGATTCCAAAGACTTCTTTTAACTTCAGTGCTTCTCAACACTGGCTATCTGGGGAGCTTTTAAAACACTGATACCAAGACCCCTATCTTGGACTAACTGAATGGAGGTGGGGTTGAATATCTGCAGCTTTGAAAAGTTACAGGAGGAATCTAACCTGATGCTCAGAAGGTGATGGAGCCTCTGTCTTGATTATGTTCCACTGCCGACAACATCCACCCATGTCCACAAACTAGGGCTTCTTAACTAACACAGGAGTTTCAAAGGCCAGTTTTTACCAATGATGAAGGATCTGCTATGGGCTGGGCACTTTATGTGATCTCTGATCCTTACAGCAACTATGCAGGCATGAGATGTGGTCAATTTTTTTTTCTTTGGTTCAAATAACTTATATAAATAACTGGTACACACAAACCCTCAGTCAATAGTATTGTTAATATCAGCACTGTCAACATCATCATCTCTTGGATCCTCACAGCAGCCTCAGACATGTCAACCCTGTCTCCTTAACATCCCTGGAATGTATTCATTTCTCACCATCCCTGCTGCCACCCATTTCACCTGAATGCCCATCATTTCCCAACTGGACAGCTGCCATAGGCTTTTAACAACTTGCTGAAACCAGCCTCATCCTCTCCCAATCTATTTTGTACAAAATAGCCCGGATGATCTATTTGAAACACAAATATTTAACCTTCCCTGGTTAGGAAATAGTGATGACTGTCAGGGTCACTGCATAGGGTTGGTAGGTGAAGCCCTTCATAAAAGCACCAAGTGCAGAGGCAGATGGTGCTGAATCCTCTCCCTGCTCTGCTTGAGGGGGCATCAGCCCTGAGGACAGGGTGTCTATTTGTGCTTCATGGGTACAGAGTATGTGTATGCTTTGGTTTGGGGAAGGAGGTGTGTGTTTTCTAATTCACACAAAAGTTTGAAAAAGAGCAGCAACTGCCCTGAAATTGAACCAACCTCACTCAGTCATTGTGCTAGATAAATGTGAAAATTTAAATAAAATGGAGGCTCCCTCCAGGAGTTGAAATTTGAACCCAGGCTGTCAGTCTCACCAGCTCCTCTCCTAACCCCTGTTGTTTTCCCTAGAAGGCACAGAAATTATGCTCTCAGGGAGATTCCACAGATAGACAATTCTTTGGGCAGGTCAACTAGGAGAAGCTCCATAGTGGAGAGAGGGGCAGTCCCTCCCTTCAAGACCAAAGGTGGGCCGACAAAAGCCAACCAGCTTGTTCCCCTTGCCCATCTTATCTATTTAAGGCCTCAATTCCTTTGACCTTCAAAAAAAAGTGTAGTAAAACTTTTGATGAAAAAAATCTTTCTTAGGAGAGAAGAATTTAGATGACAAGGGAAATGGTTATGCTTGGCATCTGATCTGTTTCAAGTAAATTCATTCCCGGCTACCTATTTGATAGGTAAAGTAGAGATAAGGAAAATTAGATTTTAATACAATATCTATCATTATTCTTCCCTATCACATCATTGCTTTTGCTGGCACCAGACTGAATATTTGGCACAGCATTGTAGAACTGGAAGGTCTCGTAGAAATAATCCAGTCCAAATGTTGGCATCCCAAAGCCCCTGTAGGATGGGGGTCTTCATGAGACCTTTCAATATTTGTGAGTTTATATGTGTATTAAATTGGCACAGACTCACTAAAACATCATTTCTTTGCCTTTGACTAGAACTTTAGTAACTTAATATGTTCAAACTTTGGCCGTCTCATGCTAAGTTCTGGCTAGCAGCTGTATGTCTTTCATTAATAAAAGTGAAAATGAAATCACTGTGACCAAAAATCACACTCACAGCTCATGGAAGATCCTTGATTCCCAGACTAATGTTTATGTCCACCATATCATCCTGTCATTTTCTTGACATTTAGGTCAATGAAGAATTTTAGTTTGATAATTAGTTTCAAATCACTCAGCTTAAATTCCAATGTAATAAATTCTTTTTTCAAATTTTATTTTAAAGAAGACTATAGCTACTATACATTTCAAACCAGATTATTCACCATCAATAGAAATAAATACAAAACAAAGCATTGTAATTGAATTCCAGCTAACCACAGTTTTGCCGACCAGGGCTCTTAAATTGAGGTCTGTTCCCTCTTTGTTAAGGAAAGAGGGTGGAGGAGATGAGGAAATGTTGAGAGGTGTTAAAGGAAAATTGGCACCAAACTGAGGCTCTCTCTAGACTTATTCAGAATATGGAAAGGCAATAAAAAAGGGAATACTTTTCTCATAAAAATTATCTCATAGTTCCTGCTGCCTTCAACCCATGGGAGAAATAACCGTATTACAGAAGTCAGAAATAGAGCCTCTGCCCCAACCACTACCTTCCCCTTTCTGGTTTGGCTAAAAACTCACCCCTTTCTCTTCTTGGATGGACCACCTCTACTTCTCCTTCTTCTCCATGGCCTTTGGATCCTTTTATCCCCTTTGCTCCCCACTTCCAGAGCCCTGTCTCTATTCTACTGGGTCTCAAACCCTGCGGTTCACAGCTTGTGGGTGAGAAGGCTTAGGATCTTGGAGATAGAAGAGAGAGTGGTGGGGACAAGGAGGAGGAGGAGGAAAAAGGAGGAGGTGGTGGTTTATATAGCCCATTGTTCTCAAGCAAGTCTGAATATTCCCAGTCAATAATCCACACTTGTTTCACCCTTTAATTCCTTTTTGTTGTTGTTTTTAATTTTTTTTTTTTTTTTTTTTTTTTTTTGAGACAGGGTCTCATTCTGCCATCCAGGCTAGAGTGCAGTGGTACAGTCATGACTCACTGTAACCTCAAACTCCTGGGCTCAAGCGATCCTTCCACCTGTGCCTCCTAAAGTGCTGGGATTACAGGTATGAGCCACTGTGCCTGGTTAAGTCCTTTAGCTCCCCTTGCTATTTCCATTGTGCCATGGGAGTGTAACGAAGCCTGAAATCTAATTTTTACCCCCTGATAGAGCCTTCAGCCTTTTGCCTCTTTTTTCCTCCTGCCTTTTGCTTCTCCGTAACATACATGATGCTTCAGCCTCATCCTTTGTAGCTTTTATTCTGTCCTGCCTTCCTCCACATTCATAAATCACAACACATTTTGTTACTTAATGATGTGGGCTAGATGATTTAATTACCCTACATTTTCTATCCTGTTGACCATCCTGGCTGAATTTTTGAAATTTAATAATTTGAAGCCACACAGAATGCAGTTATAGATACTAGGCTTCCTCATTACTTGAATCTCCTCAATTAGTTCCTCTCATGTCCAGTGTTCTTCTTGTTTGTTTATACTGTAAAGCCCTGATTATCTGAAACTCCTTTATGCAGAAACTCTGTTATCTGAAATAAGGTTGTATTACTGGATGTGTTTTATTTACTTTGAAAACTGTCTGGCTCACCTGAACCTTTGCTTATCTGATTTAATTCAATGCTTACCTGGATTCTTCAGATCAGCAGGGCCTTGGGGATCCCTACTCCATTTTCTTATTGTTTAACCTCTGCTACAGAACAACTCCAATTTCAGTCCTACTTTCCATGGTAGAAACGCATGCCATGTTATCTGCATTCTACACTTGCTCCACTATGTTTGTTCCTGCCTCCTTTCTAAAACCCATGTTAAAAGGAAAAAAAAGAATAATTGAACTTTTTAAACCTCCTATAGTATCATGAGGCAGCATAGCCAAAGGGAAAGGATGTTGTCATGCATCTAGGGACCTGACCGTGTTCTTGGCTTCGTTCTGTAGTTGACTGTGTGACTTAAAACAAGTCCTCTAAACCACCATGCATTTCTGTTTCCCAATCAGCCAACTGGGGATAACAGTGTCTAGGCTTCCTTGTTACCTGAGATTACCTGATGTAGGGACTATAGTTGTAGAAAAGTTTTGAGGGGAATATTCTTTTTATAATTAATCTAGACAGAGTCATTCATAATTAAGTAATAATTAATCTAGAGAGGACTTACTAATTCTTTTTATAATAGCTCACATTTGGCAAAGAATAAGATTGAGAGACATTAAGGAAAAATCGGCACCAAACTGAGGCTTTCTCTAGACAATGCAGAAATGCTGATTCCTGGCAAATAGTATCTGCACTCTGCTTGAATGCTTCTCATAATGGAAAGATCACTATGTCTTTTCAAAGTTTTCATTACTAAACTATCAGATATTTCTTTCTCGCATAAGGCAAAAAATATCCCTTTGTGAAAATTTCACCTGCTTGTCCTATAGCAATTCAATTTACCACCGATTTGCAAAGGCCTGTGTCAGTTATCTGGAGTTACTAAGATAAATTCAGCTTGGTTTCTGCACACAAAATCTTTGCACATGGCAGGATACCTAAGACATGTTCTACAAATGAAAGGTCGGCTGTAGTGTTGGATTTCTTAAAGGTAGAGATACTTCCGCTGGTGGCTAACATGGAATAATAGGGACCAGTCTTGCCTTCCTTCCTGGAACAACCAAAATAATGAGCAACACTTTTCAAGACACTGGATGTCAGGAAACAAAAAAACAGTGATTCTCAAGTGATAGGAAACAAACAATTGCCTCTACAAAATAAGCTTTCCAAAAAACTTACTGCCGTGGGAGAACTTTCCAGCCCTCTTGCAGGGAATCCAGACACAGGAGTCCAGTGAACTCCCTGAGAAAAGATGGAAATGAGATTCCTGGAGACCAAGACAGCCAGAGTTTTTGGGATAGAGTACTGAAGAGGAGAGAGCTGTACAGAGAAAGAATGCCAGTGATCTACCAAGGCTCCCTCTTGAATATTCTGCAGAGTACTGATCAACAAATGCATGTGAGGAAACTTTCCAGCGAGGAAAGTCCTACCTCCACAAATTAGAGGGAACAGGACCATGCCTGTTTCTACCAGCCAGACTGAGAAACCTCATAATTTGTGGGGCATTGGATATACTAGTCAGAAGGCTGTTTTCTCAGTAATGAAAAATAATTCACAGTAGACTGAAAGCAGCTCTCGGTTTCACCTAACAAATCTTAAAAAGAAGACCCAAAAGTAGTAAACTGTTTATAGGCAAATTAACTGCATTGCTGAACAAAGCTCAAGAATATTTGTAGGAATACAACAGTAGCCAGTACCCAACAAAGTAAAATTCACAAAGTATGGTACTCAGTAAAAAAAATTACCAGGTATGCAAGAAGGTAGGAAAATACGACCAATAATAAGGAGAAATAGCAACCAATCAAAACCAACCCAGAGCTGACACAGATGTTAGAATCAACAGACAAGGACATTCAGACAATTCTTATAACTGTATTACATGTGATCAACTAGTGAAGAACAGACATAGAAGATATTTTAATTGAACTTAGAAGATATTTACATTGAACGTCTAGGAATGAAAACTACAATTTCTAAGATATAATTTTCACTGATGAAATCAGTGGTAGATTGAACACTGCAGAAAAAATTTTAAGAAACTTTAAGACATAGCAGTAGACACTATTCTCAAACCACAGAGAGGAAAAAGAATAAAAACAAAAGAACAGAGGCTCACTGGCTCATGGAACAAATTCAAGTGGATCAATAGTGTAATTTGTGTCTAGAAGGAGAGTAGGTGGGGGAATGGAAAGAGAACAAGAGCCCAAGCACAGGAACCATAAAGAAAAGGTAATCAGCTGGGCGCAGTGGCTCACGCCTGTAATCCCAGCACTTTGGGAGGCTGAGGCAGGTGGATCACCTGAGCTCAGGAGTTCGAGACCAAACTGACCAACATGGAGAAACCCCGTCTCTACTAAAAATACAAAATTAGCCAGGCATGGTGGTGCATGCCTGTAATCCCAGCTATCTGGGGGGCTGAGACAGGAGAATCGCTTGAAGCCAGGAGGTAGAGGTGGAGGTGAGTCAAGATCGTGCCATTGTACTCCAGCCTGGGCAATGAGCAACAAAAGCAAAAAAAAAAAAAAAAAAAAAAAAAAAAGGAAAGGAAAGAAAGAAAGGTAATCAAGGAACAATGGAAACAAATTGTTCAAAATCAAAACCAATGTGAAGAGAAAATCTTAAAAGCAGTCATAGAAAAAAGACACATTATGTATAGAGAAAAAAAAAAAAACAGGAGAAGTTCCTCATCAGAAACAATGCAAGTGAGAGCATTGTTTAAAGGTGGAGCAACACCTTTAAACATGAAAAAACTGTTAATGTTGAAGTCTATACCAGTGAATAGGTCTTTCAAAAATGAAGGCAAAATAAAGAATTTTCAGACATACAAAAGAAGAAAGAATTTGTCACCAGTAGATCTATTCTACAAAATATGTTAAAGAAAGTCCTTTAGTCAGAAGGAAGATGACACAAATTGGAAATCTGAACTACATGAAGAAATGAAGAGCATGGAAATGGTCATAGCATAGGCAAATTTGTAAGCTTTATTATTATTATCTCCAAAAGGTAATTGACTATTTAAACAAAAATGATAACGTTTATAATATATATAAAGAAAAATCTATGACAAAAATAGCACAAAACCGGGAAGGATTATGGATCTGCTGCCATTTTGGTTTTTGTTGTTGTTGTTGTTCCTGTGTACATAATGTGAGGATAATGGATGTAGTTTGTTATAAGGTTTTTAAGCTATGTGTAAAGTGCTGTATAGCAAAACAAAGAGCTTTAGCTAAGAAGACAACAAAAGAGATAAAATGAAATCATAAAAAACATGCAATCTAAAAGAAGGCAGAGGAAATAGAGAACAAATAATAGATGGAGAAAATGGAAAACAAATAACAAGAAGATAGATTTAAATCTAACCATATCAATAAATCACATTAAATGATCTAAATACCAAAATGAATAGACAGATATTGGCAGAGTGAATAAATAGATATGCTGCCTATAAGAAACCCACTTTGGAGGACAATTGACATCGAAATAGTATTTAGTTTTTCAGCCCATAAACACAGTATATCCCTCCATTTATTTAGCTCTTTAAATTTTATCTCAGCAACATTTTGTAATCTTGTCAAATTTGTTCCTAAGTATTTCACATTTCTGAAGTCATTGTAAAGAGTACTATGTTTTAAATTTTAATCTCCAATACTTTGTTGTTGGTACACAGAAATACAATTGAGTATTTAGATTGATCTTCTATCTGCAACATTGCCAAGCTCATTTATTAGTTCTAATCACTGTATTATATATTCCATAGGATTTTCTACATAGATAATTTGCAGATAAAGACCATTTACTTTTTCCTTTCAACTTTGAATACTTTTATTTATTTTTCTTGTTTTATTGCACTGGCTAGAACTCTATTACAATGTTGAATAGAAGTGGTTTCCTTGTCTTGTTCCTGATCTTAAAGGAAAAACATTCAGCTTTGTATTATTAAATATCTTGTTAGGTGAATTTTATCCTTTGGAATAATACAAGATGAGTCTACCTCCTCTATCAATGAAAGCATACTTTTGTACTTATGTGTCATGTACTGGTGATATAGCAGTGAACCAAACATACAGAAATCCCTGCCTCTCATGGAGTTTACTTACACTCTAGAGGGGAAGATGAACAATAAACAAGATACACTAGTAAAATCTAGGGTGTGTTGATGGTGAGAAGAGCCAATGGAAGGGAGAGATGAAGTATCAGTGGGCTGTATAAAATGTTAGAGATTGTGGCCTGGAAGGGCTAATGAGCACATCACTGAGTTTTTTCTTTGTCCTGGCCATTCATTCTATCCCTCTTTCCCTATGACTACTGCTTCAGACTCTCATTATTTCTCATGTGTACTATTGCAACAGCGTCCAACCTGGTCTCCTTGTCCTTAGGCTTATCAAACCTCCATACTTCTACCAAAGTGCTCCTTTAGTGAATTCCCATTTCTTACAGGATAAAATTCAAATTTCCTTGGAGCCCATAAAGTTCCTTTCATGAGCTTGCCTTTATCTTCCTAGCCTCATCATTCTCCCCTTTCCCCTTTGCCTCCTATACCCCAGCCTTATAAAACCATTTGCTCTTTACTAAATATGCTCCACTCTCTCATTACTCTGAGCTTTTGCCTAGACTCTTCCCTATTTCTATATTGCCTTTATTCATTATATGCACATAATAAATCATTAACTTTTAAAATCATTTAAATGCCACTATAAGCATTACCTCTAGAAAAAATGTCTTCCTAAAAGAAGAGCTGGGTACTCCCTCTTCTAGTTCCTAGGCTATCTGTGTGTATGCAAATTAGGATGTTGAATTCCATTATTGAATGGTAATTGTCTACTTACTTGCATGTCAGTCCTACTGGACTGTGAGTACCTTGAAACAGAAACTGGCTCTACATATTTGTTTCCCTAGCACCGTTCTGGCACATAGGGATGATCAGTAAATTTTTGTTGAAAGAATAGCTATATGTGTAGAAGAAATGAAATATCCCTGATCTAAGTCTTCATTTGAAGACATTTCAGTGTCCTGGATATCTGGCTTGTCATGGCTCCCTGAATAACTGCTGAATGCACTGACATACTTACTCAATGTAGTCAGATCAGTGCAGTGTCTAGTTATAACAATGACCTTCCTTCACCTGGGCATTGTTTAAAATGAATTTAGTACGAACTTGATTAAATCCTTTGGAAAAAGTGCCACACTTTGAGTGTATATTAAGTTTGTGGTCAACCAACACCTTCAAGTCTTTTTCACTGATGTAAAGCCGAGTCTCTCCCAGCTAATCCATGTTGACCAGTCTTTCCCTATGTGCCAGATAAAACTCTCATCCCTGCTCAACTCATCTTATTTTTTGTCCTAAGGCATCACTCTTAGAAACATTTTGAAAATACTTTTGTTCTTTTATTACATTAGACTTGCTGCCATTTCAAAGTGTAACTAAAATATTGGGAAAAGATCAAACAGTGAAACTTAAGACTGCTGCAGAGGATATTTAAAGATTATAACTCAGGAAGTCTCAGGGTGTACCTAAGCTTCCGCCCTATGGGAGCCGTTTTAGCTTAGACCTAATCTGAAGGTACTCTTCTCAACAAAAGCAACTGATTTTCAAATCTTGTTTTAATCATTGGAGTATCAACACAGAGCAATGTAGGATACAGATGCAGCTGATCAGACCACAGAACACTGAAGTTATTGCAAGAAAGAGCAAATATGCTGCCAGATACCAACACAGAGAAGCCATTCCCAAAAGTTTAAGTAACTGATGATACATTTTAGCCTAGGAGTAACCTCCTTTAAAGATAATTTTAAAGGTAATGCTTAAAGTGAACTTTAATAATAACTTCAGCAAAAAATGGAAAATACACAGATGGGGGATGCAGATGCAAGAACCATTTATTCAGGATGCTCCAGTTAATGGGTACTGTTGATGTTCACAGGGAAGAAAGACAGAATACTAGAACATCATTCAAATTACAACGCCCATCACACCCAGACTCCCCAGTTCACGGAGAACTGGAAGGTGATCTTGTCATCTCCTCTTCCTCCTCATGGCTTCTCCTTCTTAGAGTTTGCATTGCTTCCCAGCCTCTGGCCCATAACTTTCTCCCAGAGCTCCTAACCAGGCCATCTCCTAGGATGCAGGCCAACCTTCTGAGGGTCAGACACAATCCCTGGTCTAAGCCTAGACAGTTGGTACAAAACATGGCAACCTCTAAATTCTATACAAAGAAACACTTTGGCTGCTTACTTAGAAGGGAATTCTTAAAATGCTATACTCTGTGCTGGGAACTAATTTATTATGTGCCAAGAGCTTCAAAAACATACTATCCCAGGTATCTATTGGTGTGTAACAAACCACCCCAAAATATGGGGGTGTAAAACAACAATTATTGTATTATGCTTGTGACTCTGGAAGTCTGAAATTTAGTCAGGGCACAAGTAGGGACTGTTTTTCTCTGTCCCACAAAGTCTGTGGCTTCAGCTGGGGTGGCTCAAATAGCTGAGGATGGGTATTCCCCACACAAAACAAAAGGCCACTGTCTGGGCCCTCCATTCTTCTCCATGTGGTTTCTTCTAGAGCAAATCCTTCACTCATGTATGTGATATCTGAGCTGGGGTAGGTTGAACAGTTTGGGTCTGGCTGTCCTCGCTGTGTCTCCACATGCCCTCTTCAATTGCTTACTTTGGGATTCTTTACCAAGTTCCTGGAAACCAAGGCAGAGAACTTCAATGCTTCTTAAGACCTAGCTACAAAAGGCAGTATCATTTCAATGTAGGAGGAGATTACTTCCTCCTGGGCTAAAATGTGTTATGGGTTACTTAAAATTTTGGGAATGACTTCTCCGTGTGGGTATGTGGCAGCATATTTGTGTCTTGGGTGTGAATACCAGGAGGTAAAGCTTACTGGGGAGCCATTATTGGAGAATAGCTGCTTTCTTTGGAAAATGGCTACCATACATACATTCTCTCATTAAGCCCTCACAACAATCCTATCAGTTAGGTACTCTATTCTCCTATTTCATTTAAAAGAACAAAGATTCTGAAAGGTTAAGCAACTTGCTTAAGATCACACAGTCAATAAGGGTCAGAGATTGGGACCTGCGGTTATCTGTTTCCAAATCTGTGCTCTCTCTACGCATTCATGCTGCTATTAATTAGTATCAAGAGCCACATAAGAAAGTGACATTTCAGTTTTCCATCTCCTCCAGTCCAGGAAGGACTCTTCAATTTCAGACTTGATGAAGACAATAAACAGCTCTCTTGAGTCTGATCACAGTCACATGATAGAATGAAAGCTGTATACATTACTGTTAATTCACTTTGATTACATATTAAAGTACTATTAATAGCAGTAATGGTCATAATAACAGATAACGTTAATTGAGTGCTAACTGTGCTCCAGACCTGGGCTAAGCACTTTATATTTATTTACTGTCTCCATTTTTAACAAGCACCATATATGATAAGTACTATTATTATCCATATCACAGAGAAGTAGCTTGTAGAAGTTAAATGGCTTACCCAAGATCACACAACTAATAAGTGACAAAGTTGGGATTTGCACTCAGGGAAGTCTTGACTCTAAAACAGTTATTTTAAGATCAGTTTTATTAAGGTATAATTTACATATAAAAAATGCACCTATTATAAATATAGAGTTTGATGAGCTTCAACTCCAGGAAAAAATAAAACTAAAAACCTTGGCCTTGGCATGTAAAGCCTTCTCTCGGGCTTCATTTTCTTGAGAAATCCAGGCTAAGACAGTTGGTATCAGATGGCTAGTGGGCATTAGAAGTGGTTCTAGAAATCAGATGCTCAGGGTCAAATGCTCAAGATGGACCATTCACCAGTATGACAGGAAGAAGGAGCCCATTTCTGGTCATAAGTGGGATGGCACAAAGAAGCATTGCACCGGAGAGTACTGGAAGGAGAAGCAGGTGGAAGGTGGCACCTATGCCAATTAAGCAGTGTGGCACAGTGATAATTACAGGAATCGGGACTTGGCTGGCTTTTGTTAATGGCTTTATAAGCTATTCTGTTTATCTACTGCTCTGTAACAAATTACCCCAAAACTTAGGGCTCAAAACAATGTATTATTTTCTCTTATGATATGGTAAGCTAACTTAGTTGAGTTGGTTGGTTCTCACTCACGGTATCCAATGTGGTTCTAGACACATGGTAGCTGGGTCTGGAGACAACATAAGGTTTCTCTGGGCTTGAAGTTCAAGATGGCTCACTCACATGGCCAGCACTGATGCTGGCTGTCAGCTGCAAACTCATCTGGGGCTCTCACAGCATAGAGGGCTCAGGGTAGTCACACTTCGAACATGGTGGCTGGTTTCCCCCAAGCAGGCATTCTAAGAGGCAGGAAGTAGAAGAACTAGGGTGGCTATACTCAGAATTGGCACTATATAATTTCTACTTTGTTCTTTTCATCAAAGCAGTCACAGGGCTCGGCAGATTTAGGGGAGTGGAAGAGCAAGATTTTATCTCATAATGGGAGAGAGATAAGTACATGTTCCATGTGGGATGAAAGATATTGTTGCACTCATCTTTGGAAAATATGATTTGTCACAAACAGGCTTATGACAACTAACCACCAGATTATCAAACCTGCTTGGCAATGTCCTAACATATCCTTAAATTCTGCAGTTGCAGGATGGACTCTGCTGAAAATCAAGACTAGAATTCACTGTTAAGTCATGCAGGATTACAAAGACAATGGAATGCACGGCCTCAACAGATGTTCTTTGCAAAGTCAAAACTCCTAATATGAAAGGAATAGGATCCTGAGACCTGGAATAAGAATATTTGAGTAAACAAGCCTGCAAATAGTAAATCTCCAGCTTTATGAACACTCTGGACTCAAAGGAAAAAATCATCTCCCTGTTTCTAAACAGCCTGCTCTTATGCAGAAATGCAGCAAAGGCCTCAGCTGAAGCAAGTGCTTTGCAGGACAATGCTTGTCCTCAAATTCTGACCTTGCCCTCTTCTCATAACCAATAGCTGGAGTCATGTCTCAGCACAGCCTGATCCAGGAAATACAATGCCTGTTCCTTCTATACCAAAAGCCTTGCAAGACCTAGCAAACAGGCACTGGCAGAATCCAGGAAAACACAAGTGGGAATACATCTTGAGAGAGTTGGACGAGGAAATCCTGAATATAAAGATGGATAGGAAGAATTAATTGATATGCAAGTCTTCTTCCATGACTCAATTTAATATCCTGGCAAAAACATTTGAATCCAGTCCTAACACATTGGTAGGGTGACTCTTTGAAGCTTGAACACAATAGGCAATAGTGAATAAGGTAGAGTTGCTAGAATAAATTTGGTGGAGTATCAAGGAAGGGTCAGAAGGAGATAGAAATGTTAAAATGGATTTATTAGTGAGATCAGAGAATTCTGCATCTGTCTGTATTCCCCAGGAAGTCCCAGAGGGTGTTCCTTTGACTAAAGCAATAAGAAATGCACTGATGAGAAAGCACTGGCTTCTTTTGAGAAGTGCCAATGGTGTCTGTCTCTCATAAACTGCGGTTGATAGTATGAGATGCTGCTACAACACTGGACTTCTTAGCATCAATCAGGATAACAGGATTCTGGAATGTGAGGGGCCAGGCAGCAATTCTTAAGTGACAGTAGCAAAGTATAGGTACATATGATTACTATAATGGACAATCAGATTGGAAGATGCCTCAGCTGTCAGGCACCTGTGGCAGTGGCTAAGAGACCAAGGTATTCCCACTGATGAGACAGATGAATGGCTAACTAGAGTGGTACTTGACTTGTAGAATTAGAAAAAAAAAAGGAAAGCTGCCACAAGCACACTTCAAATTGGATCAAATGGACCCATGAACTCAACCTGTGGTTATTTCCCCATTGTCCAAGAGAATAATTTGGATGGATAAGCAAAGTAGCGGCAGAATCTTCCCACAGGTTCCCTAGCCTACTGAGTAAAAGCCATTAGGGTAGGAAGGGACAAGTGGAAGTCTCTGAAACTATCCAGCACAACCCCACCAGTCAGGAGACTGTACCCAAGTTAGCACTATTCCAAAAGAAAATTAGTGCCACCAGCAAAGAGAATTGGTATCATCATTTCTGCTGGATGATGTTCTCCAGCATCTCTCTATATAATTCACCTGTATGGTGCTTGGAAAAATAAACTGACAGATCATGGTGGATGACAGTGGACTACCATAAACTTAATCAAGTGGTAGCTCCAATCTCAGCTGCTGAGCCAGATGGGATATCTTTACTAAACAGACCAACACAGCCTCTGGCACTCAGTATGTTGCCATTGATCTGGTGAATATGTTCTTTTCAATCCTCATCAATAAACGGGATCAAAAGCAGGTCTCTTCTAAGTAAGAAGGACATCAGTACACATTGACAGTCTTGCCTAAGGCTATGTGAAGCCTCTTGGGCAATGTCACAAAATAGTCTGCAGGGATATTAATTGTCTTAATATTCCATAGGCATATAGACTATACTGGCACACTATCTTGATGGCATTATGCAGATTTAACCTGCTAAACAGAAGTAGCAACTTGAGTGTCAGGGGGTGAGAATAAAACCTCACAAAGATTCCCCAACCTGCCCATCAGTGACATTTTTAGGAGTCCAATAATCTGAGGCATGCTGGCACAAAGTCTTTGAGGTAAAGCACAAGACGTTAGCTCTTGTACCTTATTCTGGCTTTCTATTGCAACATAACAAACCACCCCAAAACTTACTGATGTAAAGCGCCACAATACGGCTAAACCCATGGATTCTGTGGGTCAGGAATCTGGACAGAGAACAGCAGGAATGTCTTGTCTCTACTTTTAGATTCCTGCCAGCTTTGCTAAACTCGGCATCCATAATCGAATTCAGCTGTAATCCCTTAAAGCATCCAATTATATGAAATGAACTAATTTCTCTCCTAGGTATCCAGAATGATATAGTGATGTGCCATACTTGGTAGAACTGAGAAAATAGTCATTCAAACCATTTTCTGTCCTCTGTAGCTCAGATAAAAAAACTCTAGTTGAGAAAGGCTGGCTAGAAACTAAGTTGGGAAAACTCAAATGGCTGGGGGGTGACACAAACTGGGCTGAAATCTTCTGCAGTCATCTTCGTTTACATTTCTAATGCCTAAGCTGTGTCACTTGAAGACTGGGCTCAGTGAGGACCATCGAATGGAACACCAACATATACCCTCTCCATGTGGTTTAGACTCTTCACAATACAGCAGTTTGCAAGTAGTTGGAAGAGGAAGGATCCTACTGAACAAGAAAGAAGTGACCTGGTCTTTTATGATCTAGCCTCAGGAGTCATATAGTATAGTACTGCACTATATGTATTGTGTGTGTGTGAGTATGTATATTATATACATATATATTTTATATATACACACACATAAGTATATACTATAGTATACTAAAGTTATGTAGTATAGTACTATACTATATAGTGTAGTAGCTTTCACCATACTCTATTAGTTGAACCAGTAAAAAGCCTAGCCAGATTCCAGGGGATAGGACATAGACCCCATCTCTTGATAGAAAGAGTGTCAAATAATTTTGAGGTGTTTTAAAGCCACTTAAAAATATTCAGAAGTCAGAGATAGCAAATACTTCTCTTGGGAATATTGCTCTAACTTATTTTTTGGGTAACTTGCAAGGCTGCCAGTTTTGAATGTCAGAGTAAGATCTGCAGCAGATCCTGGCTGTGATACAAGTGGCTCTGACACTCATGCTAGATGGCCAGCAGACTTAATGGTGCTACTTATTGCAAATAAAGACATTATGTGTATGGAGTCTCTGACAAGTTCAGTAAGGAGAGTTGCAGCACAGATCCTGTGGTTCTGGAACTAGGCCTTCTTTCTCCAACAGAAAAGTACATACCATTTGAAAATTAGCTCCATCCTGAGCTCTGACAGAGATGAATCTTCTGCACATGGGACATCAAGTGACCATGCATCCAGAGCAACCCCTGTTGAGCTGAGTATTTTCAGATCCACAGTGTTGGTCACAATGTCGGGCAGGCACAGCAGCAATCCATCATACAATGAAATGGGCCAGAAGAGATCCAGAGGGCGTAAGTCAATTCCATCTGCCCTAGATTTCTGTGTTATCTACCTCTCTTGTTCAGTTCACATCTAAAGTCTTTTTTTTTTAGACAAAGTCTCTGTCCGTCACCCAGGCTGGATTGCAGTGGTGCGATCTCGGCTCACTGTAACCTCCACCTCAAGCGATTCTCGTGCCTCAACCTCACGAGTAGCTGGGATTACAGGCGTGGGCCACCGTGCCCGGCTAATTTTTGTTTTTTTAGTAGAGACAAGATTTTGCCTTATTGGCCAGGCTGGTCTCAAACTCCTGACCTCAGGTGATCTGCCCGCCTCAGCCTCCCAAAGTGCTGGGATTACAGGCGTGAGCCACCATGCCCGGCCTAAAGTCTTATAATTTCCTATAACCAACCAATGAGGACAAAAACTTGAACTTAGTTCATAGATGGGCTGCCTTAATAGGCTGGTGGTAGTGAAAAATGTGACTACCACCAGGCTAGAGTCCTATGGAGGGGTGGCCCTGAGGACAGTGAAAGTTACCCCTCCCAGTAAGCAGAGCTGAGAACAATGCACTTGCTCATTCTCTTTGTAGGGCAGGAGAAGTGGTCTGAGTTAAGGTTATATCTGGACCCACTGGCAGTGGCGAATGGCTTGCTGGTTGAGTCAGAAGCCTCAAAGAAGATGGACTTATAGCACTGGACACATAGCATGTAGATTTCTGTCTCACATCAAGGCCCACCAGAGAACCTCCTCTGCAAGTGAGGCACTGAATAACGAGATGACAGGATGTACTAAGGATACCAGCCAGCCTCTCTCCCTAGCCACTGCATGACAGAGGGAACATGGGACAGGGACAGAGGCTCTGCATGGCCCCAATGGCATTAGTGCCATCTCACCAAGACCAGTCTAGCAACTGCTGTCCTGAATATGTGATTTTCACCAGAGAGATTGATGTGAAACACTCCATGTTGTACATGTCTTGAAGAAGACCAGCCAGTCACTTGGTGATAGGCTTTTTACATCAGATGCCTTCTACACTGGAAGGATCAGTGATTCATTCTTTCCAGAATAGACACTTATCTGGACATGGGGTTGCCTTCCTTGCCCCAATGCCTCTGCTAGCACCACCAACAACTTACATTCCGACATGTTTCCACAGAATGTTTGAGGAGTAAGCATTCCAGGGGAAACCCTTGACCAATAGATGCCAGAAGCCAGGAAATGTTCCTCTCTTCTGTCCTTTGGGAGGACAGTCCTAAGATATAATCTCTATAGTTTCTAAGAGAGCCAAGCAGGATGGAGGCCCACTTACCACAATAGGGACCAGTTTAATGGAGTGCCTTCCCTCCTCTTTGATATCTGTCAGTCTCCCATTCCTGGTGCGTCTATTTCCCAAAACAAACCACCTGCATTCATGCACTTTTACCAGGCTCTGCTTTCTGGAAAACTAAGGCTAAGACACTATCTCTCTTGTGCTTATTCATAAAGCATGCTTTTTCTGTAAAGTGAGAAGTCTGTGTGTTATAGTTCAAGAAATTACTCACATTGGGTGTGTGTGTGTGTGTGTGTGTGTGCGCGCGTGTGTATTTAGTTAACAAGTACCTTCCAGCCTAGGTACTGTGGAGGCTTTGAAAGGATTCTGCTCATGGCTGTGGCACCCATCCCACTGGTCTTCAGGTAGGTTGCGCAGGTGCTGCCCTGTCCAACCGGGCTTGGCTGAAGAGTAAGTGAGGGCTTCATTCACCAAGCAGAGCACTCTGGCACAAGCTGCATCTACACAGAGGAAGGGTGTCTGTTCCTAATTTATAAGAGGAACTGTCAGCTCACTAAGCCCTGTGCCCTAGAGGCACTTCCGCCCAAGGAGGGCATATTTTCTTTTCTTTTTTAATTATTTTAAGTTCTGGGATACATGTACAGCATATGCAGGATTGTTATGTAGGTAAAAGTGTGCCATGGTGGTTTGTTACACCCATCAACCCATCACCTAGGTATTAAGCCAGCATGCATTAGCTATTTATCCTGATGGTCTCCCTCCCCCTGCCCCCACCCCACAGGCTCCAGTATGTGTTGTTCCCCTCCCTGTGTCTATATGTTCACATTGTTCAGCTCCCACTTATAAATGAGAACCTACAGAGTTTGGTTTTCTGTTCCTGTGTTAGTTTGCTGAGGATAATGGCTTCAGCTCAATCCATGTCCCTGCAGAAGACATAATCTCATTCCTTTTTATGGCTGCATAGTATTCCATGGTGTATATGTACTACATTTTCTTTATCCAGTCTATCATTGGTGGGCATTTGGGTTGATTCCATGCCTTTGCTATTGGGAATAGTGCCACAATCAACATATGCATGCATGTATCTTTATAATAGAATGATTTATATTCCTTTGAGGATGAGTTCGTGTCCTTTGTAGCGACATGGTTGAAGCTGGAAACCATCATTCTGAGCAAACTATCACAAGGACAGAAAACCAAACACCGCATGTTCTCACTCATAGGTGGGAATTGAACAATGAGAACACTTGGACACAGGGCAGGGAACATCACACACTGGGGCCTGTCATGCGGTGGGGGGATGGAGGAGGGATAGCATTAGGAGAAATACCTAATGTAAATGACAAGTTAATGGGTGCAGCAAACCAACATGGCACATGTATACATAGGTAACAAACCTGCACGTTGTGCACATGTACCCTAGAACTTAAAGTATAATAATAATTAAAAAAGAATGATTTATATTCCTTTGAGTATATACCCAGTAATGGGATTGCTAGGTCAGATGGTATTTCTAGTTCCAGGTCTTCGAGAAATCGCCACACTGTCTTCCAGGATGGTTGAACTAATTTACATTCCCACCAACAATGTAAAGGTCTTCTTATTTCTCCACAGCCTCACCAGCATCTGTTGTTTCTTGACTTATTAATAATCTCCATCCTGACTGGCATGAGATGGTATCTCACTATGGTTTTGGTTTGCATTTCTCTAATGATTAGTGATGTTGAGCTTTTTTTCATATGTTTGTTGGCCACATAATGTCTTCCTTTGAGAAGTGTCTGTTCGTGTCCTTTGCTCACTTTTTAATGGGGCTGTTTGTTGTTTTTTTTTGTAAATTTGCTTAAGTTCCTTGTAGATTCTGAATATTAGAACTTTGTCAAGTGGGTAGACTGCAAAAATTTTCACCCATTCTGCAAGTTGTCTGTTCACTCTCATGATAGTCTCTTTTGCTGTACAGAAGCTCTTTAGTTTAATTAGATCCCATTTGTCAATTTTTGCTTTTGTTGCAATTGTTTTTGGTGTTTTTTTCATGAAACCTTTGCTCATGCCTATATCCTGAATGGTGTTGCCTAGATTTTCTTCTAGGGTTCTTACAGTTTTGGGTTTTACATTTAAGTTATAATTCACCTTGAGTTAATTTTTGAATAAGATGTAAGGAAGGGGTGCAGTTTCAATTTTCTGCATATGGCTAGCCATTTCTCCCAGCACCATTTATTAAATAGGGAATCCTTTCCCCATTGGTTGTTTTTGTCAGGTTTGTCAAAGATCAGATGGCTGTAGATGTGTAGTCTTATTTCTGAGTTCTCTATTCTGTTCCATTGGTTTATGTGTCTGCTTTTGTACCAGTACCATGCTGTTTTAGTTACTGTAGCCTTGTAGTATAGTTTGAAGTTGGGTAGCATGATGCCTCCAACTTTGTGCTTTTTGATTAGGATTGTCTTTGCTATTCAGGCTTTTTTTTTGTTGTTCCATATGAATTTTAAAACAGTTTTTTTCTGATTCTGTGAAGAATGTCAATGGTAGTTTAATGGGAATAGCATTGAATCTGTAAAATACTTTGGACAGTATGGCCATTTTCACAATATTGATTCTTCCTATCCATGAGCATGGAATGTTTTTCCATTTGTTTGTTTCCTCCCTGATTTCCTTGAGCAGTGGTTTGTAGTCCTCCTTGAAGAGGTCCTTCACTTCCCTTGTTAGCTCTATTCCTTGTAGTCCTCCTTGAAGAGGTCCTTCACTTCCCTTGTTAGCTCTATTCCTAGGTATTTTATTCTCTTTGTAGCAATTGTGAATGGGAGTTCACTCATGATTTGGCTCACTGCTTGTCTGTTGTTGGTGTATAGGAATGCTTGTGATTTTTGTGCATTGATTTTGTATCCTGAGACTTTGCCGGAGTTGCTTATCAGCTTAAGAAGCTTTTGGGCTGAGACAATAGGTTTTTCTAGATATAGAATCATGTCATTTGCAAACAGAGACAATTTGACTTTCTCTCTTCCTATTCGAATACCCTTTATTTCTTTCTCTTGCCTGATTGAGGGCACATTTTCTAATCACCAGAAAATCCTACTATGGGCAGCAAAGGCCCAGCATCCACCTACTCTCCTATCTCTGCTACTCACATCTTGATGCCCCTACACTCGGTTCAAAGCTAAGAGCATTTTCTGAATTAATTAAAAACTCAGAACATAGCTCAGGTCCAGAGCTAGGGAGAAAACCATATGTTTTTTTGGTTGAAAGAAACCTTACATATTATTTAAGGCTAGCCTATCCCTTTCATTTGACAGATAAGGAAACTGTCTACAGAGCCTCTTCTGTATTGCCTCCTACTCTCACCAGGCCAGATGCCAGGCTCCAGCCAGGGCACCACTCAGCAGTATGTGTGACCCAGCTCAGTTTCAGTGAAGAACTATTATAATTGACTAAATGATTCCTTTCCTAAAAGCAACTTTATGAAGATGAGTAAAATGAGAAAATGAAGCACCAACCAACATTTTGCAAACTTATATACTTTTCACTGGTGCATGATGTTTTTGGAAGAGTTTCTGTTTTCTATGAACACTAGGCAATCTCTTTTGACTTTGGTCACTAGGCACCTGTGAAATTGAGGACATCTTGTTGCATTCATATTATTTCAATGTACACTGAATACGAGGCCAGAAAAAAAGAAAGAAGAAGAGTGGAAGGAAAAGAGATTTGTTGAATGGCCACTTGATTGTTGTGTTTTCAACAAGTCATGGACATTACATTGAGGACTTTTGACTCACTGGTGACACAGCTTTCAGTGTGTTCTGTTGTCATTGGTAATTGATCATATTTCACTCTGAAATGAAAGATGAGACTGACAAAAAATCTTGTTATAAAGCCCCTGGCTAAGAGGAAGGCAAGAAAGAAATACAGGTAAGCTAGTTTTCAAGAAATGAAATAAAGAACACGAGAGATCATGCTGTGGCCCAGGCTTAAAGAATTCTTCAATTCCCATCTGAGTTCTGTCAGTTACCTTGATGTTTCATGTTGGTTTTTCCTCATTATTTTACCCAGGTGACTGCTCCTGACCCTACATAGGTTAGGGGATTAACTGATGATGGTGATGTGCTTGGCATTCTCCATGCAAGGAAGGAGGCTGCCCCATCCCCTATTTTGGCCCAGAGCAGATAGCTGAGCTGGAGTGTGCTTTAGTCATGACTCTCCATGGTGTATATTTTGGAAACTGAAGACCCACCTGCTGACCTGGGCCTTGAAAACCTCACAATTCCAGCCTCCGTTTTGTCTGATCCCAAGGAAGATGAGACAAAAAAGCCACTACACCCCTGCCCCCATCTGCTGCTGACCATTGCTGGGGATCTGCACTCTTCCTTCTGCCTGGAGCGAGTGGGAAGTGACCCTGGAGGAATACGGTTTGAAGCATTGATGAGATTTCTGCAGATCTTCATCTGGGCAGTGGGGAGCGTGTTCCAAAATGTGAGAGACTCATTTAGGCAGTTAGTGAGGGTGATCCCATTCTCTCTGCTCAAAGTAGCAGGGAGGGAATGGGAAAGGCCCTTTTATGCAATACTGGATAGTGGTTCAGAGCCCACATGAAGGAAGGAACCCCACTTCCTGGTCAGAGTCCAGGTCTGCTGTTTATCAACCCTATGATTTGAGGCAAGTACCTTAACATCTCTATGCCTCAGTTTCCTTATGTGGGAACTGGAGACTTAGGCTTGCTATGTGAAGCCCAGTTCAGAACACTTTACTCATATTTCTCCAATTAATCCTCACAACCATCCCAGTAGGTAGACACTATTATTATCCCCATTTACAGATGAGAAAACTGAGTCACAGAGCTGGGAAATGGCAGAGGCAGCATTCAAATCTAAGCAGCCTGGCTCCATTATCAATGTTCTTAGCTGCTCAGTAGACTGGGGAACAATGTCACTTTTTTCATAGGGTTGTTGTGAGAAATAAATGAGTTAATCATGTTGAGTGCCTACCACAAACAGTGCCTCCCCCACTGCTTGCTTTAAGCAAGTGTTCACCAGATGCATGCTACCTCTTGTTAAGCTATCATGTGGGGCTGGTGACAAAGACACTGAAGTGAGAGAGAGCATAGGAATAAAGATGGGACAGCAGGAAGCAGTGAGGTACATCTGAGATGACTTTGGTCTTCTTTTCCCTGGCAGTCCCCTCTTCTCTTCAAGCAGCAAGGATGATATTATTGGGGTCCAAAGGTACACAATTTTATCTCTGCATAAAATTTCATAAAGAAATTTTGTTCTCAGTTTGCATTCGGTGATCTGTGATCCCATTCCCACACGTTTGAAGCTCTGAGCACAGGCAAAAAAATCAAATTACTCAGGCCATCCTGCCCCAACAGGCTCTTCCTTTCTGTTTCAGCTTCCTAAGAAACACCCTTTTCTCTCAGGGACTGACCTGTGTTCTGCTCACTGTGTTTGCTGCACAGCCCCAATGGCCAGACGCATTTTTTGCCCTGCTTTGCCCCTTGCTATGCACCAGGAGGCTGACTCTAGGAATCTCCTGCCAGCTGGCTTCCCATAGGGCTTGGTCAGCAGAAGGCACCAGCAGGAAATACAGGAGGAAAGAGGTCAGGGCACTTCTTCCTGTCTTCACTGGTGTCTAACAAAGCCTGTGATGCTTTGCTGTTGTAGCTCCCATGGAATGAGGGGAGTTCATTCACAACTCCTGTCCCCAGGGCTCTGGTAACTTGGTAACTCTATTTCCTCCTTTTGTCCTTTTGGCCCTAGGAGTGATCGTGGCTTCCCAGTGTTGCTGGTGTCTGGTGCCTTGTCACCCTTGTTTGCTCCTTATCCCTTTGCACAGCACTGTAAGACACACCTGATCCACACTCAATTTGTGCCATCTAGTTGAACTCAGGGCCTTGCCACGACCATGGCTGACACATCTACATGCCCAAGATCACTCTACCCGTGAGGCCCAGAGGTGGAGCCATATATTTTCCATTAACTTTCATTGTAAAAGTTAATCTCGCTGAAAATGTCAGATAGTACATTTTTAATATTTATTGACACTAAGATTAGAATTGATAGGTGAGCATGAAAAAGAAAACAAGTATCATACATATTCACCGCACACAAAGATAACCACTATTTTACTGTGTGCATTTTTTCCTATTACAAAAAAATGCATATACTATTGTTTATTGGCTGAAATATTGTGAACAATTTCCTTCATCAATAAATATACTTCAACATCAATACATTTCTTTCTAATACCTCATCAAAATTCTTAATGACTACAGAGTCATATCTAAGCTTGTACCATAGTTTAATGAGTCCCCTATTAGCAAGCATTCGAGTAGGTTCCAATTTTTCCTTGTTATAAACAGTGCTGCAATAAACATCCTTGTACGATATAAAATACTTGAAAATACAACACAATCAACTTAGTCTTCCTAAACCAAAAGCCACACATATACAGCAGCAGCAGCAGGGTCACTCCCTCTCAAGAGATAATAATATCTGCCTCCCCTGCCTCCCACTGATGTTGTGAGGTTCAACTGAGAAAATGTATATGTAAGTTCTTCATAAACTGTAAAGTGTATGGGGTGGTTATTATAGTATGAGCTTATTCTTTCGTAATAACCTTGTAAGACAGCACCATGGATATATCCTCAAGGCACATTGTACTGACAATTTTGCCAGACATAAAGAATTGAAAGCTTACTTTTAGGCTTTTATATATTTATTTCTCTTTAACACAACAAAGAGTTGTGTGTTAGAAAAGCAGCCTTCCTGTACAAGAGTAAACTACCAGCTGGCAGTGCATTCTATCTGTTCTGGTGCATGTCAACTCATTACATCCCCTCGAGAGGACCACTGCAAACAATTGAAGGAATTTGAGTTGCCTAAAAGGTCCCCATGGCTCTGAAAGTCCCTCCTGTAATACTGGTTACCCCAACTCCTAAAGCAGATTAGTCATAATGACTACTTTCCATTCCTTTCCTAATAGTCTCTTCTAAAAAGCACTTTAGGTAACTCTGCTTGATGAAAAAAAAATTGAGCAGCAGTTCCGTTTTTTTTAATGGGAACTTTTATGTCAAGTATAGAAGCTGCACTGACATCTCACATGAAAACCATCCCATCACTCAGCAAGAGGCACTCCATTTTGGATGGATTCTTGATTTACTTTCTGTGAATCTAAGTTCATGGATTTTCTGCTCTTGCTAACGCAATACTATTAAAATGTCAGAACACAGTTTCCTGGAGCAAGAGTCTTATATAGTTTTCAACTCTTAATGAGAGGCATCAGCCAAGTTTTTAAAATCTTGACTTGAATCATGCTTAATGCTATTTGTTAACTAGTGTGAAAAGGTTTCTATGTGTTAAAGTGGTAATGTTCTACCAAGGTAAATGATGTTCTGGGGCATGATATTCTATCTGGTTGCTTGCTTTCTATCCCTATTCGACTTTTTTACAAAAATTCAATGGAGGGGACATAGTCCTACTTTATAATGTTAAGAAGCGTTTTTACTTTAAGTTCGCTCAAATTAAGAAAAGACACAGGGCCGGGTGCTGTGGCTTATGCCTGTAATCCCAGCACTTTGGGAGGCTGAAGCGGGTGGATCATGAGGTCAGGAGATCGAGACCATCCTGGCTAACACAGTGAAACCCCGTCTCTACTAAAAATACAAAAATTAGCTGGGCGTGCTGGCAGGCACCTGTAAACCCAGCTACTCAGGAGGCTGAGGCAGGAGAATCACTTGAACCCGGGAGGCAAAGGCTGCAGTGAGCCGAGATAATGCCACTGCACTCCAGCCTGGGCAACAGAGCGAGACTCCGTTTCAAAAAAAAAAAAAAAAGGAAAGAAAAGAAAGAAAAGATACAAAGCCTCCTCTTGAACTGTTTTCTCAACTACTTGATCATCTGTGATCTGTGTCTCTTCTGGGAAGGACGGACAGGCAAAGCAGGGTCCAGTGTTCATGTGCTGAACGTAACTTGCCCTAACAGCACAAGAAGCCCAAGGGCTTGTTTTCTGTGTGAGTCAAGGAAACACCTGCTACCTCCTGAGACAAGCCCAATCCACGGGTATTGGCAAGGAAAGGTATGCAGGCCTTGCACAGAGATACTGAAATTGCTTTTGTTTCCTTCCTTCCTAATTTTGTCTCTGTAGATGTCTCACTGTTTCCATGGGTTTATTCATTTCTATCACCACCACTACCCCCACTTTTTTTTACAGTTGTGTATTCAAGCAGAGAAAATGAGTTTAAAAAAACAATTATGATAGTGAAAAAAAGAACAGATTCAAAACTGCCATATATGTGAGGCCCATGGGAGTCCCTGATTAATTTTCATTTTTATCATTTAGTTCTGAGATTGGCCTATTTTGGTAAATGTGAGAGCAAGTGTGGTTATGGACTTGATTACCTTGCAACCTTAAAAACAAATAAACCAGCTTGAGTCTTTTTCTTACCATGGTGGGTTCCTGTTAGGCAAGAACTGCAACTCCATGAGCAAGTTGTCCCAACACCACAGGGGCAGACCTTCATCACATAGCAACTCCCAAAATGGGAATTGGAGTGGATTTTAGAACACAGTCAGCTAACATTGAGAACATCATGGTTGTAGGCAAAACTTTCCGTTCCTCTATTTGTCTCTCTGCTCCGTTCTTGGGTCCATATTCTCCTACACATTTTGGATGCTTGAAATACTGATTCTGAAAGAATAATCAATTAGCAAATAGTTACAAGGAGTAGGACACTCAAGGAGTCTAGTTGAAAACAAAGGACCAGCATGATAATTGTACAAAAAGTACTTGTAGAAATTCAAAAGTGGAAAAAACGCTATATATTGGGAAAGATTAGGAAAAGTTACACATAGAACAGCAAGGTGAGCTGAGCCTTAAGTAGGTAGGAAGGTTGGATGAGACTCAGCAGGGTAGACGGGAGAAGCCATGGCATTTGTGGAGTACAAGTTGACAGAGGCAAGGAGGTAGGTTTGGTCAGGTGTGTTAAGGAGACAGTGAGTCTGGTCAGAAAGGAGTTTTCAAGGAGTGGAAATGGCGCCTAAGGGCAGCATATTGTTAGGAACCAGTTTATTGAAAGAAAGCCTCCAAGTGCAGTGGCTCCCACCTGTAATCCCAGCAATTTGGGAGGCCAAGGTGGGCAAATCACTTGAGCTCAAGAGTTTGAGACCAGCCTGGGCAACACAGCAAAACCTCATCTCTACAAAAAGTACAAAAATTAGCCACACGTAGTGACATGCACCTGTAGTTACTTAGGGGGTTGAGGCAGGAGGATCGTTTGCACCCAGGAGGTTGAAGTTGCAGTGAGCCATGATTGTGCCACTGCACTCCAGCTTGGGTGACAAAATGAAAAACAGAAAGAAAGAAGGAAGGAAAGAAAGAAAGAGAGAGAGAGAAAGAAAGAGAGAGAGAGAGAAAAAAGAAAGCCTAGGGGATTTGGATTTCATCCTATAGGCAATAGAAAGTCACGGACATTTTTGGGCAGGAGACAGGCATGGAGGAAGAGAGCTCTAAAGATGACTAATCTGATGCTAATCACCAAAACCAGTGTCAGGAGGCTCCCACACAGTCCAGCTGTGAGGCCATGAAGCCTGAGAGACTGGGATCTGCCCACTGCCAAGAATTCTGGAGGCTGCCCAGGGTCCCCTTGGGAAACACCTTGCAGAGAAAGCCTTTCCCTTTCTCTAAAAATCTCCAAATTCTAATCCCCTACTTTGCCCTTGACAGTCTGGTCGACTATGCTGTACTAAGATGTTAAGAGCAGATTATAACTTAAAGTAGGTACAAGAGAACACAAAATTGCACAGGGAGGAGAAATATTAAGAAGCAGGCTCACTATGAGAAATAACTTTTCATAGAAGCCTTCAGAACATATCTAGTAACATCTAGTTTTCAATAGCAAGAAACAAAAAAACAATTCGAGTGTTCTGGGATGGGGGAAGTTTCACAAGATGCCATTTACTTCAAATTTTTCTTCAAGTGGTGTCATTGGGTTGTGGTTGGTGGCTATGACACCAAGAGAAAGCAAGTTAACTTGGATTAAGTCTCTTTTCTGCTTTCCAAATTACATAGATTTCTCAGGGTCTTTGCCTTCCCCACATCTGGACTCCAGGAATGAATCATTTAAGGAGGCACCCCCGGACAGGAGTTTCTGTTCTCTACAGTTGTTCTAATGTGCACTCTGTACTTCGACTGCCTGTCAGACAAATCAGGGAAGAAAGCAGGAGTCTCTAAAGCAGTCATGCAAATTTCCCCAGGCTTACAGTCTCAAAGAAATTGGGCCTGGCCAAAATGACCTCAGGCATCCACTGAGGAGAAGAACTTGCTTCTAAGAACTTCTCTCCAGCCTTCCATGTTTCCTTCCATGACAGGCATCTGTGGGGTGACAATTAGGTGTGGTGGGTGGGCATTTCTGTGGGCTGGCAGCCTATTTTAACTTCCAACTGTGGGAGTAAGCTTTAACTCTGTGCTAAAATTAGGGGAATCCAGTAACTCCTGTGGTTATTTCAATCAGTTCCCACTTATTGAGTAGCAGCGGCACAGTTAAGTAATAACATGGTAACCTTGCCAAGACATAAATGAAATGCTGAGTGTTGCCCAGTTGGAGCTGAAATCGCTTCAATGATCTAAGCTGAGAGCCAAACCAACAAAAGGGCTGCTGGCCTCTGGGGGTGGGGGAAACTGGGGACATGGAACAGAATTCCCAGAGCAGCTCCTCGGATGCTGGGGGCAGATTTAAGGGAGTGGGCACTGATTGGCCTGGCAATCCAAACTTCACTACAGAAATGCCAACAGCCCCAGGGGTCAGAAAGGCTCAGTTTGCTCTCCCTCCAAGAGAAGGCACGTGGGCTCTGCCAGAGGAGCCCACTGCCAGACCCAGGGCTCCTGGAAAGACCTTGGCCCCTGGTGCTTGAGTTCACACCGTGGCAATGAATGTAATCATGATCCAGAGAAGCAGCTCCTAAGCCACACTATGGAGAACATTGTTCTGATTGGCTCTGCTATGAGAGGATGGTTTTCTCTAGCTGAGAGAGACAGAGGTGCCATGCCAGCTCCCAGTTCAGACCGGCAGGTGCGGTCAAGAGAAGATCAAAAGAAGGAGAAGGGCAGAATCTTGAAGAAAGGTTCTAGCCAGGATGCTTAGGGTACCAAAGGGCCAACAAGCCCTAAGTCATCCCCCTTGGGTTGGGGTTAGAGCTGGGGGAGGGACCTGCAGTGACGGAGGTCATTGATAACTGTAGATTGAGCATGCAAGTTTTCAGTTCATGCAGGACTCTTTAGCTCCCCTTCCCCACTCTTCTGAAAGTCTTAGCCATTTTACTCTGATGGTTAAGTGGACCTGAGTTCAAGTCCAGTGTGCACTCCAGGAGTCAGGGCCTACACAAGGCCAGGAATGCCAGGAGACAGGATTGTTGGTGACCATCTCAGAAGTCTGCCTGCCACACATTATGATCATTTAGCCCAGGGGTAGCCAATCTTTTGGCTCCCCCTGGGCCACATTGGAAGAAGAATTCTCTTGGGCCACACATAAAATACACTAACACCAATGAAAGCTGATAAGCTAATAAAAAAAATGACGGAAAAATCTCATTATGTTTTAAGAAAGTTTATGAATTTGTGTTGGGCCGCATTCAAAGCTGTCCTGGGCTGCCTGCGGGCTGTGGGCCATGGCTTGGCCAAGCTTGATTCAGCCTGAGAACCGAGTGAGCATCAGAGGAGAAGGAAAAAGGAAACCTGTCCACAGCACTACCTGTTTTACAGTGGCTGTCAACTCTGGCTGCACTTTAGAATTACTTAAGAGCTTTTTAAAAATACCTATATCTGGGCCCCACACCACATATTCTAATTTAACTAGTCTCAAGTGGGTGCTAGGCTCCCTCCCCATGTGATTCCAATGAGCAGCAGGCCAGGCAAATACTGATTTCATCTTTCTAGCAAAGGTTAGGTAAGGAAGGGGATTTAAGCTTTGACTAACACAAAGGATGAACATAAACTCTGAGGGGTTTCCAGGTGGAAAGGCATGTTAAAAGTCACCAGACAGATCCTGCTCCTCTTGACCTGAGAACACCATCCCTGACACCATCACCTCCACACCATCCCCGACAAGGAGAGACACCTTGACCTCTGCACCCCCTTCTCCCCCACGCACACTCGTGGCCAGGCAGTTCACAGTGGGACACAGCTGACTGCTCAAAGGTTACCTTATGTTGAGCTGATTTCAATGATCTCTTCTATTCTTATTCCCATCCTTTGAGTTTTAGTAGAAAGACATAAAGAAAATTCCACATGATGTTGTTTAAAAAAAAAAATCTGAGCACCAGCTGTGTTACTGGATTGAAGGTTTGGCCCTGTTGTACTTTCAAATAACGATGATGCCTGCCCAAGTCAGAGGGACAGGTCTCAGCAGCTGTGAAGCTCATCTCCTCTCTCTGCCCCTGGAAACTCACCTGCCTGGTGTCCTAACTTGTCTACACTACAGCATCTCTCATCTTTTAACAGTACCAGGGGGTTAAGAGCTTAACGGGTTTCCTTGACTTTTGTTTTAACAATTACCTTCACTGCCTTACACTAAACTTGAGGCTATATAAAAAAGTCGCTTTTATATCATTAATTAAGTAATGTTTTCATTTTACAAATTTTTTTTTTTTTTTGAGATGGAGTCTTGCTCTGTTGCCCAGGCTGGAATGCAGTGGCGTGATCTCGGCTCACTGCAAACTCTGCCTCCCAGGTTCACACCATTCTCCTGCCTCAGCCTCCCGAGTAGCTGGGACTAGAGGCGCCCGCCACCACGCCCAGCTAACTTTTTATATTTTTAGTAGAGACGGGGTTTCACCGTGTTAGCCAGGATGGTCTCGATCTCCTGACCTCGTGATCTGCCCACCTCGGCCTCCCAAACTGCTGGGATTACAGGCGTGAGCCACCGCACCTGGCCTTACAAATATTGTTTTAAAGCCTATTCTGTTTGCAGAAGTGCTAGTTTACAGAGAAGTTAATGGTGAAGTAAAGGCAGACCCAGTTCCCCCTCATGGGAGCGTTAACTATATAATCACACAAACACATGTTAGGCCACACCTGGGATCTGGGGTGTACATCAGAGGTGCCTGGTGATTTGAGGGCACATTAACCTTGCCTGAGTGTCAGGGAGGGCTTCCCTTGAAGATCTGAGGCTTTAGCGGAGATGGGGAGGGTGAGGAGGAGTTAACTCTGGGGAGGGTGGGGACCAGAGCATCCAGACAGAGGAAGTCTTGCAGGCAGAGGCCCTGGACTGGGAGGGAACACGAGTAGGAGAAATTGAAAGGAGAGTTGTGTGACTGAGACCCAGAGCAAGGGAAAGTGGGCTGACAAAGGGGCAGGAGCCATCTTAAAGTGCATTATGACCCTAAGAACAATGGGAAGACATCAAAAAGTCTTTACTAGGCAGGGGAAAATGTTTAAATGTTAGCAGTAAACTTCACATAAGATAATTCCTCACTGGCCAATTCATACCATTATTCTGCATTTAGGTTTTAAAACATGGAAAGTTCCTTTTAAAAGCCAAAACATCCTTTTTAAATATCCAAAGGCCTCTATCATTTATTCATTCATTCTACAACTATTCTTGAGCACCCACTATGCACTGGGCCCTGCCTCTCGGTCACCGCCAATATCGAGCTTACATGCGGGTGAGAGAGACAGACAAGGAACAACAGCCGCATGGCCAGGGGTCTCTCCAGGGCTCTTGGTACTCCAGTGCCTCCCTGCACCCAGCCATCCTCAAAGCAACATTGGTATGAATGAGGCTGAGACTCACAGAGAAAGACAATAGTGGACAAAACAAAGTCGTGGCTCCCTGCAGGCTGACAGCCTAGTACAGGGAGCTAAGAACACATAACAGATGAATAGCTATACACACACCAGGTAGTTATAAATGCCATGAAAAATAAGACAGATAAGAGGAGTACAGAATGATGAAGGGCTTGCTATTTTATATACGATGGTCAAGAAAGTCTCTGATTAAGTGTCATTTGAGCAGAGAATGTGCTAGGAAGCTCTATGGAGGAACAGCATTCCAGGGAGATGGAATCACAAATGCAAAGATTCCGAGGTGGAAGCATGCTTGCTTTGTTCCGGGAACACAAGGAAGTCAGTGTGTCTAGAGGGGTGCACAGGGAGTGGCACGGCAAAGGGAATTGCCCCTCAGGAGCAGAGGGTTATGTCAGAGGGGAGGCGCGAACCAGGTCGCATAGCACATTCTAGGATGTAATGAGTGTGGATTCTATGTTGCCATGGGAAGCCAGCATCCTTGCACGAGGTGGTTAAGTGCTGAGAGAAGATAAATCAGATTAAGGGGCTAGAGAGAGACTGGAAGCCTGGGGAAGCTATTTGAAACAAACGGGCAGAGGAGCTCTCTCTGAGGAAGTGACTTTAGGGCTGAGTCTTGAAATATCTGAAGTAGCGACCATGCAGATTTCTGGGATAAGCCAGTTCCAGGCAGAAAAAATAGCACTGAAGTGGGAATAAGCATCACATATCCTGGAAAGAGCAAGAAGGTCAGCGTGGCCAGGGCACAATACCAGAGGAAGCAGGGGGAGGAGGCCAGCCCTGTGGAGGCCGTGGGACGGTACTTGGCTTTTATTCTAAATACACTGGGAAGATTTTCGAGGACTGTAAGTAGAAATGACATGGTATGTGTTTTCGTGGGATTACTCTGATTGCTGCATTGGGAATAGACAATAGCAGGGAAGAAGTGGAAGCAGGGAGACGAGATAGAACCCTGTTGCAGTAGCTAAGGCCTAAGATGGCAATGGCCTAGACAGAGGTGGCTGCAGGGATTAGGTTCAGGACCTATTTTGAAAGCAGAACTGGCAATACTCACTAATAAATAGGATATGGAGGTAGAAGAAAGAGAAATCAAAGATGACTTCTGTTTTTGTTGTAGCTTGCTTGTTTTTCGAGGGAACTGGCTGAAAACCCAGTAGATTTTGGTGGCTGTTCTTGACTAAGAAGAGTGTGGAACAAAGTCACAGAGCCACGGCCCCAGACAAGACCTGGATGAAGCGCTACAGCCTGGTAGTGCCAAGACTGGGAGGGAAACAGAAGAGCACTATGAGACAGAATCCAGAAGCAAGGAGAGGAAGGAAAGGCCTTGGACCCCCTAAGGAGAAGGAGGTTGGGAGGACCTATTAGGGAACACTTCACAGCTATGCTCCCTAGATTACTTTTGTGATCATTATAGAGTAAAACTGACTTTGTGTCTGTATATATTTACAGGTCTATGAATTTCAGTCATTGTATAATATACATATAAAACCACTACCACAATCAGGATACAGAACAATTCCATTGCCCTAAAAAACTCCCTCATGGCATCCCGTGTGTTTGTTTGTTTGTTTGTTTGTTTGTTTGTTTGTTTTTGAGATGGAGTCTCACTCTGTCACCCAGGCTGGAGTGCAGTGGCGTGATCTCAGCTCACTGCAACCTCTGCCTCCCACATTCAAGCAATTCTTCTGCCTCAGCCTCCTGAGTAGCTGGGACTTCAGGCATGTGCCCCCACACCTGGCTAGTTTTTGTGTTTTTAGTAGAGATGAGGTGTCTCCAGTGTTGGCCAGGCTGGTCTTGAACTCCTCATCTCAAGTGATCTGCCTTCCTCAGCCTCCCAAACTGCTGGCATTACAGGCGGGAGCCACTGCACCTGGCCCATGGTATCCCTTTGATCTGTTCTCCATTCATCGTGTCTTTTTGAGGCTGCCATAGAAATTGAATCATATAGTATATAATCTTTTGAGACTGGATTCTTTTTTTTTTTTTTTTTTTGAGATGGAGTCTCGCTCTTTCGCCCAGGCCGGACTGTAGTGGCAATATCTTGGCTCACTGCAAGCTCCGCCTCCCGGGTTCACGCCATTCTCCTGCCTCAGCCTCCCGAGTAGCTGGGACTACAGGCGCCTGCCACTGCGCCCAGCTAATTTTTTGTATTTTTAGTAGAGACGGGGTTTCACCGTGTGAGCCAAGATGGTCTCAATCTCCTGACCTCGTGATCCGCCTGCCTTGGCCTCCCAAAGTGCTGGGATTACAGGCGTGAGCCAGCACGCCCAGCCGAGACTGGATTCTTCCATGCATAATGCCTTTCAAAGGCCTCTGAGATTCATCCACTTGTTGCTTTTTATTGCTGAGTAAATATTCCAATGTATGGATGTACCACAGTTTGTTTGTCCATTCATCCATTGAAGCACACTCAAAGTATTTCCAGATTGGAGCAATTAGGATGAAAGCTTTTGGCAGGCACGGTGACTCATGCCTATAAGGCCAAGGTGAGAGGATCAGTTGAGCCCAGGAGTTTGAGGCCAGCCTGGGCAACATGGTGAAATCCCGTCTTTACAAAAAATACAAAAATTAGCCAGGTGTGCACTTGAGCCATGGAGGTCAAGGCTGCAGTGAGACATGACCATGACACGGCACTCCAGCCTGGGTAACAAAGTGAGAAGACTTGGCCTCAAAAAAAAAAGCTGCTAAAAACATTCATGTGTAGGCTTTCATAAAAACATAAGTTTTCATTTCTCTAGGGTAAACACACAGGAGCAGGATTGCTGGGTCATATGGTAAGTGCATGTTTAACTTTGTAAGAAACTTCCAAACTGTTTTCCAGGATGGGTCCTGCATTTTGCATCCCCACCTACAATGTGTGAGAGTTTCATTTGCTCTGCATCTTCACCAGCACTTTGTGTTGTCAACATTTTTCTTTTACTTCAATAGATAGAAGTTAAAACTACAATTAGCTATCACTACATTTGTGGTGGCAACTTAGCCTCTTAAGTTTTTAAGTGCACTACATTTGTAGTGGTAGCTAATTGTGGTTTTAATTTATATTTCCCTTATGACTAATGATATTGAACATCTACTTAAGTGTTTATTTGCCTTCTTTATGTCCTCACTGGTGATGTGTTCAAAACCTTCGCCCATTTTTTAGTGGGTTAACTGTTTTCTTCATGTTAAGTTTTGAATAATCTTTACCTATTCTAGATACAAGTCCTTGGCCAGATAGGTAATTCGAAAATGTATTTTCCCAGTGTGTGTATTGACTTTTCATTCTCCAAGATAGATCTCTCACAGAGTAAAAGTTCTTAATTTTGATAAAGTCCATTTGTCAATTTTTAAAAATAAATTGTGCTTTTGGAGTCATGTCTAAGAACTCTGCATAATAACAGATAATAAGATTTTTTTCTAGGTTTTTTTCTAAAAGATTTATAGTTTTACCTATTATATTTAAGTCTATAATCCATTTGGAGTTAATTTTTGTATGAAGTATGAGGTTTAAGTCAGGGTTCTTTTTTTGCATATAGGTTTTCAACTGTTTTAATACCATTTGTTGACAACATTATTCTTTCTCCATTGAACTGTTTGTGCACCTTTGTCAGAAATCAATTAGCTGTCTGTTTTGGGGTCTATTTTTAGACTCTATTCTCTTCCAACAATCCTGAACCTTTTCCTTTGTCAATACCATACTGTCTTAATTACTCTAGCTTCATAATTAGTCTTATTGTCGGGTGGTGTGATTCCTCCAGTCTTATTCTGTTTTCAAATACTAAAATAATTGCTTTGAATTTTCATATAAACTTTTTATGACTTTACTTTTTGTTTTTTAAATGTTTATAACAGATATATTATTTTTTTCACTGTTGTAAGGACACTTAACATGTCAACATATCTACCCTTTTAAGTTTTTAAGTGCACAATATTAATTGTAGGCACAATATTGTACAGTAGATCTCTAGAACATGTTTGTCTTGCATAACTGAAACTTCATACCCATTGAAGACGAATCCCTCATTGCCCTCTTCTCTTTATCCCTGGCAACTACAGTCCTACTCTCTTATTTTATGTATTTGGCTATTTTAGATATCTCTTATAAGTGAAATCATACAGCCATTTGTTTTTATGTGATTGGCTTCTTTCACTTAGCATAATGTCCTTCAGGTTCATTCATGTTGTCACATATGGCAGGATTTACTTCTATTTTAAGGCTAAATAGTGTTCCATTGTGTATAAATACCACCTTTTATTTATCCATTCATCTGTTGACAGACACTTAGGTTGATTCCATATCTTGGCTATTATGAATAACGCTGCAACAAACATGGAAATGCAGATATCTCTGTATATGTTCTTAGGAGGTATGTCTATTCAAGGTTCTTTGCCAATTTTTTAGTTGGGTTATTTTATTTTTATGCTATTCAGCTGAAGGTGTTTTTTAATCTTATTTTAGATACTAAACTCTTATCAGAATATGGTATGCAAATATTTTCTCCCAGTCTGTTGATTGTTTCCTTTGTTATACAGTATCTTTTCAGTTTGATGTAGTCCCACTTGTCTATTTTTGCTTCTGTTGCTTGTGATTTTGATGTCATATCCAAGAAATCATTGCCAAGACCAATGTCATGAAGCTTTTCCTCAATGTTTGCTTCTAGGAGTTTTAAAGTTTCAGGTCTTATGTTTAAATCTTTAACCAATTTTGCATTGATTTATATGTATGGTGTCAGATAAGGGTACAATTTCATTCTTTCACATGTATACATACAGTCTTCTTAATAAATTTAAAAGGCCATATACCATGATGAAGTAGGATTTATCCCTGGGATGCAAGGATGGTTCAACATATGCAAAGCAATTAAAGTAATACAGGACATTTAAAAAGGATTCAAAATTACATGATCATCCCAAAAGATGTAGAAAACGCATTTAACAAAATTAAAAATCCTTTCATGAAAAAAAAGAAACCCTCAACAAACTAGGTGTAGAAGGAATTTACCTTAACTTAATAAAGGCTGTATATTAAAAGCTCACAGTGATGTCAGACTCAATGGTAAATTAACAAAAGCTTTTCCTGTAAGATCAGCAAGGCAAGGATGCTCACTCTCAACATAGCACTGAAAGTATTTCTAGGCAACATTGTACAGGAAGTCGTAGCCAGGCCAGAAAAAGAAATAAAAGTCATCCAAATCAGACAGGAAGAAATAAAATTACCTCTTTACAGATGGCATGATCTTATGTGTAGAAAGCCATGAAGACTCCACAAAAACCTATTAGAACTAATAAATGAATTCAATAAAGTTGCAGGTACAAAAATCAGTTGCATTTCTATAGGCTAATAATGAACTATCCAAAAAGGAAATTAAGAACAATTCCATTTACAGTAACATCAATAATTAAAATACTTAGGAATAGGCAACCAAGGAGATGAAAGAGTTATATACTGAAAACTATAAAGCATTGATGAAAGAAAGAAATACATAAATGAATTGAAAGATATTATGTATTCATGGATCAGAAGACTTAATATTGTTAAAATGTCCCTATTACCAAAAGTGGCCTATAGAGTCAATGTAATCCGTATCAAAATCCCAAATGGCATTTTTTACAAAAATAGATAAAACAATTTTAAAATTCACATGAAGCCACAAAAGACTCCAAATAGCCAAATCAGTCTTGAGAAAGAAGCACAAAGCTGGAGACATCACACTTCCTGATTGAAAAATATATTGCAAAGCTACAATAATTAAAACAGTATAGTATTGGCATAAAAACAGGTATATAGATCAATGGAACAGAAGTGAGGGTTGAGAAATAGATCCACATATATACAGTCATCTGATCTTCAACAACAGTGCCAAAAATGCACAATGGAGAATGGATAGTCTCCATATAAATTTTAGAATCAACTTGTCTCTACCTACAAAAATGCCAGGTAGGATATTTTGATTGGAATTGTGTTAAATCTACAGATCAGTCTGAGGCTAACTGACCTCTTTACAACTTTGAGTTTTTCAATCCACGAATGGGGTATGCCTCTTCATTTATTTAGGTCTTTCTTGATTCCTGTAATTATCATTTTGTAGTTTTTTGCACAGATCCTGTGGGTGTTTTGTTATATTTATAGCTAAATATCTCACTTTTCAAAGCTACTATAAATTTTTAAAATTTGTTTTCTAATTATACATTGCTATTACATAAAAATATTATTAATTTTTCTGTACTTACCTTGTATCCTGCAATCTCATTAAACTCACTTCTTTGTTCTAGGAGACTTTTTTGTAGATCCCTTGGAATTGCCTTCATAGACATATATGACACTTGGTGAATAGGGATAGTATTATTTCCTCCTTTCCAATATATATGACTCACTTATTTTGTCTTTTTTATCTGTTGTCTTTCTTGTCTTTTATGTTCAACACTGTGCTTGCTTGAACTCCCAGCACAATGTTGAGTAGGAGTAGTGAGTATGGAGATTATTGTCTTGTTCCCTATTTTAGAAGCAAAGTACATAATCTTTTATCATTAAGCATCATGTCAGCTAGTTTTTTATATGTGCTATTTATTGTTTGAGGAAGTCCCCTTCAATTTCCAATTTTCTAAGAGTTTTTATCATGAATAGATGTTGAATTTTGTCATGTGATTCTTCCACAGCAAATCAAATGAATGTGTGATTTGGGTTCTTAAACTGTTAATATAGTGGATTACACTTGGTCATGGTATGATAATTCTTTTTATGTATAGCTTGATTTGACTTGCTAATATGTTGAAGAGTTTTTTTGTGTTTATGTTAATCAGGAATACTGCTCCGTAGGTTTTTTTTTTTGTTATCTTTGTGTTTTTATTATCTTTGTGTTTATTATCTTTTTTTGTATGTATCTTTATAAGATGCAGATGCAGGTAAAGCAGTGATTAGAGGAAAACTTCTACATTAAATGCTTATTTAAAACGTTTAATAATGCTAGGAAAAAAGAAAGGATTTAAGTCAACAATGTAAGCTTTCACCTGAAGAAACTAGAAAGAGAAAAACCCAAAGCAAGCAGGAGGAAAAAAGCAATAAAAAATAGAGCAAAAATCAATGAGACAAAACATATGTGTTTGATATCAGGTTAATGCTGGCTTCATAATATGAGTTAGGAGTGTTTTCTTCCATTTTCTAGAAGAGATTGTGTAGAGCTGATCTCATTTCTCTTTAAATTTTAGAAGAATTAATCAGTGAAATCATCTGTACCCTGTAGATTTTTTTTCAGAAGAATTTTAATGACAAATTCCATTTGTTAATAGTTATAGAACTATTTAGGTTATCTATTTTATCTTGAGAGTCCTGATAGTTTGGGCTTTTCAAGGAATTGGTATATTTCTTCTCAGTTGTTGAATTTATGTGCATAGAATTATTTGTAGTATTCCCTGATGCTTTTTTTTTATTGAGTTGTTTGTAGTATTCCCTGATGCTTGTTTTTTTATTGTGGTATATAGGATCTATAGCAGTATCTTCTCTTTCATTCTTGATGTCAATAATACTAGTCTTTCTCTCTCTCTCTCTCTCTCCCTCTCCCTCCTCCTCCTCTTCCTTTTTCTCCTCCTCCTCCTCATCCTCCTCTCTCCCCTGCCCCACTTCATCTTATTGAAGGCCTATCAGTTTCAACAGTTTTAATGATCTTTGCAAAGAACCAACTTTTGGGTTCTTTGTTTATCCTCTATTATTTTTCTGTTTTCAATTTCATTGATTCTGTTCTTCATTGCTTCCTTTGTTCCTATTACTGCCATTAAGAGATTGCTTGGGGGCTGGAGTATGAGAGAACAGAGAAAATAAAAAAGTATTAATGGAGTTTTGCACTCTTTCTGAGAGTTAGAATCTCCTGCTCCTTGAACCAGCTTCTCCTGGAGTTCTCTCTGCTCCCTGGTGCCCACTTCTGGCTTTCAGGCCACGTTGTGTTCAGAATGGGAGATATCAGAGAGGAAAAATAATAAACTCACCATAAATTCAGCGATACTCCAAATTCTGGCCTTTTTCCTCAATTTGCTTGCTACTATTTAATTTTTGTGTTCCTTATACATTCTGTCCAGGTTCTATAGTTTCCTTAGAGCAACGAGGTGGAGTGTGTTTCTTTCATCTGACCCCATATTCTTTGAGCCAATTCAAAGAAGGGCATAGGACCTGATATATGGAACCATCTTATCTTCCACCATCACTATCATTCCATCTCCATGAGCTTATCTTCCACCACCACTCCATCTCCATGATTTCCATAGAGATCCCCTGCAGGTGAGATTAAGAGGACTTCAAAGATTGGCACCCTCATGACTAGACAGATCCTGGAGAGTTTAAAAGTATTTTTTCCCTTTAGAAATCAATTCCTACTACATAAGAATGGGTAGTTTTCCCCAAAGGGGATATTTAGTGAATACCATCTTGGGGAACTATGTTCAATTGTGGTATAGGTTTCCCTGAAGGCCTATGGTTGGTTTCATGAAATTATCTTCCAAGCCAGACTGACAGTTTTCGAGATGACTGGATTTTTCTTCAAGGAAAAGCAAGCTTACCTGTTCTCCAGGATCATGCATACTCCCTGTGGTCTTTTCTGATGCTAGGTAAATTTGTTCCAAGTTTCCCATGCTCTACTAAGAGTACAGGATCAACCAGAGCTGGGCATCCACATCATCCTCGTAAAGTGGAGTACCAATTCTCCTAGTGCAATTAGAGAGGAAAGCCCCAGTGGCAATACTCTTGCAGGCTTTATGGAAAGGTAAGTGTGGAGGAAGCCTAACACTAAATGAGAAATCCATACCTTTCCTACATGCCTGCCTGAACCAAATAAACCTTGTGTTACTATACAAGGGCTTGTCTTTTTAATATATTTTAAAATTAAAGTCAACATGGACATAGGGTGGGTGGCTCAAATTGAATGGTCATTGTGCACCAGGCTGGTTATCTCACTGTTAGTTACACAATAAAAGAGGATCAGATAAACACAGACATAACCTCTGCCTCCACTGATAATGTAAATCATCCCTTGTATCATTTGTCTTTCCTTCAGGCTGGATACAAAAGGCATAGAAATGAACAATTCATGCCTAAACATAGAAGAGCTTGAAAGCTAGTGTATGTCAGATGTTTATTCTAGGTCATCATTAAGGGGTTGAGTGGATTTGCTTATAAACACAGGCTATTCTGTCAGTGGGGAGTGGGAGAGATAGAGTGTGTTTTGCAGTTGGAGGCAGCTCTTTTAAAGCCATATTGCAACTTTTCTGCCATGCACAGTAAGTTATACAGATAATTCTTTTTATAGGTTATGAAATGTTGTTCCCTGAGCAGTGGAAAGTATAATATGCTATAGAAACAATGCTTTTTCTCTCCACTTTGTGCAAATGCCATTTTTCATTACCCACTGAGTGAGAGCTTGCTAGAGATTGAAATGAGAGCAGGGTTGCCCTCCCGCTAATGGTCAGGCACTTCATGACACACACTCAGCAACGACCTCCATGGGAACCCGAGGAGGTCTCCCCAAGCAGCTTCCCCCAAAATGAAGTCTGAAGTGCCAAGCCCTTGAAGGATGTCACATCTTTTCATGTTACCCATTTCCACCAGCCTCATTCTCTGCCTAGGGTTTTGTGGGTTGTTGTTTTTCCCACCCAGTCCAACCAAAGCAGCTAAAGAGAAAGTACCAAGACAAACAGAATGAGAGCCTTGGGGACCCCGTAATGGGTACAGAGCATGAGTGTGGTAATCATTCTTTTGATTTGTGCTCAGATATGTTTTCTATTTGCTTTTGCACAGAATGCACATTTTTCCCCCTGGATTGCAAATAATCTGAACCAGGGTAAAACCATTACAAAGTGGCCTTCAAACATCATGTCTGTATTGGAACTGAATGATTGATCAGACATTTAAATACGGAAACTGGGAATTCAGGTAAATGGCACTGATAGGGTTTTGTTTTTGGTTTTTTGCTTTTTGGTTTTTTTTTTTTTTTTTTTTTTTTTAAAAAGCATGCTCCAAGGTGTTTAAATAATCTTTGTTTGCTTGGGTTCTCTCTCTTTTTTGTTTTCTTTCTCTATCTTCATCTATCTTTTTTAAAAAAGAATTCTGCATTTTTCCCTTTTAATTATGCTCTCATTTCAGTGATTTGGTTTTATCCACAAAGCCAAAAATAAAGAAATGATTTTTATATGATTCCTAACAATTAAAACAGGGAGAAAAGATAGAATTCTCAACACCTCCCATGTCTGGTCATCTCTGCTCTTTTTCTGGGGCCATACTTCCCGGGACAATCTTCATCTTCTTACATTGTCATTGGTGTCTCCCGACCAGCCTCTTTTGAAGTTGATCGCAAGCAAAGAAAAAGTACACATAGAATGACTTCTTCAGCTGACTGTCCTCCATTCTCACCCAGAAGAGAGGGGAAGAGGAAAAGCCCGGTTGGGAAATAAAGATGAATGTGCTCCCACGATGCTGGGTGGGGCTGTTTTGTGCTGGAGCAGGCAGGCAAAGGAATCCCACCATGGGGCTCTTGAGTCCCAGGTTAATGTCAAATGCTGGGTTTTCTTTTAGTTACTCAAGGATCAAAGGGAAATTATTCAATAAAAAGGAACTTAAAGGGGACTTCTGTGCCCACATAAACCTTAATCAAAAACACTTGTTCAAATGTAGCTTCCTTGACCTGCCTTTTCATATTGTCTTTTCAGCTCTTATACATACACATTTGTGATTAAAATAAAGATTTTCTCCATCACCATTCAACATTTCCTTTTCCTCTCAGCTGACCAGAATTTCACCAGGGTGACATGACAGTTTGTTGCTAAGGAACTGAAGACTATGTCATAAGTGAGCATTCTGATGAAGAGGAGTGAACAGTTTGCAGCAGATTGGATATTAAGTATAAATCAGCTCTCTGTGTATGTCCTTGTGTGGTGGTATAACTGACAACAGGTGAGAAAAAGAAGGCTCAGGGCATTCCTGCTTGAAATGTGGATTCTTAGCCACCTCCTCTGTAAAAGCTACTACTCATCCCCTCAATTGCCTCTTGCTTTTAAGAATGTCCTCATGCATTCGAACTTTTCACTTCAGCTTGTTTTGCTTCTCTCTGCTCAGATCCATATTCCTCCACACAGTCGTGTCAGAGATTTATCACACTATGACCTCAGTCATATCCTCCTTTAAAAGGAGTCAAACACAAACTTCACAAAGCCTCTAATATTCTAGGTGTTCAGCAGGAAGACTGGAACATGAAATTCCTCCCACTTGGAGCACACCCACATAAATGTTTCTCTAAAATCTATTTATCTTAGTCACGACCTATGAACACGAATAGAATGTAGTGAATGTTCCCTGTCTCTCGTGTGCCTGAGCACTGGGAAAAGTTAGAATTTATACAGTTGTAATTTCTAGGGAGGAGTGCAACAACTTCACATTTTTTTAAACAGAATCATTTAAGAAGGAGAGCATTTTAAATGTGTCCCTTCTCTTTCGCACCATTTAAAAAGATCTCTGCATCTCAATGTGGTTCTTCTGCTATCAGATATGTGGCTGATTTTGTGATTGTTAGATTAAGAAAAATGGAAAATCTGACAGCACATGATTCCACAAATGAATGATACACATACAATAATAGGTAAGTACTCACCATGAGTAAAACAAACAAATATATACAGAAAAGGAAACAGTGATCCTTTGAGGACTGAAGATAAGAGCTTCATTACTTACATAGAAAACTGCAGGAAGATGTGATCTCGATTTGATTGAAGGGAAGTAAACTTCAGCGGTCAGATCCTTGGGTGGTGGGCCAACATTCTGCTTGAACTCTGTCTCTATCGCAGTGCGGGGCAATTTGGAGTAATGCATGTTTGTTCTGCCTAATTGAGGAGGTTGGAAGCTAATGAGTTTTCTGAACACTGCAAAGAAGAATGTTGCATATGAAAGAGAAGCCAAGGGGTACATGGAAATGAAAATGAAAATGAAAAAAAAAATGTCCTGAGAACATGGGAGAGTTCATTGTGTTGGGCTGGGAGAAGTCCAAACAAAATAGGTTTCAGAAAGAGGTGAAGCAGTTAAAAGACACTCACCCGAGCTAGAACAAAACTATAAATGTGGAGTTTGACCCTGACCTCCCATAAATGATGCAGGCATGTGTTGACAAGCAAACAGACCTACAGCATGCCATTTGATTCTGCCCATTATTTATCCCATTACATGGGAATTTCTTTCTGTTCCCCTTGGGGTTTTTTTCCCAACCACCCCAAATGTTTAAAGTCTATATGCAATCTGAGAAGAAAAAGTAAAAGCTACCTCAATTTACCTAATTTAATCTAAATACCTAATTGAAAATGTGTAATTGGACAGACAAGCCTTTGATTAGTGCCAATATAAATTTGGATTAAAGAGATTAGGGCTATTTAGCCTCAAGACAACAGTATTTAGGAGTCTCAACACAGATTGAATTGTTTCTATTCAGGGCTCTGCCAAAATGTAGAGGGATTCAAAAAAAAAAAAAAAAGAAGGAGCAAGAAATAGGCCCTGCCCTTGGGGATTTGGGACACAACAGTCTAAAACATATCAAAGAGACACACAAGATTGCCCAAGCTAAGGGTTCCAAGAGTAGCTTTGGCCAAACATGCTGCAGAAGAGAGGAGAAATCAGAAAAGCCTCGCAGAAAGGGAGATTCTTGTCCTGATCATCAAAAGATATAGAGGTGAGAAGAAGGAAGAGGGTGTCCTTGGGCTAGAGAATAATATACAGAAATGGAAGGAGGCCAAAATACCTCTGAGATGACTAGGAATATTCTGGTTCTTTGTTGGTGTGTGACAAACTACCTCAAAACTACGTGGATTAAAACAAAAATTTTATCGTTCTCACAATTTTTGTGTCGCAGTCATTCAGGAAAGGCTCAGCTGGGTGGCCTATCTCTGCTCTACATGGCACTAGGGTCCATTTCCAACATGGCTTCTTCACTCATACGTTTGGTGCTTGGAGTCTGTGGTCTCTTTCTCTCTCTCTCTCCCTATCTCCCCCTTCCTCACTCCCTATTATTTGCCCCTTGTCTAGGGCTTCTCACAATATGGCAACTTCAGGGTAGTAGGATTTCTTACAAGGCAGCAGAGGCTTCCAAGAGATTGTTCCCAGAGACACAGCCAGAAGTTGCAAGGTTTCTTGTGATTTAGCCTTAGAAGACCCAAACATCATGTCTACCACATTCGAATGTTTAAGCAGGTCTTGAAGGCCAGCCTATGTTCAAGGGAATGGGAATTAGACTGTATCTCTCAATGGGAAAAATAGACAAAAGAAAAAGTGTTGCCAACTTTTATCTACCAGAGGGAACAATTAATAAAGCAGATGGTTTAAGTGAGTGGTCAGAGCCACAGCAGGACAATCATCAGAGCGAGAGGTGGAGGATGAGTGCCAAGGACCTTGAAGGTGAAGTTGAGAGATTTGAACACTTAAAGAATAATACCTTCTTCTCCCAGCATAGTCTCTCTTGTGAAACTGCACTCAGCTGAATGGAAGAGAACACATGATCTCCTAGAGTTTCCAGACACTCAACTAGGGCGATGAAGGAGACTGAAATTCCCCATCTGAATCTCTCTAACAGGAGACTTTCTAGACAAAGCATATTTGGTTGTGAAGAATAGAAACTCATTCCAGCCAGTTTAAGAAAAGCAGGGACCAATTCAAAAGCACTGCAGGCAAGCGTAAGAGCATTCCAGGACAAGAGCTAGGGGATCTGGGCCACAGGAATTCTGACAAGTCTGATACTGCAAAACCCAGAGCCAGGGTTACTCTTCTGTTCCTGACAGGAGCCTGAAGTCTCTCATCTCTTTGCCAGCTTTGATCTCTTTCTTGACTTCATGGACAAGCTTTCTCCATTGACTGACTCATCAGAGTACACATGGCCAAAAATGGCTGACCCAGGCCTGGGTGATCTTTGATTCCTCCAGGACCAATATGCCTTTGATTCCAAGCACCCAACAGTATCTGACTCCAGGTTGTGTATCTCTTGACTTGAATTCTGGAGATGAGGCATCTAGTTGGATTAGACCAGTCCATGGATTGGTTCCCCTTGAGAGAAATGTCCACTTTTGGTTCAATCAACAATGGCTGTAGAGCAGGCTTAGGTGTTTAAAGACAAGTAATATGAAAGCATCATTGCCTAGCTCCCCTCTCCATATCAGTGAGAGGGCATAGGTAGGAAGCAATTTGAGAGAAAAGGTGTAGGATAGCTAAATGACAAGAAAGAAGGACCAGGTGGAAAACATGCGTGGGGCTGGGGCTAGGATAAAGACAGAGCAGGCTGGTCTCCAAGCCATTCTTCATTCAAATTCCAAACCCCTTCCCTGATGGAGTCAGACCAATTCCCTGTTGAACTTGTCCTGGCAGCCTTGATGTATGAAGCAGTAAAGTAATAGACAGTAATGGATGGTATCAAAGAAGGTGCCTTCTTATCTGGCTCTCACAGAGGATTTTACAGTGGTATTGGGGGGTATTGGCCCTCTCTTTCTGCATTATTCTCCAGCATACATATCTATGCTCAGGTCATAAGGGAAAGACTGATAGTGTAAGTGCTTTAATAATTTTAATGAAAATTATTAGGTTTTACTTAACATGATTTACTTATAGGCCACCTGCCTGCACATAGCTCCCATGTAGAGATGGCAGAGATCCCTGCAGCAGGGATAACCCCAGGATTAGGAACGGAGGGAGGGAGGGAGGGACGGAGGAAGGAAGGGAGGAAGGAAGGAAGGAAGGAAGGAAGGAAGGAAGGAAGGAAGGAAGGAAGGAAGGAAGGAAGGAAGGAAGGAAAAAATAACATGCACCAGGTAAAGAGGCTGGAAAGCAGGGTACTTCTGGACAGAAAATAATTAGGGTTTTTTTTTTAAGAATCTTATAAAATAAGTATTGCTTAACATAAGAAGTGTAGGAAAAGGAAGAAAATTAAATGAGGGATTTAGATCCATGGAGTGCAAGTGAGCTACAAATTTGGTGAAAGTTTCATTTGTTTTGAAATTTTAAAGAGAATAATTTGTAAAATTTAGAAATAAACATCGATTTGGCATCTTTGAAAAAGAAATTAAGTTTTAAAAAATGAGTAAGAAAACAAATCCAGTTGGAGAAAAGTAGTAATGGCACTGCATACTGTCATAGAAGAATGCAAATCAGTATTTTCCTTTCCCCTAATTAGCAGACATAAATCAGGATAAATTTTAAATTGATGAGAGCTCTTTCAACACAGGAGAAAGACATTGACCTTCTTGTCGTAAAGGTAAGTACGAAGTACATTAAAATCACCATTTTTTCAGTAATCAAGTTTACCTCTATGATAACTTTGGACTATGACACCCCTTCAGAAATGCTGTCTGCTCAAAATTCTCCAAACACAACACTGAATGGAATTCTGCTGTGGTAGAAGAATCATGACCGGGCAGTCAAAATCAATTTGTTCCTGTGATTGACATCAGGGCCTGTGTGTCAGCCAAGCTCTCTCATACCATCTGTGCTCTGATTATGATCAATAGGTTTTTGTGATATGCCCGGGAAATGTGCTGTTTGATTACTTTTACATGGGAGAAAAGACAAAAACGTCTCAACCTGGAGTCTACTGATGTGGATGTAGAAGCTGGTTGATGAATTATTAGAATATAGAGTTTGCACTGATAAACTTTTGAACTTTCATTGAACTTGTAGATTAAGAATAGGCAGTTTTTCCAAGAGGAAAATTCACCAGACAACCAACAATTTTTCTTTCACATATTTAAGCAAGATGTTCGATCTGGTAAGGAAATAATAGTAATTTATGTCTTTGATAATTGAGAAGGATTATAGTTCTACACACAGAAAAAGCAACCATCACCCGAGCTCTGTGAGTCACAAAGCCATTAAAGAAGAAGCTTCCAGCTTAAAAGCAGATGAAATCTCCAGATTTGGAGGGTGATGTTCTTCAAGAGAGACTTAAGAGAGGGGAAAGAAATCCCCATGTACTTGTAAAATTAGGGCCCCCTCTCTGCCTCCCTTCTGAACAAGTAAAATGACACTTCAAAGGTTCAGCTTGATAACCCACACTAAAAGAAAAGCATGCATACACAAAACCATTTCCCTTAGTGCACATAGCTCCCCTGCATATACCACCAGGCCCACACAAGCACAGACCCACACTGACCTTCAGTGGGAGGCAACCCTCCAAATAGTAGCAATGAAGCTGCCTCCTTCAACCTGCAGAGACCCATAATTCTCAAAACGTCATTTGTCTGGTAATCTGTAGGAACAGCCTGGAGCAGATTAAAGGTTAAGAAGGAAGATTGCTGACCAGCTGGAAACATGTGTTTGGTACATCCAACTAACTATAAGAAATTATTTTCCTGATAAAATAGCATCAGCTGAGATCAGGTTTCTGAGAGATGGGTATTATTAATTTTGCTGCTATGACATCGAACAGCTTGCATTAAAAATACACGCTAGATTGTGGCTCTTTGGCTTGATTGGTACAATGCACCAGAGATTTCAAAAAAACGCTGACCACTCCACAGTTCAGTTGGCCTTATTAATGATAAATCCTATCACCTCCCTTTACTTTAATGCTTTGCTTCCCTAGAATTCAATTTGAATCAATCCTATGATTATTTCTAAGCATGCACCTTGCTAGTGCTCAAAAAATGAGAGGACACAATCTTATTACTATTTGTTAGTAGCTGGGGTTTATAGCATCACAGGTGTTATAATGTAAGCCTGGGAAACAGTCAACAAGAATGAGGACCACAGTCTCAAAGAGAAGGCCAGGGATGGAGCCAGCTCCACCTGGGGATCTAAACTAGGGTATCTTGGCTGCCAGTAATGGACATTTATGTAATTTTTCTCAAGTAATGGGGATTAGAAGATGTTATTATAAGAACCTATGACCTGGTAGAGAAAAGTCATCATGAACTTGGACAGATCTGCGAACCCATTTTTCTCTCCATCTCCTCTGTCTTTCTCTCATGGCATGTCTACCATGTCCACATGTTTGCTCCATCCTCCTGTCTTTACCAACTTGGCTACTCAAAGTTTCTGTTTCCTCATAACTGTAGTTTGCACATAACCTCTCATGACCTTGACTCTGTCTCCTGGTGTTTAGTGTTAGTAATCGCTGCTTTATTTAAATCTAAAATGGAGAGAAAATTTTATTGTCACTACTCACATTTCATGTGACCACATTCTGGGTTACTGGGTGGCCTCTAGCTGAACTGCTCTAATGTTGATTATCCAACATGGACCAACTCCCTATGGCCAAAAGGACCAAGTCAAGAGGTATAATAAAACTACCCTTTCATCAGGGGGAAGTTCAGTTTATAAAGGGCAGAGTAGGCATTCTGAAGATCAGTCTGCCTTGTCCATGGGATAATGGGGAAAGGTTCTGTGGATGAGATAACATTTGAGATGATCATAAAAGGGTCCCATGTGTAGATAGGCAAAGATGATGTAAAAGTGGATATAGTAGCATAGGGAAAAACCAGAAATAGGAAAGAAAATATTTGTTAAGTATTTTAGTTTGGCTAGAGCACTTCTCAAGCTTTCTGTGCATATGAATCACCTGGGGATCTTGATAAAATGCAGATTCCTATCCAATGGGTCTAAGATGGGACCTGGGATTCTGCAACTTTAAACTAGTTCCCGGGTGATGCTGATGTGCTGCTTCACTCTGAGAAGTACAGCTAGAAGAAAGAGCCTTGAATGCCAAGCTAAGAAAGTGCTACTTACTCTACTTCAGTAAGTAATGAGAAGCCTTGAAGGATTTGGGAGAGAAGGATGATATAATCAGAGTGGTGTTAAAGGACAATTGATTTGGCAGTGCTTTGTGGGATAACTCAGAAGAGAACTGGAAGATCAGCTATTTAGCAATTGTAAAGGCCAGAAAAGGTAATAAGGACTAAATCAGTATGATCACAGTGGAGGGGAAGAAGGGCTATACAAAATCAGCTATACAGCCAATTGAACATGCCCTTCCCACTGTCCTTACCCAGTCTTGCTTTAGTTGACAAGAGAAGCAGCTTCTTCAGGCATCATCTGGTGACATCTTTGTCCTTTCTGGGGTGTCTGCTTTTCATTTCAAATCACATCTAAAGATACATCCTCTCTTTTACCTCTAACCCTTAATTTCATTCTCTCTGCCTAACTGCATTTTCTATTGTGTGCAACTTGCTGCATGATTTAACTATATTATAACCATGTAACTATGTTATTGCACTGTTATTTCATTGTGTACCAGTAACCAAATTCAGTAACTATATTTGTTCTGCTGAGGAGTTTTGTAGGAAGCATATCTGAAGGGCACCAGGCAATGAAGTAAAGTCTATTACCACCTTATCACCATCAGGAAAATGATCTGTTTGTTTGCCGTTCACTGAAGTACATAGCTAAAGAAATTGAAAGAGAGTTTAGGCAGTGTCTGAGTGAAGTCCAGATATGGAGACAGACGGATACCCTGAATACTAGGCTGTGGTTCAAGATCCAAAAAATGGCTATGACACTGTGCAGAAGAGAAGTTTCCAAATGATGTTATAGACAGGGAAGAAGAGCTTGGAGAGACAGACCTTATACTGTAATTCAGAGCTTCTGTTACTACCTGGCTTACACTGTCCCTACTATCCATTTAAAGCCAAGCCAAAGATAAGCTTGCTGTTAAATACAAATCCCAACTGAAATTTTCCTAAGGCCAAAGGCTTCATCATATCCCGTGATTATGGATATAAATGAAGAAACCTGGTGCTTGCCTATTGGATTGTTCATGCCATTTTGAGGTCAACCCCTGAATGCTGAACTTTGGTTTTCTAAGGCCCCTGTGCATTAAATAATCTATACAACAAGCAGGACTTTAAATCCAATCCTTTTCTTCCTAATAGGATGGGATTTTGTGCACATGTATATACTAATAGCTAAAAAATCAAACAGTTGTCACTGATCAAAACAACAATAATTTGTCCTGTGGGGAAAAAAAGAGTGTGAGAGAGAGAAAGAATAGAAAAGAAAGAAAGAAAAAGGAACTGTCCAGCCCTGGAGACTAGAGCTATTTTGATCGCACAAGAACATAATCAGAGTCAGGAACACAGTGGAGGAAATATTCCCAAAGGAAATCAAGATTAAGATGCACACTTCGGCCTCTTCCTACAAGCACCAACCTCCCAAGCCCACAGGTCATTTTGTTTGACAATGTCACATCGATTTACATTTCACAATGCACTTTTAACTTTAGAATGTTAATGTGCTGGCTGGAATTAGCTGTATCTTTAGAGAAGAGTCTGATCTTGACCATGTTCTCCTTTAGAGAGACTTCCTAGTTGGTTTGTTATTTTGGTAAATGAGAACCCAGGAAGAAATTAAATCAATTTTATAGATACGTGTGTGTGTGTGTGTGTGTGTGTGTGATGAAAGTGTCCCTGCAGGACAGACACTGGGAAACTGTGCTTTGAAGAGAACAAAGCCTTTCGGGAAAAGGGTTCCATGTTCAAAAGAAAATGAGGAAATATGACTTCTAGCCCAGATATTGCCAGGCCCACTTCCATCCTTGGTTTTGCTCCATGTTGGAGCTCAGGATTCTGGATGTATTTCCTCTGAGTGCCCTGTTGGTGGCGGAGGGCAGGGTGGGGTAGAGCAAGGCATAGCCTTCCATGCGGGGAATCTGTGCTGTCTCAGGGCTTTCCTCCAGAGGCAGTCCAGAGAGAGATATGCCAGCGTCATAAACCCTGCTTCCTCCTTCCTTCTGTGCCACCCATTTTCCTAGTCCCACTACTTCACAAGTAAATAACCATCTTCATTGGAAGTAACCTTCTTCCCTAGAGAGGTGAAGTGACTGGTCTATGGTCACACAGCTATTAAGAGCCTCTGACAGAAAGAAATCCAGCCTCTTCAGTTTCAGGTCATTGCATGTTCTTTCCTCCTACCTTGTAAGCAGCTTCAGTCTTTGATGTGGGCCCTGTGTCCTGGGCCACAGGACAGACTTAGGGCTCAAACCTCCCTGGGCCTCACCTGGCACTTCCCTGCCAAGGTTGCATCCTGCCTCTCTCTGAAGAGTCACCCTCTAGCCTAGTCATTGTGGAACCTACTCCTCAGTCCCAACATCACCACAAACACCCACTGTCCCTACAAGGGACAGGAGGGCTGAGATTTAGGGACCCAAGTTTAGATGCAAATTAGAATCTTTTTAATGTTATGAGAATGATGGTGAAAAATCCTGAGGACAAGAGTTATATTTAGTCTGCAAATATGTATTGAGAAGAATCCCCCAAAAAGTTACTATTAAAGAATAATGATAAAGATTCATGCACTTTAGTTGGGGGCAGAGTTTAGGGGTGGCATTATGAAAAGCTGTGGGAGTTTTGAAGCAGCCTTTACTCAAGAGATGGTTGTGTGCTGAGGGAGAGAAGATTTGGAGCTATTACTCACAATGCACCAGCAGAAGATTCCAAGTTGGAGAGCCTAGGCAGAGAAGTTCCATGGGGTGTGGGAAGGTGGGGGTATGGTAAGAGGCAGCATAAGAATGGCTGAGCTGAGGCTGGGCATGGTGGCTCATGCTTGTTATGCCCAGCACTTTAGGAGACCAAGGCAGGTAGATTGCTTGAGCTCAGAAGTTTGAGAACAGCCTAGGCAATATGATGAAACACCGTCTCTACAAAAAATACAAAAAAAAATAGCCAGATGTGGTGGTATGCACCTGTGGTGCCAGCTACTTGGGAGGCTGAGGTGGGAGGATCGCTTGAGCCTGGGAGGTCAAGGCTGCAGTGAGCTGAGATTGCACCACTGCACTCCAGCCTGGGCAACAGAGTGAGACCCTGTCAAAAAAAAGAAAAGAAAAGAAAAGAAAAGAATAGCTGGGCTGGACACACTTCACTACAGAGACAGTCATTCTCTCCAGAAGCCAGCATGAGGCAGAACCTGGCTGCCAGACAGGGGAGGTTCTTCCCCATCTAGAGACCAAAAGGTCAAGTGTAGAAACTCGGTTGGGTAGATGTGAAGGATGCTGTAGGCCAGCTGGCTCAGCCTCCATTCCTAACTTCCTCAGGGAACCAGTCTATACTGTAGACACCAGAAAATGAAAAACTAATTTTCTCTTCCTCCTTTGCAGGTAGGGTTCCTGATGGGATTGGGTTCCACCAATCAGAGCCACTTGCATGAGACCTCAACTGAGAGCCAGGTCAGTGGGATGGGAGGCACAGCACGAGGCCTTTACTTTGCTAGCTCAGATCATGGCAGAATGGTGGGCTCTGCCACGGACAGTGGGGGATGCAGTTTCCCTCAATCATATCAGAGCATCATCTGGGGAACTGGAATTGTTTCTGAAAGCTCAAACCAGAATCTGCTTGTTCAGCACTTCCAAAATGTTCATAGGCCAATTAATACCTGATTATTAATGCTCTCCTGTTTCAATAAACTGGAACAATTTCTGTCATCTGCATCACCATGGACAGTGGCCAAGATAACATATCTGACTCCCCAAACTGATCATTTTTTAGTACCCTCCTCTATGGGACAAAATTATTTTCAGTGAGAATCATGTAATAATCATTAATTATTATTACTCTCATGATTCATTCATTAGCTTTAAAACAATAATTTAAACAGAATAAATTTTAATTTTCAAGATATTATTCAAATCCAGTCAAATATCTCGTGTATGAACTAAAATTTGCATTTCCTAAACTTTAAACACAAATTAAAATTCCAAGTGGTTGTGCAGAATGACAGAATTAAATTAACTCAGGTTTTGTGTCTTGGCTTTGCAATTACTGTGCTATCATCCTTTATCGATTATTTAAATGCAGGCATACTTAGTACAACAGGGGCTGGAGACACAAACTGTGCCTGAAGCCAGTTCGAACCATCTTGAACTGTTCTTTCTTACTGGAAGTTCTCCTAAGTAACTTTCACATAGACTATAATATTAGTAAAAGGATAAGTAATTAACTATGCTAATTTGAAGCATATATATGTATGTGTGTATATATATGGGTATATATGTATACACACACACATACACACAGATGTATATGAGTGTATAGAATTAAAATTCAATAGTCACCACAGCAATTGTTTAGAAAATGGACAAACAAAAGATTTGTGGGAGGATTATTTTATCACTGACATTGTTTAGAATTACTGGCCTAGGGATAAGAAAAAGCAAACTGACTCACAGTCGATTTTATTATTGGTTTTAAATTATCTGCAGACAATGCAGCTGTGTGCATCTTGAGGGTGGGTGCACCCGCCCCTGGTTGGCAGGTGGGGCTGAGCCTGAAAAAGCCTGATCCCAAGCCTGAGGGCTCCAGAGGGTTGGGGACTTGAGGGGAAGTGGCATGGCGAGGGGGGATTCCCAGACCCCAGCACCCTCCCCACCAGATACCTCCTGCATACCAGGAGACCCAGCCTGAGCCGCTCATGACTCCCCAGATTCTCAAATACTGCTGAAACATAAAGATCCCCCACAAACTGCCTTTGGTGGTGAGGAACCAAGAGCCCAAAACTGCTGAAACCCTGGTACCCAGTTCTCAGTAGTGAAGAGACCCACCCACCCCATGTGATGGAAATGTGTGCCTCAGCACAATTAAACCTCGTCTCCTGCCACGGGCCCTTGAGGGCACACACAAGTTGTTGAATTTATGAATGTTAACTCTGCCAATGCCGAAATTCCACTTTAACCTATACCTGGAATGCCTTCGTTCGCTGGCAGGTGAGCTGCACCTCAGGTGTCTGCAGGGGACAGGGTGAGTGAAAGCCCCACAGAGCTCTCAGCCTGAGAAGGCCCTGAGCCAGGGCACTGCCTTTAATGAGAGAAGTTTCTCTTTTCCCCTCCAAGTGGTGGCCGCACCGAGAGACATCTAAAGTTCTCTGAGAGCAGAGACGGAGTTTATTTCCGGTGTCCTTCGCGGTCCCCAGCAGTACAACTCTCATAAAAGGTTAACTTCCTAGTTCTGGGGAGAGTAAAGCTTGTCTTTTCTCCACTAGTTGAGGGACCTTTAGCATAAAGGTCCAGCCTCACAGAAGATGACTAAACACACAAGCCAATTTTAATGCTGTGTCCTGAGACCCCAAGGGAGTCCAGGGGAGACCATCTCCCTAGACAAAGGAAAGAGGCACCTCCCCACCCCAGGGGGGACACTGTGGACAAGATGCAGGTGCACAGTGCCAGATATCCAAGGACCCTTGGAAGGCTGTGACCTTTCTCCTCTGAGCAGTAGTAGTAAGCCAGATGTCCACTAGCAGGTCCCAGAGATGCGGCCACAGCAGTAAAGCTGCATGACAGTCTACTTGCCTGGCACTGCCCAGGAGAGTGCCACTAGCCCCCATCCTGTAGGACCAGTGGGTGCTGTCCTCCTCTACGCAGAGTGGCCAGGGAGGAGGGGCAGGGCCATCTAGCCATGTGGTTCATGCCTAGGTGTCTGGGAGCAGGAAGACATGCATTTCCAATCTAGCATTGGCACCCAAACTCACATTGCTGTATTCCTGTCAAGCAGTGTTAGCCAGCCTCATATCTAAGGACTACAGGCTTTAATTACTCCAGGGAACAGCCTGGTGGCCAGACAAAGAAAGGCTTGTTACAAAGGCCCCTTTGTTGAAAGGGCTTTTGTCCCAGCAAGAGGATTGCTCCAGGCACCCCTTATAGGCCACCAGCCCAGAGCAGGGAAGTAATACTTGTCCAACTAACCCTCGGGTGTTTCAGAAGACCTGGACTCAAGTCCCCGCAGCCCAGGTTTGCTGGCAACATAGTCCGCTGTAAGTCACACATCCTTTTTAAGCCCCAGTTTTCTTACCTATCAAAAAGCAATCATCAATGTGAATTTCACCCTCTTTTCTCCAGTCCTGGAGGCTGAGTCCCCCAGGCTGCTGGAGGTGCTGAGAATACCTGGACCCTACTAGCAATGCAGAGAAGTGTTTACACCCCTCTCTGGCAGGTGATGTTCGATGTGTCTTTAACCGTGTCCCTACCCTCTGTCATCCCACACACAACAAACACATATATAAGAAGAAAAGGAACGTGTTTGTAGTGGATATTTCTCCTCTTTCCTACTGAGGGTCCAAGCAGCCTCCCTAAGTTGAGGTGAGGGGCAGCAGCCACTTCCTCTCTGGAGAGCCAGGAAGGACACCTCCTCTCACTCCCTGGAAACAGAACAGCAGGCTGCTGACCTTCACCCGGCCACCAGTGCTCCACCCTGAACTCAAGATTCCAGGATGCAAGACGGAGGCTTCAGGAGGAGAGAGATTTCTCCTTGGAAAGCTGGAAGAGCTGAAAGGAGAGTAGGAGGTAGTGAGGAGGGGCCTGCAGCAGGTCTCAGGGACTCTACAGGGCGTGGACCTGTGCTGTACTTTTGCCCCCTGACCCTCGTTCCTGATGCTTTTCTGAGCTTGGTTCTCCAGCCTTCTGATAATTCCATAGGCTGCTGGATAGATAGCCTTCCAACAAATTCCCTTTCTGCCTAAGTTAACCAGATTTGGGGTCTGTTGTTTGTAACCAAGAGTCCTACCTGATACTGTGTAAGATATAGCCAGAGAGGAAATTACCCCAAAAATCTATTTTTTAAAATCTGCCTGCACAAATATACTAACCACAGCATTATTTAAAACTGTGCAGATGGAAACCACTGGACAGTAGTGACATGGTTAAGTGGAGTCTGAGCCATTCACTCGGAAAAACAAGCAATCATCAGAATAATGGGTATGAAGACAATGCAATGACAAGGGAAGTGCTGCTGAGATTGACTGACAAATGACAACAGGAAAAGAAACTGAATGCAAGATGTGCCCCTCTTCCCCTACCAAGAATAGAAGCTCCTAGGAGCTAGACTTTTGATCTATTTTGTTCAGGGTCCTATCTCCAGCAAGTGGCAATGGTAGGCACTCAACTGACACTTAGAGAATGAATGAATGAATGAACTATTTGCACAGGGGAGGGGTGGGTAAAAACACCTTCAAATGCTATTAGTGATTATTACAGGTTACTCAGATTTTTTAAAGCTGTTGTTCCCTTTCCTCTATTTCTAGCATTTTCCATCATGTGGTTTTATTCATTTTCCTGAGAAGAAAAAAATGTTTTCTTAGCCCAAACCACTGGTAGGTGACCCAACTTCCCTAATATTTATGTTCCCTCTTGAGAGGCCTAAGCTGCAACTAAGCAGGGTGGCAAGGGCAAAGGAACATTTGCTCTCCTTTCCAAGTAGAAATGCTCAGCTGAAGCAGTCATTAAGGAGCCTGGCTCTGCTGCCCAAGGAAACACTTCCTTCCCATGGGCGGCGAGCGCCGAGTGACCTTCACAGCCCCTGGGCTGGATCTTGGAGCAGGAGAGTCTGTCTGGGGCAATAAAGCATCGCCAGGTGTCCAGGCCAAGTCAAAGGCCTTCCTGCCCTCCCCTGTTCCCCTCCGGTTGTCATCTCTTGCTTCCTCACCCGGGCTTTGTCACCAGTCCATGCACACTGCAGGGTCTGAACAATGGCAGACTCAATAGCCAGAGGGAGTTCAAAGGGGTTGATCGCCCCTTCAGATTGGCATTCAGCAGAAGCAGCCACTAGCTTAGCAAGTGGGATCCTGTTCCACCTCAGAGTGACTAAGCAGGGAAGTGGAGGAGTCAGCACTCCACAGAAGCCAGGAGGTTGGCTTCAGGCTGGCCATGAATTCTCACAGCAGGAAAGGGCAAAAGGAGATCAACCAGCCAGATGAGCTATGAGGAAATGAAATCTGCTGCAGATCGCTGGGCAGGGCCAGCTGTACACACCTGCTAAGATTACCATTTTATGACCACCACTGGCTTGCACTCACTATGATATTCTCTCTCTCTCTCTCTCTCTCTCTCACACACACACACACACACACACACGCAAGCATTTTCAGCATGAAAGAATGAGAATAAAATCATGCAAAGGAAAATGCCGAACACAGAGAAAAGACACACGTAAATGTACACACTTGCAAAGGCTCTGATTCACTAACTTCATGCCCCTTTTTTACCTGCCCATATCAAAACATGCTTCATCCTGGTTGGATCCAACAAAAGACCACAAGCCCCAGGTTCCAAGGCACATCCTGCAGGCATTTTTTTCCATTTTATCCATAGTGCTGCAGTGTTTAGTGGGTTGCTTACAGTTCAGGACCACCTGGGAGGAAGCCCCACTCTACATTCTGGGTCCCAGCTCTGCCAAGTCTCTTCTCCAAATTCCAAGGGTACAAAACCAGTTGGGCAGTGTCCCCTCTTAAGAGCTCTGAGTCCCAGCTCTATGTGATCCCTCCTCAAGCTGCTGAGAGTCCGCATCAGCCTGGGAACACCCTCCACCAGAGACCTGTGTTCCAGCTTTGCTGGGCCCTTCCCCTAAGCATCTAGGTTCTATTAACCCCAGTCTCTTGCTTTGTTTCCTCAGCCCTTGGGGTGGTAGCTGCTCCCTGCAGTTACCGTCACTGAGATGCCTCAAGGTTCCTTTTTTGCCTTTTCAGTCCTAATACTAGCCTAATAATCCCCTTTATTAAATTATCTCTGTTAAAATAACTATGGTGATCAACTCCTTACTTAAATAATGTTTACATGATCAAAAGACTTTCTGTAGTAGTATTAACAGTTTTGGTTTCCTTGGTTATTTTAACTTTATTCAATTTAAATTCATTGAATTTTTTCCAATTATGCTTTCATTTTACAGTCATTAAAAAACAAAAAAAAAAAAAACTGGCCAGGCATGGTGGCTAACACCTGTAATCCTAGCACTTTGGGAGGCCAAGGCGGGTGGATCACTTGAGGTCAGGAGTTTGAAACCAGCCTGGCCAACATGGTGAAACCCTTTCTCTACTAAAAATCCAAAAATTTAGCTGGGCGTGGTGGTGGCTGCCTGTAATCCCAGCTACTTGGGAGGCTGAGGCAGGAGAATTGCTTGAACTCAGAAGGCAGAGGTTGCAGTGAGCCAAGATTGTGCCACTGCACTCCAACCTGGGCAACAAAGCAAGTCTCCATATCAAAAATAAAATAAAATAAAATAAAATAATAAAAAAAGATGGTGCTTTCCTGATTGGACTTTTACTGATACAGGAGAAAAGCTAGTAGGAAAAAATTAAACCTGCTAGTGAAGACAGGTTTCTGGGTGCTTTGATGGAGTGATCCATCTCCTCGTCACCAGGGATGGGAAGAAGAGCTTTACATCTGTTATGTTTAAATGATATTCCTCAAGGAACAGTGTTCAAGAGCTACTTGATGGTTACCATCCAGTAAGCTGTTCAAGTTATTGACCATTTCTTACTTAGATTCTGAGAAGTTTTAGATACAGTTAAACAGTGGAGGAATATATGGCCTTTAAATAGCCAGGGGTTCCAGAAGAAAATAAATAAATTCTGAAGAAACAGGGTCTAAGTAGGGAAAAGAATACCCAACTGGAAAGAGAATGCTGTAGAATAAATATACAGAAGGAGTTAAGCAATTTAACTATTCAAAAAGACCAAAGGGAGGCCACCACACTACAAGTTTGTGCGGGGGTGGGGGGGGCAGCGACTATTAAAATCACAGGTGGTTGCAATAACCACACATACATTCAGTGCTGAATTTCCAATCCCTATCTCCTTACTTTGGGAGCAATTAGTCTCGGGTGAAAAATTGCACTTGTAGCTAATTGCACCTGCAATTACCTACTTCCGGGTGCAATTAGCCACTTGAACCTAATTCTGAGTGTGCAAGTGTTTAATTGCATATGTGAGGAGGTGATTCCAGACACAGTTAGTTGTGCCCTCAGTCTTTGCACCTGCAACTAATTGTGACTAATAAAACAAGTCTTCATACAAGTCAGGTTGAAGGTACATATGGTGAACCTGTTTGGGGAACCAAGAATTGGATTGGTTGGGCTAATAGAAGTACAAGTGCACTAAAGAGAATAAAGGGACAAATTATTTAGAAACTGTCATTCTTTGGATCTACGGTTACATTATCCATGTCCTTTCCTGCAATCATGCTCTTCCCAGACTACAGAACATAAAGTCAGCTGATTAAAGGCAAGAATCATGCCTTGGCTGACACAGTTCTTTGTAAAGATAGCAGTAATTCTTCTGCTGACATTGAGGAACATCCATAAAGTGCAGGTCAGAACTATGTTCCAGCCAGTTCTCCATTATTTGTGTTAATTCTGATGAGGTTATTCAAAACACTGGGCAACAGGTATTTATTGAACTAAGTCATATCATGAATCTAGAAATTAACAGACATGGCTCCTGCCTTCAATTTCATGACAGTTCTACAAATAATTATTAAGTGTCTACTGTCTGCTTGGCAAGTCGAGGTACTCATTTACTTATTAGGAACATTCCTTTGTTCTGTCTTTCTACAAATGCCTATTGATATGGTTTGGTTATTTGCCCCCTCCAAATCTCAAGTTGAAATGTGATTCCCAGTGTAAGAGGTTGGGCCTGGTGGGAGGTGATTGGATCATGATGGCAGATCTCTCATTAATAGTTTAGCACTATCCCTTTGGGGATAAGTGAGTTCTCACTCAAGTTAGTTCATGAGGGACCCGGTTGTTTAAAACTCTGGGACCTCCCCCTTTTCTCTCTCTTGTTTCTGCTCTCACCATGTGACATGCTGGCTTCTCGTTGCCTTTTGCCATGATTGTAAGCTTCCTGAAGCCTCACCAGAGACAGATGTTGCAACCATGCTTGTATAGCCTGCAGAATTGTGAGCCAATTAAACCTCTTTTCTTTACCCAGCCTTGGGTATTTCTTTACAGCAATGCAGAAACAGCCTAATATACCAATTTATCAAGCCTTCTTGGAACTCACATTCAAGTAGGAAAGATAGACGCTAAACAACTGTTTATACAATTAATGTCTTCATTACAGGGGCTGGGAGAGTGCACAACTAGGGCCTGCCCTGGTAAGAGTTTATGATAGGGTGTTCTGAAGAATTGACGCTTGAGTCAAGATTTTAAAAATCACTAGGGGCTACTCAGAAAGGAGAGGGAGAGCAGGCTCTGGGCAGGGAGAATGAAAATGCCAAGGCTCTGAGGCTGAATGGAACTTCCCAGACTGAGAATAGAAAGAAGGCCAGCGTGGCTGGAGTGGAGTAAGGGGGAGAAGTGGTTGAAGGTTATGTGATGAGTGGGAGGAGTTTCCTCTAGGTTGCCAAAAATGTGCCTCATGAAAGAACCCTGCTGGAATGAAGGGCATCACAGGGCCTCTCAACCACAGCCAAGGCAGAATCTTGATGTGAGATGTTGTTTTTCGTCCCTCTTCCTCTAATCTCACCAATACCAGCCTGGATCCTGGAAGAGCCAGAAGAGAGATGAGGTAGAGAGAGAATAAAATTGCCAATCAACCCCTCCTTCCCAACTGCATGAGCCTGAGCTTCAGCCGATATCACTAACTTTGATATGGAGGTGAGATTGAAGTTTGACGTTAAGCTGAACTGGACCTTTAACACTGAAAAGAAATCTCATTATCAGAATTGAGGCTTTTCTAGTAGTTGGAAGTAATCCAGAAAGCCAAGGCATCTGCATGAGATGTCTCTAAAGCACAGGAAGTAGGGACCTGCCTGAGCATATCTGAAGCTAGGTAGAAGAAATGTACGGCCTCTTTGTGACTGTACCCCCCTTGAGCCAGCCTATTCCACCAGTAGTACATAGGAACAATGCACATGACCCCCCAGAGCTGAGGCTCCACAAGGCGGTGAAGTTCCACAAAGATAAGAAGGACTCATAGATTTGGATGGAGAGGAGGGACCAGGCATTGCAAGAGAAGAATGATGAGAACACAGGGGAATGAAGTCCATTCTCTATTGGATGGGAAGCCTCAAGAAGTCTGGCCTGGCTAGAGCAGATGTTCTGAGATGTGAGAAGCAGCGTTGGATAGAACATGAGCTAAAGACAGATGGAAGGAAGTCTTTAATGCCAGGCAATAGGAGTTAGGAGCCTCTTGCATCAAGCCTGGCTCTTCCTCCAGATTCTGAAGAAGCAGCAAAATAACTTGGTTTGAGCTTAAAGTGAGAGGTTCATCTTCCTGAGCTCCCTTCCAGGGCTGAAATGGTGACCTTTTCCCCAGTCTTTCTTCTCTGTGTACTGTCTAGTGGAGATGATGAGAAGTCATCACTGTGAGGACATTACCTCCCCATCCAAACCCCTTCACCAGCACTCCTGGCCAAGATGGTACATGTGCAGTGCAAGTCTTCAAGGATTTGGGGAGAGCAGTAGAATCCCTTCTTTTATGCCTTTTTCTCTTTTGGCAAAGACTGACTCCATGCTCACCAATTAGATTAGAGTCATGTCACTGGATTCTAGTCAGGCAGCCTGTACAGGGCTGGCCTTTAAAACATTCAACACAATCTTCCACTCATTCTCCCCTTCCAATTCATGAGACTGAAAGTAAAGGACCCTGCGATGGTGGAGACACGTGATGGCAAGAATCTGTATCCCTACTCAGAGAGGAGCATCAGACTGGCGTCAGACCATAACACGAGCAAGAAACATGTGCTTGGTTAAGCCACTGAGATAGGGTGTTTACTCATCACTGAAGTGCAGCCTAGTCTGTTGTAACAGATCTATCCACCTCCGACCCCAGTGTTCCCCATCCTCCGATTTCTCTCCCTTCTGTACTCTTTCTGCAGCCACCTTGGCCTCAGTCATTTCCTCACAGCACAGTATTCACAGTTGCAGCAGAGGCAGGGGAAGAAGACCCAAGAAGGGAAGACCTGGGTGCTTCTCTTCCCCTAGCATGCTATTGCACTGCCTCTCATCCTGGCTGTTCCTCTCTCTGGAATACTCTTCCTCTAGATGTTCACTCCTGGCTTCTTTTCAGCTGAAATGACTCTTTCTCAGAGAAAGTTGCTGGCACCACCCATCCACCCACAACTTCTCAACACAATACTCTTTACTGCGTTCGTAGCAGTAAATTATTCAAGAAATTATCTCATCTGTTTATTGTCTTTCTCCTTGTAGGATGTCATCTCCACCAGAACAAGGACTACGTTTTGTATGTTGCTGTTCCGTTAGTGCCAGAACATGCCCACCCCTGCTCAGTAAATAAGCGTTAAGTGAATGAATTAATAAGTGAAAGGCTGTAAGTACTTTGACCTCCAGGTTATCTAGTCTCACTCCCTTTACAGATGAGGAAATTGACTCTTTTCCCAGAAAAGAGGAAACAGAAAAGCAAAGGCAACTCTCCCATGCTAGCTGTTTCTGGAGTGCTGAACTTAGATGTGATTTATTCAAATGAAAACTCTTGGGGAATTGTTTCAGAGGGATCCGTAAAACAAATGTCATTTTTACCTAGAGAATTCACCCAACCTTCCAACCAATTTCAAATGTAGTTCTTCAATGCAGATTTAACAAATTTGAAATCTTACATAAAGCTATTTATCATCTAATGTGCGCCTGCCCTGCACCACAGTTTAAGTTACAGCTTTTTAATGTGGTAAAACATTTCAATGAAATCATCAAAATACCTTAAACCAAAACTGCTTATAAGATATTGATGAGTTTCAAGCATTGATTCCACCCCTGAAAACATCAACCTTGCTATTGGCACCATGGGCACTTCTAATAATAGCAGCCAAGGAGGTATAATGAATATCTAATGAACCATTTTGTATGTCTATGTTGCTTCTTGAATTGGAAATAAATCAATGAGCCTTACAAAATGCATATTTTAGTGATACCTCTATAAACAATAATCTTGTTTTTCTATCATGACTCGAATGTCATTCTTTTTATAATACAATTGAAGATTTAATAATTTATTATATAGATTGCCTTCCCCATTTTAGCTCTAGGTTATGTGTGTATACATAATACATATACATATAGGTCGCCTTTCCCATTTAAGCTCTAGGTTATGTGTGTATATGTATATATGTGTGTGTATATGTATATATGTGTGTATATATATGTGTGTGTGTGTGTATATATATATATATATGTACACATAACCTACAGCTTAAACGAGGAAGGCAACCTAGTCCAATGTTTGATTTTTAAAATTTTTAAAAGTCCTTGTATGTAGAAGCTCTGTGGGTCATAAAAGTAAACCAAAATGCCCACGTTCCAGGAGCAAACATAGAGGCACATAAATAGTAACTAGTAAACAAGTCATAGACGCTTCCATGAATACAATACCAGAGAAAGCCTAGATCCAGTGCTAAAGGCTGAATGAAGACCAAGAGATACGATAATCCTGCTTTACAGGCACTATAGCTGAGCCCACACTCATCTGGGCCAGTCAGACCAAGGCTGGTTTCCTTGGGCTGGAACAAGCTCCTCTGGGAACAGCGTGGTGTGTTCACCTAGAGACCTCCTCCTGACAAAGGTTTTGGCTGTGTTGTCCCACCCACTTCCTCAGCTGAAAATGGGAAATGGGGCAAGTTGCTTCCCCTCCTGCTGGCTCAAATCCTATGACCCAAAGCACGGTCTCCATCTCAGCAACTTCCCTTCCAGAGGCCAAATATAGCCATCCCTTTCCTGGCTCACTAAAATTCCAGTCAGACTGCTGTGCACAGTGACAGACGGCCAAAGAGCATCTCACCAGCCCAGCCACAGCCCAAAATAACGGCCACTTGGTTAGCACAGACTGTGGACTTTTTCTTTTTTGTTGTTGTTGAGACTTCGTTCTGAGTTATTTTTTGTTTTGGTTTTGGATTTTGTTTCGTTTTTGTAGTTTGAAAGTAAACAGAGTATCTGAAGAAGTGGCTACACCAACTTCCTACATGAGGTTCCTGGGTTTAGTTCCAGCAGTGGTGGGTAATGACCAGAAATGTACTCACCTCTTAAATCTCCCCAGCCGCCTACCCAAAAGGAGGGGCTGACAAGCGCATTTCCTCCCCATTCTGTCCAGCAGTGCCTCCTGCACACCCCAGGTCATGCTGGGACCCACCCACCATGCTACATTTTCTCCTGGGTCTCGTGGAAGGAAGACTGGGGGAGGCTGTCCTGTGGGCTGGGTGGGGACACTTCCAGACTTGCACCCATGATGCTTCTGGGCAGTAGACAGGCCCCGCCCCCAAGCTGTCAGTTCGGTGCCCTCCACAAGTTCTAAAAGGCCTTAAATTATTAATTTATTTCTTTAAAAATACACCGTGCTCAACAACAACCAAGCCCACTTTTGATCTGCATCATGACACACAAGGCTCTTGTCAACCAGATTTTGTGCAGGCCAACAGACACATCTTATTAAATCTTACCTAGCGGGTGACATGAAATTGGAGCATGCTAAAGAGATTTAGGCTGGGAAAGATGATTGTCTTCTCCATGCCCTGTTTCCAAATGCAATGAGTAATAAGCAATTTTGCAAAACTATAACCTTCAACTGTTGGAACATCTTTGTACTTTTGTTCTTCAAAGGCAGAATGTTTTCTGGAATTATGTTTCTACCTGAGGAAAAAAATATACTCCTTCAATTTCTACATGTGCAAGCATATCACACAGATATATCTCATTTCTTGTCATGTTGTATGCTGTCTCAAGATCAATAAATAATTTATGCATTTAATGCATTTATCAGCTCTCGTGTGTGTGTGTATATATATATGTAAATCTCCTATGTGTTAATGTCAAAGATGTCTTCTATATTAACGGAAAGCAAGCAACCTCTTGGGTGTTTCACCACCATGAAATTAACTTTGCATCTTACCCATCAAATGAGTGAAAAGTGAGAACAGGTCCCTGCTCTTTATAGAAAACTAAACGCTAGTTTACAACAGATAAGGAGTTACAGTAGGAATTTCACATTGCTTATCTGCTGAAATTTCTCCCCTCCCTTATTTTTTTTTTCCAAAGAAGTTCTTTATTACTCCAGGGCCACTTAGATTGTAGAGGGAATACGGCTCCTAAATTTCAACTTGTTCTATTTAAGTTGCCTTTCCTTTGCTTCCCACTTGGAGTATTTATCATGCTTGTCGTTAAGAACTGCTTCTGAGCCCTCACAGTGCCAAGCCTGGGACCAGGTGCATACGTTTGGCAGTCCTCACCTCCACTGCCATCCACAGGCTCCAATTTGGATTTAACCATGGTCATCATTCACACCCTCATGGCAGCAGGATCTAGGGGTGCCACCAATATGATGACAGGCAGTGAGCATGAGCACTGGCAGCAACTGCTTTGGGCAAAGTCACGTGGCTGCACCTGGCTCATGCTTGCTGTTCTGAGCCTGTCCCCTCTTTCCACCCACCTTCCCCATTTGGAAGACTTCTGTGTTTCAGCAATGCCATGAAAGAACCCCCAGACTGATAGAATCTGAGAGGAATGGATCTCAAAAATAATCTCGTCCAAACTGCTCATTTAAAAAATAAGGAAATGGAGTACCTGAGGGGTTAATTTCCTTGGCCACACTCACACAGGTAGTTGCTGGCAGAGCAGAGACTGGAACTAAGTATTTGAACCCACTTCCAAGGCTCCTTCCACCATACCAGTGGCTCCCAACATTTGCTGGCACAACCCACAGTCAGAAGGAAACTTTACATCCTGATCCACACACGTGCACACATGTATGCAACTTACACAAACGTTTTACAAAACAATGCTTACTATGTGACACACTTTGATCTTTTCTATTGTCGTAGATTCATTTTAAAATATTCTGGAGATTGCTTAACAGCACATAGACTCAAACTGCAACCGTACAGAGAAGATTAGCATGGCCCCTGCACAAGGATAACATGCAAATTTTTCCCATATTTTTTGTACATTTACCAAATGTTACTTTTCTTTCCAGGGATAACATTTATAGGTATACAGTCCTATAGTTTGCATTTTTCTTAGTTAGATACATCCACTGAATATTTAGGAGGACGGGGGTTGAATTAGATACAGAACAGGGTCCCTTTTAGGTCTAAGCATCATGCTCCTGATCAGGAATGATCTTCCTGTCTACCTGTCCTCAGATTAGAATGATCTGAAAGACAGAATGATCTAGTAGACAGAACACTGGACTGAGAGTCAAGGCCCAGCATCTAGTCCTGGCTCCACCAACTGCTAACTGTGTAACTTTGGGCGAGTTTCCTCTGGGTTCCGTTAACTCATCTGCATGATCAAGCTGTTACTAACTGACAGAGTTCTGAGGAGTAAATGAAATAATGCAAATTAAAGCAATAAAAAGCTCTATGCACAAGACTTGTCCTGGAATAGCAATGATCTTCCATTCTCACATTTCAGAGAAATACGGTATCTAAAGAGGTTTCTGGATTCCATTCAAAACACCTGCATAATGTATTATGAATAAATTTGGTAGACTAAAGAAAAACCATACCCTGAAACTAGCTTATTTTTAAATGTTTTTGCAGGTGTTTGAAGAGGAGGGGCTCACTCTAAATCTTGAAGATGTTCAGCCTCGAAAAAGTAGAAGTCATTGTGACCAAAGATGATGCCACCATGCCTTTGAAAAAGAAAGGTGATGAGCCTCAAATGGAAAAATACATTCAAGAAAGGTCAATGCTAGTGAGTATGAATGAACACATAGCAAAAATTTCAGGTAGAACAGCCATGCCAAGGGCTGGTGGGACAGGTGAGGCCGAGTGAATAAAAAGAAGTAGCCCCAGAGACACTCAAGGTGGTTCCAGCTGCTTTTGAAGGAGGTTTCTTTCTAAGAGGTGGCTGGGCTTGGTTTCAGCGTATTCCAATTTGGGACTCATGAACTGCAACTAATAAAGATCAAAAAACTGATACAGAAATTGTTTTATAAAACATTCAATTCAAAATGCCTGCAGTGACCTTGACAAGAGCAGACGTTAGGAAGATCCCTGACAGCTGAGAACATTGTGTGAAGCCCCTCAGAAGTTAGTTGTGAAGCCCTGCGGGGAGATCTTTGGCTGCACAGGGGAGAGGATGGTGGGGAGGGGGACAGGCATCATTGTCACTATTATGGTAGGTAGGGCTGCTGCTTCTCTGCCTGAAACAGAGAAGAAGGTGTCAGGAAGATCCTAAAGAGAAGGACCCTGGCACAGGCAGACTGGGTGGAGGTGGCATGGGAGGCAGCGAGTTCTAACTCCTTAAATAGTGCTTTATCACTACTCAGGAACTGTTACGGGAAGCTCAGAGTTGTGCTTCTCACCAATAATCTTAGAGAAATCACTTCAAACAAGAGATTAAAGAAAAGGTTACAGGTTTCAGTAAAGGGTTCCGTTTGGCCAAGTATACGATGGTTTGTAGTTGTCATTGTCCATGCCTACTGATAACTTATTTTGTGTTTTTGAATGAAAAGACATTTGTACATTCCTTAAAATAATAATATTGTTAAAAAGCTGGTGACGCTCACAAAATCGATTCCACAAATCCCAAGCAGAGCATGTAGAGGCAGCGCACACAGGAGGCGCAGGCGGTGTGAGCAGCCCTCTGCTGTCCCTTCCCCTCCCACAGGCTCCCCCCAGCTGCTCTGACCACCGAGACACCCACTCCCGCTGCATCCCTCACATCCAAAGGCTCTTCCAGTGCCCTCTGGGACCTTGGTTCCAGGGTGAGCAACGCAACCAAGCTCGTGGGGAGGGCGGAGCACTCCATCCTCTTCCTGTGACCGCAGGGACCGTGGCTCTCCCGGGTGCTGCCCAGCCTACCCCAGGTAGTGAGCGCTTCATGGCCCCAAACTCCTGGGGACTGGAAAGGGCTTTGTGTCCTTCTACCTGTATGTAAACCCCCCCCACCCTCTCTTAGCCACCTGGTTGCCCAAAACCACCTGAACCTTCCGCTCACACCTTGGTAACTTACTGTCTTCTTTTCTGTCCTAGATCTTGCCATCAGGGTGGGCACTTTAATGTCCCTCCCTGTGGGCAGCACATCCAATACACTTGCCGTCCCTTTCTTTCCCTCCCTCACCTGGTGACACCCCTAACCTGCGAATGGCCTAGAGTGGTCCCACCTGAGATATTCTCAACCTGTATCCTGAAGCCTCATCACAGCCTCCTCTACTGAGATCCCGGTTCCCTTCAACCCGCTGCCCCTGACTTTCAATCTCCCTGAGCCCGTCCATGTCTGCTCTTCCCATTTCCTCATTCTCTCATCCCCCCCTTTTGGTTTTGCTTCCTTCCCCCTCCCACCTACACTCCAGGGCCTAGCACTTCAGCCCCATTTTTTACAATAGCCCCCTTCCTAAACCAACAGCCTATGAACCTGCTTCGTAGTGCACAGCCAGCAATGAAGCAAGAAAAGAATCGAGCACATAGCCCCAATATGTTCATAAATCGCATACATTTTACTACTGGGCTGACATTTTCTTCATTTTAAAACATATCACGAAAATGGAAAGGCACAAATGACATGATTTTAGAAGGCCAATATAATAAGCATTTCAGTATTTTCTGCCCATTCCCATTGGAGCATTTTGTACAGCCCCTGAGGGTGTGTGTACTCCAGTTTAGGGACCACAGCCCTAAACCCTATCACTCTCTTCTCCTTCTGTCACATCCACCCTACAAAGCCATCCCTGAGCCAGTCTAGTCATGAGTGTCCTGTTCTCTGCCAGGTGTCTAAGTGGTGTTAGAAGACACACTCAGTCCCAGTAACCTCTGGATATACTCTTTCAGCTCAGGGCAATGTCACTGAGAGCCTTCAAGGGGCAACAGTGAAGCTAGTTTGCAAGAAAACGTCTTTCATCTTCATCTATTGCCAGCACCCAGCACAGTGCCTGGCACTTGCCTGTGACCATGAATGCATTGATCTGTGCACACATGTGGCATCCACATCGCTCTGCCTACGTGGTTACCAAGGCATGAAGAGAACAATAGAGAGAGCCCTGACAGGTCAGGACATCCCAGCTGGGGCGCCTTTAGTTCTGAAGCTGTGTGAGGGTACCTTACCCTCACAGCACCTCTGTCTGCCCATAATGGCCCAAGCAATAGACTGGCCCTCAGAATGTGCCTGAGGCAGTTTAATTAAGGCCATTTTGGCACTTGACTATTCCAGAAGGTTGTATGGAGGTGGGAAATAGGGCTCTTTCAATCTTCTCTTCAATGCTGGCAGCAACCCTGGCTCAGGGCACAGCTGTACCCCCATTTCCTTCAGATGTCCCCTCACAGAAGGATGCCGCTGTCAGAGCAAAGGGGTGAGCAGGAGAGTGACAGAGCTTAAAGAGCAGCCTCCAGTGGACACAATGTAGACTGGATTTGAGCAGGGCCTCCAGGGTAAGCACAACGAGAGGTGCTGGAAGAGCCAAGGATATGTGTTTGACCTACCTTCCTCTCTGGCCATGGAGGGCATCTCTTTCTCTCTGTCTCTCTCTGTCTCTCTCTGTCTCTCTCTCTCTCTCTCTCTCTCTCTCTCTCTCTCTCACACACACACACACACACACACACACAGAGAGAGAGAGAGAGAGAAGACAGCTATGGCACTTTCTCAGGAGGTAAACATGATTTAGGCAAAATTCCCTCACTTCCTACAGTTCTTTTATCTTCTCTTTCTCCCTTCCTCGTCCAGTGTTTCTTAATGACTGGTCATGGACTGACCCCTGAATCAAAGTCACTAAAGCCCTGTTATCAGTGCAGATTCCTGGTGTCATCTCAGACTAAGAGAATTAGCAAGTCTGAAACTGGAGCAAGGGACTCTGCATTTAAACAAAGTTTTGCCCATTAAAGTTTGAGCACCACTGAAAAACTCTCTCTTCTTCTCCTGTGTTCTTCCCAACTATGCATCCCTAATCTGTGGCCTGCATCCATCTAGCCACCATTCCCCTCTGCCCCTCCACTCCTGAGGCCATCATGATGAAGCCAGTGGGAACTCCAGTGGAAGGACCCAGACAGGAATAAGATCACCTGGGCCTTCACCTTCCTTCACCGACCGAGAGCTCTTCTCTTCCTGCGCTTTTATTTTAATCTAGGACATCCCCTCACTTGGCTCCTAGAGGCCCTGTTTCATTTAATTTGGCCTCCTTGCCCAAGCAGAATCCTGGGCAAGCCTGGGAACCTAATACCCTGAATTCAAATGAAGTTGCCTGGAGGAAACTGAATGAATCAGGTAGCTAAGATTTGGCCTAACGTTGATCTATTTTTGGCCAAAGCCAACCTCCACTAATAGGTCTCTACTAATAGACTTGCAAAGATGGAGCTCTGAATCAATGCTAAACAAGAGTTATAAATCATGAAGACGTTTGCTGTCTTTTTACCTCCCAGGGATGGGAGTGAATGGGAGAGGACTCTGACCATGAAGCGCTCTAATCTAAACTCGGAGAAAATTCTCCCAGCCATTCTTCTGCTCACAGAATTTCCGCGGCACCAGTCTCCCTGCAGCTTTGACAAGTGAGCTATTTTAGTATGAGAACAAGTAGAGTTATTGTTATCTCTGCTCTGAATCAAGGATAAAAAGAAAAGGTGAGCGGGAGAAGGAGGGTGTGAGAGAGAAGAACTGGGGGTGAGGTGCGGAAAAGCAGAAAGGACTTCAGATACCGAAAGAAAAGGAGCCAGGTGCTCTTCCCGGCAAGGAAGTCACCAGCCGGCCGGTTTGTGGATTGAAATCAGCACGTGACCCCTCAGCAACCATAGTAACAGTCCCTCCCTCTGGTCTCACAGGGCTCTGGAGGGGTGAAGACAGCACGATACATGCCAAGGTGCCTTGTCAGTGGTGAAGTGTTGTCTACACAGGGTGGCAGCTCCCTGTTTGACCAGGGAGCTACTGCGCCTTTCCCACAACCCCACCCAAAGACTCAGGACGGCCCAGGCCAGAAGGAAATTTAGACAGTAGACCCTCCGTCAGCAGATACCTTTCCCTGCTCTTCCTACCGGGTCACCTAGACCCTTAACAAGGGTGCTATTTTAGCAAGAAACTGAAAATAAAAAGAGAATCTGCCCTCCGAACATGCTGAACACTTATTTTAGCACACAGCCCCATGGAGGGTCAGCGCTCCACGCATGTTTTAAAGCGTTTGTGCCTATTTATTTTGAGACCGGCAGGGCCTGAGTGAGCCACAGCTTCCTGGATTCTGCTTTGTCAGCAAGGAAGATTTGCTGCCATAGATATGCTGAGCTCCCTCTGGGGCCCCCCTTCTCCTGGAATCTGACTGAGATGAGAAGTTTATCCCAGCACTTAAATGAAGAGACTTCCTCCAGCTCCCACTTCTGCCTCACCCCTCCGCCTACCACTGACAAACAGGCCTGGCTGCAAGGTGTGCGTGTCACCAGGACCTGGCCACCAGAGGGCGACAGAGAGCAATGAGGGTCGAACAGTTTCCCAGAAGGAGCCAAATCCCCTGACACATCTGCTCCCTCCTCCAGCCCAAAAACTGCCAGACTTGCTAGCATTTGCCAGTCCACCGAAACAAACATCTCACCTTCATCGTACAGTTCCTTGGTAAACTCTTATTTTCTTCTTTATCAAGTTTGGATGGAAAACAAAACAATTAATTTTAAGAGCAGCACACAAGAACCTAAACATTATTTATGTCTCTAATTATCTTGTTCTGGTGGGTATTTTAGTCCCTGTCTGGTCAGCACATTAATTATCTTCATAACTACAGCAAAAGTTAAATAATAAGCACCCAAGGCTACAGCACTACTGTAATGTGCAAGCTTAAATGAACTTATAAATTTTATTAATGGATGCTTTATACAACTCCTTATATTATAAATCAAACAAGAAACCTATTTCTGTCTTTTAAGGGTATGGTGAAAAAGCTTTAACATTATTGAGGATAATTTTTATTAAGTTTAAAACTCCCTTTTTCCAGTAATGAGACTGTTATGAGGATAATTTAATCTAGTTTGTCATGAGGCACCCCGGCTTGTTAAATAAGTTAATAAATGACTGTGCATTAATCAAAGTGACAAAGCTATGAAGAGCTGGGGATGGGAGACAATTCTGGTGATAGTATTAATTAGTATTTAATTAGAAACTTAGGGCCCATAAATAAAAAAAAAATCATGGTAGAGACATTTATGCAAATTGCTCAGAGCCTGCAGTGGAGTTAGCTTTGCTTTAAAGAAACATGATTTTTTTTTCTAACATACTGTACACGGCAGCACTGTGGCCACATCACGTGGCTTAAACGAGCTCTTCTTTTGTTTCCAATTTGTTCCAATTACAGGCCTGTAAATTCAAATCATTCTTTTGACTGTCTTGATTGAAATGTAGAGTTTCCACAATTTCTACTGGGAGTTCTGTTTTTTTCTTCTTTTAATAAAAAAGGAGAAGTGTTTTAAAGACATAAAGAAGAGCTTTAGATTCTTTTTCTGCTCTTTTAATTAAGATGTGTGCCACCATTTTCTAAGAACAATTGTGGATTCCATTTGGTACACAAACAATGCCTCCTTTTTCAATCCTGGTGAGCTGTAACTAGGTTTTGTTATGTGATATAATATTGAAGACTGCATAGATTCAACTGCCATCATTTTTATGATAATCATAGCACTTTTAGCTTTTCTCTCAATAATGTACTTGGATAAATGGGCAATTTTTGATGGCCCAAAAAGATAATAACCGTTTGGTTCTGAACGTCACTGCTTTCCTAAGGTACATGTTCCCCCTTTTCAGACTTTATTATTTGTTGCATTTATTCAAGAAAGGTTATCCACAGTAAAACTGCTTTTTCTATTCAACAGTCTATCTCTGTCATGGTTCATTTATGTGTGAGCATGACGGACTGAAGCCCGTATTATCCACAGCTGACAAGTGTCAGGCCGACAGTTCAATCAGCCCTTCCTCGAGATGATGCCCAGGGCCCCGTGTTTGAAGTAGGACAATAAAGCAGGCAACACAATCCGGGCAAACTGATCCGATCCCTGTATGTAAAGGGGATTCTGCTTAATAACACAGTGTGGTTTTTTTCCCTCTCCAAACACATTAGTCCTTAAACAGTGAGTTGGCCCTTAAGAAAATCTGTGACTGACATGAAAATGCTGAAGTTTTAAGGTGGTTGGTTTATCCGTAACCTCATGGGGCTGCTTCTTTGTGCAGACTAGTTTTGTCAAAGTCAGAAAAATAATGTATTCAGTGTCTGATCATTTTTAGGGAGTTATTCGAATGGGATTTTAAGTCAGACATCCTGATGTTGACACAGGGATCATTTTCTTGTCCTTTTGTTTTACATTTGTGGAACAGATCATTTGCATTGGCTAATAAAATTAAATCTCTGAAATGCATACAAAAGTGAGTTCCCTTCAGCAACAATCCTCAATTCCCTCCACCAGCCGAGTAAGCAGAGTTGCTGGGTGTGTTTCTTTATATTGGGTCTCTCTAGAACACAGGCTATAATGCAAACATATCTTCAAAATTAGTGCTCCTTCGGCCTGGGTAACACTTAGACTCAAATGTATATTAAAGTATTTCACTACAGATCCTGACAATCAACAGCAGAGCCAAAGTCGATAAAATGCTAATAACCTGCTGCGGTCTGTTCCTTGGAGGACTGGGGTACTGCTGTTGTGCTCTCTTCCAGCCTTCAAACCATTGCAGGCGACAACGGGCAAGGGAAGGCGGCTCACCCCTTTAGAAGGGGCCAGAGCACTACATGCCTTTCATAAGGAGGAAGCCAAAGACCCTCTTAAAGCATCATAAAACCTTCAAGCCAGAAGGCACAATGCAAAACATCAAACCCAACCTCTTCCATACTTGATGAATGAGGCTCAGAGACATTTTTGTGACTTCCAACGTCAGAGAGCTTGTAAGTAGCAGTGGAAGGAAAAGGTTAACAACAACAACAAAAGAATCCTCTGAATTTTGCTTCTCTTTATATGACTTTACTAGGCTGGGCAAGTTAGTGCAGAAGGGACTGATGAAAAGCAGAATCCAGAAGTCAGAACGTGAGGAATGATGCCGGCAACTACCAAACATGACTTCTGTCAATTTCCTTCTTGCACAATGCTGGAAGTCCTAAGTAACGTATTTTCTGTGAATGTTGGTTTTTCTCCGTCTACCCTGCTCTGTCCGAATCTACCCATTTACTGCATTCTCTCCCCCACTTTGACCCCACAGACCACATCACCCAAACACCCTTGGCTGCTGGCTTCCAACTGTATTAGAGACGAGGGGAGGCACTAATGGCCAGTCAAGTGGGAAGAGAGAAGCTACACTGTGTCCTTGTCCCCTGCTTGGACTCCCCATCTCAGAAGAAGACTGTGTCCCTCCAGCACTCCTGCTTCCACCGAGAGGCTCTTCCTCCAGGGCTCCAACTATCATGGGCCCCAGTCCCTCAGTTTCCTCCCCTTGGCCCTTCATCCTTGGGGATACCAGCTCCCCACTGGTGCTAAACTTGGGGTGCCTCCCATCTCTTGTTTGTCCACCTACCTCTGCCCACACTTCTGAAGTAGCCCCTTCTTTAAAGTCTCCAGCAGAACCATCTCCAGTGAGTTCTGTTTCCTGCTGGGACTCTGATGCATTGAGTGATTTGCATTGCTAACTGATCCTACTTCTAGTCCAGTAGTTCTTAGGATATTCTAAAATCCCACAGAGAATCTGATGAAAGCTATAGGATCTCTTCCCACACACACAAAAAAGTCACTTCTGCACATATGCATAAAATTTCAGACAACTGTGGCATGCTCATAGACACTTAAAGGCTATTTACAAATTTTCTAGGGCATCCATGAAACCCCCAATATCAAACACCCATTTGCTCCATTTGATCATATCACGTCCTTCTCAAAAGCCTCTCCTGATGTCAAATCAACTACCAGAAAGCATGAAACCCAGACTCCTCAGAGCAGCATTTCAGGCTAAATCTGCCAGGGCCCCATTAACAAAAGAGCTGAAGGGGAAATTTAATACAGGGGAGTTGTTGCAAAGGTGGAGAAAGAGGTGAAATGACAAGGGCAATGGTAAGGCAATCCAAAGATCAGCACCAGCAGCAAGCCAGGAATGAGGCCTGAGGGTCAAAGGAAAGAGGTGATGTCACCAAAGCCCAGGAGCCAGGGCTGTCCGGGGGAGCCAAAATCATAACAGGGGTCTCTCGACAGGAGCTGGAGTCCAGAAAAAAGACCCAGCCACAGCTGGTGATGCTGCCAAAGCAGAAAGAGAAGGTGAGGACTCTCAGGGCTTCTTTTCTCCTGCAGCTCTCCAGTCTTCACAGACCACATGACTCAGCAGCTAGCTGAGCAAAAGCCTGCAGGGATGCCTGAGGACCAGGGCAGGGGGAAGGCTGCGATGAGCATAAGATACAACAGGCCAGCCCAGGCATGGTGGCTCACGCCTGTAATCCCACCACTTTGGGAGACCGAGGCAGGTGGATCATCTGAGGTCAGGAGTTCAAGACCAGCCTGACCAAAATGGTGAAACCCCATCTCTACTAAAAATACAAAACTTAGCCAGGCATGGTGGCGGGCGCCTGGAGTCCTAGCTACTCAGGAGGCTGAGACAAGAGAATTGCTTGAACCCAGGAGGCGGAGGTTGCAGTGAGCCAAAATCGCACCACCGCACTCCAACCTGGGTGACAGAGCAAGACTCTGTCTTAAAAAAAAAAAAAAAGGTACAACAGGCCAATGAGTCATACAAAAACCCTTCCTGACCTGGCCTCTCCTGCTCATGCAGCCATGATAGAACCTGGGTTCTCATATCTGTTGTGCACTAACTGTGTGTCAGGCACTGGTTCAAGGAGGAAAGCTGCAGTATTCAGCCCAAGAGTTGCAAGTAAATAAGACCGAGCCTGGTGAATTGCTCAGACAGAAAAGTAGCAAGAGTGGTAAATTAGAGCGGGAGACCACAGAGGCTTGGGGAGGCTGGTGGGACGATGTCAGGGGTTTATTCCAGGGATAGGAAGAGAGAGAAACTTGGAACAGATTAATCAGACTTTAGAAAATGTGATTGACAGATTGGGAAGAAACCAAAAAACCACACCCCTGGGTATTCTGCTCTAGTCTTTAAGGGGCCAGATGTACTGACAGCAGTCGTTGTTCCTTGGAAACCCCTGGGGAGCTTAAAAAAAATCATGATGCCTGGGTCCACCCAGTGGTGTGCTAGAGCCAGTTCTTCCCAGCTCAGAAAAGATGGCTGTTAAATTTTCAGGAATTTTCAGAGCCAATTGTTAAACACAGTCATTATTAAAGATCAAAAGACATAAGCTTATAATTAAATAAGTCATTGAAAATAAAGGTAATAAATACTCAAAACTTATCACTTCATAATAATTTTACTACTCCTATGCTTTTGAGGTTGCTTACCACATCTGAATGGTGGCAACACTATATTAAGACGTGTTGTTATGTATCTCTTCCCAATTCCATGGTCAGTGCCATCACATCGACAGAAATTAGCAAACACTATAAATCAGGGCTTGATTTATCGTATTGTTGATTGTCTACATAAGAGGTTGGCAAATTACAGCCCACAGGTCAAATCTAGCCTGAAGTCTATTTTTGTATGTCCTACAAGTTTGTACAGTTTTAAAGGATTCTTTTTTTGAAGGAGGAGGAGGAAGACATCATTTGTGGTCCACAAAGCATAAAATATTTACTATCTGACCCTTTATTGCAACACTTTGCCAAGCCCTGGTCTATACTTAAGAAAATGTTAATAATGCAAATTAAACTTAATGTACATTGTGTCTGTAACTATTACATTATAAATAGCACAGAAAACTGAGAAAATATTCTCCCAGTGTTGAAAACTATTACCTCATCAGCAAAGAAGTCTCTCATGTGATTAATGAACAAGTAAAATTCCAACATACATCTTCATTGTTTTACTTTCATGTTATCTGTTAATGTAAATGAAAATATCAACCAACATTCATGTTGAAACTACATTCATGGGTCAGTGACTGAATTTGGACAGTAGTCAAGCATTTATTTGTAGACTGATTTTGTCAAATCATGGTTGAATTGCAGCCCTAGGTTAACTACAGACAAAAGAGTTCAGCAAAAATGCAGGAAAGCATTACCTGAGACTCAAGTTGCAGGAGAGCATTCTATAATAAAGAGTATTGTATATTTCATTATTATTTGTAAGTTGTATACCATACATCCTTTTCATCAGTAAAATTATAATAAATTTATCTACATGTATACATGAACACTGGTTTTCCAGAGAGCTGGTTATTAAACTTTTACCAGCACATACTTAGCCTACTCCTAGAGTTCGCTTTAATTGTTCTGGGATGTGACCTTGGCATCAAAGTGCTTAAAACTTCCCCCATGTTACTCCGATATATAGCCAATGCTGAGAATCTCTGGCTTGGGGAAAAGGCAAAAATGCAGGCCATAGAATCCCTTAAGATTTTATTCCCTTTGGTCAGAAAGTCCACTTAAGCCTGCCCATGATGGCCCTGGGAGTGAGAATGAGGTGTGTGTGTGTGTTAAGAGTAGGGGAGGATAGGGGGCTGCCTCAGGAACTGGACACACTTCACAGGGTCAATTATAAATCAGTTGTTTGATTTATAGACACATCTGACCTTTATCCACCCTCTCTGAACAAAATTTTCCTGGAGCAATGTTCTCACAGTCTCCTAGACATGCTGCTATTCTTTCTTTTCCCAGAGTTACTCTCACTCTAACTCCACCAAGGACCACTTTTCCTCTTCTGTTTCTTACCTCAATTTTACCCATCCCTCACACTGCAGCTAGATATCCCATCTTCTATCAGCAATGACAGACCCATTCATGGCCCACTCCAGTTTCGTTCACCCCTTGCTAATGAAACCTTGTTTATTAGGACAGCCCTGTGCCCAAACTAACTATTGTTTCCAGGCCTCCCCTGTAGCCAAGTGAGGCCAGTGGGACACAGTTTTAGCTAACGAGACCTAAGCTGAAGTCTGATGAGGGTTCGGGGCCGAGCATGTGCTTTCCCAATAGACATGTTCAAGGCAGCTTGGTGCAGACTCTGCCCCGCTTCTCTGCAGCAGTCATTTCCAGAGCATGAGGCAACCAGCCCACAAGCAAAGGACGGAAGAGTAGAAAAGCAAAAGGAGCTGGTGTTTTGATATCGTCACTGAGCCACAACCCCAGCCCCTGGTTTCTTGCCATTGGAAGTCTCATTCTGTGAGAAAAATAAATCCCAAATTGTTCAAGCCACTCCTGGTTGGACATTCCGTGGCTGCAACCAGATGCAATCCTAAGAGAAATGCCAGTCCAGCAATCCCACAGTGATTGCCCCGTCTGTAACTCTAAACTCCTACAGATTTGTTCTGTAGCACCTAGAACAGCAATCTCCAATGAGTGAATTGGTCATTCCCCCAGATGTTTCATTATAAATCAGTTGTCTGGTATTTGGGTGTACTTCCCCTCTAAGATTGGACTATTTCAGAAACTCCAGAGCAAAGGTTGATAGTATGTCAACTCTCGGAATAATGAAGGTGATTAGAAACAACATTTATGCAGACGTAGGCTCACATAGCTTTACAAAGAAGTTGGGTCTCTAACAGTGATTGGTAAATAGAGAAGATATGGTAAAGAAGGATTCCCAAGGATTTAACTTTTGTCCATGACTTACTTTTAAGGCAGAAGGAATGTGTGTAGGTACAGCATGAACTCAGTGGGTGCATGTGCTTACATCAGAATGTAAAGGGTGTAGAGCTTGGAAAGGCCACATCTTAATAGTGCATGAGTCAGTGACAAGTGTACACTGAGCTTAGCAGAGCACATTAGCAATAACTATTACATACACGGTTGCATTCTATTTTTGTATCACATTAACGGATATATTATTGGTAATTGTTCTTAATAGAATCACAGAAATGAGAGATGGAAATGCTATACAGTATGATGGAATGCTTTCTTTTACCATTGATCATTATAATAAGCCTGCTCAGTCATTACTTACCAACCATACTACAACTTTGCCAATGAGGCAGACCAAAATGAGGAGATAAACAAAATTGGTTTCCTTGCTAAATGCAAAGCCTAAGTTTTAAGATATTTTGCTGAAGTTTTAAACTGATTGTCAATTAGTCAATGAGCTATGGCAGGCAGTGTATTTCTGTGTAATTAGTGTGTGTCTTAGGGGGGTTATTTGGCATGAGGCTGAGGGCAAAGTAATTTGTATCTCCCAGGAAGTGCAATAATTGCCTCAAGCTGAACTGCTTCGAAAGTGTATTAATTCTATTAGGAAACATTTATGTTATTTTTATATGGCATCCTATATATTCATGAAATGTACTCATAGACCATGAATTATTCATTTTGGAGGCTCTGCCACATGAGTATGGTATCATTGATAACCAGGGAAAAGAGTGGGGTTATTTCTCCCCTTGGAGAAGGCACGCACTGTTGGAAAAGATGCATGTTGGGTTTTGAAATCCATCTCATTAGGAGACCACTGAATCCTAACAGGCAGAAGAGGTAGTTTTCAGAAAGCTAAGTCAAAGGTAACACCATTTGCTTGAAACTAGCTGTTCAGGAAGCCAATAGGCCTTCTGTTTGGGTTTGTTATGCAGTCTGTGTGAGAAGACATGTGAGAGCAGAGAGCTATGGTGATTACAGGCTAGATCTTGGCACATTTGGACAACCGCTTCCCCATCCCTGTTCAGGAGGTTCAGGGCACAACTAAGCCATTCATTCCTTCATTCATTCAACAAGTATTTCCAAATGAATGCTCAGTGTGCTAGTTATCAATTGTTGTGTAACAAATCACCCCAGTTTAGCAGCTTAAAACAGCACGGATTGTCTCACGGCTTCTGTGGGTCAGAAATCACATATGGCTTAGCTGGACCCTCTGTGTTCCGGTCTCTCACAAGGCTGCAGTCTAAGGCCAGCCCAGGTCCTGTGGCCTCCTCTCAAGGCTCCTCTGGGGAAGGATCTGCTTCCAAGTTCTGTGCTAAGGCCTCAATTTCTCAAGGGCTGGTGGACTGAGGCCCGAACTTCCCTGATGGATGTTGACCAGAGGCCAGCCCTGGTTCCTTGCCACAGGGGTCTCTCCAGTACAAAACTTGCTTCATCAAAGTGTGAATGCCAAAGAATGTAGTAGAAAGAGTCTGCTGGCGAGACATAGGTCACTATCTTTTGAAACTTAATTGCAGAAATGACATCCCGTCACCTTTGCAGTCTATTGATTCAAAGCAAATCACTGGATTCAGATGACACAGAAGGAGAGGGGACCACACATGTGCATGAAAACCCAGTGGTGGGATCTTTAGGTCCTTTGTTAGCCTGCCTGCCATGGCCAGCCTCTGCCCTCATAGCTTCCTAGTCTACCAGAGGTTCTGGAGGCTGAAAGAGAATAACAAGAGAGACCTAATGTAGGGTGGGTGAGTAGGGGAAGCCTCTCTGCATAAGTGACATTTAATTTGAAGACTCAATAATGAGGAAAAGTTAGTTAGTACAGAGTTGGGGAAGAGCATGACATGTTTGAGGAACTGAAATGAGATCTGAGTGGCAGGAACAGAGTGCACAGGGGGAAGGTGGGACAAGGTGAGGTTGGAGAGGTAGGCAGGGGCTGGATCGTGCCAGGTTGGAGGTCAGGATGAGAAGTTTAAATTTTATTCTGAGTGCAAGTGGGAAGCCACTGGAGGATTTTAAGCACAGAGTGACATGATCCAATTTACATTTTTAAAAGATCACCCTTGCTGCTGCACAGAGAGTGAATTGGAAGCAGAGAGAGCAGTTAGGAGCCTCTGCTGGCAAAAGGTGGTGATAACCTGCATTCGGAGGTGGTGGGGAGATGGAGCGAGGCGGATGCATATGGGATGAGTTTAGAGTTTAAAAACAACATTCTCAGTGAGAATATGTGTCCATCAAGTTACCAGGTTATTTTACTCCTTCTTCTCTTTGTTCATTTTTTAAGAGAAATAAAGAGAAAGATGAAGAAAGGATCACATAAAGCTGATGGGAAGAGAATAAGGTGGACATAGTAAGACATCTGAGGCTGAAAAGGGAGGAAGTAGCAAGTGCACAGGATGGAGCAGAGCATGGGAAGAGCATGGACCCAGCCCTGTGCCCCTAGGCTGGGTCAGCTCGGGGCTTCCATTTCCTCCTCTGTAAAATATCTGCCTTTCAGGATTAGTAAAAGGATTAAATAAAATAATAACCTCGTACAGATCCTGGAAATTTTTTCCATGGCTCCTTCACTCACTTTTTTTTATTTTTTTTAATTTTACAGACAGGGACTCACTCTGTTGCCCAGGCTGAAATGTAGTGGCAACATCATAGCTCACTATCACCCTGAACTCCTGGACTCAAGGGATCCTCCTGCCTCAGCTTCCCAAGTAGCTAGGACTACAGGCGTGCACCATCATGTCCAGCTAACTTTTTAAAAAAAATCTTTTGGAGAGACAGAGTCTCAGTATGTTGCCCAAGATCTCAAGCTCCGGGGCTCAAGTGATCCTCCTGCCTCCACCTCCCAAAGTGCTGGGATTACAGGTGTGAGCCACCGCACCTGGCTCTTCACTCACTTTGTTCAGATCTCCACTCAGTTGCCACAACCTCCCTGGCTGCTCCAGCTGAAATAGCACAGCCCCATCTCCATCCCTCTCTAATCCCATACCCAACTCCAGTCGGCCTACTTTCCTTTGTTCACTCTGCATTCTCAAGGCCTAGAAGAGTTCCTGGCATGCAGTGGGTACTCAGGAATATGAGCGGAGTGTGGCAGGGCGTTGTCGCTGAACACCAGCATCCTGCATCCTGGGCAGGCTGTCTTCAGTGCGGGTGTTCCAGATAGCTTGGGGAGCCTGCTTAGGACATAGGTGAGTAACAGCCACTCACACAGCTGAGTATAACTTACATAGTACCTTACAACATACAAAGGACTTTGCATGGGCCCCGTGTTTAAATACTGCTAGCCCATCTCTGAGATAGGTAATGTTCTCATTTACAGATGAGGCAACTGCAGAGGAGAATTAACAAACTTCTCCAAAGTCCAGAAACAACAGACACTGGAAAGCAAGCCAGGGTCCTGCCTTATTACAAATGTACTTCCCAACAGGGTGAAAGTGTGTGTTCCTCCTGACTCACCAGCAGATATACTGACCTGTGTCCACCGGGATCCTGCATCCGGTCCTCAGGAGTCACCTCATTCTGCCTGCACACTTCCAGCCCCTGCTCTGAGAGGGAGCTGATATACAGACACTGCGCATGCAATATACCCAAACTGCACCCAACGGGATTGCAGCAAGACAAGCAGCTGGCTGTATGCTTGCCAGTCAACTTCTCCACATTCCATGGCTTCCTCTTTCCTTCAGAACTCACTTGTGCCTCACTGTACTTCTTAGTTTAATTTAATCCTATAGACTCCTGGCCTGAACACTCTTTATTATTTATAAAAATAAATAAAACACCTTTGCTTTGGCGCTCATGCATTCGTCAAAAAAGTATTGAGTGTCTGCTTGGTGGCAAGTGGAACTGGTCAACCAGACAGACACAGTCTCTACCCTCAGGGAGTTCATATCTAGAAGCAAAAGCAGACTTTAGGTACCAATTATTATTTAGTTAACATTGTGGTTGATGCTATAAAGCATAAGTTCAAGTTGACATGAAAGCTTAAAAGAAGATATTGTCTGTGACCTTGTCTTGGCAGTCCAGGAGGCTTTCTTGAGGAAGAGTCACTTAAACTAGTCTGCAAGGTAGCTAGAGATAGATAAGAAAGTTGAAGAACATCCTAGGCACAGAGAGCAGTATATAAGAGAGCCCTGAGACCTGAAAGAATGTCTAGATACCACAAAAGCAAAATAAAAAACAAATGAACAAACAGAGTAAGCGCAAAGAGGCCTGGCATCAGAAGGAGCTGGAGAAGTTGCTGGCATCCAGGAGGGGCCAGACCCTACCTTACCTACTTCTTGCTCTTCTCCAGAATACACAAGCATGACAAAGCCACAACCTTGGGCTCACTTGAGAGTTTTAACAGAAACATCACTGGCACTAATTTGCACCTAGAAAAATATATTCTTCCCTCTCAGGCAGCATCTTGATCATGTCTTGCCTTGGGAAAGTGTGTAACTTCTATCTTCTTTGTGATGCAGCATGGCTTCCAGCCACTTGTGTCCACTCAGCAGTTGCAGATTTGCAAAGTCGGCTTAGTGGAAGCAATCTGGTTGTGTCTCCTTCCCAGGGAAATGCACCTTCTGCTAACAGCAGTGGGCTCTGATGCATGTGCTTCCAGAAGCTTCCACCTACAGTTGCTCTTCTTCCTCAGTTCCTCTAGGTTGCTGGTTCTCAGGGGTGGGGCACTGTGGAAACTTGAGGGCATATTTTTGGTTGTTCCAATGATTGGGAAGCACTGGTGCATTTATTGGGCAGGGGCAGAGCTGTAGACATTCTGCAATGCCTCATAGAGGTGGTCCCAACCAAGAATTGTTCAATGTCCTACATGACTTTGAAGTCCCACCTGACATACGTATAGGTGAAAAATCTATTTATATTTTTCTCAGACTATGTTTTGCATATAAACACAAAATATTTTTTTGCACAATTCAATATATACTGAATTATCCAATCATGAAACTACAGTGAAAATTGGGGAAATATTTACCTTGTTTTGTTTAAAATCTTCCCCAGGGTTAGTCACCATTTCCAAAAGTCACATCATGGTATCTGAGTCACCAATAGGACACACCTGAATAAAGCTGTCTTTGAAACTCTTACATTCATAATGATGATATATATATGTCTTATTTTATACATGCCAACTCTAAATAAAATGTCATCAATATTTGATTAAATGTTGTTTTACTTCTCCTAAATCCAAGTGCTTCACTATCAGAAGAGGAAAGCTTTGAGGGCTTCTTCATGAGCCCTAGTTCCCTGCTACTACAGGAGAGGTCCAGAGACTGGTAGCATCTGCATTGACTGGGATCTTGTTAGAAACAAGAATCTCAGGCACCACACAGATCCACTGAATATGAATCTGCATTTTAATAAGATCTCCAAATGAGTCATATGTACTTAAAATTTTGAGAAGCTCTCTTCTAGTTTCCACAGTCCTGAGCATTGAAAAAAGTATTCTTTGATTATAATTTACTCTCCTTTTACTTCTCCTCTTTATTACAGTTAGGACATTACATTAAATTTTTAAATTATATGTAAAGTTGGGTTAGATTATCAATGAATTTTATCTAAAGAAAGTGATGGAAGTTACAAAATCTATTTTAGTGAAAGAGAGTGCTGGGTCTGATAGGGCTGAGGATGCTGCTCCAGGATCGCTTGAATTCAATAGCTGGGTGTGAGGAACTGCAGAGCTTCTAAACAAGAATAGAATACCAGAGTCAAATTTCTCTGGACTTGGCCATTTATAAACCCTGATGACCCCTACATCTATATTTCCAGCTATGAAATAACATGTCTTGCTCTCAGAGCACACTAGATATATCCCTGCTTTCTAAATAAACATTGGCACAGATTAAGTGTCCTGCTACCTCCTACGGGGTCAGGCTGCACTCACTTAATTATTCCGGAAATGTTTGTTGAACCCCTTCTACATGCAACGCAACATCACAGTGATGTTAGTCATATAAAGACAAAGCCCACCTTTGTGGAGCATAGGACAGTCTAGAGGAGAGCCAAGATGCTCACAAACAAGTGGATAAAGAGTTAGAAAGTGGTAAGTGTCCTGAGAGAGGTACAGGTAATATGAGTCACATGAGAATGTGAAAGGGACAGAGATTACTTAGAGACCATGGAAAGGTCACCTAAAGTCAACTGAGCCTTCTGGGACTTCCAGGAAACCCATAGCTTCCCTCAGCAGCTCTCTGGCTCCCCAAGCAGCTATTTAAACCTTTTCTGCTCTCCTGAAACCTAGGTTGCTACCTCTGCCCCGTCAACCTCATCAGCTGACCTTGTTCCCTTATTCTCAAAGTAAACTAAATCACCTGGTGGGAACCCCTTCCGAGTCTCATCACTACCTTCCTGCATCCTCACTGGCCCTGTTTCCCTCCCTCCTGTCGCTGTGACAGGGCTCTCCCTACTCCTGGGTAAGGCTCCTTTGCATCCCATCCCTCCTTTCTACCACCTCTTCAGATACCTCTCTAATGTGTGTATCATTCTCTCCCTCCCCTGTAGGGTCAACATTTCCATCTCTACTGGATCCTCCATATTAACTTTTAAACCATTTTAGCGTCTCACAATATTATTAGTATTATTTTGAGACAGAGTCGCACTCTGTCACCTAGGCTGGAGTACAGAGGTGCGATCTTGGCTCACTGAACCTCTGCCTCCTGGGTTCAAATGATTCTCCTCCTCGTCCTCCCGAGTAGCTGGGATTACAGGTGTGAGCCACCACACCCAGCTAATTTTTGTATTTTCAGTAAAGATGGGGTTTCACCATATTGGCCAGGCTGGTCTCGAACTCCTGACCTTAGGTGATCCACCCACCTCAGCCTTCCAAAGTGCTGGGATTACAGGCGTGAGCCACCATACCCAGACTTAGTGTCTCACAATATTATTTTTTAACCATCACCCAAACCCACCTTCCACTCAAGCTTCTGGCCTCTCCTCTCCTGCACAACCAAACGTTCAAAAATACAATGTGTCTGCACCCTTTATCTCCACATCTCCAACTGCAACACACTCTTCAACCCACTGCAACCAACTTCTGACCTCATCACTCCACAGAAGCCCCTGCCACCCGTATCACCATCCACCTGCTTGTTACTAAAACCAATAAACTCTTCTCCATCCTCATCTCACACGAACTTGCAGCATCATTTGACACTGTCAGCCTGTCCCTTGAGAAAGCTTCTTCCCTTGGTTTCCATGACACCGAACCCTGTCTATCCTCCCTACCTCTGACCTTTCTCTCCTTCTCAGTCTTCTCTATGGGTTACTCATCTCTGAAACCTGGTGTACCTTGGGGTTCAGTCCAAGGCCTTCCTCTCAATAAACACACTCTCTGGACCTGGCCACTTATCTCCTTTAAGGACTCCTATATCTATCACTCAAGCCCAGTTTTCTCTCTTGGGCAGACTTTTAGACAACTCTATTTGTATGTTCCAAAAGTACCTAAAACTCATAATATTCAAAACTAAATTAATTCATCATCTCCCTCCCCACCTGATCGTCATCCCTTGACCTCCATATCAGTGAATGGCAACAGGGTTCACTCATTTGCCCAGGCTAGAAACTGGGACATCATCCTTGCCTCTCCCCATATCTCCATACCAAATAAGTCACCCTTAATCATGCCTTACCCTGCAGCAAGTCATCTCACATGCCAGCATGATCCCTTCACCTCCCTGCTTAAAACCTACCCACAGCACCCTCGTTGCCCTCAGGATAAAGCCCAACCACAGTGAATTTCTTCTAGCACTCTACTTCCTTTTCATTCATCCTCCAACCTCAGACTACCTTGTTCTTTCTAAAGTATCAATCTGGTCAAGTAACCCTTGCCCACTTGCTTCCAGAAGCTCTGGTGGATCCCATTGCCAACAGGGCTGAACCAAACATCTTAGTGTATTAGGTTCTGTTAGAAGAAATATTAAGCATTCAGCATGGCTGGAATATTGCTCAGCATGTCTGTGGCACAGTGTCCTTCAGGAGTGGAAGAGAAGAGAAGAGAGGTGCATGCAGCCAGGTCAGTGTATTGGGTCATTCTTGTATTGCTATAAAGAATTACTTGAGGCTGGGTAAATTATAAAGAAAAGAGGTTTAATTGGCTCACAGTTACGCAGACAGCATAAGAAGAGTGGTGCCAGCATCTGCTTCTGATGAGCTTCTGGTGAGGGCCTCAGGAAACTTACAATCATGGCAGAAGGTGAAGGGGGAGCAGGTGTGTCGCATGAAGAGAGCAGGAGCAAGAGAGAGAAGAGGGAGACGTCACACACTTTTAAACAAGCAAATCTCATGAGAACTCACTATTGCAAGGACTGCACCAAGCCATCCATGAGGGGTCTGCTCCCATGATCCCATTACCTCCCACCAGGCCCCACCTCCAACACAGGGGGTCATATTTCAACATGAGATTTGGAAGGGACAAATGTCCAAACTGTATCATTCAGGAAAGGCCTTGTCTGCAAAAATAAGACACACAACTCATCCTGACAGCAATGGAAAACACATCTTGGCAAGGCTTTAAGCAGGTGTGGGGTTCTGTATAGTAGCCACTTTTGGTGCTATACACATCCCCTGGCCGCAGCTCTCCTCTGGCTTCAGCCTCGGCTGTGGTGGGCAGTTCCACATGCTTTCAGGCTCTCCTTGAGAGAGTCCAGCCACAGGCATGACCCACCTCAAGCTTAGACCAGCTACATTTTTGCTTTCTGCCTTGGGGACTTCTCCAGGACAAAAACAGTCACAAATGTGCAAACCTCCTATGGAGAACTGTGCACACACACGTGTACACACACATGCGTGTGCACACGCAATTCCCAACAGCTTCAGGATAAGAGAGAAGAAGGAGGCAAGGCTAAGTTCAATTGTCCAAGCCTGGCTGACTGAGAAATTGCAGGTGCTGCTGACAGAAACAGTGAGGGCCCCACTGGAAGACAGAGGCAGCCTGGGGTTAGAAAGTCCATGCATGGAAAAAAGAGCGGCAGGGAGGCACACCATAGGAGAAGTGGAAGTAGCTAGGGAAATTCAACCTACAGAAGAGGAAACTTAGAGAGGACAAAGAGCCTTCTCTCAGGAAGTAGAGTCCAGAAAAGGAAGGAAAGAGAAGGGTATGAGCTAAGGGCAGAAATCACCAGCAGGTGGATCACAGCTCAGTCTATGAACGTACTTTCTCATCCCTACTGTAGCTGTGAGGGAGTGTGCATCCCTACCCTAGGACTCCTCAAACAAGATGTTCAGGAGGTTGCAGATCAGATTCCAAAATCCCAAGGGCAGGTCTAGCCAAGTGAGGTTAGATCCAACTCGGAGAGTCTGGAGTTGTTCTCTCACTTCCATTTCCCTCCCTCTCATTCCTGATGCTCCCGTCTTCACATGTGTTGTGCAGCCTCATCTTGGGTTTTGCCTCAGGGGCAACTCTGAACAAGACTGGGAAAGAGGAGGCGCTGGCTCTACGTGCCCTGCACCCACTGCCCTCTCCAGGGATCTTTTCTCCTCCCCACCAGGAGCCCAACTCGATCCTCACTCCCCATCCAGACCTGCCACCAGCACTGCTGCAGCCCCAGGCTCTCTAACTCTGGCAAAACATATCTTTCCTGATCTCTGGGGTTAGACACTCTAATACACTGAGCTGTGCCCTTGACTTGAAGAAAAGTGACTTTATTTGTACACATGGAGACAGACCAAAGAGCCAGGTGCAGCTAGTCAGATGGGCTTTTAGTATCCCCTCAACCACACCACACACACACTCCCCTATTCCCCTAGGACACCCCTTACCCTAAAATCTTCACAGAGCTTTTCTGACAGTGGTTCTCAGAAAGGGCAAAGACTGCTTACACGTTTTGAGTTATACAATTTTTTTCCCAACGGTATATCCTTTGTTGTCCTCTTCTGGACAAAGGCGGACCTTTGACTCAAAACATTTGTTTAGGAGAGCAATATTCACTCATACACACAGACACGTCTATAGAGAGAGAGATCCGTTTGTTTTGAAATCAAATTGGCAAATTCATGATCCAATCTTCTGTAGGCAAAAGAGTTTCTTTGAACAAATTGTAAGCAAAGAGAAATTATTTCAGGTCCTTCATTCAACAAAAAAATTTTTTAAACACCTACAGCGAACTAGGCACTAACAGGGACAAAGAAAGAATTTCAAACGCATCCCTTGTGCTTAGAATTGCACTGGGAAGAAGAGACACTCAAATGTAGGAAGCCAAGTGACAACGCAGGCAGCAGGATAAGGTGAGGGCTGTATGGCTGGACAAACCCAGTGGCCCCTAAACCCTAGGATGCCTTAGAATCCTTGGGGTGTGGAGCCGTTAAAAATGCACAGTCCTTGGCTCTACCTAGGAGATCAGATTCACTAGGTCTCCAGTGAGTCCCAGAAATCTGCATTTTAAATAAGCTTTTAAACTATTCGAATACACGTGGTCCACAGACCACCTTTGATGAACACTAGTCCAGTCAGCAGTACTCTGTAGATGTCCAGAGGGAAAGGAAGCCCACTGGGCAGGCCCAGGAAGAGAGCTATTTTTGTGTTTAGACATGAAAAAGCTTACAAGGAATCCTTTTCTTTCCTCTGCTGCACAATTGAGTGTTTTGAAGGAGAGCCAATACCTTGCCATTATCTGGAGAATGTGCAATCGGCACAAGGAATAAAAAGGGACGCATACAGCTGAGTCTAGAGCTGATGAAACCAGTTTATCTGAATCTGATTCCAGGGCATTTTGATGCTGAAAGGTGGTGTTATGACTCACTGAAGCTTTCACATCTATTGTTTTTCTTTTCCTGGGTGGCTTTGCCAAAGACCTTATAGATATCATTATTTTCAGATTACTGTTATTACACACATTCTTCTTGAATAAAATGCTACCTTATTTTTATCTCCATAGAGCAAAATCAAGTTTCGGTTGTTTTCTTATCTTCATATGTAAAACAGTCCCAGCGGTTAAGTCTCAGATGGGAAGAAAAATTAACTAAAGCCTTGAGCAGAGATGTCCAGACTGAAGGCTGACTTAACGGTTTCCCCATGACCAAGTGGACAGGGTGGCACACCCAATTCCCTGGACACATGCCAGAAACTGGGCTTAACCTGCATCATGAGCAAATAAAGTTTCATTTAAAGAAAAGAGTTTCTGCAATTTAGCAAAAATGAGTGACTGACGAGTAACACTATCCAGAAACTGACAGATTGTCAAACCCGCCTGCTACCCCTGGGTCATTTCAGCCATGGAATTTCTGGCCCAGTGAGAGCAAAGTCATTGCTTTCTCCCTTGACAGATTTCTCTGTGGAGAGTTCAGAACAGAAGAGAGAAATATCTGCAAGCTTTCTGAAAGCCATGGGGAAGCTGTGGGATGTTGTGTCCGGTGCCTGCGTCGGGCTCCATCTCTCTCCACAGCAGCTCTCATATGTATTTATGAAACCGTATGAGGCTCCCTGGTGGGTGGCACTTTATGGGTGAATTACTAGCTAAAATTCAAAGGGGTTTTGATGGCAAATAGTATTTTATTCAATTCATAAGCTTCTTCTCCTAATTCAGCATCTAGCCTTAAAAATAGACCTTTAGCAGAGGTTGAGCAAACACCTGCCTGTTTTGCTTTGGCCCAGAACCTGGGCTTGTCTCAGACCAGCTGGTTCCATATGGGCCTCTGTAATACGGTGGCCTGCAAAATACAGGATTCCCAGTTAAACTTGAATTTCATTACAAAGAACAAATCATTTGCAATATAAGTATGTCCCTGCAGTGTTGGGGATAGACATGTACTAAAAAATTTACTCTTTGCTTTTTGGAAATTCAAATTTAACTGAGCATCTTGTGGTTTTATTTGCTAAATCAGGCAGGCCTACTCTGTCCCAGTGTATAAGCATCACACCGCCCTTGGTTCTTATCCAACATCCAGACCTATACTGGGGCTTCTCAGAATGGGATTCCCATGAATTTGGGATGCCCTGAGAGGTAGCGTTAGTAGTGAAAAAGGGGACCCTGCAAGGTGGAGGCCTCAAAGCCAGTTATTTCTGCTGCCGCCCTACCCAAGGAGAGTGTAGATGGAAGTAAATATCTAAATGCCCTCATTAGGGTGGGGCTGTTCCAACACAGGAATTACGACACACGGCCAGACTCAGAGGCTGCCCTCTGTTCTGTGGCAAAAGGGTCCCAAAGTACAGCCCACTGCTTAGCCTGACTGCCCTTCCTAAGTACTTCTTAAAGACTGCGTGTCCCAACCGGGCTCAAGCCTGTAATCCCAGCACTTTGGGAGGCCGAGGAGGGCTGATCTCGAGGTCAGGAGATCAAGACCATCCTGGCTAACATGGTGAAACCCTGTCTCTACTACAAATACAAAAAAATTAGCCGGGCATGGTGGCGGGCGCCTGTAGTCCCAGCTACTCGGGAGGCTGAGGCAGGAGAATAGCGTGAACCCGGGAGGCGGAGCTTGCAGTGAGCAGAGATCGCGCCACTGCACTCCAGGCTGGGCGACAGAGCGAGACTCCGTCTCAAAAAAAAAAAAAAAAAAAAAAAGACTGTGTGTCCCACTTTATCTGAGGGGCCAATCTGCTCAAGACATTTTTGAGCTGCCAGTCCCGAACTGCGTGCTTAAGCCCCAAGAGCTAGCAGGTATCCGCAGAGCCCCTGCACAGGGCTGCTGGGAGTTTCCATTGGCCACGCCTTCTGACCTCAGTTCTGCACTCCCATGCTCATTAGCTCCCTGCATTCTTGGATGCTCTTGAATATTCCCCTGCTCACCCTTCTTCTCTTGCCTGGTACAACCTTGGTAGCCTGACCCCAGAACTGGGCTGCTTGCCCTGGGCACCAGTTGGCTTTGTTCCCAGGCATTACTGCTGGGATTCGCTCTGGACTCTGAAATATGCCTCCTCAGCCAGCCCGACTGCCCAGATCCCACCAGCCTGCTCTGTCCAGAGAGATGAGACATTCGGACTATTCAGTGTCCGTTCATGCCATCTGCTGGGATCATGATTTCTATACTCTGGTCACACATTACATGAATAATACTTCCCCCATTTCCTCAAAAAGATCCTCAGACAAGCTCAACCCCCATGTGCTAGTAGTTCAGGATTCTATGACCATCCTAAGTTTACACAACCACTTGGCCTTGGCTGGCCAAGACATGATGGTGTGGGAGCCTAGGAAGACCCTTCAGAGACGGCAGCAACCAGACTCCTCTTCTCACAGTCCCCCTCCAGCTCTGGTCTGTCCTCCTCACACAACCTCCCCCTCACAGTTTTGGGGTCTCATCTTTGGACCCTCTCTTGCCCCATTTTCCAAACACATCATCCCTGGCTGTATTAGGGGTCTCTGGGGCAGCCGCACTATGCTTTGATAGAGGGATGAGGTAAAGTTATTTTCCACTTTATTAACCTGAAAAAGCATAAACCGACCAAGTTTAGGGGCCTGAAGCATATTCTAAACAGACAGTGTCTCCTCCCTGACCCAGTTCTCTTACGGAATCATGGGAACCCATCTCCTCGACTTAGCAGCGGCAGACAGGCTGGTGTTTCTTGGCATTGTTTTCTAGGGCTGAAGCTGCAGTTTTCCTGATTTGGCCCTTGCATATTATTTAATTGTTTATCTTGACATACAGGTTTATCCCAGAAGGGGATGTTTAAAAAGTGGCATGGAGACCCTGGCTATAGACAGAAATGCAGCTTAACTTACCTTGGCTTCCTTCCTGCCAGACTCCTCCCAATTATTCTGCAGGCTTCTTTGCCCTGAGGGCAGTTTGCAGCTCCAGGGACTGGAATTGGCTTAAAAAAAAAATTCCTTCCTCTCTGTGCCCCATGTGAGGGAGCATTGTGTTCTCTCTAAATAATCAGCCTGGCTTTGTGTGACCTAACTGGACAGGGCCCTTTGAGAGATTTTTCAGTTGCAGAAAGAGCAGTCAGTGGCATCCTACAAAATCAGAAAGTTTTCAGACCAAGGAGAGAAGTCAGTGACAGCAAGATATTTTTTTCTTTAAGTTGTATTGTGACTAATTCCTCTCTCCCACTGGTGTTTAGAGTAATTAGGTAAAAGTGCAACAGAAGAATCCAAATTTATATTTTAGATCTAATAAATAATAACATTTAATCAGATGATCCCCATCCATTAACACCAAAATAACAAACAATTCAATGAATTATTTTAGGGTACTTACTATGTGCAAGGCATTGTCAAGGTAATTATTTCTTGCATTTACTGATTTCCTCCTGGGGACGCAGCACTAGCAAGAAGCTAATGGATTAGAAAGAAGTAGAAGGCCTCCAGCTGACAACCCACTCAGAAGAGAACATGGATCAGAATTGCCTGCCTCCATGGCAGGCACAGAGCTGGGAATTCATAAGCAGAAATTACTTCATTCAATCATCTCAATAGCCCTGTGGGGAAGACAGTAGTTCTCCATTTTACAGATGTGGAAACTGAGATCCAAAGACTATGTATATAGCAGGCAGAATGATGCCTCCCCTCCTTCAAAAATTCTGAAGGCTGTGAATAGGTTACCTCAAATGGCAAAAGGGGCTTTGAAGAGGTGATGAAAGGTTTTGCAGTGGGGATGTTACTATCGACTTTCTGAGTGGGCCCAGTGTAATTGCCATGGTCTTTAATAAGGGGGTAGATAGGAAGATAAGAGTGAGAATGACAGGGATGTGACAATGGAAACAGAAATTGGAGTGATGTCGGGTCATGAGTCAAGGAATGCATGCACCCTCTAGAAGCTGGAAAAGGCAAGAAAACAGATTCCTCCCCCTCCACCCCAAGCCTCCTGAAGACGCCCTGCCCTGATAACCCACTGTGAACTTCTGGCCTCCAAAACTGTAAGATATCTTGGTCCATTTTCTGCTGCTGTAACAGAATACCACAGGCTAGGTAACTTATAAATAACAGAAGTTTATTTGTCTTATGGATCTGGAGGCTGGGAAGTGCAAGATCAAGGGGCTGCATCTGGTGAGGGCCTTCTTGCTGTGTCATAACATGCAGAAGGCATTACCTGACAAGAGAGCATGCGAGAGAGAGAGAGGAAGGGAACCAGAACTTCATTCTTCTATGTGGAGCCCACTCCTTTGATAACTAACACACTCCTGTGATTAACAGCCTTGATCCATTCATGAGGGCAGAGCCCTCATGACCTAATCACCTCCTGTAAGACCATGTTTCAACATTGTTACAATGGCAACTAAATTTCAACCTAAGTTTTGGAGGGGATATTAAACTATAGCAGTTATACATTTGTGTTATTTTAAGCCACTGAGTTTGTAGTCATTTGTTGGAACAGCAATAGAAACTAATACAGTATGCCCCATTTGCATTCCACAATGGATTTGAGGTGGTCATAGACAGTTGCTCCAGAGTGGTAGAACCAGTCAGGACTGCATGCTATCTAACTGGCCCCTGGAGTTCTGCAAGGCAGGGGCCCTAGAGCAGGATTCAAGTGAAGTCAATGTGCCCTTAAAGTCTATGTCGTTTCTTTTTTTCTGATCTGCTTCCTCAAGATAAAATTTAGGAGCAAAATGAGTGAAATACCAGAAGAGAAATATTCTGTAACATGACATGTTTAATGAATGAGTAAAGAGTTCAGGAAATGAGTGAGTTCTGAAAATGAGTTACTGGTGCATGCTAAAGTGATCCGGGAAGACTTGATAGAGGCAATATAGTATAACCTGGGCCCTGCAGCATGGACAGATTGGAAGTAGCATTAGAGGCAAACAGGAGGCCTTGCAGCTGAGGGAATGACCTGATAGAAGAAATGCCCCTGGGAACAGAAAGGATAAACCAACCTTCCTAACCTGTATCCCCACCTCCTACCCTCACCCTATTCTCTGCCTGTGGATTCCATTAAATCTTCCAACCAAAGCCTTGGCAAAGGCTTTGAATAACATCCTGTGGTCTTCCTTACTTTACAAATGCTAAGTCTTGACCCAAAGAGATATATTTCGTCTTTCTCGCCCACAGTTACCAAACAGATCAAGTCTCCCAGGTCACTGCTCCCTAGTCATTAGGAACAAAGCGTTTTTAGTTTTTCAAAGTCAACAAGCATACTCTTTGTCTCTGTAGTGGCCAGTTTGATTCAGCATGTCCAAATGAGGAAAATTTGGATTAGAATTCCAGACTTTAACCCTGGCCAGGAAATTTTGTCAAATACAAGGACAGTGACTTGAGAGATACACTCTTAAACCATCTTTAATTTATAATTAAGTAAATTGTAAGAGGGGCAGCATCTGACTAAAAATGGCTCTAAAGCAGAAGATTCAGCCTCTCTATTCCTGTGTTCTGCTGTCACCTGCAACATAACATTGAGCACACTCTGTTACATCTTCTGTGAAATGAGAAATTGGACTTAAAATTCTCTCCATCGCTTCAGATGCTTTGGGCCATGAGGCAACAGAAACCCTGATTCAAAGTGGTTTAAACATTTAAGGAAACGTCCTATCCTGTATAACAGAAAGTAGAGCAGCAGGGAAGCTTAGGGGTTGACTGATTGGGTGGCTCAACAACGTCATCAAGAACCTGGGTTCTTTCTATCTTTCTCTCTCTCTCGCCATACCTGGGTATCAGCTTCATCCTCGTGCTGGTAGTGAGACTGCTGTTGCATCTCCAGGCATCACATTCAGACACAAAGAATCCGGAAGAAAAGGAGGAAGACTCCCCAGAAGATGTCCCTTCACATAGTATTGGCCATTATTGAGTCACATGTGCCAATATCTGAATAAATCACCAGAAAGGAGACCCTCAAGAGGTGATGTTTCAGCCTCTCCTGGGAGTACAAAAGCGGAAGAAAACAGAACAAAATCACAATTCTGTGTGGAAGGAAAATTGGGAGAATTGCTGCTAGACAGAAAATGTATAGTGACCTCTATTCTCTCAAAGGTATTTCCAGCTCTAAAAATTTCATATATTGAAAAGCATTTGTTGCCTAACATGGTTTAAACCCAGACCACCAATTCACATGCCTACATATAACCAAGCACTGTGCTATTCACCCAAGAAACAGCAGTGAGCAAGAGGCATGGAGCTTCATGCAGCGACCAGTCTAAGGGATCCTGACCACATGAAAACCATAACCACCAGTTGCATTGTAACACCTGATTTCCAACAGTGGCCCCGGGTGAGGCCTCATGGTATTGGTGATATAGATAAATGAGAGAAAATAGTTGCTGTTAATTTAAACAAGTTACATTTAAAACATTGACCAATCAACATCCCTGTCTACCCTCGGACAACCTAAAGAACTCTAGTGGTGTTACACAGTAAAAAGCGGGGTAGTAGGTGGTGTGTTACATTTTCTTAAAAGAAAATTCAAATTGGCTACTAGAGTTTTTGACCTCACATTGACCATGGGCAGACTGTGTCTTTTTAAACTCATTTCCAGAGTGCTTGAATGAGGAATGACATTTTTCCTCCTAGTGTAGACCTGGTCCCGAGTTATTTCCTATGGCTACAATGACTATTCTAAGGAATGGAGAAAATAGAGATGGATGGATGTTTGATGGGAAATTTTACACTTCTCGTGAGTCTTTTTTTTTGTGGGGTTCTGTATGTTTGCTCAATTGCAATTACCTGTGTCTTTCTTCTGTGGCTGGATTAGTAACTATTCAATTCATCCAAAGAATAGAACAGTGCCACTAAAATGAGTGTTCTTCTCCCAACAGGATACTTAGGTTTTGACTGAGTAATCAAACTCTGCAAGAAATTTCACCAACATATTTATTATACCAAGTGACAGGAACAGGAGATATGTTTTGTTATATAATATATTATAACTAACTAGAAGAGTAGACCACAAAAACTTCCTTAAACATGAAAGTCACACCTGCCCATGTTCCTACGTACATGCAGTGATAAATTTCTGTCCCCATTTCACAACCAGGTTTACCAGATGACCATGCGAATAAGAAGCATATAAAGCAATAAGTATACTTGAGTGAAAGAATAAAGCATTTTTAAAGTTCCAATTTTTCCACTGAATCATTGCTGCCAATTGTTGAACTATGGGTAGGGAGAGTGGTCTGTTCTTGTTATAAGGCTGGGATTTGCCATATAAAAGTGGGCCTAGACAGCACAGTGAAGCGAATTCTATAATTTCTGCAATTACAATTAAAATCTCTGTTCCCCCTCATCAAGCTTCTAAGCAGACCTACTCACAGATGTTACCCTGCCTCATTTGAGGTCCATTTCTATTTCCCACCCTCGGTGGAGCTGCTAATAAACAGTGAAATGGCCAAACCAAAGAGAGAAAAGAGAGAAGAACCAAAGGCCAGAATCATCTATAAGTTGAATAACTTGTACTTGAAAAACAGTGGTTTAACAGTAACCAAATGAGAGTATGTGCCTGATTTGTCCATTCTCTTTCAGGCTGTCATTTCAGGTCCTGGCTTTATCCTACCTCACAGGCCATGTTATTGAAATAGAAAAGCCACATTAATTTGGTGGAGGCTTCTTATTTGATGTCCTTAAAATCACATATAGCAGTGACTTTTTTTTACAGCATCTTTCACCTTCTTGCATGAGGGTTTTCCTTAGGTGGAGGGCTCTTGAAAGTACTTTGCATTTCATTCTCCCAGGATCTCTGCTCTGACTCTTGATACATTAGTCACAGTTCCAAGAGGGAACAGGGTAAATGACTTCATAGTCAAAACCCAAACCTAAACAGATGGTTCCTTTATCCCAAGAAAATGCAAAGACTTGTAGGTCTCCTGTGGTAATGGGATTTGGCCTGAACGTTAAGGGATACCAGAGTCAGCAGGCTGGGATTCAGGCCTGGGAGCCAGGCATCACGGGCTTTCTTCTTATTTCAACTCCAGGCCAATTGACTATGTGGTCTTCCAGCCAAGTATTTGCCCAGGATATGCTAAAATGACAAATGCCTGAGAAAACCGTAGGTAGGCTGACCCCATTCTCCAAGTGTGGCCTTGAACTACCAAATACATCAATTCACCGGAGGACTTGTTAAAAATACAGATTCCTGGAGCCTGCCCCTGGAACTCACTGGAAAATTTTATGCTCACTGAATTATGAGGACCACTTCTAGACTCTTCCTACTCAAAGTGTGGTCCTGACACCAGCAACATCAGCAACACCTGGAAGGTTGTAAAAGATATAGAATCTCAGGCCCTGCCCCAGACCTACGGAATCAGAACTTGCACTTTAACAAGGTCCCCAGACAATTCCTTGAAGTGTGAGAAACATTTTGCTAGCATGGTTTGGCCCTGTAACCTAGTTCTCATCAGCTGGGAAGTGAGATGCAGCTGGGAAGAGCAATGCAACAGGAAGCTTCTTCTCAACCCTAATCTGCATATTAGGATTCACTAAGGAGCTTTTCACAATACTGACGTCAAGGCCCTACTACAGGCTAATTTAATCCAACCTCCTGGATTAAGAGCTCATCTAATTCCAATGTGTAGCCAGAATTAAGAACCACTGTTCTATAGGAGCAAAACTCAGAATCAAAGCTTAAAGCCCTTGGTACTAACTACCCAGCCAAGTCCCACTCCCCTAAAAAGCAATCCGGCATTTGCTTGAAGGGATTCCTAAAATATTTGCCCTTTCCTAAGAAGAGGCAGCATCGGCCTTTTGAATGGCTACTCATTGTCCATGCTTCATAAAAATATGCTGGGCCTCCACTCCCCGGGAGCTCGAGGGCAGCGTTCCCGTTTCTGTTTCCTTTGTTAACCAAGTCCCAGCTCTGGGCTTCCTCGGGATGGGAAATGGCTCCTTCTGAGGCAGCGTTTCTCTTTGCCTTTTCTGCCCCTGGGATTTGTGATTCTGGACAAGGCATATGCCTTCTTACCATGTCATTTTCCTCATTTGCAGAGGGAAAACACAGTGTCCATTGATTCCTTTGGTTAAGCTGACTGCTGCCCCTGGCTCACGTCCAGTGACTATTTCTCTGTGCAGCAATCCTCAGCTGGGGGCGAGCCAGGAGGGAGATGGCTGCCCACTTAAAGCACAAGCCCCGAGTGCTCTCCGTCCTGTGAGCTCTCCAAATGCCAGCTTGCTCAGCTGATTCACTTTGACGCAGGCAGGTTCATCAGAAAGCCTTGGAACAGGTTGGAGAACAGAAATGCCACTGGATTCCTTTGAATTGTGTGCATTTAAGTGCAGGCTCCAGTAGATCCAGGCTCTAGGACTATAAGCCTTTCTTTTCACAGGAAACCCTCCTAATTGGTCTGATAAACTTTCTGGGACTCAAAATAGAACCACAGCACAGGGAAGTATCACCTTTGTGTCTCTAATTGTTGATAATGTCTGTGTTTCTTTTAATATCTCTATATTACATGCTGTTGCCATCATTCTCCATTTCTCTTTACCCGCTACTACTAATAATATTGAATGCTTTGCTGTGTGCTGAAGCATTTCACATTTGTATTATCACATTATCCTCACCACCATTTTGAGAGGTAGGGGTTATCATTGTACCCATTTCACAGATGCAAAACTGAGGTTTAAATAAGTTCAGTAACTTATTTGTTTGTCCCACATTCCAGGGAGTAAAAGTGACAGAGACTGGCTTCATCCAGATTTATGTGATTCCAACATATGGGACCATAAAACAGGTCCCGTTCCTGTTTATAAAGGTTTCCTGATCCCACTCCCTCAGTGCTTCTTAGGGCCAGGGTCTCCCACACTAAATCTTCCCATCTGGATCTGTTTGTTTGGGGCTTGGCCATAGCATATGGTAGAGTCAAATGGATTCAGGACTAACAATGAGGATAAGGGAGTGGGGAAGGGAGTAAACTTAGATTCCTATTTCTGTCAGATACCAAAATTAATTCCATATGAACTAAAACTTTAAGTGAAACAAGCCGGGCACAGTGTCTCATGCCTGTAATCCCAGCACTTTGGAAGGCCTAGGTGAGTGGATAACTTGGGGCCAGGAGTTCAAGACCAGCCTGGCCAACATGGTGAAACCCCATCTCTACTAAAAAATACAAAAATTAGCTGGGCATGGTGGCTCATGCCTGTAATCCCAGCTACTCAGGAGGCTGAGGCAGGAGAATCGCTTGAACCCAGGAGGCGGAAGTTACAGTGAGCAGAGATTGTGCTACTGGACTCTAGCCTGGGAGACAGAATGAGACTACATCTCAAGAATGACAGCAAAGACAAAAGCTATAAATTAAAATATTACAAATTTTGACTGCACAACATTTTTTGTATTATTATACTTTAAATCCTGGGATACATCTGCAGAACGTGCAGGTTTGTTACATAGGTATACATGTGCCCTGGCGGTTTGCTGCACCCATTAACCTGTCATCTACATTAGGTATTTCTCCTAATGCTCTCCCTCCCCTTGCCCCCACCCCCCAACAGGCCCTGGTGTGTGATGTTCCCCTCCCTGTGTCCATGTGTTCTCATTGTTCAACTCCCACTTATGAGTGAGAACATGGAGTGATTGATTTTCTGTTCCTGTGTTAGTCTGCTGAGAATGATGGTTTCCAGCTTCATCCATATCCCTGCAAAGGACATGAACTCATCCTTTTTTATGACTGCATAGTATTCCATGTGTATATGTGCCACATTTTCTTTATCCAGTCTATCATTGATGGGCATTTGAGTGGGTTCCAAGTCTTTGCTATTGTGAGTAGTGCTGCAATAAACATGTGTGCATGTGTCTTTATAGTAGAATGATTTATACTCCTTTGAGTATATACTCAGTAATGAGATTGCTGGGTCAAATGGTATTTCTAGTTCTAGGTCCTTGAGGAATCACCACACTGTCTTCCACAATGGTTGAACTAATTTACACTCCCACCAAGAGTGTAAAAGCATTCCTATTTCTCCACATCCTCTCTAGCTTCTGTCTTTTCCTGACTTTTTAATGACCACCATTCTAACTGGCATGAGATGGTATCTCATTGTGGTTTTGATTTGCATTTCTCTAATGACTGGTGATGATGCGCTTTTTTTCATGTTTGTTGGCCACATAACTGTCTTCTTTTGAGAAGTGTCTGTTCAAATACTTTGCCCACTTTTTGATGGAGTTGTTTTTTTTCTGTAAATTTGTTTAAGTTCCTTGTAGATTCTGGATATAAGCCCTTTGTCAGATGGATAGATTGCAAAAATTTTCTCCCATTCTGTAGGTTGCCTGTTCACTCTGATGATAGTTACTTTTGCTGTGCAGAAGCTCTTTAATTCAATTAGATGCCATTTGTCAATTTTAGCTTTTGTTGCCATTGCTTTTGCTATTTTAGTCATGAAGTCTTTACCCATGTCTGTGTGCTGAATGGTATTGCCTAGGTTTTCTTCTAGGGTTTTTATGGTTTTAGGTCTTATGTTTAAGTCTTTAATACATCTTGAGTTAATTTTTGTAAAAAGTGAAAGGAAGGCGTCCAGTTTCAGTTTTCTGCATATGGCTAGCCAGTTTTCCCAATACCATTTATTAAATAGGGAATCTTCCCCATTTCTTGTTTTTGTCAGGTTTGTCAAAGATCAGATGGTTGTAGATGTGTGGCATTATTTCTGAGGCCTCTCTTCTGTTCCATTGGTCTATATACCTGTTTTGGTACCAGTAGCATGCTGTTTTCATTACTGTAGCCTTGTAGTATAGTTTGAAGTCAGGTAGTGTGATGCCTCCAGCTTTGTTCTTTTGGCTTAGGATTATCTTGGCTCTGTGGGCTCTTTTTTAGTTCCATATGAAATTTAAAGTAGTTTTTTCTAATTCTGTGAAGAAAGTCAATGGTGGCCTGATGGGGATAACATTCAATCTATAAATTACTTTGGGCAGTATGGCCATTTTCATGATACTGATTCTTCCTTTCCATGAGTATGGAATGTTTTTCCATTTGTTTGTGTCCTCTCTGATTTCCTTGAGCAGTGGTTTGTAGTTCTCCTTAAAGAGGTCCTTCACATCCCTTGTAAGTTGTATTCCTAGGTCTTTTATTCTCTTTGTAGCAATTGTGAATGGGAGTTTACTTGTGATTTGGTTCTCTTTTTGTCTATTATTGGTGTATAGGAATGCTTGTGATTTTTGCACATTGATTTTGTATCCTGAGACTTTGCTGAAGTTGCTTATCAGCTTAAGAAGATTTGGGGCTGAGACAATGGGGTTTTCTAAATACACAATCATGTCATCTGCAAACGGAGACAATTTGACTTCCTCTCTTCCTATTTGAATACCCTTTATTTATTTCTCTTGCCTGATTGCCCTGGCCAGAACTTCCAATACAATGTTGAATAGGAATGGTGAGAAAGGGAATCCTTGTCTTGTGCCAGTTTTCAAAGGGAATGCTTCCAGCTTTTGCCCATTCAGTATGATATTGGCTGCAGGTTTGTCATACATAGCTCTTATTATTTTGAGATACGTTCCATCAATACCTAGTTTATTCAGAGTTTTTAGCATGAAGGGGTGTTGAATTTTATCGAAGGCCTTTTCTGCATTTATTGAGATAATCATGTGGTTTTTGTCTTTGGTTCTGTTTATGTGATGAATTATGTTTATTGATTTGCATATGTTGAACCAGCCTTGCATCCCAGGGATGAAGCAGACTTGATCATGGTGGATACGCTTTGTGATGGACTGCCCAACAGTTTTAAATGTAAATTGAAAGGTAAAAAGCAATTGACAAATGGGAAAAGCTTGCAAAATGCATGAGAAAGAATTAATAGACTGAACATATACAATGTTCTTACAAATCAGTAAGAAAAAGATGAATACTCCAATTTAAAAATAGACAAACAGAAAAGAATAAAAAGGAGACTAATATTCATGATTGGTAAGGATGGAATTCTGGCAACAGACTTCTGCATTTTCTGCAGGTGGGAGTATGAAATGACATAACATTTCTAAAGGTCGGTTTGACAAAATGTAGTGAAACTTTAAAAATGCAGAACAGTTGGCCCAGTCGTTTTGAGGAATAGATTTTAAGGAAATAATTAAGGACATGCATAGTGACCCAGCAAGAGAATGACCTTGGAATGGTGTGGACAGAAGTTAAAAAAAAAAAAAAAAAAAGCAAAAAACAAAAACTGGCAACATCCTAGAAGCCCTGTAAGAGAATCATTGAAAATATCGCACCGCATCCCTACAATGAAAGTTCTGTAGAATCATTAAGAATAGAGTATATTTATTAAACTATATTCATTAGAAGGATGTTCACGTGGAAAGATATTCACAGTGTATTGTTCAGAAAAAGAAAAAGCCAGTTACCCCACAGAATAACCGTGTTTGTACTCAGGATATACAAGAAAGGTTTGCCTCCAGCTAATGAGAATATGTTTGCCTCCAGCTAATGAGAATATGTTTGTTTAATGAGAATATATGGTTTTTGTTTTCTTTATGTATGTTTGCATTTTTCATTAACTCTGTGATAAACATGTACTGCTTTTGTAATGAGAAGGAAAAATACAATAGATGTTGTAAAAGAGGAAACATCACAGAGCCCCAGTCCTAGTTCCTGGATGGTTAAGAGTGGGTGGGTCCGGATGTAGTCACAGCACCCACCCACACTGTCCTGAGAAAGTTCTGGCCTGTGTGGGAAACCAGGTCTTGCCCTGTCAGCCCCCACTGGCCCCATGGAGGCCTGCCTTTTCCCGAGGCCCATCCAGCAATCAGTCCCCATCTTTACAGGGATCTGGGTCTCTTCTCTGTGTCCCAGACCCCAGTACTGGTCCAAGCCCTGAAGACTGCACCCAGGAAAGTGGAGGTATGGACAGAGGCAGCCGGTGCCTGAGGAAGCTCCACGGGGCAGGCAAGGCCCCCACGTCCAGTCTCAGCCCCTCTTTTGGCCACATGTGGGTATTCGTTCCTCCTTTTGGTCTTCCTGAAAACACTCTTTTGACCCTCCTGCGCTTGGTGAAGATTCATAGTAACCTAAGGTGGCCCCTTCTCTGCAAATGTTGCCGGACCTTCCAGCCCATTGGCTGCTGCCTCAGTCTCCCTCCACCGTCCCGGCCCCGCCCCCCCCGACATTGCCTCAAGTTGCCCCTGGGTGGCTCGGAAGCAGATGTGCAGCCAGCAACCAGGGGGGCTGCGCCGAGGCGGGAGCCACCCCGCGAGGCGCTGGCATGGGCAGGGCTGGCGGGTGGCTGGGAAGCCATTTGCATCGAGTGCCTGGTTCCCGGAGCGGGGGACTGGGATTGTTCCTGCTGGAATCCGGGGGGTTCACCCGCCTGGGCCGCCGGCTTGCAGGGATCCCGCCGAAGCCTGTCGCCCCCAGAGCACCGGTTCTCATCTCGGGAACCCCAGGTGCCCCCACGCTACCCGGATGTGGGGCGGGGATCTCAGGGGCGGGGTCCTCCAGGGACGACAGTTCCCACCCGGCCCAGGAACCCCCGACTTCCCGGCTTAGGAAAGCTGGGCTCGGCGGAGGCCCAGGGCTGCCCAGCTCTGCCTCCTCGGGGGCAGGCGTCAGAGACAGGAGAGAACCCCCGAACCCCGCGCCAGCCTGTCCGGGGCCCCGGCCCATCGGCCCCACTGGCCCTCCCTGCACCTTTCCGGTCTCCTATTGGCCAATCTAGGGGTCTCGGACAAAGTGCAGCGACCACGGCCCCTCAGGTCCCGCCGCCTCCTCGAGGCGGAGGCCCCTGTTCCAGAGGCCGCCAAGCCCCGGCGATTCGCAGTACCCGGGCCACAGGGCCCGCCATGGGCGCTGCCAGGCCTGAGGTCGCTGTATCCGGTGGCCTCTGCGGTTCCACCACCCCCACCGCGGGATGGGCGGTCTCTGGGGAACACCGCCCGCCCGCCCGCATGACCGCGCTGGCCTTGGAGAGGGAGCCAGGGGACCCAACCGGCTTGTGGCGCTGCTGGTTGCGCCCGGAGAAACCGACCCGGGACCGGGGAAAAGGGGTGGAGGCCCGGCAGTCGGGCCACCTCGGAGCTGCGGAGCTCAGGAAAGGCCAGCACTAATTTACTCAAACAGCAAAATTTAAAAGGAAATTTGAGACAGTAATAGCAGCGACATCTCAGAGAACGACAGGAAAAAAAAGTTTTGAATCAGGCTTTCGTGCAGGGACTCCGATTTTGCAATAAGCGCTTAATTAAAAATAAAATATATTGATGCGGTAGGCAAGTCGCGTTCCTGGGAAGGTAAAAACACAGTGGACTCCCCCACACCCCAGATGCTCCACCTGCCTGCTGTAATTACAGGGCTTCAGAGAGGAGGGAAAAAACATGACAGAGAGAAATCTGCTTGCATATTTTTCTTCTATTGTGCTGAGCTCATTTGAATTATAATGTGTTGCAGGCCGGAGAAGGAAATTTTGTGCCTTGAATAATGAATCCCCCTGGAGCCCACGGTACCTGTACTTCTCTTTAGTGTCCACTGAGAATAACGTGTTCGACATTCAAGTGACAACACTGGAAAGCATTTCAAAGCCCTGGAGCCCCAGAACGCTGTACACCCCGACGGCTCTTCTGCCTGCCCTCTCTTTGGCTTCCAAATGCAGCAAGCTCTTTCTTTACTTAAAATGTGTTCATCTTTCACACGCATCCTGGATGTACCACAGAAAGACAGTACAGATAGGCAGGCTCTTATTTCTGAAGCTGAGCTGGTCCCGCCCAGCACAAAGCTTTAAAGCTGCTAAGGCTCCAGGATATTATCCAGTTTTTAAAAATGGAAAAACTGGGAACAGGGAGGCTCAATATCTTGTCCCAGGCCCAAACAGGCTTTTCTGGAGTCAGTATCATTCAACTGGCTCAGGCTGGATTTTCATAAGAAAAGATAATAAACATTTACTAATGTAATAAAATAGACACCTTTTAAGTCACAAGCAGTATCCAAACCTTTGGGACATTCTATGGTGCTGAACAGCTATTTCATAGAGGCTTTATGTTAAGGAGCAAGTGCAGAAAAAAATCTGAAAATCTCAGTAAGATGAGAAAACGAAAGCTTTACAAAATGGTAGAAGAAAGTAGTCTCTCATGCCTAAACTTCCAAATAAGTTTTTGTTTGTTTGTTTTGGGTTTTTAGTTGAGCATTCTTTCTGGTTTGAAATAGATTCAGAAGGCTTTTTAAAACAAGTCACTTTTGGCCAAATATATTAAGGTATAACCAAATGATACCATAGATCCATTTAGAAAACAGAAAGTTCTTTACTGACATGAAAGGATTTCTAAGACATATTCATAAGTAAAAAAGCAAATATACTACTATTTGTATGGGATGAAAAAATAAAAGAAACATGTATATACATACTTGTTTGTATATGCATAGACTATCTCTCTGGGTGGATGTTGCCTTTTAAGGGGGGAAGGCTGAGGTGGGAGGACAGAGTTTCTCTCCTTTATCTAAATCAGGGGTGTCCAATCTTTTGGCTTCCCTGGGATATATTGGAAGAAGAAGAATTGTCTTGGGCCACACATAAAATACACTAACGATAGCTGATGAGCTAAAAAAATGCAAAAAAATCTCATAGTGTTTTTAGAAAGTTTATGAATTTGTGTTGGGCCACATATGGCCTTGAGGGCCACAGGTTGGACAAGCTTAATCTAAATCCTTTGTTATTTCAGTTTTAAACAATGTAAATGAATTGTTTGCTTAAAAAATAAATTAAATGTAATAAGTATTAATATCATTCAAGTGATAACACAGCCAAGGAATGACAAGGGTTAACTGATAATCCTGATTTTTACAGGTAATTGTAGTCATTACTTCTACATCTTTTATCATGTCTTTTAACCACTTGCCAAAGGAGGCGCTGATGTGGAGTTTTCTCCTCTGCCTGCCCTCTGCTCTGCTCTAACACAGGCCCAAATAGGCAGGGAAATGACCCCGCAATGGGTATAGGAAAAAATAGAAAAAGGAAACAAAGACTAGGTTTAATCAACAAGTTAACAAAGGACAGCTGACTGCACTCATTTACTTTCTGAGCTAGGACATTTTCTTCGTGTCCTGAGAACTATTTCAGGACTTTTTTTAAGTCCCTACTTATTAACATTCTAAGAGCTCTGAACTGAAATGCAGAGAACCCCAAAGCCTGGGAAAGGCAAGAACTCTGCCAGACCTTGTGGGTCTGGCTGAACCATCTTGAAATAGTTCTTTAGAGTGTGCTGTACCACTTCCAGCAGCCACAAAGGGCAGGCAAGCTAAGAATGTCATCTACATGGCCCGAGATGTTCCCCGCAAGAGCTCCCAGTCTGGCTTTTCAGATGCTCAATCCTGCAGTCCAACTGATACCAGGATGCCCAGGGATTGAGCCCAAAGAGCCCAGCTGGGCCCAAAAAGGAGCCATCCTCCCCAAAGACGGAGTATGGAAACTTCCTCTGAGATAGGCTCCCCCTGCCCAAACAAAACAAAAAACACAGAAGTCCATCTCTCCTTTCACTTGTTCTCTGATTCCCTTTAGCAGAGCCCAAACCTTTCTCCACTAAGAGCAATGTTTCTCAACCTCAGCACTTTAACAATGGCACCAGATAATTCTGTCATTTGGGGGCTATGCTGTGCATTGTAGGATACTGGCCTGGCCTCTGTGTACCAAGTGAGTAGCACCCTTCCCAAAAATGTCTCCAAACACTGAGAAATGTTCCCTGCAGAGCGGGGGGGGCAAATTGTTCCCAGCTGTGAGCCACTAAATTAGGCACTAAAGTCCAATAATTCTGAGAGATATAACAACCTTTTCATGTGTTTAATACAATGGTAAAATGTAAATCATGTTTATGAAAATCATTAGTAGACAAATAATATGAGAATAAGAAGTCAAAATTATTGAGAAGAGATGACACAAACTACAAATGTGCCTGCTATTTAGGGTGTTTATATTAGTATTTGCTGGGAGTTAGAAATATGATGGGATTCAGGTGACATGAAGATGTGCTGGATACATTCCTTTTACCCCACCCGGCCCTCTAAATGTGCTCTCCACCCTTGTCCACCTTGCTTTGTGCCTCAGGAAGGTGACCCTATGGGCTACATCGACATGCTCACTCTCTCTCTGGCTTTGGATGGGTTTGGCCCATGAGAGGAACTGGCCAATGGCAGCATGGGAGGAGAATGAGGTTGATTACCCTGGATCCCTCCTGGCCAGATCATGGTTGATTGGCTGCTCTCCTCCTCCACAGGCCATGGCTGCTATTGGTAGGCTGTCTTCCAGAGCTGCATCTCTCTCTCCAGCATGCAGGAACTACATCCCCCCTGGGCCCTGCAGGCCTAGAAGTGGTAATGGTGCCCCACTGTTGTTAGCTCAGGATACTGCACTGTCTTTTGTTCATTTCCCTAAATCCTACCCACACTTTTACAAGTCATCCTTTTGCAAAAATCTCCTCCGATTACTCAGTTTGAATGTGTCATCTGTTTCCTGCTCAACCCTGACCTATACGGATGAACAGAAAATCATTTGAGGGGACAGTGGCCATTCTGGGACAGGATTTAGGAATTCTTGGATCCCTTGACCAAACACTAAAATGCCTTGTACCAAAGCAGTTCCTGATACCTCTTCTCTATTTCTCCCCCCAGTTACCAAACCCAGGCCTGAGATCTCTCACTCATTCCCTGTAACTTGAAAAAGCATTTGCCCCTATACCAAGAGTAGATGTTGTCCAGGCCATGTTTAGCCTTCTCAAAACAGTCATGAGCAAGGACTAAAAAAAGAGCATCCATAAAATGGAAAGATAGCAGTTCCTTACCCTAAGAGACCAAGCTCTATCTGTTTTGTCACTTACGCTACAAGGATGACACACTTACCCCTTTGAGAGTGCACTATTTGGAAAACAAGGGTAAATGACCGTCCTCCAATGTAGCACAAAATTTCTCCTTGAGGCATAGAATACCTCTGTCTTAATTCTAATGTATCCAAGAGGAGAACTAAAATACACTGGGCACATGGGAGGAGTGGGGGTCTTCTTCACTAGCCCCTGGACTGTCTGGGTTAGACCAGGGGATATCTGCCCTTCCAGGCCTCAGCTGCCAGGAGGTGGGAAGGCACAGAGCTCCCGTATGGCACTGGCCCATGAGCACCCAGTGATCTGGAGGGCAGGTGTGGCAAGGATGGCCCCAGGGAGCCAGCTCTGCATCTGGCAGCAGTGTCTCTGGGCCAGGCCAGGACAACAACCTCGATTGTCCCTCTCAACAGTAGCCTTGCTGATCCCGGAGAAAAGAAAGCCATGGGGCCATTTGGACCAAGCCTCTGCAGGAAGAATGCTGCCCTTTCTCTGTAGCGCTGGATCCGATAGTCATGGAATCAACAGCTCAGAAGCTGGCAGCCCCCTCGGAGGCCTGGGCACCCTCCCCCATGGTCACATGGCCCAAGACACTCTGTTCTTTGTGACAGCCACTTGGCAGGGTGGGCCGAGGACCTCTGTAGACAAAGATGCTTCAGGTGCCCCTGAACCCCCTGGAAATTGATGAACGATCTCCTTTTATCTGTGCCCCAGCATGCCCAGCTCACCTGGCCCCCAGGCTCCCCACGGCCTGATGCTTGACTGTTATTCACAGTAGAAACAGAGACAGCATCAGATTCAGGGAGCAGAAGGGCAACACAAACACCTCCAGGGCTTTTGCCTCATGTGGCTAACGTCAGAGACGTTTTATGAAAACAAGATTGGAGGTCACATTGCTTCTTGGATAAAAGGAACTTTGCTTCAAAGAAATTTACTTGGTAAACAAAGCTAGGAAAATTGCCAGAATATCACCAGGCACAGCTGGCCACCTTTCAGCTGCCCAGTGTTTCCAGAGCAGGGATCTGGAGACCCAATCACTGAACCCCTGGAACCCTCAGTTTCCCCCTCTGTAAGAACACAAAGACAAGACTAAATGAATCTCAAAGCTCTTTCCAGCTCTACACTCAGTTCAGATTTAGGAACATCCCGTCTCTTGGCACCTACTAAGGAGAAGTTAGCCAAGAAGGAAAAGGGGACAGAGCATAATTCTGCAGCCGGCCTGCCCAAGTTTGAATCCTAGCTCTACTGTTTACCACCTGTGTGACACTGGGCAAGTAATTTAATCTCTCTGTGCCTCAGTTTCCTCATCTGAAAAGTGGGGATAGCTTTAGTACCTGGTTCATAGAGTTGTCATGAGGATCAAACAAAATAACATAGGTAAAGCATTTAGAGCTCACCTAGGGTAGAGTAGGCACACAATTAGCATTTGCTATTTTCCTTACTCTTTTTATTTATACAGAAAGCCATCTGAGTCCTTTCCTGTCACTAGTTCAGCCTTGCTAAAAGCTTTTGACAAGCAGGTTCTCAGGGCAGGGAATGGTATTTTTCTGGGGGAACTGAAGTCATGCCAACCTTACACTCCCTTCTCAGCTAGCATTCCCCTGTGCTGGCAAGGAGGGTTGGCGAGGAGTATGCAGTTCCTTACAAAATTATGCAGGACACGATGTCTACCAAATTAGAAAGAGCAGGGAAACACAGACGAGGGCCTGTCTACAGCCTCCTTGCAAGCCATTGGGAAGGCTTGCGACCAGGTTCTGAGCCTGTGGGAGACTCCTCCACTCACCCACTGTGCCCCCCAGCTCCTATCCAAAGCACCTCCTCTCCTCTAATCCCAGGTCTGGCTCAAGGCACTCACTGCCAGGGAGACATCTCATATCATTTCTTGGAACCCAGAAGCCACAGGCACGGCAGCCAAAGTGCTGGGCAGGAACTGAAGCTGGGTGTATGCTGAGGAATCACTGTCCCCATGGACCAAGTATGTGGGCACAGCAGGCAGGGCACGTCTATAGCCTGCCACGGTAACTCCCAGACAGCAGACCTTAGAAACCCAATCCAGGCAGGGCCCAAGAGTCCCTTCCTGCCAGCCGATGGCTAGACACCCCATTAACAAATACATGCTGGGCTGAGTGCTGGCTATGTCCACACCCCTCTCTACATCCCCCGGCACCTTCCTCGCCTGCTCTCCCTTTGTAGAAAGTACCCAGGGGCTCCCTTGCCCTCTGGCTTCTGGTTGGGTTTGGCCAAGAGAAGGCAGTAATAAGAGAAAGGAGGGCAAAAGGACAGTGAAGTCAGGTTCCCTATTTCCCCCAGAAGCCTTTTCTTCAGGCTCAGCTCCCTCCCCTTGACTCCTGGGCCTGGGAGTAACTGAGGCCTCTTCCTGTCACCCGCCCCTGTTGTTTGCCCTTGACCCTGCCCATGCCTCTGTTAGGAGGCCTAACTCTCCCCAGCTGCCCCGTGGAGCATGCCGTCTGCTTCCTGTGGGACCCTTAGATCAGCCAAGTGTTGAGCTAAGAGCTCATCCCTCCATCAGCTTTGCATCTTCTTTTTCTTTTTCATATTTGTACCACAAAAGGATACATATAACATACATGTAAGATATGAAACCAGGACCCAAGTTAAAAATATAGAAAAGTTACAGGCTTCCCTGTATGTTCTGTCATACACATGCACACACATCTTAATAACTTTGAAGCAGTCTGTGTGTTTCATGGCCAATGCTCATCACCAGAGACACACATGTGGGTGTGCACACACATACACACACAGGCACAATTCACCACAGCAAAAGGCTAGGAATAAAATAATAACCTTCCTTTTCTACTTGTCAGCCCAGAGCTCACAACTCAGCTGGCCCAAGACACCATGTGAACCTGATAGCCACACAAAGTTAGACCCCCAATGAGTAGAACACTGGAGAGAGGGAACATTAGAGTAATTCTCATCAGCCCTTCTGTTTTCTAATGGGGAACTAGGACAGAATGCCACACACCCAGGACTTCGGGGCAGCTTTTCTTCTGTCCTGCTGCGATAATCATTACTGTACACAGCCCAGCAATTTGGCGCCTCAGCAACCAGACTCCTGGTAGGTGCCTGGGCTTGACCATTACAGGGGGATATTATGATCATGATTACAGGATGACTGAGCCGTCCAGCAAAGTGACCAGTAATTTGCAATCTAATGGCCATTCAGTGGTGGGTAATATTATGGACCTTACCCTGCAATTGTAAAACAACCAGCCCTCTCTAATGTAGCATTTTTCCCATCAAAAGCCCAGCCTTTGCTTTTGATTTCTGTTAATCAGTGGCTGTGGCAGCTTTGGCTTTAGATTTGGAAAAGCTAAACAAGGGAGCATGAAATGATACACTTCTCTTTAGAGCCCCTGAATGGGAAGTTTAGGCAGTTCTGTCAAGTGGAGGAAAAAAATAAGTGAAAGAAGCATCTGGAAGGCAATTTCATTTCTTAAAAGAGCAACCCCAAAACCTTTGTAGAATGTAGCAAGAGTTGCCTGGGAATCTGGGAGACCAACAAAGCCAGGCATGACAAAGAAGATAGGTGTGTACACAGGTCCAGTTGGGTCTAATTGGGTGCACACCACAGCCCATGCTCACTGTGTGCATGCTCACACATGTATCTGCATGCATGCACATGTATACACAGAAGAATACAACTTCCTCTAACCACAGGGTTGCCTGCTGGGAGACTCCCAGGTTAGGCTTTGAGGGTCTCTCCTGTATGCTGTTCACAATTCTACCACTGGGAACAGCTCAGTTCCATCTTCCCTGAAGTCAGTGGGCGTGGGTCAGGAGAAAAGACTGAATTGGAGGTAGATGGATCAGGCCAAGAGGAACAATGGACAAGATGAGATTGTTGTCATTCCTGGACTCCATAGAGTCTAGATTTGGCGTGTCCACCTGCAATAAGTTCAGAGGGGGCTTTTAACAATGGAATTGGAAGGTAAAGAGAGATAATTGGCAAATAGCTAAAGAGGAAGATGACCAAGCCAAAAAAAAAAGAAAAAAACCAGTTCACACTATCAAGCAAGAAAACAGATACACTAGAAATAATGGTAAACATTGGGTTGACTCCTCCAATCCATTCTACCACAGATGTTTAATCTAAGCCAATCAAGCAATCCCAACGGACATGTGACTGAACCAGAGCCTATGAGACGTGAAAGGAAATTTCCTCCCTCTTAAGAGAAAGCCAGAGAAAGGGACAGTCTCTCTTCTTCCTTTGGATATCATCACATCCACAAGTGATGCCTGGAACAGCAACAACTATCTTGCTACCACCCAGATGAAGAAGTTAATATCAAAGATGGCAGAGGGACGAAGCACAAAGAATATGGGTCTTTCATTATGTCATTACTCTAACAAGCAGCCAAGCCTGGTATCTATCCAACTGGATCTTCAAGTTATGTAAGATCATATGTATTCTTTATTAGAACCAATATCAGTGAGGTTCTCTATTAATTGCAGCTTAGAGCACATTAATTGAGATCAGAGCCAAAGCCAGGAGGAAAGGCCAGAGCGGACCCCCAGCCAGACTCAGTGCTGATCTAGTGAGAGCTACTCACCCACTCCTCTAAGCCCAGGATCAGCCCCAGAGCAGCCTGGAGCTAGCTGAGTGTACAGGCATGGAGTTCCCAGCTCAGCTGCCACTCAGGGGTTTGAGAGGGCAGAGAGCCAGCCAGCCCATGATAAAAATCTATTCAAGGGCTACAGAACACAAATGTCCTGGCCAGTTGGGCACTCCCCCTTTCCTCTAGAGGCCTCCCCTCAGCCTCTTTCTCAGCCAGGGCCCACAGCTGCCAAACGTAGAGGCTGACTCCTGTGCTCCATGGAGCCCCTCTTGGAACGCTATATCCCCTGGATAGCTGGGGCTTTGGGGCACTTGTTCCTTTGCAAAAACTCCTCATTCCAGAGTAGTGAAAATGCACATTTATTTTTATTTTCATTTATTTATTTATTTTTGAAACGGAGTCTCACTCTGTCACCCAGGCTGGAGTGCAGCGGCACAATCTCGGTTCATGCAACCTCCACCTCCCAGGTTCAAGCTATTCTCCTGCCTCAGTCTCCAGAGTAGCCGGGATTACAGGCCGTGCCATCACACCCAGCTAATTTTTTCTATTTTTAGTAGAGACAGGGTTTCATCATGTTGGCCAGGCTTGTCTCAAACTCCTGACCTCAAGTGATTCACCCACCTCGTCCTCCGAAAGTGCTGGGATTACAGGTGTGAGCCACCGCACCCGGCCAGAAATGCACATTTGAAGGCATCTTCCCTCACATTCTCTGTTTGGCATACTGGGGATGGCAAAAAGGTTGAATTGAGTATGTTTCTAGTAGAAGTCAGTATTTCTGACTTTCAGCTTCAACGTTTCCTGAGTTCTTATGCTATTTGTGACTAATAGTCTTCCAATGAGAAGGGCAGTCCAAGGATCATCAGTGTTGACTTAATTACCCTTCAGAGATGCACAGGATACCAAGAGCAGAAAAATCTCAAAAAAACACAACTCTTTATTTTATAGATGGATAAACACGGAGGTCTAGAGAGATGAGAGAGGTGGTCATGATGGCACATACTCAGCGATTGATTGTTATTTCTGTCATCATCTATGACACAAAGTCAAGGTAGGGGTGCCCAGAACATGGTGGCTAATGTTTCCAAATTAATAGTGCCACTTCACAGAGCCCTCTGGGGACAAATCTACTTTTTCACCTAACCACTTTTTTTAGTCATAAATCATGAGCAACACTGCTGGTGCATCACACTGCTCCGTAGCGAACAGGAACAAATGCAAGTGCTTGTTACACATTTTCTAATTTCAGAAAAGGAAAAGGGGTTGTTGCCTGTGAGTATGGAGGTCAAGCTGCGTGCAAGCTGTGTTAGCAGGTAATGTGGGCACTGAGGGAGCCGGGGGCCATCCTGGTCTGCACGGACACACCTCCTCCAGAATAGGCTCTGGGAGCAGCCAGAGTCTCAGAGCTGACCCCATTCTGTCGTCTGCCTGCCCAGGAGGCGACCTATGGGCCATGGCCATGCCCACATCAGTGCTAGGCTGGGCCAGTCCCACAGAAGCCAGGGAAGCTATAGCCCACCTTGCCCCAAGAGAGGGGACACAAGACCTAGCACAATGGTTCCCAAAGCTGGCTGAACATTAGAGTCACTTGAGGGAACTTTTCCCTGGCCCCCCCACAGACCAATTCAATCAGAATCTCTGGGTGCGAGCTCAGCATCTGGACTTTTCCAGTTGGCCCCAGGTGATTCCAACATGGAGCTGGTAGACTGTAAATCCAGAGGTAAACAGTGTGGGATGGGACAACCCAGGCAGTGGCTTCCCAGGCTGAGGGGAAGGAAATACCTCTTTCTTGGGACTCTTTCTACTTGTAGTGAAGTGTTTCCTGGTCAAAGGCATCTTCGTGTGTGCTAGATATGGCATTGAATAGGCCCACTGCTGATCTGTTAATCACAGGTAAGAATTTGGCCCAGGCATGAGCACACTGCCTTACCAGGGGGCAGAGGGATGGGATAGAGTAGGATGGCAGCCCACAGCATAACTTCCTACCTCCTGGCCCATGAGATAGGGGAACATTTGGGCATTTGAGCTTCTTTATGCAGCATGGTGTCACAGGATGCCATGGGAGAGGGGTCCTCATTCCCACCTTCTCTGACTTTCTGGAGGAACTGATACAGAAGGCAGTGCTGTTTTTGGACTGACTGTTCTGAATCCTGAGATTTATAGCTGGAGATCTCTGAGAAGGGGCCAGTGGTTTCAGTACAGGACTCAGGATCAAGATCAACTGGCTGCTTAAGTGTCAGGGACATAATTTAAGATGCCAGTTTCCAAGCTTGTCTCCAGAGATTCTGATGCCAAAGGTGCAGCAAGCTGCATGTTTAAGAAGTTCTCCAAGTGACTTCCCAACCCCTGCCGCCAGCTGGTCCTCCCTCCACAAGAGAAGAACATTGAGATTCAAAGGTCCCAGTTGCTCAGCCTGGGAGGGCACAGCACAGCAGAGTTGAAAGACCACGGACCTAGTCCTTCCAACAGAATTGGAATAGCAGCTCTGCCACTCACTGGCTGGGAGACATTGGTGAGTCTCTTAACCCCTCTGACCCAGAAATTCCACTATTAGAAATTCCCCTGAGGCCATAGATTCCCAGTGGCATGGTTTATAATAGTAAAAAACGAACCAACCTAATTTTCCATCAACAAGAGACTAGTTGTATGAATTACGGTATAATTATGCTGCAGAAGACTGAAGATTCTAAAAGGAAAACAGCAAAACAGCAGCTGAGCTCTGCATGTGCTCCTGTAAGAAGTGGAAAAAGTGGCTGGGCACAGTGGCTCACGCCTATAATCCCAGCACTTTGGGAGGCCAAGGCAGGCAGATGGCTTCTGCTCATGAGCTCAAGACCAGCCTGGGCAACATGGCAAAACCCCATCTCTCTAAAAACCACAAAAATTAGCTGGGTGTGGTTGTGCATGCCTGTAGTCCCAGCTACTAGGGAGGCTGAGGTGGGAGGATCGCTTGAGCCTGGGAAGCAGAGGTTGCAGTGAGCAGAGAACAACTCTTGGCACCTTCAGCTTAGCCCCAGGACACAGTCTTAAAAGCAAACCTGATCTCTCTGCTCCCTTCCACCATCAGATCCCTTACCAGGGCCTTGAAAGTCATTCCCAACCCCTCCCTACCTCTTCAGCCTCATCTGTTACAACAGCTCATTCTCCAACCACAGAATTTTCAATTCTTAAAAGGCATCCGGTTTTCTCTCTTACTTCCAGATCTGCTGCTCTCTTCTTCCCCTCACCCCTATTCCTGGCCACAGCCACACACTCTTCATTTAGCTAAGGTGTCATCTCCTTCCCAACATTTCCCTGGTCCCCCACCCCAAGTCCAAGTGCCCCCTTTCTATCCCCTGGCCTCCCCCATCATAGCACGTTTCTTGCCTTAGTGTAATTGCACGATACCTTTCAGTGCACCTTAAGCTCTGGGAGAGGACAGACTCGACCCGTTTCACCCCTAGATCTCCAGGGCGCAGCAAGACCATGAAGCAGATGCTGAATAAATATTTGTCTAGTGAATAAACAATAGCGCTCATCACAATGTATTAAAGATTATCTGAGCTCATTGATGGTGAACTCTGTGTGTCAGGTGATGAGGACAGAAAGCTGAATTGGACAGTGTCTGGAACATAGGGAAAACCAAAAGAAAAAAATTGCCAAATGAGAGTACAGGAAGGCTGTCTTCCTCATGCTGAACACTTGACTACCCCAAGCTCTAAATATCACCAATGAGACACAGAACATCACACAGCAGTAATCAAAGCTGATGAAATGGGTTAGAGAAAACTGATGAGATTATTGTGGAGGTCAAAGAACTTCATGAATAATCCAATTCTCCCTCAGAAAAACATAGACCACTTTGAAAGTTAATACATTTTTTTAAGGTACAAGGAGTGTACCCTAAGAAAAATATTATTTGGAGAATACTAGGTATCTTTTGTGTCCATTATTAGTGTTGAGGACCAGTATTCCTCTTATACACTTAGACTGCATGCAAGAATATGAGCATTCTCTTCTTTTTCTTTAGTGCACTTATCATAATTTGCAAAAGTGTATTTGAGTGTTTGTTAAATACCCAGCACTGTCACTAGTCTTTAAAGCTGTGTAAGCAAGGGTAATGTCTGTTTTATATCCCCAGCACCCAGCACAGTGTTCTAGCACTTAGTAAGTGTTCAATAAATATTAACTGAATGAATGAATGAATGAATGAATGATCAAAAGAACACACAGAGAATACAGCATGGGAGCTCATTCATCCTTGGAAAAATAGTGAGCATTTGATAGGAAAAAAACCATCATGAAATCACTTTGAAATACAAGGCAAACAGGAAACAGGGATAAGCCAAGGTCACTAATGTGTCAGATTTTTTAAAAGAGAGAAAGAACCAAAAATATGGAACCAAAAAGAGAAATGCTATAACAGACCATTGACTGATAAATTCAGAGCATTGTTACACCACTGAGCTGTGAATAAAATCCTGCTTACCTAATGCATACAGAGAGTTTATGTATTGTTTGTGTTTTGCTTAGATGGCAACACCATGGCTGGCCCCATCAGCCTCCATGTTCAACTGTCCCAATCAACTGCCGGCTGTAATTAGGGAGTGCTGGGAAAAGGACGTTGGAGAAAAATCAGCTTGCATATTTTTTTCTTCCATTGTGGCTGACTCATTTGAATGATAATGTATTGCAGTCTGGGGTGTGACATTGACGGCACTGAATAATGAGGCAGCTCTGGACTCCAGTACCTGAGCGGCCAGCCGGTTAGTGGCCAGTGACAAAACAGTAGCAGTATCTTTGGGCGATAAAAAGATGATCTCCACGTGGCAGGAGACAGATGCTGGGAAATACCCCATTGTCAGCTCCATCAGGAGCTTCCATCACTGAAAGCTTCATTTATTTCATTCATAGTCATTTTTCCAGCTGCGAGACCTTGAAGGCATCTGGCTGGTGGCATCCTGAGGTGATAAAACACTGGGGTAGGCAACCAAGAGAGGTGCAGAATCCCTGTCCCCGGGGGATGCTTAACACCCACAGAGCCTGTTAGCTGTTTTCAAAAAACCAGGGGTGAACTTGGTTTGGCTCAGGGGACAGAACCAGATGACAGCTGGTGGGCCCTGCCAGTTTATAGGTTTTCAAATGTCACTTTATTTTTGTTAACAGAGACATCCGTTGAAAGACACCAGCATGTGTAGACACCTGGCTCTGGACACCTGAAGCCAGGTATGGTGGATGATGAGGAGGGCAGTCTCTGATTGTAGACTGCCTGGGTTTGAAGCCTGGCCTGCCACTTATCACCTGCAGGACAGTGTGTGCCTTAGTTTCCCCATCTGTAAAATGGAAAGATGATCATAACAGCACTTCCCTCAAACACCAGGTTGTTGCAAGGTTTGATTATGTATATCAGTGTCAAATCAGTGCAAAAACAGTGCCTCATCCATATTCAATGCCCACTAAATATTAGCTATTATCAGCATTGTTCTATGCAAAGGCCAGGAGACACTCGACCTCTGGGTGGCAAAGCATGACTTCAGGAGATCAGTGTAGACTCTGGAATTAAACTTATCCAGACATTGCTCAGCAACCTGCTAGCTGCATGACCTTGGGCAAGTCACTTAACTTCCTGAGCCTCAGTTTCTCATGTGAAATGGGAATACCTAACAGTAACTACTTCATAGGGTTGTTATAAGGGATTTGTTAAATAATATGTGCACTTAGCACTGTACCTGGCACATAGCATGGGCTCAATAAATGTAGGATCATAATAATAATGCTAGTCCTATGCTGCTAGCATTATTATTACTACAAATCATCACAAGGAGTTTTGTCTTTAGACAGTAATAGGCTGTCATGAAATGTTCATGTGAGGACTTATCTGTCCGGGTCTTTGTGCTTGAAATCTCACTCTGGCGGCAAGTTAGAAAGTGGACTAGAAAGTATAAGTCTAGCCAGGGAGACCATTCAGAAGCTTCTGCCGTGATCGAAATAATCAAGGCAGAGGTTGGCAATCACAAAATCATCCTTTAAAATTCCTGAAATAACTAGGACCTAAGCACTCGCAGTGAACTAATTTTATTCCAGTTTGTTTTACTGCTATGTCATCCCTTTTCCTGTGGTACTAGTAGAGATGGTCTAGTTCACTTGGGAAAAATGACAAGGTGAATGAAGGGATCTCTCTCTCTCTCTCTCTTTCCCTCCCTCCACATACCCCTCACTCCAGTACATATTGTTTAATTTGTCTCAGCTGAAATGTGCAGCTCAATGCAATTAATAATATATCACAGCAAGACTTCTTAAAACCTTTCTGGAACTAGACACAATATTAATACACAGACAAATCATGTCAGTGACTTGGGGTTGGGGAGTAGGGGAGGAATTGACAAGGGGTAAAGATGCTTTGAATCTGTACCTAGACACCAACCCTGAAAAAGGCACCTGGGGTACCAATCCCCTAAGTCTTCTGGGTCCAGAGCCTCAGAAACCTCCCAGGAAACAGACTGGAGCCACTTCCCTGCCCCCAACTTTGGTGTCTAGCCCCGCCCACTTTCGTTCAGTCGACCAGCATTTCTAAGTGTTCTTTCACACAGGAATTTGGGGGCACCCACTGGCTCCCCATCATCTGCTGAACCTCCCTCTTCCCCCCAAGTGACAAGACTCACCTTCTCCATCGATCCTCGGGCTTGTCAGCTGCGCCGGATGCCTGAATGGCAAAGCCCGCCGAACTGGAGCCCAGACAGTGCTCATCATCCTGTCACCAGGACAAAGGGAAGAAATCCCATTATGTCACCTTCCACAAGCGAGAGACAGCGACAATTTCCCCCATAAACACTGCACTGACACTGTTATGATGTATCTCAAGCACTTCTAATCAGTATGGAAGTGGAGAGACTGCGGAAGCTCTTGAGCCTGAAAGATGCCATTCAGCAGTAACTGTGGTCTCCTGTTGTTATTGAAATGACCTGGCTGGGAGCAACCACCACTCTGCACCCATCACATCAAATATAAATATATATATATGGCATTTTCTATCTTCTCAGAGTGCATGCACACTGTTCATTTACTCTGGGTGAGCGCCAGAAGTCAGAAGTATTTTAATTCAGTTCTCATTTTTTCGCCTGTTTTTACCCATAGCCCTCTCTGTGTTTTCTGACTTCCAAATTTAAAAAGGGAAAAGCTTTTTCCTTCTCCTGAAAGTACTTTTCTTTTTCTAGTTTTGAAGAGGGAGAAGACTTTTATTTTTATAACTTCCTCTTGCCAACAGCAGCATTGGGCTTGAGTTTCTAAAGTGTGATCAACACTATTCAACTGTGAAAGTGTTTTTAGTTTAAAACCCATTTGCTGTCTCCCTGCAAATTATTCATTAATTCCAAAGGGGGACCGGGTGCATTGCAGTGAAGCAATCTGGTAAATACCACTTAAACCATAAGATCAAACTTAATATCACCACTAATGGGACAAACTGACATCACGTGCTTCCTAATATGATGTAGTGAAGAGGATAAAATAGCACTTCTGTGATATTCCTGCCAAAACATGCACAACCTGAATCAAATCGTGAGGAAATACCAGGCAAACCCAACCTGAAAAGGCTTCTACAAAACAACATCTCTACCCTTCAGAAATGTCAATGTTGCCAAAAACAAAGCCAGACTGGGGAACTGTTCTAGATTAAAGGAGACTGAAGAGGACTGCAAGATAGATCATAGTATTGCATCCATATACAATGTCAAGAACTCAATGATTGCATTGTGATTTTCTAAGAGAACACCCTTGTTCTTAGGAGATACATGCTGAGTATTTGGGAGTAAAGGTCGTGATGTCTGCAACTTATTCTCAAATGGCTTAGCAAAAATAATAAAAATGTATATATGTATGTGTATAGGGACATTTACAGAGAGAGAAAATAAATGTGGCAAAATAGTAACAGCCAGTGGATCCACCAGAAGGATCAATGGTTGTTTGTTGCACTGTTCTTACAATGTTTCTGTAGAGAGAACCATTTGATTGTCTTTCTAACAATCAAATGCAGGAGTCTCTGGCTTTCTCTGTTCTCACCCATAGACATTCCAACTGCTACTTCTGGTCAAGTAGACAGCCAAGTTTATCTCCATGAGTGAGTAAGAGACAAATGCCGGTGCCCAGGAGGATGGGCCCCTCAACCGTACAGTCACTATGTGTACCCTACCCGCAGGTCTGACAAAGAACCAAGGGCTGCAATGGTTCTGAGGTCCACCAGGCAGCCGTAGGAGCCAGTTGTGAGAAGGGCAAGTTCCACAGGCTTGGGCTCTTAGCTGAAAGAGCTCCTTTCAGAATTTTCTTTTTCTTCTTTTTCTTTTATTGCCTTCCCATAGAAGATTATAGATAGCTGAAGTTTGTGAGTTGGATTACTTCCATCCATAAAATAAAGACTAAAATCTTTCCACCCTAATCAGAAAAAAGCATCCTTTTGTCCCACTATATTCATCAATATGTCATATTTAACAGTTACAATTATTGACAGGCATATAAAACATTTTGTGACAGAGAAAATAGCTTCCTATAAAGTGTTTATTCTTTTTTATTGATAATAAGTTGACTTCTCTAGCCCTACCAAGAGAATACGGACCACTAACAAGAGATCAAATCCATTTATATGACTTCTTACAATCACTCCTTTTACTCTGGGGTTCTGGTCTAGACCCTGTATTTTAAATTTCAGCATCAGTGAGAGCTTGGAGCCCCAAAGCAGGGTCATATTACTTCTGTAATGAGGAAAGTATAATTCTAATAGCATCATTTACTACAGCCTTTCATTTTTCTTCTTCAAGACAGACTGTGCTACTATGTGCCTATGATTTAAATCTTTAAAATAGAAAAACTTCAACTGCAGAGGAATGTTAATCCAAGGATCTGTCTGCATGCAATGCCAGGTGGGTGCTGTATATAATAATAATAATGATGTACTAATAATAACTATAAATATAATTGCTACTTTTATTTAATACCTACTGTATGCCAGGTATTTTACGGAGGCCACAATTTACAGATGTGCTCTGCAAAAAGGTGTCTGGCTGCAAGGCACGTGAGGACTGAAATCCACATGCAAATTCTTTGTCTTTGTGGCGTCTGTAGCATCCCAAAGCAAGGGGTGTCTTTTTGTGATCTGTTATGATATGCGCAAGTGCATGCCTTGCTAATTTACATACCATTTCTGGTCACTAGGACATCAATGCATTATCCCAATAAGGAAAGCCACGTTTCCCTGATTCAAAATGTATATGCTTTCTCTCATGCAACATTGCCTTTCTACAGAACGAGAATCCACAGATAGAATTATTTTTTTAATTCTAAGGGAACATCAATCAGACATAGAATTGATTCTGTTAGAAGTGATGGTTTCATGTCACAAATGTTTACCTGCCCTGCACAAGAAGCAGTTCAGCAGCGTCCGTGGGGGCAGTGGAGTTGAAACCTGAGGTGGTCCTCAGGAGCGTACATGAGAAAGATGAGAATGACATGGGCAAATAATTACAGCCCCAAGGAAGATAGGAGTTCAACAGAGGGAGCAATTTTACCTCTGAGAAGTTCAAATGACATTTGAGTGAAGCCTTGAAGGATGAGAAAATTGTACATACAGAGATGGTGGTAGGGGAAGAATTCCAGCAAAGGCAAGAAACCTCCATCTGTGAGAGGAAATAGAACCCCCACTATTGCTCTTCTGGCCTCAGCCTCCTAGCCTCCTGACCTCCTTCCTCTCGGAAGTGGCTGGGTCCTTTCTCTCTGCTTTTCTCTCCCCAGTAGAGGCCCCGTGGCCTGTTGCTTTGCTCCTTCACGCTGGCCCGGTGCCACAGTAAGCTCTGATGGACCCCCAGTCCCCTTCCCTGCGCCCACACCAGGCAGGTGAGGTATGCGAGAGAAAAGTGCCACCGTGGCGCCCATGGTGCCCTTCCCAACTCCACCGTCCACCTGTTCTGGCCCTTCAGTCATGCCTCCAGTCCCTGGGAGCTCTCTTCCCATTCCTCGTCACCGCCAACTCAAAATGGAGGCGTTCCCCCAGGGCGCTCTCCTCCATCGCTATCCTTCATCCCCAGCAGGGCGGTGGCTCCACCTCCCAGCTCGCCAAGGCCTGAGGCAGGCCCTCATCAGCTCCTCCTCCCCCACCCTCACCACTGCCCCACAAGTGTGTTTCCCACATACCCTCATCTCCCGCCTCCTGTCAGAGGGGAGGCTGGGCACCACCTCCACCCATCGCTCAGGGCCTCCCCTCTCTGGCTCCCTCAGAGGTGTTACTGGGGTCATTATCTCTTCTTGCGTCCATTGTAACCTCTTCTTTCACTTTCCTTTAGTCAACCAATTATTTATTGTTTTCCAAGTGCCAGGCACTGCTGTAGGGGCTCAGGATATAGACAAAAGTGGTTGCTGGTTGAAGTTGATAATCCAGTTCACCTTCACCCTTGCCTCTTCTGCCTCAGCTCTGGATGGGCTCCAGGGTCTCCAACTGTGTTCCCAGCCACCAATGCCTGCGACTTGCTTTGCTCACTCCAGCCTCCCAGGCTGCGCCTCTGCACCGGCCTTGCTTGGACCGTCATTCCCACCCGGTCCCTCCATTGCCTCCCTGCCTCCCACCGCTGCACACTCTCCTGTGTGCTCTGGCCTGGCCTGCAGCTGTCATCATTCACCTGTTGCAAGATGAAAGAAACATTTGCCTAACTTTCTGTCTCCACAACTAGACTGGATGATCCTCACAGCCCCAAACTGTGGCTCCTTGGTTCTTTGTGTCCTTGGCACCTAACAAAGGACCTGGAACAGCCTCTGCATGCATGACAACTGAAGCATTCCATGCTTACATACAATCATTATCTTAGTAGCTTTCATATATAACTATGTGCCAGTCACTGTTCTAAGCACAGTTCTGTACACATTATCTTATCCTCTCAACAATTGTTGAAGATAAGTGCTCTGTAATCCCAGCCCTTTGGGAGGCCGAGGCGGGAGGATCAAGAGGTCAGGAGCTCGAGACCATCCTGGCTAACACGGTGAAACCCCGTCTCTACTAAAATTACAAAAAAGTAGGCGGGCGCCTGTAGTCCCAGCTACTCGGGAGGCTGAGGCAGGAGAATGGCGTGAACCCAGGAGGCAGAGCTTGCAGTGAGCAGAAATCATGCCACTGCACTCCGGCCTGGGCTAAAGAACGAGACTCTGTCTCAAAAAAAAAAAAAAAAAAAAAAAAAAAAGGATAAGTGCTAAGGTGACCTCTACTCTTACAAAGGAAGATACTGAGGGTTACAGAAACTAAGCAACTCACCCCCCGTTCACACTGCTGGAAAAGCGGGGAGCCGGAATTCCAGCCTTATTCACTGCGAGCACCAACTCTTAACCATCATTCACTAGACCTCCCCACAGAGTAACATAACATGACATAACATAACATAAGGAATGTTGTGTAGACAAGTGATTAGTGGAGGAAAGGAGCTAACATTTGAATGCCTACTTTGTGCCAGTACCTCGATCCATCCTCTTAATTCTTACACTGCCTCTGTACCGTGTACCTACTTGATATTACCATGTAGTAACTTGTCAAATTTGACTGATAGGCTCAGAGAAGTTCAGAAACTCAATCAAGGTCGCACAGTAAGTATGTAAATGGTGGTCCTTGTTGAATCCACGGCTCTCTAATAACAAAACACTCTGTCCAGCACAGGATTCAGTGCTCCCTGGTGGGCCCTGGGGTCTCAGCACCTTCTGGGGGTATGTGGGCTGAGTCCAGCACTTTGGGAGGGTAGGGAAATTCTCTCAATTTCTGCAATGTAATCAACTCCTTTCAAAGTTCTTTTCACAGGAGCTTGAAAGGAGAACAAAGCTGGCCCAATTCTTCCTCTTTTCAAATTTAAAGAGTTTTGTTTTGTTTTGCTTTGCTTTTTGTGCCTCTAATTCCTATTGCTTTAAATACTAAAGTGTGCACTAGACCTCACTGAGTTTTTAACACAGATTTCTGGTGGTCTAAACTCCACCCATGGTCTCTCTGCCTCTGGGAGGCATTATTCTGCCTGCATAATCCTCATCATCATCCTCAAGACGCTGAGCTGATGAATGGCCACAATTCCATTCCCCACCTCCACGCCATTTTAGAAAGAAGGAAGCAGAAAGACGAAGCAGCCTCCAGAGAGGCTCAGACTTGAAAGAAATAAAATGTCTACAAGACGAAGACAGTTTAAAATGAGCAGGACAGAGAGAGCATTGACAAAACACGTTATATCTGTGCTGCTTGGAGGAATGGGATGGAGTGGGAGAGATGGTCTTGGGCTCACAAGGACATCAGTCTGGTCCCAGAGAATAAAGAAGCTGTTCTCTTTGGGGAAGCAAGGACTGAGCATCCCCTAAGCCTTCGCTTTGGTTCAAGGACACCAGCAGCAGGATGCACTAGCCCATGGTGTGAGAATTTGCTTACCCACATTCCTAAACACTCTCACTCAGACTCCTGTGTCCTCTCCACCCAACTCTGAGGGTCACTCAACCCTCTAGATCGTGAGGCCCTGCTCTGCCTAGGGTTAGTCAGACTCCTCTGCTCCAGGAAGTGAATAGTTTTCCTCATTCCCACGAAGTAAAAATGTCATGAGAAATGCAGGGGCTGTGCTTGTTGAGGCAAGCCCAGTGGTGATATTCACAAGTCATGTCCAGCACAAGTGGGAGCTCCCAGGGGCCAGGGGAACGAGGCTGAGATGGACCCAAACCCACCAACTGGGAAGGCTCCACTGTGCTCGCAGTTTTAGTCAGGCTCAGGGACTGCGGTGTTTCTCAACCTTGGCAAGCATGGGACTCACCTAGGGGGAACCCTAAAACACAGATGCCTGGTCCCCATCCCCAGGGATTCTGATTCAGCAGTTCTGGGGCAGCACCCATGAATTTACATTTCTAGCAAATTTCCAGGACTGCAGCTGCAGCTGCTGCTGCTGGTAGAGATGCATCCTCCACACTTGCACTACTGCACCCTGTCCCTCAGCCTAGAACTCCAGGGACTAATAAGAGATTAAAACATTGCAAAGGCCGGCCTTTGTACAGCTTGTGCACTGCCTAAAGGCACCTGGATGAGGAGATGAGGAAGGTGGCAATTGAGTTCATGCTCCACCAGCCAAGCTGCGTGCTCTGCCAAGAAGCTGTGTTGGCCTGGAAAAGAGGGCTTATGTGTCCAGAGAGAGCACCTTTTTCTAACTCATCTATCCAAAGAGAATAGCTTTTTCTAATTTACACAAAAGCATACATAGGCAGTAATGACCTTAAATAAATTTCCCTTATTCACCAATACACATAAAAGAGCATCAAGTGCATACACACTCTGAGACCACCGGAAAAGTCACAAGGTCACAGAACCTTCCCAACCTTAGTTCTTGCTTGACATTGAAGCTCTCAATCAAATGAGAGACAAGTCATTTCTGCAGCCTTAGGAATAATCAAGGCATGTGGTGCTCTCTCTTCCCGCACATTCTCAGAGCACTAGGCAGGAATGCTTGCACAGAAGGAATGTTCTATAGCTAACACCCGTGGTGGCTCCTAGCAGTCACCACTTCGAAGCACCTTTCATATCCCAGGAAAAATGCTCCCAGACAGCTTCCCCCAAGCAACTGGCCCAGTTGGCTAACAAGCCCTTTCCTCTCCATCCAGTCTGTCCTCTGCTGCCACAGCAGGCGGAGCCTCTCAGCTGCAGTTCATCCCTCTGGGAAGCCTGGGCAGTCTTCTGCCAGCTGAGCTGCATGCCAACCAAGAGTCGGCTATGTGTGTTCCCAAACCTACCAATGCCAGCTGTGTGTGTCACTGTGATCAAGTAATTTAATTAACTATCCTGTAAACTGGTAAAGCACACACACAAAAAAAAAAGAGAGAGAGAGAGAACTTTTTGTTTCCATGAAAATTAAGTTGATTGCTTTGGAAAAGCTCAATGAAGGCAAGTTTCCAAAAAAGATTACTGTCAAATTAGATAGCAATGGAGGGAGACAAATGTAAAAGATTGAGGAGAGGCATGTGAACATCTAAAAGAATTCCAGACTCAGATTGTTTACCAAGCATTTTAAGTTCTCCATCTAAAGACACTGACGTTAGAAATCATAGACAAGGTATTTCAAGAATGTTTTATACCAGAAGGATGGGGGAATCTGGAATAAGTAGAGTCCACACTGAAAAACGAGGTTTGGTCCTAAAGCAAAAGGATGGGAAATAAATGCATGTTCATGAGTTTTAAGTTAAAATGCATTTAAGTCAATATAGGTACCAGAGAAAGAGTGTTGGGAACAGCTGCATCAGGGGGCCCAGGTCACTCCTCTGCCCCTTTTCAGTTGAATGGCCTTGGACAAATAACTGTCCCAAGCCTCGGTAGACTCACCTGTGAGTGGACAGAAAGCCAACTTACAGGTGAAGAAATGCACAGTGCATGAATATGGGTGGCTACCTGCTGTTTTTGCCAGCCAGGTCCCTCCAGAGTAACTACTCTCCCTTTCTTCCCTGAGGAACCACCCCTCCCCAGCCCTCAGCCTCAGACCTCCCAGGGGCAGAACACCTGGCTCAGGATGGGCAACCTCCACACACCACCTGCCTGGCCACCAGGACTGCTTTAAGAGTGGCCCATGGCTCATGTCTGGCCAGTCCAGACCAATAGGACTCAAGTCTCTCCAGGATTTTATATCAAGGAGTTGGCCTTGCTCTGCCCCCGGTTTGGCCATTGTGATAATGTGGCCCTGAAGCTGCCTGGAGAGCTTCTAGAAAACTGGAAGGTACAAAACCAGAAGAGGAGAATGGGGGTGGATGTGGGGGTAGGGGAGTGAACAGCATTTGAACCCTGAATTGAGCCAATCCTGAAGCTACACTTTTTATTACGTGAGCTAATACATTCCTTTTTTAACCTTAAGACAGTTTAATTCGGGAGTTTTTGTTTATTTTCCCCAGAAGCCGACCCTAAGGCAAAAACTCAACTACAAGTAGTTTATTTGGGAGATGACCCCAGGAAACACAGGAGGAGGAAGAGCGGGGCGTGAGCCAGGGGAGGGAAGGAAGCCAGTGCATTTTCCCTTATTCCATCAGTGCCACTGGGAGAAGCTGGAACATAATTCTGGGGAGGAGCTCTGGGAAACTGCAAATCACACCACCCTGGAGTTGTCCCACCTGAGGCCAAGGGAAGCGGTCTTGACCCACCAGGTTCCATCTGTCATTTGTTGAGGGCTGCTCTAGGGTAGGGTGAAGGGCATTACCTCCCTACCACTCTGGCCAGACCCGCACATAGGCAATGGGCTTCTGCTTCCAGAAAAGGCCCTCAAAGAGTTGCAGGAGCTGGCAGCTGGAAGTTGAGTTGGTAGACACAGAAATGATGGGCCCAAGAGGGTATGGTGGGCACCAGCAGCATCTGCTGTGTCTGGGTTCTCCATCACTTGCAATAGAAAGACCTCACTGATAACATCATACTTACATGCTTAGCAGCATGCCTGGGATGTAGTAAGCATAAAAAATTGCAATCATCATTGATATTATTATTATTATTATTATTATTATAGTTACTGACCAGTAATGAGCATTATGAAGACTCAGCTTGTTATATAATTATAAGTATTGTCTTGTTAATTGAAGAATTCTTCAGGTAGAGGTAAAGAAGTAATATCTCAAAGAGTCCCTCCTCAGTCTCTCAGGTACTCATGCCAACCACAGCTCCAAGTTCATAACACTCCACCCATCAGCTGGGCCCTCCCTGTGGCAGAAGACCTAAGCCAGGCAGGGCAAACCACAGAGAACATGAGAAGCCAGGTGGGGAGGGGGTTGCTATAAAGTTGGAGAAGATGAGCACAAAAGAGATCTTTTTGTCTCTTTTTCATTTTCCAATCTTGGTTGCAGTTCCTGCTTTTCATCTTAAAGCCTGAATGGAGAAACTGATATAATGTTGAAGACTACGACTCATTAATAATTAATTGTTTAGAACAAACATACTTAAATATTTCAAGGGTTTGGCCTGAGAGGTTTTGCTACAATAGGCCAAAGATCTGTCAAGAAGAAAGATTTGGCCTTACTGAGATCACACCCAGTTGATCTGTGTGGGTCTTGGGATGGGTCCAGGGCAGGGAGCCAGTAGAGCTTCAGGTTTGGGCAGGGGCCCCTCACTCCCAGGCTGGGAGGGGAGGCTACCCTCTTCCTGCATTCCAGCAGCTCCTGAGTCCCATGGTCACATGTTCCAGGCCCTTTTTATAAGCATTTTACACCCCTGTGAAGTAGGAACTATTTCTTCCCCATTTTACAGATGAAGAAACTGAGGTGCTGAAAAGGCACACAGCGAGTGAATTGCAAAGCCAAGATTTGAACCCAAGCATTCTAGCTCCAGAGGCCGCCATGCTCTATATATTTTAAAAAGTCGTGCTTTGAATACGTGGTTTATACAAGCCCAGGTTAGGTACAGGCCTTCTCCACACCACCAGGAGATTGGGGATGTGCTCCCACAGTTCCCCTCTACCCACTGCCTCCCTCTGCTCTGCCTGAATAAGGTAAATAGTGAATCTGGTAGACTTTGTCCTTTTAAGCATCCTTTTCATATGACATGTTCTTCAAGGGCCACCATTCTCTCAAAATTTTCTCCTGCAAGCCCCACCTAAGTAAGACAGGGTCTATTTCATCAGCCTCATGAAGTACAAATGCCGCTGAAAAGCTGTTAAGTCCCATTTTTTAAGAAATGGGACTTTTTAAAAACAACACTTTTTCAAGGAGGTCTAGGGGGGAGAGAAGGCATTAGCAGGAACTCTAAAAGTAACAGGGAACCACATGGCATTGACTGCATGCAGAATTGGCCAGACATGAATTCAAATGGCAGCTCTACTCAGTGACATTGAGAAAGTGACCCATTCTTTCAGAGCCTTGGTTTTTTCTCATCTGTAGATTGCAAACAATAGTGTCTATTTGACAGGGTTGTTGCAAGATTTCAGTGAAGTAGCCTAGGCAAGGTTGGTGCCAAGCACAGGGCAGGGCACACAGTGGGTTTCCAATACATGCTCATTCCCTTCTTCTCTTTTCCTAGATGAAAGAAACAGGGCATGTGGAAGGTTAATTATCCTCCAATTCCAGGAATAATGGAAATGGTTTTGCTGATGTCATGGGAAGAAAAGCCTCACTTGGGAATGGATGCTGTCTGGGGAAGAAAGTGCAGCTCAGCATCTATACATTGTGTGTGGATTACTTAGCTCAGGTTTCCTGCAAATCACTACTATGAAAAGATGGCAGTTGTTGATTTGGCCAGGGGAGGAGGGGAAGGGAAAGGATTCTTTGCTCAGATCCCCACATCCTTGGCCCACACGCTCACCTCCTGGGACTCCAGCTTTGGACTGAACATGAACCCTGCAGTTTGTGAGTTTGTTTGCTTTGGGCAAATAATGACTTCCTGTTTCTTAGAAGACAGAGCAAAGCTTCCCAAGCTTCTCTGCCAGGCAGCAGCTCTAACCAAACAACAGGAATGCATGTGGGGTAAACAGAATGGAGACATGGGGATGAGGCCCGCCCACTGAGCAGCCCCAAGAAGTGGAGCTGGGGTTTGAGAAATAGGGCATTTCAGCTTCCCCAACCTCCCAAGTTTTAATGAAATCCCAAGAGCAGTTTTTAGGACTCCAAAGTCTTGCCCACACACACTGCATCTGCACCGTGAAACTCTCACTGGACCTCCAGAAGCTGGCACAACTATTCCTCTGCCTCCCATACCACTTGGCAGCTCTTCCTACCCACCGGGCAGTCTGAAATCCTCTGTCCAAAAAGCATGCCAATCTCATTTCCATCTCCAAGTCTCACAAATTGTCCCACTTGCTTTCCCATCCCTCTCATATGCTCAGCTCATCCCTCACTTCCTACAGGAAGCTCTGCAGGACTGTTCCTCTGAGCTTCCTGTTCACAGCCCTCAGCACTCGGTACTGTTCACTAAAGTTAGTCTCATTTCCACAGCCCCAAATTGTAAGTTTGTCTGAGGGCAGGGGTTTGAAAACTAGCCAATGTGTGTGAACAGCTTTACAAGCTTGATTTCATTTAAATCTTTACAACCCTTGTGAGGTAGGCAACTTGCATTATCCCCATTTTACAAACGAGGAAACGAGAAGGCTCAGGAAACATAAATAACATGCCCAAGATCACAGAGTTAGTTAGTGGCAGAATCGAGAAATGATGCCGTTCTGATTCTCGCATCTAGTCTTGTGAACACTACGAGATGTTGCTTCTTAGAGCAATGTTTGTTAACTGATCGATTGACTAAACCAGAGGTTCTCAAAATGTGGCTCCCAACCAGCAGCATCCACAGCATCTAGAAACTTGCTAGAAATGGACATTCCTGGGTCCCACCCCAGACTTACTGAATCAGAAACCCCAGGGCTGGGGCCCAGCAATCTGTGTTTCTAAGAGCCTTTCAGCGTTCTCTGGTGTGTGTTGTTGGTGTTTGAGGCTACCTGACTAGACCAGGGATTAAATTGTAGACTTGCAAGCCAAGAAGTAAAATTGAAGCTATAATTTAGGTACTTACCTGACAAGATAGAAAACCAATTCTCACAAAATTTTATTGATGAAATTCAAAATATGATAATAATCATTGAGTATGATTTTTTTATAATACAGGTCTAATAATGAGAAACATGAAATTCATTTGTGGGGATAACATTTTGCTTATTTGGGGTTCAAAGTTAGTGTTCCCTATGACCAAATAATTGCAAATGTTCATGTGTAAAAAAATCTTTCTTAGCTCCCTGTACAAAGCAGGCAGCAGACCAGATTTGGGCTGCAGGCTGTTGTAAGTGACCCCTGCACTAAACCATCCCAGCTGAATCAGTAACATTTGGTACACTTGGGTCAATTCTTGTCTAAAGAAGGCAGTCACTATAAACAACCAGTTTGGTGATTCTACACCTCCAATCCCACTCTCCCCAGCCCTGAGAACAGTTGCTGAAGTGAATTGACAGGTTTGACCAGGCATTTTGGCATCCTAAGCAAGGCTGTGATAAGTCAAGCAGTCCTTGCCTTACATAGCTCCCCGATAGGGAGAACAACTGTCTAGCCAGGTGGCTGAGCAGCTGCAGGAAGCCCTCAGCCCTGCTCCCGCCACCACCTGTGGCTTTCATCCCTTCCTTATCTGTCCCCTCCTGCACTTCCCTAGGGCCACCCCCACAGAGCTTGCCTCTCCCTGCTTGCCCAAGGAAGGTGGGTGTCTGGAGAGGACAGAAATTGACCTCCCCTCCATTTTTGTCCTTGGCCTGGCTTTTTCAGCACCTGTCTGAACTCGCAGCTGGATGGGAGATTATAGAGAGCTGACACATAGAAATAACAAGAAGCTTTAAAACTTTTCTGGTTCCTTAAAAAGATGGGTGGACATAATAGTTGGCTGATGCCCTTGGATTAAATTATGTCCCCTGAAACAATATGTTCAAGTCCTAACCCCTAGAACCTGTGAATGTGGCCTTCTTTAGAAACAGTCTTTACAGATGTCATCAAGTTAAGATGAGGTCATACTATATTAAAGTGAATCCTAATCCAGTGACTGGTGTCCTTATAAGAAGAAGGAAATTTGGACATAGAAACACAGCAGGAAACAGAGAGAACACCATAGGAAGACAGAAACAGATATTACAGTGATGTTTCTACAAGTCAAGGAACCAAAGATTGTCAGGCACTGTCAGAAGCTAAGAGAGCAGCATGGAACAGATTCTCCCTCAGAGCTTCTGGAAGGAACCAAGCCTGCCTACACCTTGATTTTGGACTTCCAGCCTCCAGGACAGTGGGAATAAATTTCTGTGGCTTTAAGCTACCCAGTCTGTGGTGCTTTGTTACAGCAGCCCTAGGGAGCTAATACAACTGATAATAAAGAAATGGTAAAATACAATGAGAGACGTCAGAATCATGAACAAGAAAAAATCATTATGCTTTCAAAAATCCTTAGCATATGAGACTTTGCTTCTGATAAAAAGTTAAGCAAAAAAAGCAGATTTCAAAATCAATTCTGCAATTTTAAAACTTGCATTTTTACAACATTGGTGCAAACCAAAGATTAGATGAAAATGTAACATACTCGTTGCAGTATTTATCTCTGGGTAGGGAACCAAAGTTAACATGGATTCTTATAATTAGAAAAAAATGATAATTAAAAAAACAATTAAATAAAAGTAATAATCCATGTTTACCTTGGACAAGAAAAACAAAAACTGTGAAAGCAAAAGGCAGTTGTCTAGAATCTGAGCAGTTGTGAAGTGGGTCTCAGATAAGCCTGAAGACTAGATTGCTGAAGGGGCAGCTGGAAGCTATTAGGAGAGCAGCTAAAATAAAATCAGATGCCAAGACTGCTTCTCAGCCTGCGCTGCACTTCAGAATCATCTGGAGAGTTTTGTTTTTAGTTTTTTTGTTTTTTAACAAACCAATGTCCAGGTTTCACCCCAGGCCACCTGAATAAACCAGGGGAGTCCAGTTAGGATTGTATGAAATTTAAATAACATTTTAATTACTCTTTGCTTTGAGAAAATCCTGTATGAGAAAACCTGAGTTTAGCCAGATCAGTGAGGGAAGATGACAGTATTCATAATAGGTAGCATTTCTGGACATTTTCTACATGCTGAGATTATTCCATATTATTTACATGGTTTATCTCCCTTAAACATCAAAATAATGTTATTATCATAGTTACCATGATTATATCCACTTTAGAAATTAAATAACTGAGACTCAGAAATGTTAACTATCATGGCCAGGATCACATAATAGGTAAGTGGTACACAGGAAGTCAAATTCCTCACTAACACACTATATTCCATCTTTAAATCTTGGAACATGATTATCCCAAGCTGCAAGTTTGGTAAAGAAGGTTGTTAGCTGCTCAAATCCGGGTCAGTATCTAAAGCCCTACTTTCCCCTGAGATTTTCACAGCATGGCCAGCATATGTCAAAGCACCTTCTTTTGTGTACCCAATTGATTTAAAAACTCAAAGTCCATTATGCACCTGGGAGAGCTTCATGCTGTCAGAACTGAAGGTGGTAGACTTCTATCCTTAAAGATCTTTGCTAAACTGTACACAATTCACTTTTTATGGTGAATAACCAGATAACTTTCTCTATGGTCTCAGGACCAGAGACTGTGAGACTTCTCCTGAGAACCTTCTTCTCATTCATCATATGGACCTAAAACTCGATATTATCACCTCACCGCTGGCTTCCACTTCTCTTTTCTACCTGCATTTCTCCACTGTCTTAATTTCTTCATCCATTTATTACTGATTCTATTTTGCCTTTTTTGCATTGTATCTGGTTTTATATGTCACTTAAATCAGTGACCTTGAAATTGCCTGCACTTCAAAATCATCTGAGGAGCTTTTAAAAATCCTGATGTCCAAATGACACCACAGACCAAGGGCATCAGGACCTTGGAGTTAGACCACACATCGATTCTTTAAAGTTCCTCAGCAGGTGATGAGCAGCTAAATATTTCAAAATTCTTCCTGGAAAAATATGGAGAAATAAATAAATAACAATATAGCCCTAAACCATCTCAAGTTTCAAACAGCTAACTTACAGTCATTATACTCACAGATCATATTTTTAAAAATGCTTTCTCTGCCTCTTGACCCTGAAGCTTTTGTGTTGCCATGAAGGGCCACAGAATTTTGCTGCTTCTGTTGATTCCCTTTAGGTCTCCTCCTCTGCTGTCCTTCAAGCCAAGCAGCCTGCTTCCTGCCATTCAGAAACCTCCTACCACTCCCCCCATATTTAGGGACCCCCCTCCCCACCATTTTCCAACATCTGTGCCTCAATCAGGAACTTAAAGAGAAACCCAAAACCACAGCAAACCATCCTTCTGTAATTTGCTGAGCTGCCAGCCTAAAAAAGAGACTAAATATTCCCTTTTTGCTTAAATGGGAGCAACAAATGCTGTTGTTTAAATGAACTGTGAAACAAACCAAAGTTGTGGTTTTGTTTTCCAGAAACAGTTTAGTAAACTAGTTTAATGCAGAAGTAAAGACAATATACTTATAAAACTACATAATTCCAAAAGAAAAAAAAATCCTCAAAGGGAAACTTACGCTCCATTCACTTAGAATCAGATACACACATACATGAATAAAATGGGGAGAGGGAGGGGGCAGAGCTAGCCCAAGTATAAGAATGGCTAATCATTGAAAAGCATAACAGACGAGTCCTGAAAACAGAAGCATAAATGTTATCTGCATAGTTGGGGTGACAGCTCAGTGCATAACTTTTCATAAATATGAAGCTGCCATCTACCTTCATGGGAAACCTTGCCATCCTTCATGCCCTTGGCCTTCTCTCCTGTTCCGTTCTGTCACATTCTCCTCCAGAAGTAAAGCTTAAGCCCAACTCACTGTGGACCATTCATCATATAGAAAGTACTTGTTGGTCATCAACTCTGCCCAGCTCTGCTCTGGAAGCCATGAAGGAGCCAAATAAAGTAAAATTTACTCATGCGAACAGCAGGTGTTAATGAGTATCTACTATGTCGCGGCTCAGGCTGGGAGCCAGAGATGCAGAGATGAAGAGGCGTGTAGACAGAGTCTCCATCCTCCAGGGCTCAGTTTCCTTGGGGAGCACACCTGGCATAGCTAAAAGTCAAAGACTGTGTTAAGTCCTTTAGCAAAATTGACTGAGTGTCTTCTAGTTGCCAAGCCTGCTCTCAGTTCTGAGACAGACAGTCTGTGCCCTCAGGGAGTCTCCAGGCCAGTGCAAAGCCAGGCTGACAGCCCCTGTGAAGTCAGTGGTAAAGGCACACCTGGGAAGTTAGAGAAGGCAGACCCAGCTTTCTCCAACCTTGTCCTTGTCCTTTCACCCGCATGTTCTGTTCTGGTTCCTTATGCCTTTCATCAGTTCTTCAAACACCCAGGCTACACTCAGGGCCTCTGCCCTGCCATTTCTCTCTCTAGATAACTGTCCCCCGATCCTTATGGGTGTGACTTTTTCCTTCTCATCTGTCATGTCTTGGCCCAAATGTGTTAATCAGATCATCCTCAACGACCTATCAAAGGAGAGCCACTTTCATTATTTTCTGTATATATTGCTTGTTGGTTTCTTTCTTCATATTGCCACAGTTTTAATGTATTTTATGTATTTGTCTCTTTACTTGGATTTTTGTCTGTCTCCTCTCTTGAAATACATGCTCCATAGAACCATGTACACCTTGACTCCTGTATCTCAGCACCTAGTATAGCACCTGACACATATTTGTTAACTGAATGAATGAATAAGGTGATATAAATCTGAATACCAATACTCATAGTTTCAAACATTTAAACAGTGCCTGTGCCAGGTTCTGGATGCATTATAATTATTAACTCATTTAATAATACTTAAGCTAAATCTTGAAAGACAAATACAGGTTGCCAGGTGGAGAAGGTAGGTAAGGGTGTTCCAGGCAGAGAGAACAGCACATTCAAAGGCCTGGAGGTGTGAATACACCCAGCACAGTCAGGAGCTGAGAGTAGGTGGGTATAGAAGGATGGTGGAGCAGGGCAGTAAAAGTGGTCAGAGACAAGCTGAACACAGAAGAGGCAATGAGACGTTTTGGGAGGCAAAGACGTGATTTTGTGCTGAAGGCAAAATAGAATCACTGGGGGAAAGATTTGGAGAGTCCCTTGTAATTTTACAGCAACCAGTGCTGATGGTTCACCTGCCAGCCCAGGGGCCTTGGTTTTCTCCTTGTGCTTTATAGGAACATTTCTCCACCCCAGGCTCCACTTCCAGCAAAGATGCACATGGTGACTATTGTGATACTGAACTTTATGTGTCAACTTGACTGGGCCACAGTGTGTCCAGACATTTGGCCAAGCACAGTTCTAGGTGTGTCTATGAGGGTGCTTCTGCATAAGACTAACATTTGAATCTGCAGACTGAGTAAAGCAGAGTGTCCTCCCCAACGTGGGGAATTGGGGGGCACTCCACCAATCAGTTGAGTGCCTGAATAGAACAAAAAGGCTGACTCTCCTCTGAGTAAGGGAGAATTGTTCCTGCCTTCAGACTGAAATGGAAACATTGGCTCTCCTGGTTTTCAGGGCCTCCAACTTGGTTTGGAACTACACCATCAGCTCTCCCAGGTCTCTAGCCTGCTAACTTACCCTACAGATATTGGGGCTTGCCATTAATAATCATTTGAGCCAATTCCTTAGAATAAATCTTTTTCTGTGTGTACATCCTGTTGGTTGTTTCTCTGGAGAACACTGACTCATTCAGCCATTCCTCAAATCTTAACTTTAGAGTGATGGGACAAAGCGGGAGGGAGACCACTCAAGGGGCTCAGAGGAAGAAGAAAGGAGCAACATGGGAGTGATGAGACAACAGTGGAGAAGGCAGAACCAAGCAGCCAGAGGCCACCTCTGCCTCACCCCTGGGCCACTCATGGGCCCCAAAGCCTGCACTCAGTGGATGAATGCAATCCTAAAGGCATCAGGGGAAGGCTCAGCCAAGCATTGCCCAAGAGATTCAAGATGGCAGCCCCTGTCCTGTATCATCAATGAGTTGGCATCTGGCCATTGATAAGAGGGGACTTCTGGCCATTGACCACGGCACCAACATGAAGTGCCCCCTGACAGTTTTTCAGCAACACCCTGTAGATGCCCATCCTCTACACCCCAACCCCTTCCAAGGACAAGGTTCCCAGCAAGAAGGAGTTTCCCAGCATCCTTCACCATTTTCTTCTGTTCTGTCCCTCACTCTACTGTCTCAAGCATGTGGGACTGTGGCTGGCAATGGAGTATCCCAGAAGGCATGGAGATAGAACGGGTGCTACTTAAAGGGGCAATTGGGGTCAAAGCCTCTCAGGGTCTGAGGAGGGGCTGCCCCTCTTTTTTCATTTGAGACCTAGAATGGCAGACCTTCTGGTATGGATTAAGTATGCTGTTTGTCTTGAGTAGGGCCATGGGAGATAATTACAGCCAAACAAGATAGCCAGGAGAGGGACCTGGCTAAGATAAGAGGGACCTGGTATAAGAATACTGTGTTTTGAGTCAGCAAACCTATGTTCCAATTCAATTCAGTTCTGGCACTTGCTCACTAGATTGCTTCAAGCAAGTTAATTTGGTATAAAATATGTCAAATAGGGCTCATAATACCTACTGTGTTAAAGATGGCCCCCAATTCACTACTCTTCTTGCAGTTTATTTCTTCCACTAAAATCTCAGCCAGGCTTTGTGACTTGCTTGACTGACAGAATGCCAAGGAGATGACACTCACTATCAGCCATGGATAGATCATACGTCATCTCAAACTTCCACCCCTGTCTCTTGAAACTCACTCTCTCATGCCCCCTCTCAGGACCCAGTTGCCATGTGCTGAGAAGCCCAAGCCACATGGGGAGGCCACCTGCAGACATTCTGGGCCATCAGCCCCGTTGAACTTCCAGCCAACGGTCAGCTACCAGCCCTGCTGAGCAGCCCCACAGCACATGCCAGGCATGCGCATGTGCATTAAATTGGGGGAAGTTTGCAATAAAATCACTGGAACACCTCACCTGTAAATCAAGTGACTCCCATGTGAAATTCATCATTAAGATTATAGAAAAGCACCTTGTAAACCATAAAGTGCTCCACAAATGTGAAGGGTCATCATTAATATCACGAGTTCCTGCACTTCCCTTCCCATCCTGTCCCAAAGGGCAGCTGTGGGCACTTGTTTCACCCCATGGCAATTTTCTCTGTGCCCAAGCATTCAGATTTTCCAGGAGTGCTGTTTTTTGTTTGTTTGTTTGTTTTGTTTTGTTTTTTTTTTTGAGATGGAGTTTTGCTCTTTTTATCCAGGCTGGAATGCAATGGAACGATCTTGGCTCACCACAACCTCCACCTCCCAGGTTCAAGTGATTCTCCTGCCAGATGCAGTTTTAAAGGAGGTCAAGATTGCAAAGAGGTCCCCCAGAAGCCCCTGGGGTTGCTTACCTGAGGTTCCTGATCTATATGCCTGCACTCTCATCCCTACATCTGCTCCCAGCTGACATTTCAAGCCCTGAGTTTCCCAGTACTCAAATATATCTGGATATGGGGATACAAACTCCTCTGTCCACTTGTACCCTCAGAACTGGATGCTCTAAACTGTCCCTGAAGCTAACGCTCTCCAGCCAGTCTCCTACCATGGTGATTTACTGTCATGGTGAACCACAGAGTCCTACATTCAAACAGAGGGACACAATGACAGTAGAGGGGATATATGGCCATAATTAGCTTACTATGGTTTCTTCTCTGATGACCTTAATAAACCCACTGCAAGAGAATTGTGGGACTAATTCTTCAACACAGTTTGTTCACTGACATAGATCCTTTGGCCTGAACCACCTTCAACAGAGTCTTCCTCTTTTTCAATACTCCCAATATGACATCAAACATGAGAGAGTGTTAATGACAGACACTTTAAAAATTCACTCAACTTGAAATGTTCTGGTCATTTAGAGTAGAAATAAATGAAAAGATCTTTTTCATCTAGAATCCAGTCCTTTGGATGTAAAATTAATAATTATTTCTGGATTCCCCACTAGATTAGTATTTGAAGTTGGGTTACTCTTGTCACCAGTCCCTTAACTGGTCAGTGCAGACAAAAGACAATGTATCACTCCTGCTGCCTCACAAACCAGACAGCATCAACCGCTGCCTCCTCATACCCTGCAGAGGGTGATGCCTATGGCATCATTTGTCCAGAACACTCTGGCTATCTGTGCTCCCATGTGGCAACTGAAGGCTGCAAACATTTCCCTGGTCAATTCCCGCACCAGCTGGCTTCCAGTTAGCTTCTGCCAATGTCAGCACTGTCAGGAGACTGGAAACAGGGATGAAGTGAGAAGGCATCTTTTTGTTCTTTCTGGTATCATCAGTGGCAGCAGCAGTAGCAGGCCAGGGGGACACTCTTGGGTTCCTGGACAGTAGTGGCAGCAGCTTTGGCAGCTTAGTGCTTATGGTCTCTGTCTCTTGCCACAGGATCCCAGGGTCCCTGCAATGTCAATGAGAGCACAGGCTTCTGGCTTCCCTAAGGTGGCAGCAGCAGGAGCAACAGCAGCAGCAGCAGGTATACCCCAGCAGTTCAGGAGTTCAGTAATCCTGAGTTTTGTGTAACATTATGCAAGCATACCTCACACATATTGCAGGTTTGGTTCCAGACCACCGCAATAAAATGAATATCACAATAAAGCAAGTCACATGAAATTTTTTGTTTTCCAGTGCTTATAAAAGTTATGTTTACACTACGTGGCAGACTATTAAGTGTGCGGTAGTAGCATTATGTCTAAATAAAAGTATATACCCTAACTTAAAAACACTTTATTGCTAAAAAATGCTAACAATCATCTGAGCCATCAGTGAGTCATAATCTTTTTGCTGGTGGAGGGTCTTGCCTCAATGTGGGTGGCCTCTGAGTGATCAGGGTTGTAGTTGCTGAAGGTTAGAGTGGCCGTGGCAATTTATGAAAATAAAACTGCAGTGAAGTTTGTTGCATCAATTGACTCTTTTTTTTTCATGAAAGATTTCTCTGTAGCATGTGAAGCTGTTTGATAGCATTTTGCCCACAACAGAACTTCTTTCAAAATTGGAGTCAGTCTTCTCCAACCCTGCCACTGCTTCCATAAACAGCTTACATAAACAACTTACATAAACAACTAAATTTATGTAATATTTTAAATATCTTGTCATTTTAACAATGTTCATGGCATCTTCATGAGGCGTATATTCCATCTCAAGAAATCATTTTCTTTGCCCATCCATAAGAAGCAACACCTCATCCATTCAAACTTGATCATGAGATTGCAGCAATTCAGTCACACCCTCAGGCTGCACTTCCAATTCTAATTCTCTTGCTATTTCCACAACATCTGCAATTATTTCCTCCATGGAAGTCATGAACCCCACAAAGTCATCCATGAGGGTTGGAATCAACTCCAAATCAATGCTCCAAACTCCTGTTAATGTTGGTTATTTTAGTCCCTCGCATGAACAATGAATATTCTTAATGGTATCGAGAATGGTAAATCCTTTCTGGAAGGTTTTTGATTTACCCAGATTCATCAGAGGAATCACTACCTATGGCAGCTATAGTCTTGCAAAATTTACTTCTTAAATAATAAGACTTGACAGTCAAAATTACTTCTTGATTCATGAGCTACAGAATGAGTGTTGTGTTAGCAGGCATGAAAACAAGATTTATCACTTTGAACATCTCTATCAGAGCTCTGATAGAGGTACACTGTCTCTGACCAGGTACATTGTCAATAATACTTTGAAATGAATGTTTTTTCTGTGCAGTAGTTCTCAATAGCAGGCTTAAAATATTCGGTAAACCATGCTGTAAACAGATGTGCTGTCATCCAGGCTTTGTTCTTCCATTTATAGAGCATAGGCAGCGTAGATATCTCGTAATTCTTAAAGGCCTCAGGATATTTGAAATTTGGTAAATGAGCATTGGCTTTGATTTAAAGTCCCCAGCTATGTTAGTCCATAACAAAAGAGTCAGCCTGTTCTTTGAAGCTTTGATGCCAGGCATTGACTTCTCTTCCTTAGCTATGAAAGTCCTAGATGGCATATTCTTCCAATACAAGGCTGCTTCATCTACTTTGAAAACTCTGTAATGTAGCCACTGTCATCAATGATCTTAGCTAGATCTTCTGGATAACTTGCTGCAGCTTCTCCATCAGCACTTGCTTGTTCACCTTGCACTTCTGTTATGAAGACAGATTTTTTCTTTAAACCTTATACACCAACTTCTGCTAGGCTTCCAACTTTTCTTCTGCAGCTTCCTCACCTGTCTCACCCTTCTGAATTAAAGAGTGTTAGGGCCTGGCTCTGGAATAGAGTTTGGCTTAAGGAAATGTTGTGGCTAGTTTGATCTTCTAACCAGACTACTAAAACCTTCTCCATATCAACAATAACGCTATTTCACCTTCTTATCATTCATGAGTTCATTGGAATAGCACTTTGAATTTCCTTCAAGAACTTTTCCTTTGCATTTGCAGCTTGGCAAACTGTTTGTCCCAAGAGGCCCAGCTTTTGGCCTGTCTCAGCTTTCAGCGTGCCTTCTTCACTAAGCTTAATCATTTCTAGCTTTTGATTTAAAGTGAAAGATGTACAAATCTTTCTTTCACTTGAACACTTAGAGACTAGTGTAGGCTTATTAATTGGCCTAATTTCCATATTGTTGTATCTCAGGGAATAGAGAAATGGGGAATAGCCAGTCAGAGGAGCAGTCAGAACACACACAACATTTAACAATTAAGTTTGCCGTCTTATATGGGCAGGTTTCATGGCACCCCAAAACAAATACAATAGTAATATCAAAGATCACTGATCACAGGTCACCATAACAGATATAATGATAATTTAAAAGTTTGAAATGTTGAGGGAATTGCCAAAATATGACACAGAGACATGAAGGAGAACATGCCGTTGGAAAAATGCTGCCGACTTGCTGGAGACAGGATTGCCACAAACCTTCAATTTGTAAAAAATACAACATCTGCAATGTGTAATAAAGTGAAGCACAATAAAACAATTTATTTCTATATTCCCTTCAGCCTAAGGTTGGTAGGGACTTCCTGCTTCCTGTGATTCCTAATGCCTGGGTAACTTCATTTTTCTTCCCCCCTCCCCCGACCACCTGCCTTTGGCCCTTCTGACACTTTTTGCCCAACAACCACAGCAAAATCCCTGCATTGAATTCTCTCTGTTTGATACACCTAGAGTGGTTTTTATTTCCTTTACTAGACCTTGCTATTACGCAGTAGTCTAAGCTCCTACAGAAGACACTGTTTATTCCCTACTTAATATTCATCCCCCCGTCTTTCTTGTAAATGGAATTCCAGTTTTGACCAGATCAGCCAGGTTTCCAGATAAATACTCACTTTCCCAGTCTCCTTTGCAGCCAGGGGTGACCATGTGGTGGTTTTTGGTCAATAAAATATAAGTAGTTTTCTGGGATCTCAGGAAAGGTTTTTGCTTTCCTGATAAGATGAAACAGACAGGACTAACACCATCTCTTTTACCCTGTTCTCTGCCTTGAGCGTACACATGGCATTTGGACCTGCAGTAACCGTCTTGCATCTGAGTCACCAAACATGAAGACAAAAGGCAATGCTCTAGCAATGATGTAATGGAAGAATAGAAAGCCTGCGTCCATCGTGGCATTGCTGAGCAGCTAAACCACCACCTTAGCCGTAGGAGTCCTGCTTCAGTCCCATTCTGTAATCGTCCTACATTCTGGAGCTTTTCTTATAAGTTCCACCTCTTTTCAGTAACTGCTGTCTTAATTTGATTACATAGGAGCATTGGAAAGTGGTCCCAGCTTCTGCTCAGCTTAGTTTTCATGTAGACTTATACTACAGGGGCTTCTTCAAAGAGGGGGAAAGAGGCAGATTCAGAAATGAATAAAGGAGTATTCCCACGAGCAGGGGAGCTGACGAGAGGGTGTGTCTGGGCAGAAATCCGACAGGAGCATCCCACATAGTATCTAACCTCCCTGTTCTCATTTTAAATTGCCCTTTATAAAAAGCTCACCACACAATTCTCATTAGAGCCTCTGAGATAAGATGGAGTAGGTCAGAGGCAGATTATTTGAGTCGTGGCCAATAATACAATATCACAAATCCTTTCCTCTCACTCTACTTTTTTCCTCTTCTTTTTTTTTTTTTTTTTCCAAAATTGGCTTTGGAGCCCCGTTTTTCCAAAGAGGTGAGCTGAGGATCCCTGCTGACCACTGTTTCTCTTGGCAGCAGGTCTAGTTTGATCAGTACCCAGTATTGCTGAGTCTCACTCCCTGGGAGACACCCACCGCCTGGCCATGCTTTAATTAAGTGGACATCTTGTTCCTGGAGAGGTTGTGCAGCTGCTGTGTTTTGCTAGTATCTTGAAGCCAAATTAGAAACTTAAAAATCCTTCGCGTTTATTTGCTGAGTTTCTTGACCTCTGGCAGGAATTGCCCCCCCTTGCCCCCCTTTCGCCCCCCTCCAGCCATTGTTCTTTAGGAAGTGTGGCCAAGTGGGGAGGGCAGCTCCCTTGAACTGGTCACCTGCACGTGACTTGTTAATGAGTGCCCTATTTGTGAAGAAAGGGAGGGAATGAGGAGAAACCTCATTTCTCTCCTTCGATTTGTTTTTTAATCAAATCAAATTCTTAATTACATTTGGCTGGAATGAAATTATGCTGGTGAAGAGCTTCCAGATGGAACTAGGAAAGTGACTTTAGCTGAACTCCACAGCCATTTTGGTCCATATAAGAATGTTTTCCCCTAAAGGGGCTGTCAGCCTGGTGCTTTCGGTCTGAAGGACAAAGGGCACTTCTTCACCATCTCTCCTTCCAAATGTTGCTTAGCGATGTCTTTCCTGAATAGGTTAGGGAACTTCTAAGTTTAGGGATTCTCTAACAAGTCAGCTAGATAAGGACTCTGAAAGGCGGTCCCGTGCAAAGGCATGTGGGATTTTACAGATGCTGACCTGCCCCACAGCAGCTGTGTAACACTAGGTAGTGCATAACCTCTCTGAGCACCACTTTTCTCAGTAGATTTCTCTTCATAGGATTATTGTGAAGATTAAATCATATGGTTGGCTGGGTGTGGTGGCTCATGCCTGTAATCCCAGCACTTTGGGAGGCTGAGGCAGGCAGATTGCTTGAGTCTAGGAGTTCAAGACTAGCCTGGGCAACATGGCAAAACCCAGTCTTTACTAAAAATACAAAAATTAGCTGGGTGTGTTGGTATGCACCTGTGGTCCCAGCTACTCAGAAGGTGGGTGAGAAGATCACTTGAGCTGGGGAGGTTGAGGCTACAGTGAGCCAAGATTGCACAACTACACTCCTGCCTGGGTTATAGAGCAAGACCCTGTCTCAAAAGACAAACAAACAAACAAACAAAAAAAATATGGTTTGTGCATGATATTGATTTCTTCTTTTTTTCTTATTTTTCATCTTTTTTCCTCAGAGAGAAGCTACCCATAACACAATTAAAATAAATCCTGAGAGGCTGCTTCATTTAAAGAATCTTTGGGCCACGCATGGTGGTTCATGCCTATAATCCCAGTGCTTTGGGAGACCAAGGTGGGAGGTTTATGCCAGGAGTTTGAGACCAGCTTGGGCAACATAGCAAGATCCCATCTATACAAAAAATAAAAAAATTAGACTGGCATGGTGGCACATGCCTGTAGTCCCAGCTACTAGGGAGGCTGAGGTGGGAGGATCCTTTGAACTAAGGAGTTCAAGGCTGCAGTGAGCTATGATCGTGCCACTGCACGTCAGCTTGGGTGACAGAACAAGACTCTCTCTCTAAAAATGAACAAACAGATACAAAAAAGAACCTTTGTTTTATAATCCACTGTTTTCAGGATTTCATAAAATGGTCCGTAAACAATCTTATCCTAAAGATAACTAACATCTTCATCTCTATCCTGGCCCCAGCGTCACATGTCCTGAAGTTCTGCTATCCTCAGCCTTATGATGGGGTTTATACTGCCTGAATATTCTCTTTCCTCCTGTCTGTGAAAGGTCTATTCAACATTATCTCCTAGAAGTTATTTCCATAAGGCAAACACAAGTCCAGCTAAAGGGAGTCTGGCTAACTTGATAGGATAGCCTTTGGGAGCCCAGGAAGGATGCTTAGAAATTCCTTCTTGCTCCATCCTGAGCCCACTGGGCAGGTAGGGAGAGGGAAGGAGGGAAGAGAGCAGATCTGGTCATGTGGGGTAGAGGAAACTCATATTTTAACCATTAGATTGCTGGGATGTGATGAATTAACCACCTAATCCAAAATTGAAGCTGTGAGGCCCAGCCATATGACCAAGTTTACCCAACACTCAATTTAGATCCCAGCAGACAGGGAAGATAGCATGGCACCTGTTGCCGAAACCTTCAGAGCAGGGCGGCAAATGTCTTGGCAACCAAATTGGCCACTCTATTTCCATGGCACATGTCACCATAAGCACATGTAGAATTCCCAGAGAGGACTTGAATTGGAATACACTTTCAGGAGAGCTTCTTTTAGATTTTTATCAGAGGCTCATACCAAATCACCCTAAGTGGCTTATCTGTCTCTCCCTTAGCCCAAGGGTTATTGCCCAGTGAGCTGAAGTCAAGCCTGCTCCATTTGCTCAGGGAAAAGAAGAGATTCTACTTTTTCCCTTTTCCCACCATGTTCTTCACTCCCTAGCTCTCAGTTGAACTAAAACATTATGAAACATTGTGCTTCTTAATAAAATTGTTATGAAAACTCTGTTGAGATACAATTGTTTGCCAAGCATAGCTACTTTGGGGCCATCTATTAATCATTAGGTTTAATTCACTGATTCATTAAAAAGAGGAAGTATATATGAGTTTTTGGTTTTGGGTTTTTTGTTTTTGTTTTTGTCTTGGAGACAGGGTCTTGCTCTGTTGCCCAGGTTGTAGTGCAGTGGCACAATCATAGCTCACTGCAGCCTTGAACTTCTGGGCTCAAGGGATCTTCCTGCCTCAGCCTCCCAAGTATCCCCAAGTAGCTGGGAATAAAGGTATGTACCACCATGCCCACCTAATTTTTTTTTTCATAGAGATCGGATCTCACTATGTTGCTCCAGATGGTCTTGAACTCCTGGCCTCAAGCAATTCTTCCATCTCAGCCTCCCAAAGCCCTGAAATTCCAGGTGTGAACAACTACAGCCAGCCTGTAATGAGTTCTTGTACTTCAAAAATGCCAGAATGTTTCTCTGACTACTATAGGATGGCTTACTTATCCAATTTCAACCACATTTTTCCTTACCTTTCTCTAACATAGAGGCTAAAGCTAAATACAGGTGGTCCCTGAATTACTATGGTTGGATGTACAATTTTTTAATTTTATGATGGTGCAAAAGTGAAAGATATTCAGTGGAAACCGTACTTCAAGTACCCATACAATCATTCTGTTCTTTCACTTTCAGTACAATATTCAATAAATTACATGAGACATTTAACATTTTATTAAAATATAGGCTTTGTGTTAGATGATATTGCCCAATTGTAGGATGATGTAGGTATTCTGAACATGTTTAAGAGAGGCTAGGCTAAGCTATGATGTTTGGTAGTTTAAGTCTATTAAATGCATTGTCAACTCATGGTATTTCCAACACACGATGGGTTTACTGGGGGTGTGATCCCATCCTAATTCAAGGAACATCAGTACTCAGTTTTCCTAGCCACGTTCCAGCCAGCAATGGCCATGTTCTGGTCAGTGGACGTCACAGGGAAACACTTCCCTTTCCAAGTAAAAAGACAAAGGGTCTCAAGGAAAAGACTGGCATTCCCCCTTCTTCCTGTCTGGAGCAGTCTTGCAAACAGGAAGCTTGAAGCTGCATGCTAAGAATGATGGAACAGGATGATCCAAAGCAACTGATAGCATCTCAGAGCAGCGGGATCAGTCTTGGGCTGTCCACCTCCACACTTCTTGTTATTTGAGGAAAATAAAGTCCAACTCATCATTTAAATACCTTATAGTTGGATCTTCTGTTAATTGTAAAAGCAAAACAAAAGCACAATCTTCTTCCTAAATTGTACAGGTATGATCACACAGAGACACCTAAGATCCAGCATATTTCTTCACTTCTGATAACAAAGAATCACAATTAAAGTGTTATTACTTGTTTTGGTGGTGTGGGGAAAGGCACAAAGAGGAAGACTTCAAAATCCCCCACAATTTCCAGAACCGGGGATAGAGCTGCTGATATTGTGTTGTTTGAATTACAGACTTCCTATTCCTTTGTATTCAGGGATTTTTCAAATTTTGATATTTAGAAGGCTGGATGAGACTCAAGTCTCCTGACACAAAAACTTGAATGGTTTCACTTCTCAAACATTTCAGTCGAATGTTTGCCAAAGTTTTTATCTCAGGGAAACTATTTGCTGAGTTTCTAATATTATGTAAAATACCAAAGTAAGACTTCCCCCAGGGGATTATATTACTATTTAGTTTTATATTTCTTCTGATGCCTCCAATAAATCATGAACTTCTTCAGAGATGTCAGAGGGCAGTCTGTCTCTTTGACTGCAAATGACAAGCCATGAATAATGCACACAGCTCTTTCACAGAGAGGCTCCCAAACCATACAGCCTATTGCCTTTGTCTCTGGCTTGCTATTGGACAAACTGCTTCCATGGAGCCTGGTTTCTGACTTGCTGGATGAGCTCTAGGCTGGTCAACCATTATGAATCCCTGGGGTCAAGCACACCACCACAGTATCTGGGGTATCAAGAGGTGGCTCCAACTTCCAAAAGAATGAAACTAGAATACTCCAGAGAAGGCAGCCAGTGTGTTCTAATCTTCTCAACTAGACTAGAAACTCCTTGAGGGCAGTCTTGGTTCTCTAAATTTCCTAAGGTAGTGCCTAGATCTTAATAGTGGCCTTATTAATATTTATTTTATGGAAGAATGAACATGTGGATGGATGGATATGTGGTAGGTGGGTGGGTGGATGGATGGATGGGGTTACCCTAAAACTTAAAGTATAATAATAATAAAATAAAATAAAATAAAATAAGAAAAATTAGCAGAAATAAGACTACCAGTATCTAAGATCATAAAGAGTAGAGAAAATAGTAAATAAAAGCTTGTTTACTGAAGAGTAGCTCAGGAGAAACTTCATTAAAATGGCAAATGGAGAAAATATAAGTATAGCATTACTTTACATAGCAAAAGGACAGTTTAGAGAGCCTACTCACTTGAAGGTAGGGCGAGCATAATACTTTCTCCAATGTTCTTTATCCTAACACATATTTTCAACATGCTTTCTCCCTCTTCATTTTTTATTGAATTACCAAAGTAGCCGTGTATACTTTTTTTGAGACAGGGGTCTCACCATGTTGCCCAGGCTGGTCTTGAACTCTTGGCTTCAAGTGATCCTCCTGCTTCAGCCTCCCAAGTTGCTGGGATTACAGGTATGAGCCACTGTACCCAGCTTAGGAACAGTGTATACTTACCATCAACACAAATACATTAGAATCTGGCTTTCTCTTTAGCCAATCTTTTGAATCTGCTTTTAAATACCTCATTAATGGCCTCCAAGGTGCAATATCTGTCTAAAACATCTTATTCTCAGATTATATGATGTTTTAACACTTCTCACCACTTCTTAAATTTGCCGTGTTTCTTCTTTCTTAGTTTCTACTTCTCTGCATTCTCTTACTCCTTCACGTACCCCATCCTTACCCTACTTTTTTTTAGGTTTGCTGCCTCCTCTGAGCCCACTCCTTCCCATTCAATAAGCTTTTGTCACATTCTGCCTTCATCCTCTTCTCTGCTCATGCTACAGTCCTCTGGTGATCTCATTCACACCTCTAACTTCAAGTATCCTTTTAGAGTAGATGGTCCCCATGTGATGTCTTTGACCCCAAAGTCTAGACTGTATGTCTTCATCCACCCTTTAATTTATCAAACATTTATAGTGACCTTGTCATGCATGATGTTACTAAAAATTGAGTACCAAGAAAAACTTGACTTCCTTTAATGAATCAAAGTTTAGAGAGGAGACATAAGTAAACAACAATAATGAAGGATAACAATTGCCACCATAGAGGAGTACCCACCAAGGAGACCTCAAAGGAAGGGCCAAGTGGCAGGTGGCCCGGCGGATGCAATGGCAAAGGGCATTCTAGGCCGAGAGAAGAGTAAGGGTATGAAGACTCAAGAGAGCTTATATTTGTCACCTAGTAACTGTCAGTTTCCTGTCAAATGCCAGGCACCCTAATAGATGTTTTCACAAAATAATATTACCTCACATTCACTCAGTGATTATTAAATACCAGGCACTTTTCTAAGTGCTTATCATAGAGTATCTTACATAATCTTCATACAACCCAAAAAGATAAACATTATTACCCTCATTTTACAGATGAAGAAACTAAAACCCATCTGCAAAGTGAGCTCTGTGACTTAGTTAAGGCTTGAAACAGCAAGCAGCAGAGCCAGGGTCTTAGGACTGTGTTAGCTCCATGAAGCAGAAATTCCTCAGGTTAACAAGTAGAAGCAGACCTTATTATAAGGTAAGCAGGATGTCTCCTAGAACTCAAGAGTAAGAGCCATGAGAAGCTGGAACTAGGTCTGGCGAACCAGCAGATCAAGGCAGCTACTTTCTTTCTCCTTCCCTCATCAGATTGTGCGTCATCCCTGCTCCTCACTAACTAACCACCTGTTCCACCCTCCTGCCTCTCTCTGCAGCTGCAGACCGGCCCTCTCGCCTTGCTCATCATGCTCCATCATATCATCATGGAGGCTCAAAAATGGCTTCCTTGTCCCCCCAGACTACAGCACCCTTACAAGTCCAATATACACAAAGACTGATCATAGTCATGTCTACTAATTCCAAATTCTCATGAGAGAGATTTGGATTCACCAGCTCCTATCAGGTAACAACTCCTGACCCCATCAACTATAGCCAGGAGCTGGTAGAGGTGGATTAGAAAGTACCAAACATGGATGCAGGAGAGGCAATTCTCAGGGAAAGATGCATGGATTGGGCACACATCCTCAAAACATGTCTTTTTTTTTTTTTTTTTTTTGAGACGGAGTCTCACTCTATCACCCAGGCTGAAGTGCAGTGGCACCATCTCAGCTCACTGCAACCTCCACCTCCCAGATTCAACCAATTTTCCTGCCTCAGCCCCCCCAACTGGGATTACAAGTGCCCACCACCATGCCCGGCTAATTTTTGTATTTTTAGTAGAGACGGGGTTTCACCATGTTGGCAAGGCTGGTCTCGAATTCCTAACCTCAAGTGATCTGCCAGCCTCAGCCTCCCAAAGTGCTGGGATTACAGGAGTGAGCCACCACGCCCAGCCAAAACATGTCTTTTATAGTTTAGGTTCCATCCCAGGTGTTCTGAGTTCAAGTCATATTTTTTTCTCTATGCCACACTACCTTATCTTAAACAAAGCATATCTAAAATCAAGCCATGCCCCCTTAAACAAGCCCCTCTTATTTTCCTAATTCAATTACTGACTTAACATCAGCTCACCCTTTCTGTTTAACATTTCAAAGTTAACTTCAATGTTTCCCTTACTTTAATACCCTACACCTAACATTCTGCCCTAAAAATATTCAAAAAGGTCTTCCAGATTAGTCACTTTTTCCAACCCCAAAGATCATCTGCTGTTTCAAAATGCAACAGTGACTATCATGACTTGTAAACCAAAGAGCCAGACCAACATTTTACTCAGAAAGCCCAAGAGTAAAGCTGTTTGGTGAAAGCTGGATTAAGCTATTTTAGGCTGAATCAAGAAAATTGTAGGAACAATTGTTATTAATAGTATACAAAAGAAAACTAGTAGCAGATGCAGGATGACACAGTGAGTAACATTTGTAAAGTGAGTAAAGTGAAAGGATGGCATTGGGTTTGGTCTATTTGGTTAAACCTGAACTGATGAACTGAGAAGGAGATAAAAGAAAAGGAAGAATGAGCAAGTGAGATGGTACCTGGGGATAGAAGACAGCAAGCTAAAGACATGGGTGACAAATGGCAAGAAACTCACCAAGATTAATGAAGATCTCCACAAAACAAATATGACCAATCTGAATTAATGTCTCCAGCAGCGTTCTGGCCTCCCAGGGCGAGAATGGCCTGAATTAATGCCAGTTTCTGTGGTGTAAATACTCCCACCATGGCCATTTCAAACTACCATTGTAACCTCACTGAATGAGAAATTAGGAAGAGATGTTTGCAATTGACTTTCATGAGCCAGTGAGACCTAGTTCCAGCACACCACTGGGTATCTCTAACCTCCCTGGCTTTCAGCATGGCCTAGAATGGCGGGAGCTTCAGCTCACCCAAATTAGAACCCCTTCAAATAAAGAGCTCCTCACTCAGACAAATGAAGTGATTCTGGGGTCTTTCTGTTAGTTAAAAAAAAAAAATCCTATCCTATTCCAAGATCAAACATCTCTCCAATCTTCCCATAAATCAGTTTGTGACCTACTATACATTTTAACACATGACAAGGCAAACTTTGAAAAGGGCTCTTGAAGAACAGAGGAAAGGAAATCTCTGTTGGCATGAAAGAGTTAGAATTTGATCTGGATTTGGTGGGTGGGGAGTACAGGAGGGGAATGGGCAATTGCAGACACGGGGACTAGATGGAGACTCTGAGGCGGGGAGGAATGGTCTGTTCGGGAGTGATATTTAAGTGGCAGGAATGGAGGTAGGTGTGCCTGGCTGTAGAGAGGTGAGCTGGATCACCCTATGTGGGCCACTCAGGCTTATGCAGCATTGTCTAGCCACAGAGAGATTTTGTCAAAGCTGCATGAAGGTGATGACTCTGGAAGCAGTGTAGTTTTTGGACGGGGTGGCAGGGCTTTGAGTGTGCACATGTGTGTATGTGTGTGTGCATACACATGTTGGGGGAATGGTGAGGGTAAACCTGAGTAAAATATTAGCAAAGAGACAATAAAGACACACGAGACTTTGTATTTGAGAGAGAGGTAACAGTAGGAATGGAAAGAAAGCAATGGATTTAAGTGAATTCAGTCAAATAAAGAGATAACTGATCAAGATGATAGAGGGGATAAGAAACTCTATAAACACTCATAATAAAAGTGATTAATGTGTGGACTTCAGGTGGGAGCTGAACACTATGGAACACAGAAGTGAAATCCTTACTGCATCATCTTTTATGTTTTTGGATTTTTGAATAACGTAAGTTCATTTCCTATTTTATAAATGTAAAGATTTCAAAATAAATTTACAAAGACAGAGAGTGAACAGAAATGTCTGATCAAGTTTCCTGGCTTTATTCAAAAGAGCTCAAGGTAGATCTCTAAGACATCTTCGGATGTGAAATTTCCCCAGGTCCCTCAATCACCAAGGCCAACTCTTAATGGGCTGCAATGACTATAAAATATCTGTGCAGGAGTTAGGGATGGGCAGGGAAAGACGCAGGGTGGGTATGCATCTGTGAATGAAGCTTCTTGACTCACCTATTGAAAATCACAATTCAGAGTCCAACAGCCCTTTCTCTTTAAACTTCCTCCCCAAAGTCTTGCATCTATAGAAATATTATTTACCTCTTTATTTGACAAAAACCTCTTGAGTCCACTGCTTCCTTTTAATTCTCCCTGCTACCTCTCTTAAATCTAGGTCTCATGACCTTGAAATGGTTTATTTACTATCTCTTTGCCAACAGTGTTATCACTTACATCCCCATCACACCCCCAACACACATGGGTACACACATACACACATGCACACACACATGTGCACACTCACAGCCCTGCCACCCCATCCAAAGACTACACTGCTTCCAGAATCACCTCCATCAAGTGCAGCTTTGACAAAGGCCCTTTGTGGCCAGACAATGCTGCAAAGGCCTGGGTAGCCCACCCAGGCTGACACAGCTTGCCACTCTACACCCAGGCACACCTGCCTCCACTGCTGCCACTTGACTCTACCACTCCCAAACAGATCATTCCCCCCCGCCTCAGGGTCTCCATCTAGTCTGCCTGTCTGCAATTGCCTGTTCCCCACCTGTACTCCCCGCCTGCCAAATCCAGATCCAATCCTAACTCTTTCATGCCAACAGAGATTTCCTTTCCTCTGTTCTTCAAGAGCCCTTTTCAAAGTCTGCCTTGCATATTTTCTATAAAGTATGCTAGATTGTAGGTTCCTTAAATTAAGTGTATCTTTTGAAAGTAGACCCCATCTTGTATCTCCTGACTCAGCACCTACTTATCATCTTACATATTACACATGCAAGACAGAAACTGCCAACTGTCCCCTAACATCCAGTCTCTGCTTGTTTCTTCTGGTAAGAGAACGGCTGGCTTTTAGCTGTGCGCATGGCCACCTGGTAAGAGCTACATTTCTTAGTCTCCCCTGTGTTAGTGGCCATGGGCAAAAGTTCTAGCCAATGAGAAGTGAACCAAAGGGTATACGCAGCTTCTAGGTTTTTCCCTTGAAGAGGAACGTGCTCTCCTCTGTCCTCATTTTCTTTAGCTGGGATACAGATGTGCTGACCAGCCATGTTGGTCCAAGTAGAAGCGAGTGAACACCCTAGTAACAGGAGAGAACAATGACAGAAAGGGCTTGTCCATCCCGGATTCCATGAAGCCACCTTCCTAGCCAACTGAGCTGCTTATGCACAGACAGTTATACAAGACAGACATATTTCCACTGTGTTTAAGCCACTGTTCCTTTGAGTCTGCCTTAGAACCACTGCATTTATATTCTAAACATTACAGGGTGCTTAACATATGTTTACTGAACTAAATTCATTGATAATGGAATCTGCGTTTGCACAGGAAATAAGAAAACTGAGGAGATCTTTCATCGTGTGTTTTTCATTTTAATCTTCTTTAAAGATGGGGTCTCATTCTGTTGCCCAGGCTAGAGTGTGGTGGTGCAATCGTAGCCCACTGCAGCCTCGAACTCCTGGGCTCAAGCAATCCTCCCCTCTTGGCCTCCTGAGCCGCTGAGAACACAGGTGCACACCAACACGCCCAGCTTCATCCTGTGTTTGTGTTTAAGTTTTAGGCAACTGTATATTGCAGGACCCATTCCACAATGACCCTGCCAAACAGAATTCCCATTAGAAACTAAACTGACTCTGGAGCTACTGTACTGATTATATACACTTATCCCAAGAGCAAACACACTGAAAATGTGCCAGAAATCAACTTCACTGGCAGGCCTGGCTGAGTGTGGCGATTCTCTTTGCCTGGGTGATGGGGGGAGGAGTGCCACGTCGGGGAAGGCAAATAAAAATGAGATGTTCCCCAGAACAGCGTGACCAAGGGTGGCTGCTTAACCAAGGCCCCGGCAAACATTCTTTCAAAAACTTCTACAACCTAGAGTGTCCTTTGACTTTCTTCTGTGTTTAATCTTCTAATTTTCCAAAGTGACAGGATTCCCCAAGGAACCTGAGCATTACACGAATGGAGAGCCATCTTCTCATCTCTTAATTCTGCCACTGTTAACCCACCCTTGCCTTGGAGCGGATTGTCCAAGATGCTCACAAATGAGCACGCAAACTCCCACCCCAAGGCTGCTCCAGGGCAGGGGGTAAGGGGCCAACAGAAGGGATGTGTCCTGTCCTTTATCAGAAGGCATTTATGCCTCCCTGAACTGCCACCTCCCCTAATCACTACGTTCACATCATGCTCCTTCCAGGAACTGCACACCACATGTCCAGAGAAATAGGAGATACAGGAAATGAGCCAGATGCCTGGGCTGGAGGCGGGGCTCATTGTTAACCAGAAGGGATCAGACAGAACTAAGCAGCCACACATGGCATTCCAAGGTCTGGGATACAAAGGAAGGCTGTATCTGCCCATTCTAGAAACAGCTCAGAGGTTGGATTCTAACTTTTTTAGGTTGGAATATCTTCCAATCTGGAGATAGGCCTCTCTGTCTCCAAGCCACAGCCTGCAGGAGGGATAGCTTAGCTCAGTGGTTACACTGTTGCCCAGGGTGGTGTGCAGTGGCACAATCATGGCTCACTGCAGCCTGAATCCCCCTGGGCTCAAGTGATCCTGCCACCTCAGACTCCCAAGTAGCTGGGATTATAGGCACCCATGCGCCACCATGCCCAGCTAATTTTTGTGAGTTTGTGTTTTGTTTCTTTTTTTGTTTGTTTTTGTTGTTGTTGTTATTGTTTGGGGTGGGGGGACAGAGTCTCGCTGCGACACCCAGGCTGGAGTGCAATGGTGCGATCTCGGCTCACTGCAACCTCCACCTCCCGGGTTCAAGCGATTCTCCTGCCTCAGCCTCCCGAGTAGCTGGGATTACAGGCATGCGCCATCAGGCTCAGCTATTTTTTGTATTTTTAGTGGAGATGGAGTTTCACCATGTTGACCAGGCTGGTCTCGAACTCCTGACCTCAGGTGGTCTGCCCGCCTCGGCCTCCCAAAGTGCTGGGATTACAGGGGAGAGCCACTGCACCCGGCCAGGTTTTTTTTAGAAATAGGGTTTCACCATGTTGTCCAGGCTGGTCTCAAACTCTGGGCTCAAGCGATCCACCTGCCTCAGCCTCCCAAAATGCTGGGATTGCAGGTGTGAGCCACCGCGCCCAGCCTCTTTTTCTTTAAGCAAGAAACACTGAAAATACAAAGTTGTTTTTGTGTGTGTATGCACATATGTGCATGGGCATTTTAAACATGGCTGTGGATGAAACCATCTGAGGCTCTGTAGACATTTAAGAGACAAAATGGGCTCACAGTAGACAAAGCCAACTCTGCAGAGAAGCACAATCGTGAGGTCTGTTGGGAAGTGCTCTTGACTCAGCAACTCAATCCAGACATCCAGTCCAGCCCTTTCAGAGCCCATCTGTGGCATTTAAAATGAAATGGGGGTGACAGGATCTTCAGGGAGTCTCAGCATCCAGATTAGGGGATACCCACACACCATCATCCTCTACTCCTTCCTCCCCTTCAAACCAGAATCACTGACCCCTGGGTGCAGACCCTCCCACTCTGAAAAAAAAAAAAAAACAAATTGATATAAACTCACGTGTGCTTGCTGTATTCCTCTGATTTTTCCTTAATCTTCATTTCCCTCAAAAACCATGTGCACATGGGCCTTGGCTCCTCCAATGGGACTGAAAGCCTCTTGGGGGCAGGAACCTGGACATGGATGCCCTTATTGTCTCCATTGTTGCGCGGTGCCTAACACAGGCAACTCCACATGTATTTGGTCAGTTGGTTTGATTTTCTGTGGAAGGATTCCTCTCCTCTGCACTTTTCAAGAGAGGATAATGACATAGTCAGATCCCCACTGTCAGATCCAGGTACTTGCTCCACCATGGCTGCTTGTCCTTGGTTGTGAGAAAAAGCTGAGAAAAACACATGCTGAGGTCTCCTTTGTGTGGCCCAAAGCAAAGAGCCTCCCTTTCTTCTCTCCAAATCTCCTTGCTTCTGGGAGGAAGCCAAAAAACAACTCAGTGAGTAGAACTGACCTGTAACAATTAGAAGAGAAACTTAATGATAGAATTTACTTCTTCACCATCGCTGGTAAAAGTTCAAACACAGGAACACAGTCCTTACCAACAGGCAACAGATGGAGTTCAAAGAGATTGCACTGGCCCTGCTGTCTCTCGCTGTGAGGTTGCTCAGTATCCAGAGGCCCATTGTGTCCCCAGAGCTCAAGGACCTCTTCCCTGGGCAGGCTGGCCTCAGGGAAGGGGGAAGAGGAGGGGTCCGTGGGGACAGGGACTTCTTCCTATAGGGAAAAAAACCTGGCTCTACCTAAAATGGCTTCCTGTCAGAGCCAAAGGATTAGGGGGCTTTTGCCGGCTTCTACCTGGTGACATCAGGATAATGCTGACCTTTCGATTTTTCCTAGCAGGTCCCAAACATCTCCAGACATTACAGCCATAGGTCCCACTTGTGCAGGAGGACTGAGCTGCCTGTTTCCTGGAGGTGGAAAGGCCAGTCCCTTTCCTCATCATAGCACGGAGCTGCAGGGAGACCCAAGCTTGGACTCCCCAGAACGGAGAGCACATTTTCATCAGCTGCCCCTGTGCTCTCCGTCACCCCTGCCACTCCTGCGCTCCAGGCTCCCACGGTTTCTCAAACGTGCCGGGCGTCTCCCAGGCTCAGGGTCTTGCTCAGGGCCAGGCTGATGGCCTGGCATGCCCTCCCTCAGATACACACACTCCTGACACTCCCTCCCTCATCAGGTTTGCTTGGATGTCACCCTCTTAGAGAGCTTTCTTCACAAGTTGCTCCTATCCCCTCCGGCAGTCCTTATTCCCCTCTCTAGTTTTATTTCTCTCCACTACACTTATCGCTGCCCGATGAGCCATCACTTTCCTTACACGTTGGGTTTATTGCCTCCTTTCCCTCTCTAGAATGTAAGTACCATGAGGGCCATTATGTTCTCTGCTGTATCCTCAGCACCTAGAATATGCTGGATAAATAACAGATGCTCAAACTTACTAATTTTTTTTTAAATAAACAGAGGAGTTACTATCATCACTATTATTAACCACGTGGGAGTTTGCCACCCTTGGCATGGGCAGGGGGTGATAATTCACCCAGGAGTTGCCCCCCTGGAGAGGAGATAAAGATGCCCCTAGCTGAGCAGCTTACACACTGTGTGAGTTTGCTAGAGCTACCATAGCAAATGACCACAGGCTTAACGACAAAAATGTTCTGTCCCACAGCTCTGGAGGCTAAAGATCCAAGATCAAAGTGTCAGCAGGGTTGGTTCCTTCTGAGAAAAGTGAGAAAGAATCTGTTCCATGCCTCTTACCTAGCTTCCTGGAGTGTCCTGGCAACTTTTGGAGTTCCTTGGCTTGTAAAGCATCACTCCAGTCTCTGACATCAACTTCACCAATTTCTGTGTGTCCAAATTTCCCCATTTTATAAGAACATCAGTCAATTTGGATTAGGGCCTACCCTAATGACCTCATCTTAACTAATTACAACTACAGAGACCCTATTTCCAAATAAGGTCATATCCTGGGGTTCTGGGAGTGAAGACTTCAATAATATGAATTTTAGGCAGGGAGCAGTTGAGGAGTGGTGGAGGCGTTAGACAAAATTCAACCTGTAACACTCCCATCTTGTCTAGAGGCAGAAAGGTCGCCTTTTGGCCAAAAACATTCTTTCTTCATGCCCTTCTCACTGCTTCTCAAGGGAAGGACCATGGACATGAGATGCGGTTGGTCCAAGACCAGATGAAGAGCCTATTTCTGCCTTCCTCTGCCCCTCCCTTTAGATGACTGTTGTGTGGGCAGTGCAGCCTTTGTGGGCCTCTACTCCCTGCGGCCCAGAGAGAGGCCACCTGCCCATCTGGCATCCTGCAGACCCATTGATGGTTCAGCCCCTTGGCTGGATGCACATCCATTCATCAGGAAAGACAACTTAGGGCCTTTCTGTCTAGCTCCAGCCACACACTAGCGGGAGCATATCAGCCTCCCAGCACAAAATTTGCTCATATAGTGCTCCTTAATGAGAGCATCAACCCTGAAAACCCAGGCAGAGGGAATAAGCATCAATGAATCCCTGAAGCAAGTGGGGGCTCACAGGTGGGCTCCAATGGCTCACGCTGACACCCATAGCTGGGGACGGGCCAGGAGGAATTTCCCAAGGGCCTGGGGCAGGTAGAGCTGCCAGCACCTAACTAGGGCACCATGCACCCATTTCCTGATACAAATGCTTTGAGAAATAGAAACGACAAGATTTACCTTGAGCAGCAACCAATATATCTTCTCCAAACAGCACATGCATCTTCGAAAGCTCAGTGGGATTTATTATAGAGCTGCCCATTAGCATCAGCACACGAGGCTGGTGTCAGTGTCTCATCATAAGCCCTGGTTCTTGGTGTTTTATAACCTACAGTAAATTGGTGGGGCAGTCCCTCCTAGAGCCTCACCCAGGTTTTAATCCATGTGTGTTCACCCCTGGAAAGGGTGCTAAAGAACATGGGAATGCTGCAGATTTTACCGGAACTAAAACTGGAATATCTGAAACCCAGTGGTGTAAGCCTAGGTGTGTGACCTCAATAAATCCTGAACCTCCACTTCCTCGTACTGTCTGCACAATGATACTTCCTTACTGCTCATTGGAAGGATGAGATAACTACGTGTCCTGTGCATAGTAGGTACGCACTAAATGCAAAGAGAGTCTAAGCTGAAGAAGGAAAATCTTCCAAGAATGTACAGGAACATGCAATCAGCCTCACACATCGGGGACTGTTTTACCACCCTGCCCCCTTTCCATGGTGCCTGCTGCAGCCAGAGGCAAGAGACGTGGGAGTTGGGGCTTTTGGCAGAGTGCAGTCTGCCGCACCTTTTCTCCTGCTCAGATTTAAATTAAACTACGAAATTTGCATTCAGTCCTCTCAGGGTCTGGCTCGGTGACCGAAGCCTCAGGTTTGAAATACTTCCGCTCCGGGGAACTGCAGGTTCCAATCCCTGAAGGATTTCTGCTAGGCCCGGCATCCTTCTGAGACACATCATTTGAATAAATGCAATTTAGTGAAACCAGGCCTTTGGAGGAGGCCTCTGGAAAGGAGAGTGGAGGCCCGTGGGAGGGCGTGGAGGATCAGCATTTTCTCAGGGTTTTCCCAGTGTCCTTGCTAGATGTCATGAGTGCTCATAAAACTTTGGTGAAACCAGAGAAAGTTCCCAGAGTGCCTTGTGTTCTTCCCGCAGCACATCCCCTCCTCATCTTTCCTGCAAATCCCCCATCATTTTCTTTCTTCTTACTCCCTCTGCCCTACAAGTGGGTGCTTTTTAAGAATGGGATGCTTCTGTCTAAATCCTTTTCCAATCTGGAGATGGGCCTCTCTGTCTCGGAACCACACCCTACAGGAGGGATAGTTTAGTTCAATGGTTACAGCTCTAGACTCCAGAATCAGCTGAACTACGTAGAAATTCTGGCCTCTATCAGTCTTACCAGGGGCATATTCTATGGTTCACATCAAAAGTATACTTGTCTCTGCATTATCAAAAACCCCCCAGTGTTATTGACTTTAAGGCATTGCCACAGTATCCCACTGCCCTGAGCTTGGAGACTCAAAGGATAAAGGAGTCTCCGAGAAAGCTCTCCCATAGCCTTCTAATTCTCCAAGCAGGGGCAGCAAGGAAGTGTCAGAGACAAAGGCTTCATAACATCTAAGACATACACTCAAAAGCCACTTACATTCAACTCCCTAAGCTTCCCTTGGCCCACCACAGGCTAACGAGAACTTCTACAGCTTTTTAGGGGCCATTGCTCTCAGGGCCCTGATCTACATGGGAAAAATCTAAAGGGCTATGGAGCAAGGGTAAGAGGCGGAGCAAGAAAGGAACCCTGTTCCAAGTTGGATTCCCCGAGAAGGACAGAGATTAGTGTGCAGCATGTTTATTAGGGAGTCCTCAGGGGACCAACAACAGAGGGAAAAAGAGCATCTGGAAAAGGGAGCTGCTGAGTAGCAGTCTCGACAGAGGCCTCTGCTGACTGCACAGGGAGCTGTGGAGCTGGAGCGCCCCTACGGAGTCATCCCAAGTCAGGGAGGGAAACCAGGCCTTCACATCTCCCATGTGGATTAGTCCTTGGATGTGGGCTGCTCCAGGAAGGCGCCTGGCTCTGGGCAGGGTGGCTGTCTCAGCAACGCACTTCCCAGAGTGCTGAGCGCTCAGGGCTGTCTTCCTGCAGCACACCCAACAGCTGGGTCTAGGTCCTCGGGTCCCAAAGGGGTTACAGACAGCAGATCACAGTGACCACCACCAGCCCCGACCAGGAATACCTCCACATTAGGAGAGCCAGAGATCTTTAACAATTGGTGCAGTTAAAAGAGGGAATTTCATTTTGGCCAGGGGTACTTCCAGGCCTACCTTGGCCACTGAATCTAGGACTGTCTAACAGTTACCCAATTCATTGATAAACAGTGAGAAGATTTCAGGTTGTAGAATCTTCAAGCCAATAAGGAATCGACAGCACCTGATTGAACTCTCAGGCCAGGTGAAGACCCCCATCGCACCTCCAACAGATGGTCTTCAGCCTTTGCCTGGATATTCCAATGCCTGGGTTGGGGGGTGGGGCTCTCTTTACCACAAGCCTGACACCACTATTTATTAACAGTCCTTTCTAATGTTAAGTTACTATCAACCTCCCAGGAAAGATCACTCATAACTCACAAAATAAATCTCTCAGTCGAGCTGGGCTCAGTGGCTCACACCTGTAATCCCAGCACTTTGGGAAGCTGAGACTGGAGGATCGCTTGAGGCCGGGAGTTCAAGACTTCAAGACCAGCCTGGGCAACATAGCAAAACTCTATCTCTTAAAAAAAATTTTTTTTGGCATGGTGGCATGTGCCTGTAGTCTCAGCTACTCAGGAGGCTGAGACAGGAGGATTGCTTGAGCCCAGAAGGTTAAGGCTATAGTGAGCTGTGATTGTGATTGTGCCACTGCACTGCAGCCTGGGTAACAGAACAAAACCCTATCAAAAGAAAGAAAGAAAGGAAGAGAGGAGGGGGGAAGGGAAGGGAAGGGAGGGGAAGGGAAGGGAAAGGAGGGGAAGGGAAGGGAAGGGAAGGGAAGGGGAGTAGGCCAGGTGCAGTGGCTCACATCAGTAATCCCAGCACTTTGGGAGGCCAAGGTGGGTGGATCACCTGAGGTCACGAGTTTGAGACCAGCCTGGCCAACATGGAGAAACCCGTCTCTACTAAAAAGACAAAATTAGCCGGGTGTGGTGGCACATGCCTGTAATCCCAGGTACTTGGGAAGCTGAGGCAGGAGAATCACTTGAACCCGGGAGGTGGAGGTTGTGGTGAGCTAAGATGGCGCTATTGCACTCCAGCCTCTGAGCAACAAGAGTGAAAATCCGTCAAAGGAAAGAAAAAGAAAGAAAAGAAAGAAAGAAAGAAAGAAAGAAAGGAAGGAAGGAAGGAAGGAAGGAAGGAAGGAAGGAAGGAAGGAAGGAAGGAAGGAAGAGAAAGAAAGAGAGAAAGAAAGAGAAAGAGAAGGGGGGAGGGAGGGAGGAAGGAAGGAAGGAAGGAACAAAGGAACGAAGGAAGGGAAAGAAAGAAAGAGAATCTTTCAGTCATAGATTATCCTTCAGGTATTAGGAGACAAGTATTCTGTGTCTTCCATGGGCACCAGCCGTACGCCTCCTGAACATTCGACAAACATTGCTTTCCTGCCTTCCTGCCAAACCCTTTCATGTACATTGAATCATTCAGTCTCTGTAAGAGTCTTCACAAGGATACAGGGTCAGCATTATTATCCTTTGTTTTTGCCCTGGAAAATTAGGGAAATTTTTCACAGAAAAGGAGGAAACCAAGTTGTGTCTGGAAGCATGAATAAGAAATCTCTTAATCCCGGAAGAAATAGCATTCTAGGCTGGGGAACAGGACTTCTGAAGACCTGTAGAGTCAGAGAGCTCGGCATGTTCAGGGAAAGCTTTAGATATGGCTAGGGCAGTCGCTGTCAACGGGAAACAGCTGACCCCCAGGAGACATTTGGCAATGTCTAGAGACATTTTTGTCACAATTAGGGGTGTGTACTACTGGCATCTAGTACATAGAGGCCAGTAACACTGCAATTCACAGGACAGTCCCCACAACAAAAAAATTACCTGGTGAAAAATTTCAGTAGTGCCAAGGTTGAAAAACGCTTTAGAGAGGGCAGGGATGGTGAACATGTAAACTGGGACTAGATTATGAAGGGCCAAGGTTAGAGGTTTATTATCTCCTGTGGCCTGCAGGACTTCAGAGCCTAGATTTGGTAAGAAAATTGAAGCATAATTTAGAGCGAGCTGAGTCTGGGATCTGGGAGATCATTTAGGAGACTATTGGGATTGCCCATTCGTTCATTCTTTCACTAATCATTTGTTAAACACTTGATGAGTATCTGTTATGTATAATACTAGCCTCTGTGCTAGTCACTGTGAGATCATGACAAGTAAAACAGACCCAGTCCCTGCCCTTGGGGGTTTTACAGTCTAAATGAAGAAGAGAAATATGATTTGAATAATCACACAAATATGTAACTACACACTGGTAGGTACAATGAGGCAAAAGCACAGGAACTACCAATATATTTGACAACAAGAACTAATCAATGAAGGCTCCAAAGAGAAGAAAGTTTTAAGCCACAGTCAGAAAGATAAAGAATCTAGGCAAGGGATCAGATCAGTCTTCACTGGACAAAACAAAAAAAGATGATAAGCCCATTGAAGGTGTATTTTCGAGGCAGAATCCATGGGACTTTGTAGATCTGTTGTAGTGGGTGAGTGGGGAGAAGTCGGGCCCCTGCCTGCATTCTGCTTCCAGCCGCTGCATGGGTGATGGCGGCCATTCCAAGATGGAACACGACAGAGGAAGAAGAAACTGGGGACCCAGAGTGGTATCATCAGACCCAGAGGAGACAAATTCCCAGTGCTTTTGTCTCTGCGCCCTTTGGGCCTCCTGACACACTGAAGTAATCCAGTCACAAACCATTGGTTGGAGCTGTCTTTTCCCACTCCCATTTACCTCATTTTCCCCTTGTTGCTTCTGGAAGAGCCCTTAGAGATGAAGCCCAAATCCATTTTACGTGAAGTGCCGAAGGCCATAGGGGCTGAGTGACATCCCCAATGTGTCCCAGCTGCTTAGGGGCTCAGCCAAAGGTGGTCCAAAATCCCCAGCCCTGAATACAACAGAACAGAGGTCACGCCCTGCCTCCAGCCCAACCACAGTTCACTTTCCTTGTATTGAGGTGCCCATGACCAGTTCTCCGGCCAAGGCAGCTTGGGCTAAATTGATTTGGAAGAATTTCAGCCCCACATTGCCTCTTCCCCAGAAGTGACGATATAACAGGAGAATGTGGGGCTCACAGGGAGACTAAGTCCATCCAGGAACAAAGACAAGCTTGAGATGAGGCCCAGGAATTCCACTGGTGAGAGGGCACAACCAGCCTGCCTTTGAGGGCTGCTGATGTCCCAGGGATGCAGAGTCTCCCTGGGCGTTCCCTGTCTAAGCAGCTGTGAAACAGGACTCTTCCTGCCAGTACTGCCTGGGGTCCCAAACTGAGAGCAATAGATGCTCAAAGCCCATGCTCCAAAGTGAGCTGTGGATGTCTAGCAAATAGCCTTCTCTTACCTGTAGCGTGGAGGTGGTGATGGGCATTGCTGGAGAACTGGTCGGAGTGAGGGTTCAGGAGCATGAAGAGGCTGGTAGGAGGGTCTTCTTCAGAGAGGGCCGGACCATGTCAGGAGCTGTCTCCTGGGGTGGGAAGAGTCAAAGTGAGGGCGCTTTCAAAGAAAGCACTCCAGAGGAGTGTGATTTGTGTCTGCGGAACTTAGACTGAGCTCATGCCTGCTTCTAGATGGGCCCCAGGAAAGGAGCCGGCCTGAGGAAAAGGCAGGAAGAGAGGGAGAGACTCCAACAGAGGAATGGGCTTCTGGCCCCCAGAGGTGTAAGAAACACCCCAAGAAATCATTGCCACGGCAAGTCACTGCAAATGAGAGACCCCCAGGTAGTGGTGAGTATCCAAAGAACCCACAAAAGCATCCCATTTGGGCCTCCCTGAGGGCCCTGACCCAGATTACAGCTTCATCATCTGGGGTCTGTGCACTTTTTCTTACACAACCCCCTTTCACTTAGGCTGGGCCCCAAAACAACCAAAAGAAGGGCAATGGGGTGAGTGAGAGAGGAAGAGGAGCAAGGAAGAGAGACCTTCCCATTGCAGGCTTCCAAGGTCAGGCTTACGCTGTGTGTGCACATGTGTGCATGCATGCAGAGCTGCAAGAGTCAAGCAGGGGCCAAGATTTGAAATATATGAGTAGAGCTTTGATTTAGATGTACTGGATATTTAATATTTGTGGATAATTAAAGTATTTTGCATGGTGAAACTGATGATGCGTGGAAAAGCCCTATGACCACCCAATGATGTGGAAGGAGGAACCAGGCTACAGCGCAACTTGAAGGGCAATGCTCCCACCTTACCAAGTCCACCTCTGTCAATAACCTGCTTCTATCTATTCAAAGAAGCTGTTGGGCCAGAGCCTGCTTGTGGGCCAGCCACAACATGGCTGGGTGCTGCAGCACTGGAAGGAAGGGGTGGCCAGCGTCCTGGAGCACACTGTGGTCTCTCCAAATACTTAGGAGCCTGCCCAGAAACTGTGTAATTGGACCTTTGGGAATGAAGGGGAGAAGGCAGTGCAGGGCTTTCCAGATAGAAAATTCCAGACCTCAGAACTAAGCCTGACACCCCATGGCCCTCTGTGGCTGCAGCACAGCAAGGCCCACCGGGAGACCCTCACCCAGGCCCACTGCCTGGCCAGGATGTTTGCCTTGCATCATCCCCTCTCACATGGAGGCATGGGGGCTGCAGTGGAAATGGCCTTGCTCTCTCCCAGAGTGCGGATGAGAGCGTTGACTGTGAGCCTTTTCAGCACATTTCCTTCCCAGGAAGCTGCTGCCTTCACAAATGAATTCCTCCCCTTGACACAGAGGATAGCTGTCGCCTGTCTCTCCTCATTGAGGCCCCGTCCCTTCTGGATGTTATGAGAACAATGCCTAGGGCCACTTTTGTCCCAGCAAAGCAGGAACTGGCCACCTCAGTGCTCGGGGACTGGGCTGGCATAGGTGGAAGTCACCCTGGCTCACGGGGCCATGGCTGCATGATTCAAGGGAAGGGCTTGGACTGGGGTGGTCAGTGGCATGGAAAGGAGGTTCAGGGCTTGCGGTCGACAATCTGGGCCTGAGTCAGTGTCCTCTGTCAAAGGTCAAAATGAATCTCTTATTCTGACCAGCAGTGTGACTATGGAGAGGTGACCTCACATTTCTGAATCCCATTCCTTTCATCTATAAAGTGAGAGGAGTAATGTTAAACTCAGGGGGTTGTTGAGATAATTAAAGAAGAAAAAGTACGGAAAGTGCTAATGGCAGTGCAGGCACAAAGACGGTGATGTGGTTAAGCTTTGTGTCCCCATCCAAATCTCATTTTGAACTGTAATCCCCAGGTATTGAGGGAAAGACCTCATTGGAGGGTGACTGGATCATGGGGGTGGTTTCCCCCATGCTGTTCTCATGATAGTGAGGGAGCTCTCATGAGATCTGATGGTTTTATAGATGGCAGTTTCCCCTGGGTTTCTCTCTCCTGCCACCATGTGAAGAAGGTCCTTGCTTCCCCTTCGCTTTCCACCATGACTGTAAGTTTCATGAGGCCTCCTCAGCCATGTGGAACTGCAAGTCAATTAAACCTCTTTCCCTTGTAAGTTACCCGGTCTCAGGTATTTCTTTATAGCAGTGTGAGAACGGACTAAAACAGATGGTTTTCAGTCAATGTTGCTAGCTTAAGAATAAACCCATCCATTTATCTCCTTGATGGTCCCACATTAGCCAGCTTGCTCATAAACTCCTTATCTCACTGGCTGTTCTCCAAAGACTGTGAGTAAGGTTGGGAAATACAGCCCATGGCCAGGGGAAGGGTGTGTCAGGGCAGGCTGTTGGCACCTCAAGTCACCAATAGACCCACAGTCCACAGGCCAGACCTTATCCTCCCAGATTTACAAGCAATCTTCTCTCATATCTTCAGCGACTTCTCTTAGTGATGGGGGCTTAAATCAAGTATAGTCACATATGGCCCATGGATAAGCAGCCTGTCAATGTGTTGATATCAAGAGGAGAGTATGGGGGAGGAAAGGGTGGTCCCTTTCCAATGTCTGCAGTGCTCACAGCACTCTGTGCAGGATTCTGATGTCCCCAGTCCCAAGGCTCTCCTCTAGTCAGTGGAACCACATTGTTCTTTCCTCCCAAGATGTGCTCTTTTCTGAGTTGCATTGCAGATTAGACACCCTTGTGCCTTCACCAAATGTGTTACTGTCACTGATTTTATGTCACTATGAAGTAGTTCTTTCTATGGGCTTGGGGAGACCTCAGTATCCTCTCATTATTCATTGATTTAATTGGTTTACATTTCACTGCTCCCAACTGACCACATAACTAAGATACTGTACATGGCCCCAGTTTTCTGAGGTCCAGTACCATCCCAGCTTTCAGCCTCTTAGAAAGCCTCTATCTAAAGATGCTCTCCAGCCCAGTAGAAGGGACAGTTCTGGCCCCTGAGTGGGACAGGACAATAGCGCCACATCAATGTCTAAAGAAAAACACACCTCTGGCTCTTCTAAACCATTATACCACACATGCCATAGCCAAGGCAAGGAGCCAACTAACAGCAAGAATTTGGGGGCCATATAGCACCTGTCAGAGAAGAATTCAAAGGACATAAAGAGGAGAGTTTGGATCAGTGGCTGCTCGGAGTGGAAAAAGTTCAAACTTGTTGCTAGATTGTCTGGTTGAACTTGGCTGCTGAAAATTAAATGTGCATCTTGCCAAATTGAAACAATAGTCCAAATCTGTACCATGGGGCATTTTTATGTCTTCACTGCTAAATTCTTAATCCCGGAGGAGGCAGCATTCACAGCACCTCTTGGAAGCAGACACCCGGCCCTTACCAGACAATGAACTTGCTGGATATTGGCCTTCTCAGCCCCCATAAATGTGAGAAATAAATTTCTGTTCTTTATAAAGTATCCAGTCTTAGGTATTCTGTTATAGCAGCACAAAATGGAATAAGACAGGTGTGTTTCTCCAAGCCCAGTAGTGGCAGAAGTGAGTATGGTGATGCATGGTATTCCTGCACAGTTCAAGAGCTCTAGAGTTAGCTCATAAGCTATCTCCAGTGAATAAAACTGACAGGAAGCTAACTGTTATCTAAGAACCCCCTCAGCCCAAACAGACGGGGGCCCGTGCAAAGAGGCCTGGGAAAGGAAAAAGACTAGAGAAGCCCAGACACCACATTAGCAAGAGAGAAAAACTGGACTCTGGGTTACCTCCAGTCTGGCAAACTTCTGGTTCCAGTTGAGGTAGACCCCTAAATAAACACTTCTGTTCTGAGGTGACTGAGGTATGGCTCTGTTCTTTGACATGGCAGAAGCACTCATTAAACTGTCTTCAGCCAAAGAGATAGCTGAAGGCTGAGAACTCCTTGAGCGCAGGATGGCTCCTTGTGGCTGCTGTGCTGTGAGCTGTGCCCTTTGTTTGGGAATCAAGTAGCTGCATTTATTGAGTGCCTCCTCCATTCCAGTAGGCCCCTTTTACACTCTAGATTCTTCAACCTTCACAAAAACAAAGCAGGGTAGATATTATTAGTTCCATTCTACAGATGAAATAGATTACCAAAATGGCTTAGAAAAACCCTATGGCTGGAACTCTCACACATTATCAGTGGGAGTGTAAGATGGTACAGCCAGCTTGGAAAATGGTCTGATGGCTCCTTAAAGTGTTAAACGTGGAGGTTTAACCAAGCAATTCCACTCCTAAGTATATACCCAAGAGAATCTAAAACATATGTCCACAAAACTTGTACATGGCAACATTATTCATAATAGCCCAGAGTGGACAATCCAAGTGTCCACAAACTGATGAATAGATAAACAAATTGTGGTATATCCACACAATGGAAAATTACTCAGGAATAAAATGGAATAAAATACAAATACATGCTACAAGGGTGAACTTTGAAAACATATTGCTAACTGAAAGAAGCCAGTACAAAAGACCACATTTGATTCCATTGACATGAAATGTCCAGAATAAGCAAATCTGTAGAGACAGAATATAAACCAGTGGTACCTAGGGCAGAGGATGGGGAGAAATGGAGAGTGACTGTTAATGATTTTAAGATTTCTTTTTGGAGTGAAGAAGATGTTCTGAAATAAGATTATGGTGATGGTTGCACAACTCTGCAAAGCATATTTAAAACCATTGAATTGTATATTCTAAATGGACAAATTATATGGTCCATAAATTATTTCTGAATAAAACTGTTTTTAAAAACTAACATGGCTGGCTGAACCCTGATGGGTACCTGTGCCCACAAAGTAACCTTTGAATGTAATGTTTACAGCTGTTTTTCCAAGAAGAGCACAACTGAGGTTATCTGTGTGTTGTGGGAGAAAGCACAGTGCTCTGACGACAGGCAGATCTGGACTTGTGTGACCTTGAGTAAGTTACTTAGTTCTTCTCTAAGAATTTCTAAGACTCTTGAAGATGACATGGGATAACTCCTGCCACAAGCTCGTGTATATCCTTGTGGTTGAGTATATGTTAATTATAACCCTCCCATTTACTAAAAGGGCAACTCAAAAGAACATGCCAGTGTCTTGTCCCTGAAAAGGGAAGAGGCCATGAATCAGGGGAACATGATAAGATTTTAGAAATAGGAATAAAACTCCCAGGGTGCAATGTGAGGACTCAGGCTCAGTAACAATTTTAAAATTCAAGTCTTGGTTCCAACACCCAGGCAGTGATACTGAGCCTTACACTGGTAGAACTTGAGATATTTATTATACACCTCTTCTTGCTGGTTATGACTGGCTCTGCAATTAACGGGAGGCTTGAGAAGCCCGTGGAGGCTACAGCACAGGACATCAGAAACAGGGCTAGAAGGTGGGACACTTTCAAACAAGCAGCAAGAGACCTGGGTAGTCCCAGTCCTTTAAAGATTTTCCACATCCCACATGGCCATTTGAATCTATAAAGACTTAATTTCATTGTTGTGAAATGGTAAAATAAATAAATAAATGTCATAGAGATGGGAGAAAGAAGGTGGCCCTACTTAAATTATCTTAGCTTCAACCTTTTCATTAATCTCATTTATTCCCAAAGATTCCCATTCCCAAGTCAAAATTCTAGGCCAAAGGCCTCAGGACACTCCTTACTCCTCAGATCTTAGAGGGCAAAAGAGGAAGCAGTGTGCCACCACATTCAGTCCACAGGCTCTGCTAATCCTTCTGTCTTCTATTGTGTCTTCAGCATTTGCCTGTGTTTGAAAAGAGGCAGAGAAAGGAGAGAAAAAAATCTACAGGTGCATGGTTAAAACCTCAGCTCCTGATTTTCAATTCAGTCAGCCCACTTAAGATTCAAGAATAGTACCATGCTTAGTGATGTAGGTGCTAGAAATATCGATAATAATAAGTACCTCACAGGATTACTGTGGAGATAGAATAAGATGCTGACCCAGTTCAAAACATTGTAGATTTGGAGTCAGGTAGAAACAGGCCTGTGTATGTCTGAAAGTTCTTTAAACCTCAAACACCAACCTCAAAAGGCTGTTGTGAAACTTCATTTATAAACTTCCTAGTGCAGTGTCTGGCATCAGTAGGCCCCAATGAAAGGTAGGAAAAGTGATGCACTTTGCACAGTGCTTGGCACTTGGTAGATCCCAGGGACAGTGGGAGTCAGATAGCAAGGATGTAAGTGAGAAGAGGACCAGAAGACCCCAGTGTGGAAGACACCAGAGGAGACCTGTTGGACAGGTAGTTGGCTCAGTCTGGCAACCTCATGCCAAGGGTAAGTTTTGGTATCAGACTTCAAAAATGAGGCTTCCGGTGGGGAAAACACTTTTCCTGGGGTGCCTTCAGGAGGAAGCCAAGTGTTCCATCCAAGGAACTGGGCAACCTAGCAGGAGAAGGGAGTCTGAGATCAGAGAGGAGGGCACTTCTTGCCAGAAGCATTCACAAACATGAGAGGAGACTAAGCATCCACAGTGATCAGCAGCATTTGACCTCACTTGGTGGCAGCTGCTCCATCTAGCCCATTTGCAAAGTCCACAATTCTGCAAGATGCATAGAAGTGCAGTGATTTGGAACAATTCACACCCCCCAGCTCTTCTGTGTCAGTCTGAGGCTTCTATTGAGCTCTTAGATTCCATAATAAAGAAAGAGGGCACTGCTCACATCACCAGTCTTTTGTGCATACCATTCCTGCCTCAGTGGGTTGCAAGTTTTCTGCAGAGAAAAAAGACAGCTACTTTTATTAAACCTCTTTGTGGTCCTCAACTTTTCCCCCAACCTTCTTGATGACAAGCTTCTCTCCCTTGAGTCATGCACATTCATCTCAGAGGCCAGAGAGGAGAGGTTTTCACATCAAGGCAAAGGATACCTAGTAAGAAGAAGCTATAGAAGAGGTGGTGAGCTGGGGTATAGATGAGAACTAGAGACGGTCTCTTCCAACAAAGGTTATTCTCACCAGGGCCTTAAAGGTCTTATGTTAAGAAAAAAATGGTGTGCATTTCTTCAGGCAGGCGCAAGATGATAATCTGGAGACTAGCAGAGGGAGCTCAGAGTCAAGTTAATAAGCCAGAAAAGGCAGGAAATAGAGCGACCCAGAAAAATCGTTAAAGAAAAAAGTGTTGTAAACCTGAGGCTCTTAAAGATATATCAAAGCCTGGGTTAAAAATAATTTATTAATTAGTTCATGTAAGCTCATGGTATAAAATTCTAAAGACAGAAGTGGAAAGTTAAGTCTCCCTTCTACCACTGTATCTTAACCAAGCAGATCTTCTCCCTAAAGAAACAATTCCTTGTCATTTCTTGTCATTATTAACAATTTCTTGTATATTCTTTGGGAGATAACCTATGCATCTATAAGCATATGTCTATCATCATCCCCACTACATAAATGGAAGTATACTGTACACATTCTGACTTGCTTTTTCTCCACTTACTATATATTGGAAACTATTCAATAGCTCTATCTAATTATTTACAATTAAATATATTTATACTATTGTCATTTACCTGCTTTAAAAATATCATTTGACCTCCAGCTCTAAAATACTTGGAAATTAGTGTGTTTGCCTTTCCTTAACCGTCTAGAACCTCACATCATGATGAAATTTATAACTTCTACATTGAAAGAGCATATGACACTTACATGCTGTATTACAACTATAATTTCCACAGGTGTTTTAATTCTTAGTCCTACAGTTGAATGGGTTCAATGGTCACCACCATTCCTTTTGGCAAAAGTTCTCCACTGATCTCTTAGTTAACCAAAATTTGCCTTTCTGTAGTTTCTTCAAAAAGTGGTTGACAGAGTTGCTGGTCTTGCATATTTGAAAATGCTTGTCTCCTGCTTTTATATGTGACCAACATGTTTTCTGGGTATAAAATTCTTAGATTCCTCACCTTTTCTTTACATGATTTAGAAAAGTGTTGATTATTGCTGTGGAGACATTTCATATCAATCTGATATTTTTCTCGGTATATGCAATTTTTCCTCTTTGTTAAGATGCTCATAGGATTATCTTTGAATTTTTGTTACTGTATCATGATTTGATTCTTAGCATGCTCATTTTTCTTGGGATATGGCATGTCTTCTTAGTACAAATTCAAGTCTTCATTTTTTTCTGCAAATATTCTTGAGTAATATCTTTCAGTATTCTCTTTTAGTTACTTCATTCTTTTCTACAGGGATACTATTTATGGATCTCATTGAATGGACATCCCTAGCTATTATTTTCACATTTCTTGTCAAACTCTTCTTCATTTCCAACTCATTTCACTTGCTTTTCAAGCCTTTCCTTCGCGTCCTTCTCGCGTTTTCATCAGTGTTTATTCCCTTGTGTGCTTATTTCAATGTGGCCTTCATTTCTCTGTATCCTCCCACCTGGCTTTCCCAGCTTCTTGGCAATGTAACATGGTGGTTAAAAGTGAAAGCTCTAAAGTCCAGGTTACCAGAATGTAACCCTGGTCAAGTTATTTGATTTTTGGTACTTCATCTTTAAAATGAGTAAAATGAGGACATCTACCGAATAGGGCTGTTGTAAGGCCTTTGATGAGTTAATACATGTTAAAAAGTAATGGTTTTTGCCATTACTTTTAATGGCAAAAACAGCAATTACTTTTGCACCAACCTAATAAACACACTCTGAACCATAATGGACACAATTTAAGTTCTGTTTGTGAATTAACAAAAGGAGATTAATGATAATAATAATAATGGCTGAGCTCTTTTTCCCTGAGCTTTTATGTCTCTGCTTTGAGCTCCTAGGTTAATGTGTAACATTTTAAAAATTCATTCATTTTTGAAAATAGGGTCATGATTTTTATGTGCTTGGCAGCCACATTTTTCTGGTGCTTGATTTTTATCTTTTTATTTTTTTTGGTAACATGTTTGTATAGATCCTGTGCTGATGATGTTTTTTATTATTACTTATCTTGCAGTGAGGTTAGTTCTCCCCGGACAAGGCTTTTGCAAGCAATTCCTATGGGACAGGTCAGCCTGGGTTTCAGACCAGCAGAAATTCTCTCTGGAATCAGAATTGTGTATGTGGGTGAGTTATTTTTTCCTTCACAGAAATCAACACTTACAAGGCTGTGTAGCATTTGGAGTCTCTCTTTCCCATCCTGTTCAACACACTATCGCCTTTAAAGATGATTTATGTGTGCTCCTCATTTGACCTCACATCTCTGCCACTTGCTGTATCAAGCAGGGGCCAGAGAAGATCCTACCACCCACTGATGTACCCCATTGCCACAGATTCAGACAAAGGAGGGGTAGTTGTGTCCTCTGGAATGTGGAATATGATGACAGAGTGCGAGTTTCTGTTTCTTGATTTCCTTCTTTACTTATTGTAGGGTTGTGGCTTTCATGGCTTGCAAAAGGAGAAGGAAGAGCCCTAGAAATGTCTTTGTCTTCAACAGCATTTATGAGATCAGACCCCATAACACAGCCATGTTGAGGGAGGAAAGCCTCAGAGGACTAAGGAGTAACTGAAAAGCCTATGACGTTGGTAAAGCCATGTCCCCACCTCACCATGGTTTTACAGAATCATTCAGAAATCCAGATCCTGCTCTGGGTAGAATAAAGCATTTCTATCACATCATACAATCTCTTTATAAGGCTTAGATGCTTCACAATCATTACAATCTCTGCCACAGCTTTTATTTATTTATTTTTAGAGATTGGGTCTCTCCATTGCCCAGGCTGGAATGCAGTGGCACCATCATAGCTCGCTGCCCCCTTGAACTCCTAGGCTCTAGTGATCCTCTCGCTGCAGCCTCCCAAGTAGCCAGGACTATAGGCACACACCACCATGCCTGTAGGGACAGGGTGTCAGTATGTTTCCAGGCTGGTCTTGAACTCCTGGCCTCATGCGATCCTCTCACCTCAGCCTCCCACAGTCCTGGGATATAGGCATGAGCTATAGCACCTGGTTGTCATAGCTTTAACTGGAGAATGAAGATGAAACAGATTCTTTGTTTCAGTAACTTATTGTTGAACGGTTATATTTACTCCCTGACCAGTAGGTATAGAGCCTTTCTCCTCTTGAAGTTACCAGAACCAGGAGCACCAAATGACTGGGTAATCGTGAAAGGTGGATATTTAAAGTGTCTCCTTAATTAAAAAAAAAAAAAAGTAGCAGCATCTGAGGGCTTGTCAGGTTCTTTACTGCATTCGAGCAGTAACATGGTTTGGCTCTGTGTCCCCACCCAATCTCATCTCAAATCGTAATTCCCCATGTTTTGAAGGAGGGACCTGGTGGTAGATGATTGAATCATGGGAATGGTTTCCCTCATGCTGTTATCGTGATAGTGAATTGGTTTAAAAGTCTATGGCAGTTTCCTCCTTGTTCTCTCTCTCCTGCCACCATGGAAGAAGGTGCTTGCTTCTCTTCACCTTCTGCCATGATTGTAAGTTTCCTGAGGCCTCCTTACCATGCAGAACTGTGAGTCAATTAAATTATTTTGTTTACCCAGTCTCATGTAGTTCTTTTTAGCAGCATGAAAATGGACTAATACAGAAAATTGGTACCAGGAGAATGGGGTACTACTACAAAGATAACCTGAAAATGTGGAAGTGACTTTGGTACTGGGTAATGGGCAGAGGTTGGAACAGTTTGGAGGGCTCAGGAGAAGACAGGAAGATGTGGGAAAGGTTAGAACTTCCTAGAGACTTGTTGAATGGTTTTGACCAAAATGGTGATAGTGATATGGACAGTGAATTCCAGGCTGAGGTGGTCTTAGAGGGAGATGAGAAACTTATTGGGAACTGGAGCAAAGGTCACTCTTGCTATGCTTTAGCAAAGAGACTGGTGGCATTTTGCCCCACCCTAGAGATCTGTGGAACTTTGAACTAGAGAGAGATGACTTAGGGTATCTGGTAGAAAAAATTTCTAAGCAACAAAACATTCAAGATGTGACCCAGCTTTTTCTAAAAGCATACAGTCATACGCATTCACAAAGAGATAATCCGAAATTGCAACTTATGTTTAAAACGGAAGCAGAACATGAAAGTTTGGAAAATTTGCAGCCTAACCATGTGGTAGAAAAGAAAAACTCATTTTCTGGGGAGAAATTCAAGCCAGCTGCAGAAATTTGCATAAGTAACAAGGAGCCGAATGTTAGTAGCTGAAACAATGGAGAAAATGTCTCCAGGGCATTCCAAAGATCTTCATGGAAGCTCCCCTCATCACAGGCCTGGAGACCTAGGAGGGAAAAATGGTTTTGTGGGCAAGGCCACATGAAACAACACAATCAAAATCTATCCAAATACCAACATCATTCTTCACAAAATTCAAAAAAACAATCCTAAAATTCATATGGAACTTAAAAAGAGCCCAAATAGCCAAAGCAATTCTGAGCAAAAAGAACAAAGCTGGAAGCATCATGTTACCTCACTTATACTACACCCTCTTCAACAAGTGGTGCTGTGACAATTGTATAGCCACATGCAGAAGAATTAAACTGGACCTCTATCTCTCACCACATATAAAAATCAACTCAAAATGGATTAAATACTTAAATATAAGACCCAAAACTATAAAAACACTGAAGAAAACCTACAAAAAACTTTTGTGGACATTGGTCTAGGCAAAGAATTTATGACTAAGACCTCAAAAGCACAGGCAACAAAAACAAAATCACACAAACGAAACTATATTAAACTAAAAAGCTTCTGTACAGCAAAGAAACAATCAACAGAATGAAAAGACAACCTGCTGAATGGCAGAAAATATTTGCAAACTATGTATCCAAAAGGGAACTAATATCCAGAATAAACAAGGAACTCAAGCAACTCAACAGGAAAAACAATGAATCAAATAATCCCATTAAAAAGTGGGCAAATGATATGAATAGACATTTCTCAGAAGAAGACATACCAATGGCCACTAGGTGTATGTAAAAAATGCTCAACATCACACTAACATCAGAGAAATACAAATCAAAACCACAATGAGGTATCATCTTACCCTAGTCAGAATTGTTATATTAAAATGACAAAATATAATAGATGTTGGTGAAGATGCAAAGGGCAACTCTTGGACACTGTACAGCCACTGTGGAAAACAGTATGGACATTTCTTTAAAAACTCAAAGTAGAATTACCATTTGATCCAGCAATCCCACTATTTGTAATCTACACAAATGAAAAGAAGTCAATATATCAAATGAATACATGCACTCATATGTGTATTGTGGTGTTATTCATAATAGCAACCTAATCAACCTAAGTGTTCATCAACAAAAGAATGGATGAGAAAAATATGGTACACGATGAAATACTATTCAGCCATAAAAAAACAATGATATCATGTCATTTGCAGCAACACAGCTGGAACTGGGAGGCAGTATCTTAAGCAAAATAGGCCAGGCACAAAAAGATTGCATGTTCTTCTCACATATATGTGGGAACTAAAACATTTGATCACATGAAGGTAGAGAGTGGAAAGAGAGATAACAGAGACTAGGAAGGGTGAGTGGGGGGGATGTGAGAGGAGAAGTGGGTAAAAAGGTACAAACCTACGGTTAGAAGGAATACATTCAATATCTGATAGAAGAGTAGGATGACTATATTGAACAAAAGTGTTCCATACTAGGGTGAGAGGCCTTAAATACCCTGACTTGATCCCTACACATTACATACATGTAACACAATTTATCATGCACTCCATAAATTTGTACAAATAAAAAAATAAAATGCATTTTTAAATTATTATATTTTCAACTTACAATAGGTTTATCAGGATGAGACCCCATTATAGGTCAAGGAAGCCATCTTTATAGAAGGCCACTTTCTCTACCTAGGTCCTGGTGAACAGCAAGACCAAGTCCCGCCAGAAAGGCCTCAGAAGGAACAAACCACTGCTCAAATATATTGCCTTTATAAAGCATGTGGTGGAATTTCAGTGCTGCCAGACAAACTGCTAAGAGAAAGAGGCACTTGAGAAGGTCACTGAGATAGAGAGAAATGCACCACTCCCACTTCAATTTCACCTGAACCACTGACAGGATACTCATGAAAACCCGGTGGGACCTGAAGGGCAAGATGACCTTGAGCGTGAATTCTCTGCCCTCTGCCTTGCAGTTTAAGGAAGTGTTTTTCACACATCATCATCGGTTCTGAGTCCCCCAAATCTCCTAGAATGACAGCAATCAAAATTGATTTGGGGAATTTCATCCACAAATTAAATGTGCTGGTTCCCAATATGGAAGCTCGGTGGCTTTGTCACACCGCCAGTGAGGGGACCTGAGGGTTTGAAGTATGACGTGTAAAGGACAAAAAGGCATTTGATCATCAGGAACAATTGAATGGTTTAAAAGTGGATGCAAGTGCAATTCCAGCTCTGAGAGCCATCTGAAACAATTTGGGCTGCTTACTTACTATGATTTTAGGAAGGCTCATGTCTTACAAGGTTACAGTGTCTTCTCCAATATATTCCCATTTGTTCTCTTTAGGTGCTGTGTATATGGGATAATGTATTGATTGCCATAGGAAGCCACACCTGTCTAAAAAGTTTGTTCCAAGAGAACTCTTTCACAGAATGTTTTTTGGTTTCTACCCATGGTTGTCACGAAGAGGAACCTCCGTCAGTATCCAGCCTCTAGGTATTCCCTCATTGTTATATGCAGCATTTCAGTGCAGTAGCACTCCCTGCCCTTGATGTCAAATGCTGTTTCTCTGCCTGGCATGAGGGATTCACAAAGGGAGAAGTGCTCCTGTGAAGGGTTGCTGGCAGAGAAGAAGCAGGATTTGACGTTGGGGGCTGAGATCTGGCTTTGCCCAGAGCCCAGCCTCCAAGCCTACTTTTTCCAGTCCATCTTGTTGCATAATCAACCCTTTATGTAACACGTGGGAATATTGGATGTGAGGACAAAATAAAAATGAGCTTTAAAACTAGGCTTCCTTATACAGATTCCTGCATCCCCTAGTAAGACCATCAAAAATCATTAAGTCTGGGGTTGGGTCCAGGAATTAGCTAACATAGGTAGTCCATGAACCATGCTCTGACAAACACTACTATACTAGATGATTCAAATATTAAGGAGATAAAAATATATTTTGTTACATGAAAAACTCCCCTTCCACTATCTGCTGCTAACCACTGGCTGGGATGCGGATGTGATGACAGCAACCAGATTAGTCAACTTGGACCCAGAGATGGAAAATGTGGATGTGCTCTGGACTGCCTATCTTGGCACCGTGAGGTGAGCTATTAAGCTTCTATTTGATTTCAAACACCTATATACAGACATACAGACATGCGAACACCTATATACAGACATACAGTACATAAAATTGGGTTTCCTTGACTCAGGTGAGGAGGATATCCAATTGATCATATCATGTTGTTCTGTTGAGCAAAAATGCAAACATTTAGATAGTTGTTCAAGAGTTCCAACCACCTTGTTGCTTCACCCATTTTAAAATTCATTTTAGCAATTTTTTTGAAGGTCAGGGCTATGTCTTGTATTTCTTTGGATCCTCTATGGAACTAAGAGCATAGTAAGTGCTCAAAAACACAATCATTAGTCCATGAGAAGCAGTGGAGCATGACCACGTATGAGTGTGATTTGAAGCCAGTTTCTTGGGTTTGAATATGCCACTTATTAGCTGCGTGATTTTGGACAACTTGTGTCTCAGTTTCTTAGTTTCTTCACTGGTAAAATAAGGAAAATAAATACATGCCTCCTAGGATTGCTGTGAAGAGCAAATGAGTTAATCTATATAAAACACATAGAAACAAGGTCTGGCACATAATAAGTGTAAAATGTGGTTGCCATAACTATTATGATGATGGTTATTATGGTGATAACCAAAACCATATTACAGGTCCACTATAATGCTAGCACTGGTGCCTAACGTCCTTTCAGTGTCTGTCGATGTGCGTAGTGCACTATTCTAAAATGGAACCAATGTTCAAACCATTCTGAAGAATATTTCATCTCTTCTACCTTTTGTATTACTTAAAGGAACATATTTACAAGGCAGCAGCCCATTTAAAAACCATCCGTGGAGGAAAAGCAAAATTCTTTTGTACATGCCTATGTTTGAAAGACCTGCATCCTTCAAGTTAGAATTTATCAGTGGAGCCAATTATTTTTTTCTGAATGTTAATACACACAGTGAAATAGGGCAATTTCTTTCAAAAAGCATTATTATTTTTTTTTCTTCATGCTTCTGCCTTGAGTAGGAAGGTGTTTCTAGTTTGGCTCTGAGTACAAAGAGAAGAGGAAAGAGGCTGTTTTCTTCCTTGCCTATTTTAAAACTGGGTTCCCTGTGCAGCAGCAATTCACCCCATCAGAGCCCAGCCTTTTACATAGAGGGGGTCTGGTGTCACCAGACCTATGAACATAAGTCACCAAAACACACTTCAAGTTTTACAGTTTATGGAGATATTTACAAGGTAATGCTTTTCATTTTGCTACTCTTTCAACCTTTCTGTGTGCTTGAAAACTTCAGAATAAAAAGTTGGGAAAAGAAAAAAAAGAAAAATTAAAAAGAAAAATAGAGAGGAACAGGGATTATTGATTCCTAACTTTTAAGCAACCAAGATCTCCAAAATGTAAAAAATATGAAATTCTTGCCAAATGACAGCACAGAGTAGGAGAAGATCAAAATATTCACAAGGCAGTTATATTTGTAAGGCTGCCCATCAGCAGGTTATTATTGTTCCTGGCACAGCGGACACAAAATGATGATTGCACAGCTGAAAATAAATCTCTCTTCTCTGGAATCCCACATCTCAGTGAGTAGGGGCTCCCTGCTTGGCCATATCTGTGCTCTCTGACCCTCCCCCTTACGTCTGGGGCCAAGCCATGGTGGAGTCTTCTCTGGGATTTTCCAAACTAGAACTCAAGAGGAGACAGTCCTCTGATGGAGAAACTGTGAGATGGGAGGATCAGAAGTTTGTTTTCTATCTGTGGAGAAACTAATGAGAATAAAGTCAATATGCAGAGAACAAAGAAGAAGGGCTCAGTGGACCAAGTGATAAAACGAGCCAGCATTTAAAGGCCAGGAAAAATCAGGAAGGACTAGCAAAGGTTTACATCAGTAAGTATTCAATCGAGGAAATGAACATTTCCAGGACTCTCAATTTTCGATCAAATCTCTTCACTCACACCTTGTCTCACGGTTTTATATAAATTTTAAAACCAGACTCCCAGATGTTTATATCTAGCCCTGAGCTTTATCCTGGACTAACTCCTATTTGACATCTCCACTTGGATATCTTACAGGCATCTCAAATTTAAAATGTTCACTACTGAACTCCTGGTCTTCCTCCAAAAAGCTTGCTCCCAAAATCTTCTCCATTCCAGTTAACAGCCACTTCTTCCTTCCAGGTGCTCAAGTTTAAATTCCATGGTCATTTTTGATGCATCTCTTTCTCACATGCTAATGCTCATATCAGGAAATGGCTCAGCTTTCCATGAGATGCAGACTCTTGTCACCATCCTCATTGACCCCACTGGGTCCAAGCACCATCGTTTTTTGCCTGGATTACTGTTAATAGCCTCTCATCTCTCGGCTTCTCCCTGGCTGTGCTAACCACGCAGCAGCCAGCGAATGTCTTCTCATCTCACTTAAAAGTCAGATCATATGATTCTTCTCTACTTTGGATCCTTAAAAAAAAAAAAAAAACCAGGCTGGGCGCTGTGGCTCACGCCTGTAATCCCAGCACTTTGGGAGGCCGTAGTGGGAGGATTGCCTGAAGTCAGGAGTTTGAGACCAGCCTGGCCAACATGGTGAAACCCGTCTCTACTAAAAATACAAAAAAATGAGCTGGGCGTGGTGGCGGGTACCTGTAATCCCAGCTACTCAGGAGGATGAGGAAGGTTGCACTCTAGCCTGGGCGACAAGAGTGAAACTACCTCTCAAAAACAAACAAACTAACTAACAAAACCAAAAAAAACACAGAGCAAAAATCTTTACCATGACTTACAAGCCAGGAGCTGCAACTTAACTCTCCTGCTCTTTAGCCCCACCTCACCACCTCCCACCCCATTCTGCCCCAGCCACAGTTCCTTTGCTGGCTGTTCTGACTAGGCTGGCACATTTCCACACCTCCTCCTCGGGGTCTTAGCGCTTGCTGTTCCTTCCACCTCAAACATACATCTGCCCAGGCACTCACAGGGCCAGCTCCCTCACTTCCCTCAGGCATCCGTGGGGACGTCACATCAGCAAGGTCTTCCAGAATCATTCCACCTCAAATCACACCCTTTCCCCCTGCCTTTCTCTACAACACATATCACCAGTTAATACATTTAATACATTTTTATATGTCTCCCTCCCACTAGAATTTATGCTCCGTAAGAATAGGCATTTTGCTTTCTGCATTGTCTTTTTAGCGTTAGAACCATGCCTATTGCAGGATAGGCTCATAGAAAAATGTTCACTGAAGAATACAATACATTTCTTCTTTGCTCAAGCTAGATTGAACTGGTCCACTTACCAACTGGTGTTAACAGTTCTTAAATTTTACCTCAGAGAACACACACTGGGGCCTGTTGGGGGAAGGGGGTGCTGGGGAGAGAGAGAGCATCAGGACAAACAGCTAATGCATCCAGGGCTTAATACCTAGATGACAAGTTGATGGGTGCAGCAAACCACCATGGCATACATTTACCTATGTAACAAACCTGCCCATCCTGCACATGTATCCTGGAACATAAAATAAAATAAAAATTAAATAAAAATTTTACCTCAGTCACACATTTATTAAAATGTATCAGGTTACTTAATTTTTTCCCTGCATTTTCCCGTCTTCTCACTGACCATCTAATTTCTGAACCAGCTGCAATTTAACAACTTTTTCAGCAATTTAGAAAAAGTTCAGTTCTCCTTTGCTACTACACTGCACTACTATAATATTGTGACTATAGTGACTTCAGTTAATTTTTATTCAACTGACTTATTAATATTTGAAAGTTATGAAACATTCATTTTCTCCCTGAAAGTATAGCCCCTATTCTCAAATGAAATCACAAATCAAGAGCCGAGAAATGCAGAATTCCAGTCCAGGCCCCAATTAGGAACACATTCTCTTGCCTTTGAATTAACCAAGCTTGTCACTTCTATTTCTCATTTCTGCTATTCCAATTTTAACAGTCTCAGAAGTCTTTCTAGCACTAGCCCATTGGAAGGTAAGAAAACATGTACAAATCACATCAGTTTTGTCTACTTGACCATAGTCGTAAAAATGGAGTTGAAGGCATGGTGGGTCAGAAACGTTGGCTAAAACGGGGGTGGGCAAGTCGTGTCATCCTTGGTCTCCATCTGTATTCTAAAAGCTCATGAGAGTTTAAGATCTCTCTGCAAAAATGGCCAGTTAACACAGAACAATTTCCATCAGGGGACATCTCAAAGTCTTAACTATTAGAAGTCACCTTTCTTCTTTCTTTGATGCCATCTTTCCTAACCGTATCACAGTCTACTTCATTATGAAATGTCCCAGCGTTTCAGTAGACCCACATAAACTGTATTTGCCCTCAGGCAATGTCAACTTCCAAAAAAGTAAGAATAAACTTACAAAAAAGAATCAACCTTCAAATCACTTCATGGTTTTTATTTTTATTTCTACTTAGCATTAATGGGATTTTAAATGTCACCATGGACTCATTTACTTTAACTTCCACCTATCGACTTAACCTCTTGACATTTGGAATCCACTGTTAAGACTATATGTCAAATAAAAACTTAAAACATTTCAAAGGAGTAAGTATTCTGAAAATTGTGAATTTAAAAGAAGTATTTGTCAATCCCACTTCTGGATATATAGCCACAAGAATTGAAAGCAGGGCCTCAAAGAGGTATTTCCACCCTCAAGTTCACAGCAGCATTATTCACAATAGCCAGAAGTGGGAGGAATCCAAATGTCCACTGATGGATGAATAAACTAGATGTGATATAGACACACATGAATGAAAAACTATGCAGCCATAAAGAAGGAAATCCCCTCACATACTACAACATGGATGAGCCTGTAGGACAAAAGTAAAATAAACATTGCAAAAAGACAAATACTTTGTGATTCCACTTACATGAGGTGCCTAAAATATCACAGACAATATCGTAACAGTAGAAAGCAAGAGTGCTGTGGCTAGCAGGGGCTGGAGGGAGGAGAAAAAGGGCAGTCACATAATGGGCATATAGAGTTCAGTTCTGCAAGATGAGAAAATTCTGGAGATCTGTTTTACAACTTTGTAAATATTTTTAACACTGCTGAACTGTACACTTCAAAATGCCTAAGATGGTAAATTATGTGATGTTGTTTTTAACCACATACACGCAAAAACTATTTGCATCATTTTGGGTACAGATCCTTGATGGAAATACTGGATACAAGTGACTATGGTGTGCATGTAGCATCTGCCCTTTATAATGTAACTTCCTTTTAAACCACACACACAAGAAAATCTCACAAACTCAGCCTTTATTAAATATATTAAGTACTGAGCATCCTAAATTATAGCTTATTAGAGGAACGACCAAGGGTTCAGACAGAAAACAGACTATTCTGTTTCATATTTTATCTTTGTGATTATTTGGCTTATGTCTGCCTTCTCCATTAAGCAGACAGTGAGGTCCAGGGTCTGATTTTGTTCACCATTACATTTCCAGGGCCTAGCACAGTGCCTGGAAAATAGCACATAAACGTTTACTGGATGAGTCAATATAGTATTAGACACTTGGAGGCGTAGTACTACCCAAGTCTATAATCACCAAATTCAGGTGCAATAAGAGATATACCATAAAGGAGGCAGAATCAACTTTCAAAAAACTAATTTTAATCAAAACAAAAATTGTTGATCATTAACAAGTTTATAAAACAGTGATTTAGTTACATAAATAAATTGATATCAGTGTATCAAATCTTAATTACTTTCAACTTCATGAGCATGTTTACATGGGTGATGAATTACAACCTTTTTTTTTCTTTTTACCTATTATAATAAATAAAATGGAGCGCATGAAATAGTTCTTCTAAACAAAAATACCTACAAACATACCTCTAAGCATGTTCTCTAGTGAAGGGAACAAGAGACACTGGACAACTTTTGCACCAAAACATAAAAATTGCTTTAAAAAGCACAAGGTTACAGAACCATCAGCTAAAGTAAAGACACTATACTGTAACCAAAGTTGGTATTTAATAATATAATGAACAGTTTGGTAGTTAGATCTCCAGTTTGGTTATTTTAAAGCATTAAGACAAGGCAAGATAGAAGGCTGCTTTTGTTTGAGTAATTTCTAGAGAAAATAAAATATATTAAAAAAAAAGAAAACTGAAAAGTAGAACAGTCATACCTACACAACTTTCTGTCCTGCACAAAGTCAAAATACCTATGCAGAATAGATATATAATATATATAATGTTATTTGTGCACAAAGGTTAGCTTATTATTAGCTCACTGCAAAGGCGTAATGTATCATTATGTCAATTGTTTTGGAAAACATTTTGTGTTTTGTGTCAAAAGGATATTTCTTTTAAGTTTCCTAGGCTAGGAGGCACGAACCCCAATTCCGGCATATTGTATATTCTTAATGCTAAGGCTTGCTGCTCTGGCTGTGTATTTTGTTGTCCCTCTTTATTCTAGTGCCTGTTATAAGCATGTGTGGTGTAGTGGTGGTTGTTGGTGGTGTGTGTGTGTGTCTGTGTGTATACATATATATATGTATACATAAGTTGTATAAATATATATACATATATAATTTCTCCCAATAGATCTCAGTCCAACCATGCAATCCAAAAGGTGGCTCTGCATAGATGCCCAGCATGAAGTTCACCACCTGAGCCAACCCTGAAGCAAGGCGTACTTTTAGTCCTTCTGATAGGTTTTCTCTCAGTTTTTTTTTTGTTTTTGTTTAAAACCAAGCTACTGCAGCTTCAAGTATTTTGCATTACATAGAATATTTTTTATAAATTAGTTAATGTTATATTTTCAATATTCAGACATATACTATAATATATATACAGTACAATAAATGCTCTCATTCTTTTTTTAATTTTTTTGGATAAATCCCTGAGAATGTATGTTGACAGTCGCTAAGTTTCCACATGCACAAGCATCGTGTGCCATGCTTCTGGACGAACAGCACTGCAAAGCCACATGGGTCAGCCTTTTTACTATTAGTATTTCATTTTGTTGGTTTGTTTAAATATGCTGAAAATGTAAAGATGAGTTACAAAGGAGTAAAGCTGAATCCATTCGAGGTACTTATCACAGGATGGAGGTGTTTTGTTTGGTTTTTAAAGCCATTTCAATTATTTTTTTTGAGGCTGTGAACGTATACAGAAAACAGGAGAGCTATGTGGACTTTTGCCACTTGACAACATATACTCAGTGTAAACCAAACCTTTTTAACCTCTCTCTCATACAAAACCAGAAAAAAAAAATTAAAAAAAATAATAAAATAAAGGAAAGAAAGAAATAGGGAAAAAATAAAAAACACACAAACTTTCACAACATGACAATTTAGTCTGCAAACGCAATATAACTATACACATATAATACCGGTGTGGCTCTGTTCTTTAAGTTAAAAAGGGTACAAAGGCAGGCTCAAGTAAAAACAAACCATCCCTCCCATCCCCACCCCCCACCCCATTCATACAAGATCTATCAACCAAACCTCTCCCGAACCAACATCATCAGTTTCTTTTTGCCTTTGTAGATTTGTTTCAGGTTGTCAATAAACTGTGTAAACTGAATGTGTCCATCATGCGCCATTAAGAAGGTCTCTCGGGCTTTGCTGAGGAACTCTATAAACTCACTATAGTGCCGAGGACTGATGTGTGTGAGCCGTGAGTGCGTTGTGTTGATGTAGGCCCCGATCGTGGCATCCAAGAGTTGCCTCAAGGGGGCTTTGTCCAGTGACATGAGCTTACCAGAGTTCCTCCTCCCATGAAGTCCCACCATGCCAGGAGTGGTCAGAGTGCATCTGCGCAAAATGTCTGACAGTACCGTTGCACACTTGACACTCTTGACCACCAGAGGTATTATAGCTGCAAGCTCATTTTTACCAAGGGAGTGGCTAAGCGCACAGGCCCACAAAACATCATTAATGGCAGGGTGTGTGTCCTGATTGTAGCTCAGGTTGAGATGGGTCATGGCCAGGGTGGCCAGCTTGTAGGCCCTCATGGGGTACCCGCGGTGCTCCATGTACCGTGCTATTGTAAAGAGCTGTGTATAGCTCATGCCAGTCGTAGCAGCGTCGAGAACAATTTGGTACGCCGTCTCAAAAGCTATGTGATCCTTTTCACAAAGGGTTAGCGCAGAGAGGGCACAGTTCTGTGGATCCTTCATGGCACACTGCAGTGCAAGTGTCCGGGCGCTGCTGGCCAGCTTTTCCTGCTGGTGGCAGTCCAGGTGGAGGCGGACGATGGTGCTGTTGGACATCACGGTAGTTGCAACTATACTTGTGGCCTCGGTGGGAGTAAAGAGTGTAAACCAGGTCTGCATGATGCTGTCCAGGGCATAAACCCCTGCAAGGAACACAAACAGGCTCTATTACTGACGAGGAGGCTGCCCAGAGGTCCTGCCTTATTTTGACTTTTACAACCAGTGTTTACATTGTTAACCATCATAGGACATGAGCTAGGCTAGAAAATCCTGTAAAGTAATGTGCCTGTGAGAAACCTTTAAGAATAAGGTCATTATGAATTGTTATTCAGTGAAATGCCTGAAAGGAACATGAACTTGCTATAATAAAGAACCAATCCTCTTGGTAGCTGGTATTTGTACTGTGCTGCTTGCCATTTCAGACAATGGCTTTTTGCTAATGAGTTCTACTTCACTGGGGCTTCCTGTCAGAATTTGAGGCTCAAAAATTGCAACCTCACCAAAACAGGGACTTTACATGGCTTATGTGCTTGTGTGTAAGGTAAAAGTACACATAATACAAAAGTTTAAAACACACAAAGAAGCTGGAAAATGTGGCCCATAATCAAGAGAACAAAGTCAATAGAAGCAGACCTACAGATGAATCAAACGTTGGAAATGGCTGACCATGTCTTTAAAATAATCACTTTACGTTCACAGACCCAATATCCCTCACTTGTAGGAAAATCCTAAAAGTGAATGATTTGAAGAGAAGGTACTAGGTCTCAGAGAGAAATCAGGTTTATATGTTGGGGCAGGGGCAAAGAAGTTGTGTGGCAGTTCTTAAATTAGTATTATTTTTGTTTTGCTTCACTAAAGCATGACTTTAATGATGTAAAGATAATCTTTATATTGAGACCAGCTTCCCTTTTTCCAAAATAAAAAAACCATTATACGTTAGTGAAAGAAAAATAATAATTTTATAGTATATGCTGTGTCATATCTAAACACTGGGATGGCAGTGTTTTCTCAGCATGAAGTATGTATCCCTTTCTGATGCAAATATGAAAAAAGAACGTTTAACCACTATTTATTTTAAATAGCAACCATTTGTTTCTGTTGGCATTCTTGCTGGGAATGTACAGTTTTCTTCTGAACTGATCTACTGCTGCAGTGGAGAAATAGTTAGCTGAAGGGCCTCACAAAATGGCAGCTTATGGGCAGCCAGGAAATCTTCTTATGGCCAGCTACAATTGCTCACACATCTGGAGGATCACCTAAACCACACCCAGTGGTCATCACTTCTCTGCTGGATACCATGATGTATGCCTTCAGATGATAAAGAAGAAAAACAGTGCAACTAGGTAACTTTATATATATGAACTGAATAAAAACAGTTTACTCACTGACTTATACCATTTTAAATAAGAAGCTGGAGCTTCACAAATGTGACCATTTCAAGTTGAATAATACAAGTATGTATAACTGAAGGTTAGGGGTAAGGGGTCAGGGAGAAGGAAGCCCTTGTGGACTGCTAGAAGGAGCCTTGGAGAAGTCAACATAAAAGAGTGAATATGTTCACATGTCTGTAACTGACAAGTTAAATCCTACCATGAGGCACCTAGGAAAGCTTCTGTTCCAGAGTTTACCTACCGACTTCAGTAGCACACGTTACCAGCCACCTCACCATCTCCCGCCGTCGCCAATTTAAGGTTGACAGTGTCATTCGCATAACCTATAAAAACAGGGTAACAAAATGTTTTAGAAAATTATCCTGAGTCAATGAAAAAAAAGGGGGGGGATAAACTATAAGGCATATAAGGCATACCTACTGTCTACCACCAGGAAGATGAAAGCATAATTTAGAGCAAAGCTCTACATATGAATTTGGATTTGTCCATGGCTACCCCAGGTGGCCTTGCCACAGCCACATTCTCCTCCTGGCAAGAGGCCCATATTCTCCTCCTGGTGGGCCCACTGACTAGATGTGGTATCTGAACCAGTTACTCTATCTTTTCTCATCTGCAAAATCAGAGGGCTGGACTGGAGCATTAAACACAGCCCATGCCCTTTTTCCCTCCCCAGATTTAACATTCCATAGTTCAATTTCTGAGGCTCCTGTGAATTCATTCTAACCAGGAACTCTCAGTGGGGAAAGAGGTATTTTAAAATAATCATTTTAGTTATTCCTTCAATCTCTGATTGCTCTTTTCTGGTGACCATGAAGGTAACTCCAGGTTTATGGGGGAAAAAATCATCCTTGATATCATTAGTGATCTGATTTTGTTTTTCACTTTCTAACAAGAAGTCCCTAAATAAACATATCTCCCTCTTCATAATTCCCCCATTCTTTAAAGATTCAAAATATCCAGGGACGGTCAGGTGCGGTGGCTCATGCCTGTAATCCTGGCAATTTGGGAGGCTGAGGCGGAATGGATCACGAGGTCAGGAGTTTGAGACCAGCCTGGCCAATATGGTGAAACCCCGTCTCTATTAAAAACATAAAAATTAGCCAGGTGTGGTGGCGTGCGCCTGTAGTCCCAGCTACTCAGGGGGCTGAAGTAGAAGAATTGCTTGAACCCAGGAGGCAGAGGTTGCAGTGAGCTGAGATTGTACCCCTGCACTCCAGCCTGGGTGACAGAGTGAGACTCCATCTGAAAAAACAAAACAACAACAACAACAAAAAAAAAAAAAAAAAAAAACCCACAAAATATCCAGGGACATCATATCCCCAGAGGCCCTGTGGGATTCCTTTTTAGGTTCTAGAAATACTCACAAAGGGCCTGTGAGATTCCTTCTTAGGTTCTAGAAAGAATGAGTCAAGGAATAAGCTCTCGTGCATATCCTATTTACCATGAATTCCAAATAACAAGAGAGCTCATGTTAATGGTTCTTTCTGCATCACATCTTTAAGATGAGGCAAATGGTGACAAAAATTAGCCAAATAACAAGAATTAAAAAAAAACAAAAAACTTCTGAACCATCACTATATAGCTTAAAAGCAATCTTCTATACCCTTTGCTTGTACAGTATTCTATGTTACCATGGTAGGTACATTTTCCTGTGATCCTATTATTTAAACATTATTAGTCACTGTAAGGGAGAATCCACAACTAAAACACCAGATTAATTATCCAATCAGGGGATTATACTCCCCATTCTTTAGGTAACTGGGGTATAACAATTTTGTTCACTGCTTTTTAATGGGAAGAAAGCAAATGTTAATAGAGATTCCATGAGAAAAATGAAACAAACTTTTTAGTTCTTGGTTTATCCAGTGATCTGTTCAGAAACTATAAGGAAGCAAACATCTATCTGCATGACGAACTCAAAATGTCCTTGGTATTCTGTTCTGCTGAAATCTAAAACTGGACTCTGGCCCGATCACTCCTCCTTTACCTATTTTTCTCAGAGTTATTAAAAGGAGCTAGAACTGCCCATCTATTATGAAAATGCAAACATCAATAAAAATTTATACTTCCTCTAAAAATTTAACCCTAACAACTGAATCTTCATTATACATGCTAGCTTTATTTAAGTCTCTTATTAGCAATAATTCTTCTCCCTTCATTCAAAGGAGAAACAGTGTCGTTAAGGCTGCAATTCAGAAAATGATTTTTTTTAATTGAAAGACACAAATTAGGCTGCTAAATGTACAGTCCATGCACCTTACATAGCAGTCTGGTTCAGCTGGGAATGACCACGTCTCTGAAATACAGTTCTCTCCTGAAGTCTAACAGATTTGTACTCCAAAGAGTCATTTACCTGCACTCAAAAATCCAATCAAACAAAAACAACCCTAAGAGGTGCCTTTATTTAGCAGTCTTTGATGTCCCAGGAAAGACTACCAGTCATGTACCTGCAGGCCCAGCTCCAGAGACACTTTCAAAAGAGTGATGTCTGGCAAACTGTCCATGAGAGTTGCTATTTTAAATGCATCTTGGGCAAGCTTGAAGATGTGTGATGAGGAGTGAATGTTTTTCTGGATGGATTCTAATACTGTTTCCAGCCTCCGAACATCGCCTGCAATGAACAAGGGAAAACCAAACCAAACCAAATCAAAGCAAAGCAAGACAAACAAATAAACAAAAATCATACAACCATACACACACACAGAGGGGGAAAAAAGAAACAAAACAAAACATAAAGCACAAGTTAATTTACCTAACATGTTCACAGATGGCACAGGTGTTACAACTAGGGCTCCCATAATTACTGCAATGTCTGTGAATCTCGGCTTCACAAAAAAAGATACACTGAGACACACCCTCAATGACTCAAAGCACATATGAACCAGGACCAACATGAGACAGCAACAGCTCTCCTAGTTCCTACTTATGTATTTTTGGTGAATATTTCAGGAAGAAAAAAATGTAACCCAACTTGTAAATCTGCTTCTGAATTTCAACCATTTATATTTTCTTAGCATGGTAACTAACCTGAACTCTGCTGGCAGCAAGTTAATGATGCAGGTAAATGAGGAAAATGCCACCTGTTTTGCCTTAAAAGCTAACATCTAAAGAAAAAGATCCCTTCAACCTATCTGACATTAACACCACTGCTGAGAATTTGATAGAAAACAAGACTTAAAAAAAATAAACAGGCAAACGAATGAAACAATTATGAGGCCTCAGGACAGTACAGTACCTTTGGCTGCAGTTAGCATGGTGGATGCCAGCTCACACTGCTGGGACTCAATGTGGCTTAGAGTGAACCAGCGAGGGTAGCGGTTGGGAACAACTGATGCAATGTGGTGTGGGCGGGTGAGGTCTCCTGATGGAGCAGTAGATTCCAATACTAGTAACCTATAATGAGAAGACAAGGAAGGTGGCCCCTAGTTATTTCTTGACCATGTCCTTGGCCAGAAAGACTGGCCAACAGAAGCCAGAGGAGTGGGTAGATGTTCAGGCCTCTACTCAAGTTCAGCAAGGGCTGGTACAGCTATACTCTGCTGTGTGGGTGCAAAATACCTAGATTTTTTGGACTACTAATTGTTTGCTAATAATAACTGTTCATCACCCAAACCTTGTTAGTTGTTCATCACCCAAACCTAAGAGATTTTCTTTCTTTAGCACCATTCAGAAAATTACAATATTCAAATAAATTAAGATACGCAAACACCGAAGAACTTTTAAACACAGGTCTTGATGTTTACCTACAAATTTTGAATTCTATGACTCAAAAAATAAATCAACAGAAACTGATAGTGAAATGGATATTTAAGACTGAGATCACAGTCAGGAAGCAGTGAGTACTTAAGATGAATAAGCTTAACCTATTTAAACATAAAACAAGAAGGGAAGTAAGACAAAAATTACCTCTTTTCCATCCATTCATACTTTCTGAACAATTAGTTTCTTATGACTCCAGGAATTTGACATTAGACTATGTTCTACCAACCATATTACAGAAGATAAATGTGACCTAAGTGTCTGTCCCTTGACAGTTTTGCATAAATTCAGAGTGATTTCTGATTTTTTATTAAGAATATACTGTCATGGCGAAACCCTGTTTCTACAAAATATAAATCAGTTGGGTGTGGTGGCATGTGCCTGTAATCCCAGCTACTTGGAAGGCTGAGATGGGAGGATCAGCTGAGCCTGGGAGCCATGATTACACCACACCGCACTCCAGCCAGGGCAACAGAGCAAAACCCTGTCTCAAAACAAATAAAAAAAGAATATGCTGATGAAAAAATTTCTAAAAGCAAAGCAAATATTTAGTAATCTCTTCTAAAAGTACCAAAAAGCTTAGTAGAGTACCTAAAGCTGAAATAATTTATTTACAACCATCAAAATGCCGGCCTTCAGTCAAGTACACCAGTGTTAAGAACTATGAAATAAGATAAGAGCTGGAGACCAAGAAGAGTCAGCTGGGTCTGGGAGTGATGCTGGCCTCAAGGCCCCACCCAAGAGCAATTATTGCCTGGTAAGCCAAATGGCTCATTCTCTTCTCCTTTTATTTAGGAACAAAAAGATGTCAGCAGTAGAGAAGGTGGCAAGGTAGGCAGTTAAGTAGTAAGAATAATGGCAGGGTTGCTATTTAGCTTTTTTTTTTTTAACTCAGAATATCCTCGTATTCACAGGCAGGTCTTGCCAGACTTACTGTAGAAGAAACTAATCAACATCCCTGGGAAGATGAGAAAATGAGTGCTGAAGATGACCTTCCTTAGCCTTCCTCTTCCAGAAGGACTAAGAAGCATGCGAGCTACATCTCTCTTTTCCTTCCTGTTCCCTGGGCTGCCTTGCAATACCTGGTGGGGCACATACCTGCCTTCCATGGCAGACCTTTGGCAGGATAGTAGTGGCAGATAGAAGAGAGAAAGTGGAAAAAAAATTCCCCTGTACCCTGCTAGTATTCCCCATTAAGAAACTGCCTTGGCAGCAACCAAGGACAAATATAAATGAGTTTGTGAGTGTTAGAAAAGCAAGCCTTTCTGCCTGGCACATACCATTACATAAGCCAGAACCACACAGAAACTTTATGCTATTTTACCCTTAAACTTTGCCAGTGGTAGTAGCAACAGCATCTGGTGGCACCATAACATTAACATCTTCCCTTTAAAACAAGATTAGAATTCCTAAGATTTGAGTAAGTATAGAGTTGAGCATATGTCTTCATAAGACAGCTTCCATTTCAGCTTCCAAAAATAAAAATAGGAACCCACTTATTTTAAAATCGTGCTCTAAAACATAAACCAAGTGGTATAATGTAATTTGGTGGGGGACTTTTGCTGATGTTTGTTATTGACTTATTTTCTGGTATTTTAAAAATAGAAAAAAGAATACTTAAGAAGATTCTCCAGCAGGTTAGTAAGATTCCATATTGCCAAGGAAAGCATGTCAAATTACAGGATGTCAGCCTTAAAACACACTGACACATAGGTATACACACAGACACATACACACATCCTTATCACTGCATAAAAAAGAGGTGTCCTTATACACATAAGCTACACTCAATACTTTCAGAACAGGGTAACTTTGGGGACACTGGTAATTTATAGGCAAGGATTTGTTTTAGAATCTACTTCTCTGATTACAGACATAGAATCTTTGATGAAAAGCTTCTTGAGATCAAACTGTTAATCAGCACACACAAGCTTTTAGGTCTACAACATGGCTTGTCCTTAGGTGATCTGTACTTTCCATTAGAAGCACAGGAGTGTTTTATTAATTTTTTTAAAGGAAAAAGAAAATGCTGATGTTTTAAGAAAGATGGATGTACCTTTTAGGTCCTTAAAATTTAAAGGTTATTTGTAAGATTAAAATATAATCTTGAACTCATTAAAATATTCACCTTGAACAAATCTGTGATAAAAATAATTATTATGTGAAATAACTTTTAAAAGAAGGTAGAAATAAAAAGGTGGGTGGTAGAGAACAACATATTCTAACTGTTATTGCTGAAAAGGAGAGACCGATGAGGAGATGGAAGCAGTCAGAAGAGAGGCAGGCAGAGCCTGAAGGACCCCGAATAGCGACTCCTTCACTGCTAAATGCACGTCCCACCTTCTCTCAGCCTCCAGTGAATACAGATGTGCCTTGGCAATACAGGGAGTTGCTTTCCTGCACTACTGATGGAATGCGGAATTACAGCAGGTGTGAAGGTCTCCCTCAATTATATTCAAGCCAGTATATTTACTATTTACTACTGCTTCAAAAATCAATTTTTTCAAAACAATTAATCATTTATGAAGGTTTCAACTGTTGCTGTTTTATGATTAAACTTGGCTTGAATTGTGCTTCACGAAAAAGTAGGAAAAAGCCACGGTGTGCTTGAGTCTGATAGCAGCAAGGATAACCCTTCCCTTACTTTAAACAGAAGCAAAACAAGCCAACAAGCAAATCACCTCCACAACAATACAGGAAGCATAAATACATAGTTTCTTTAGCTTTTCTGCTGCCTATAAGAAACATGAAGGAGTAAGTCAGTTAACAGCCATGCTTCCCAGTGGGAATGTGGCCTGCCTCTGCCCAGCTGGGCTGTGAATACATACCGCATTGCTCTCAGTGCAATTTTGTATGCCAATTCAGCATCGTGAGGTAGGAGAGAGGTGAAGAGATACTTGGCAAATGTGTGCATTGGAACGCTCTCCCGATGGATTATTTCACCTAAACCACTATATGGTCCGGCTGTGGGAAGAGAGCATACACATTTTACGTTCCTAAAAAATGAACTAACACTTCTTGTAAAGCATATTGTTAAAATGTCACATAAAGTTATAACATATACAAATAAGAATTTCAAGTAAATGATATAGAAAGGAATATAATCCTTAATCAAAAAAGATTCTTCAGGGTATAGCATCCGTTACAGATTTCACCTCATAAACAAACCCCTAACTGTCCCACAGCTAGATGAAAAACCCAGAACTCAGGGGCAGACAGCATTCACAATACAAGTGCCTCAGAGAAAGGAACCCTCTATAGCGTAAAACCTTGCTGCATTTGAGCAACATCCTCTCTCAATGTGTGGCATCAGAGCATCTTGATTTGTAAATGCACAGATGACACCACAGCTTAACTATGGAAACTACCCCTGGACCTAAGAAGGGTTAGGGACACAAATATGCCAGGTTTCCAGAAAATGGTGCTCTGTATCAGGGGTGAGAGGTGTGGGAGGATTCTGAACCACAGCTCTCTAACTATACACATTGTTGCCTCTAATGAGTGGCAACAGATATTAATTCCTAGAAAGTGATTATTAATAAAAAGAATAGTTACCCATTTCATACGCATCATAGGCAAAAGAAAAAAATTAAAGTAACTGGAAGTTTACTATTCTTTGGGCTCCTGAAAGCCAATTTTAAAAGCAAAATTACACTTAAGCTGTCAAAATTCATTTCTTAGTAAATTCTGACAGGCGTGGTGGCAGAGCTGACTTCCCCTGTGTGCTCCCTGAATGCTGCTTTGAGAACGGCAACATAGACTTTTAAAATAAATTCTGAAAGGAAACCACAGTGGTTAGTTCAACCACTTTGCACTAAGGTACTCTGAGGTTTAGTTACTGTAAAGTTTTTAATAAATTAGTTTCCATGTTACCTTCGGGTAACATCTGTTTCATGATTTCTAGAATTATGAACCATGACACCACTGCTCAGAGGACATGCTATATTTGTTTTCCATGAGAAAAACCAGTGTGGTGAAGAGTTTAGAATGCAAGAAATGCAGTTCAGAAGAAATGGTAAGAGCAGTTACTGAACTGGTGGTTGGTTATGAGCACAATATATTCTAGGTCATTTTAATGGAGGTTATTTTAATTCAGTTGAGTTTTTTGATAGTATTTTTGAATTATTCATTATTTAAGTACTTTAAAATCATACAAATTTTTTCACCTAAACTAACATCTAAATCTCTAATTTTACCAAATCCATTAATCTTTAATTTTAAATGTTTTAGTGATTTGATATTCTTCAAAAGTTCATATAGCATTATGACTGCACCTTTTGTTCATATACCAAGGCTACATTATTTAAGTTATTAACTGTTACAGGCTAAATATGTATTTCTTCCCAAAATTCACATTTGGAAGCCCCCAGCCCCAATGTAATTGTATCCAAAGTTGGGGCCTGCATTAAAGTAAAATGAGGTCATAAGGGTGGGGCCCTGATCCAACAGGATTAGTGTCCTTGTAAGAAGAGACACTAGAGAGCTTGATCTCTCTGTCATGTGAAGACACAGAGAAAAGGTAGCTGTCTTCAAGACAGGAAGAGTGCCCTCATCAGAAGCCAATGATGAGGCTGGCACCATGATTCTAAACTTCCCAGCCTCCAGAACTGTGAGAAATACATTTCTGTTGTTTAAGCCACACAATCTGTGGTATTTTGTTATGGCAGCCCAATCTAACACACTAACTATTTTACTTAAGGACTAATTATAGCAAATCTATAGATTAGCCACAGTCTTCATTTCTCCTTCATTTTCTTTCACTGTTTCCCCTTAAACCACCAAATTACCTTTTTTGTACTATTCAGGAGATCCAGGATACATAATCAATTATTTGCTATGATACCACTCAACAAGTAAAACATTCAGTCAGGTATCCAATAATTATTTGTGGATTAATAATTAGTGTAATTCCTGGACTCTAGTGTACTACTGAATAATGACAACTTGATATTTGGCACCAAGTTTCCCCAGAGGTGCTTGTTCAATATGCTAATTTATCTATCCAATATTGTGGCCAGGAGGGATTAATACTAGCAACAATACTGGGTTACTCCTTCCTCTTTCCAGATATCTGGGCCTGCTAACTAATTTGCCTCTGACATTTGCAAAGAGTATAACTGCACGAAGAACTTGGTGCCCTGGTGTAGTCAATTCAGTCATGGAGTTCTCAATCTTCTAGCATTTACAGTAATGGCCCTGTGGCCTCCCCGCCTTGGACTGCCTCCTGTCCTGCACCTATTCACTCTTTGTGGGCCTTGCAGGGCCAGGAAAGGAGAAGAGGCAGAGATGAGTCAACAATGCTCCTTCTCAGGCACAGTACTCATAAAAATGTTTGACGGGAGGGATGGACGAATCAAGACTAGGGCAAAGTTCAAAAATATTCATGAAAAATGGACATGGAGACATATTTAGGAAGGTAAATACAGATACCACACACTATCAACTTTGAAAATCACAGATCTTCTTTCTAAACTTCAGTATAAGAGAAATCAAAAGTCAGTATAGTCAGTGACAGAAAGCATTTAAAAAATGCTTGTGACTAATGACATTGCTTATAGCATAAGGAATTATATGGGAGAAAACTGAAAGAAAACAGTAACTGAAGAATCAGGATCACTCTTGAAATTTGTCAAGTGTCAAGATGGGCTTTTTATCTTTACAGGGAAAAAAACAGGTTCAGGAGAGTGCTTCAAAAAATTACCACTGGGAATTTTTACCAAAATTAAGCATGCTATTAAGAAGGTTTACCTGAAGAGCATTTTCCCTTTAAAATGCATTTCTAAAACATATAAAAGTAAAGTATGTTTGAAGAAAATGTTTTCTTTTAAGTAGATCTTTTGCTTTGGACAAATAAAAGGGGTGCTGAAAATCTAAATCCCTTCCCTATATGTAGTAGTTCTGAACATAAGATGAATATAACATACTTTATGAGGCTATCAATCACAGAGAATCCCATAATAACACACTAATAACACACATATACTTGAGAGACAGAAGCAATAGTTACACACCACCTAAATTTGCACGAAAGATCACACTACCACATGAATTACATTTACCTTTTCAGAGGGGAAAAAATCTGAAAAATAGTGTCAGCCAAAATTTGTTAGGCCCTTTAAAACTTAACTTTATGAGAAGAAGGAAATTAGACCGTGCCTCAGATTCTATGAAACCTTTTCCTTGATGAATCTGTGCCTAATGAATCCTCTGAAATAACTAGTTGGTGCAGCAGAAATTCACTCGCACAGCCCTCAGTCGTTTGTTAGCGTGTGCGTATGACACATTCAAAACCCAGGTGTCATGTAACCGCCAATAATTTGGAGGAAGGCCAGCCAATTACTGTTTTATTATTTAATTGATCAAGGAAATAGGAACATGCCTGCCAATAATAATGCACTAAATATCAAAATTGCATTTATCTCAGGAACAACACAGTCTGAATGAAATAGGTTCTTTTCAAGGTTTGAGGCATTAAATGCAGCTGTTTTGTAATAGGCTATCATATATAACCACCTAAATCAAATGATACAAATCTAAACATCCATGCTTTTTTATTCAGTGACACTATTTTTTAGACAGCGAACATGTCTTTGATACCCCATGACTATAGCAATCAGGATAACTACCATATTAAATGCATTCAGATAGCACTTTTAACATAAGAAAGATTAGCACCTAAGTCAAATTGGCTAAATAAGTGGAAAACTTCTGTATCAGGCTACCTTCTAATAGGAAGACTGCTTGCTTGCGAAAAATTTTCACCAGTGTGTCATCCAATTCAATTTCCTGAAGCTTAGAAATGAGCTGCTCCTCATTCCGGCAAACTTTCTCTTGTGTGTACAGCCCATCAGGCATGATACGCTGCTGTCCTAGCCCTATCAGGGCTACTTCCACAGCCAGCGTTAAATAGGATTCCCCTTCTTCTAAGAATTTGTGTGCAGGTAGATGCTGGTATTCCAGAGACTTGCACTGTCCCATATTCTCTGCAAAATGCCACAAAAGAAATCAGAGCTCAGAAACTACTTTTGCAGATGATATGATAAGTACAAATATTTATACTTCCCCGTACAAGCAAATGAATTATGGATTAATGCTGAGAAAGCCAGAAAACATGTTTTTTAGGCTAAAGTGCAGTCTTCCAGTATCTTTTTAAAAATGACCATGAATGATTAAATGTTTACGTTTTGGGGGATATAACATTACAAATACTTTTCTCCCTTGAAAATAAATCACCAAAGAAAACTATAAATCTAAGAAAATATGAACTAAGAATACTTAAGAGAAAAACAAAATTTAATTACACAATAGTAAAATTACACGATGACTTGCACTCACCACTTTTTAAATCCTGGCATTCAAAACGTTTCCATAATAAAAACAGTAGGGAACATAACATATATAACCCAATTTCAAGTCCTTTTTATTATCCAAGAGTCATCAGTTATCACAAGAGGAATGATTCTTTGAACATTCTCTTGTCTCCATTAAAGTGCTTCTATTATAAATTATAACAAACTTCAACCATCAAACTCCCAAGGAAAGTGAATTCAGACTCATGCCTTTCACCCTCCTGACAGTGTCTGGGTTACCCACAGTCCATGAAGGCAACTATCACAGGGCAAATTATGAAGGGGCAAGACTTGAGCTCATCCAGCCATGGAAGCAACAAAGGGACATCGTTACTCCCTGCCTTACCTCCACCCACTGCCCTTGGGCAGTCTTTTTAGTCAAGATTCTTAAGTTTCAATGGGCCAAAGTGAAATCTCAAAACACAGCTTTCAAGGAATGTATGATATAAAACAGTTTTAAATGACATTTAATACTCCCCCTTAAAGTAGACTAAAATATTTAAGTGACAAGTCACTTTCAATGCAAAGACAAATTTGAAAAGCACCTAAACTAGATTTTCTAGTTCTAAATGCTAAGATGTACATCTTTATTTTATAACTTTATGCTAAGAAGTAGTCATAAATGTGGATAAATTCGTAGATACAGAATCACTGGTTAGAAGAGAATAAATATTTTTAAGATTCTCGAAACAGGCTGCCAACTATCAACTCTAAGACTTTTCCCAGTTTTGTAGCAGCCTGCGTGAAAGCATGACAGTGCCCATTTTCTTGCTCTCTTGCTAACCAAAGGTGCTGTTAACTACATGGTTCCATAAAACATAATGTAAAGAAAAACAATGACTACTGCCATTCAGGGTTTAGAAAAAGAAAAGCACATGAGACAAATGTCAATGGTTTTACCTGTAAAATCTGAGAACCCAGAGAGGTTCTCATCATCAATGCGGCAGGCTTCCATAAGGCTACTGAAGAGAGTGCCCACAGGGTCCAGGGGATGTCCAACCCAGCCCTCCAGATTGGTTATCGAGGTTATGTTTTTATGGGGTAGCTCTGTGTAAGGAAAGGGAATTGAGAAATGGGGGAGTAGAAGGGAGATGAAGGGAAAGAAGTGGGGAAAACAGAGGCTTTACCATTTAATAGCAGCATCCTGATAAACCAGTTCTGAATTCTGTTCGAAATTCTCTTTTAATTAAGAAACCAATCAAAAGGTACCATAATCCCCAACTTGTCAACTATTTTGAGTTCTAAAGGTTCATCTGTAAGTCAATATAAATGGTACTGAATTTCCAGGACAGCTCCCAAACATCTATTTAATTCATGTGTCTAGGGTACTGAGTCAACATTACTACTTACACTATTAAATTATGTTGTATAGGGAAAAATGAATTCCAAATTTTCTTTTGAGAAATTAGGAACAACTCCCCCACTTCCCTAGGAGGGGGCATTAGAGAGGACTAAGAAGTCCCACTGGAATTATCAATTGGTAACTCTACCACGATATGCAGAAGAGACCTCTCTAAATCAGTGTTAACTGGGTCATGTAAATTGAGGACTTGAAGGCAGCTGTAGCTTGGGTTAGACTTGTATTCCCACATGAATATCCTTAAATTACCCCCATCACCTTATGAAAATCTTCCTTAGTGTGAATCTGTAAGCCATTTAAGAGAGAACCTTTGCCATAAAGGGGAATGATAATAGACGATTATATATAATTTGAACGAAATAATCCTTTTCATTTTCTTCACAGAATATAATGCTTTCAAGTTAAACCGCAGAATGCTGGGAAAAAAAGCTATGTTTAAGATATATTCCATTGTTGTAAATAATGCAGTATTTTACATCTAAGTGTTTACTAAAGTAATAAATAATAGTAGCTCCTTCTTTTCATTTTTTTGAGATGGAGTTTCACTCTTGTTGCCCGGCCTGGAGTGCAATGGTGCGATCTTGGCTCACTGCAACCTCCACCTCCCGGGTTCAAGCGATTCTCTTGCCTCAGCCCCAAGTAGCTGGGATTTACAGGCAAGTGCCATCACGCCCGGCCAATTTTAGTAGCTCCTTCTTAAAGGAAAACATAATAAAATTTACATACAATATAAAATATACAAGAAAAATATTGCCATGTAAATATCTGAAGAGCCATTCCATGAATCCAATGTTCCTTCACAAGTCTTCTGGTTTTAAGCAATCAACTATCAGTACATAAAAATGAAAGACAGGCCAGCGTGGTGGCTCACGCCTGTAATCTCAGCACTCTGGGATGCTGAAGCGGGTGGATCACCCGAGGTCAGGAGTTCGAGACCAGCCTGGCCAACATGGTGAAACCCCGTCTGTACTAAAAATACAAAAATTAGCTGGCCGTGGTGGTGGGTGCCTATAATCCCAGCTACTCGGGAGGTTGAGGCAGGAGAATCGCTTGAACCCAGGATGCAGAGGCTGCAGTAAGCCGAGATTGCGCCACTGCACTCCAGCCTGGGGGACAGGGCGAGACTCCATGTCAAAAAAAAAAAAAAGAGGAAAAACGGTTTGGCACAATGTATTGAAATTTAAGTCGAGTCCTAGATTCCTTGAAAAGGTCCTTATATTCAATTTCTGTTGCTGGCTTTCATAAACATAATTAGTAGGAAAAAAGAAACATGAGCACTACTCCTGGAAACAACCAAATAAATATGTTTGCATATATACATATACACACACATATATATATGTATATATATGTGTATGTATATATGGATGGGGCTAAAGGAAATGCTGTGCTTATATAAACAAATATATTGTCAAGTGATAGAAACTGAGGAAATATGAGAAATCAAAAATAAATCAAATAAATCTGTTTTTTTTCAGAATCAATAAGCTAACACATCATGCCAAATAATTTTGAAAATGTATAAGATATTCCATTTACTAATCTTGGCCCATAACAAGTAGCTGTTATGGTACTTTAGACTTGTAACAGCTATGGAAAAGCCTATTTTTAAAATACGGAAAAACAATTACCAAAAATAAAGTAGGGAAAGACATAGGTATAGACATGTAATCCTAGCAATACCTAAGAATGGTTGGAAATAAAAGTTTTCATAGCTTGCAAGATAAAAGAGAAATGGGTCTAAGAATGGTCTAGACCTAAAGGTTACAGAATTATCTCAAAGACAATCAAAGGAGTCTAAGTTAACATATTCTGTAACTTACCTAAATGTAAACATGTTTAGGAACATTAGTTAGTTAGGAAACTAACTAACATTTTTACACTTTCCTTTTTTATTACAACATTTTAAACAAATTTTAAAAGTCAACATTTATTCATAAAATGTATAATATGATTTTTTTTAAAAATCAGATGATCATCACGAACTGGCTCTCTTTTTGCACAGTATAACAAGTCCTGCACTCTTTGTTTGAATATTATCCTTTATACTATTCAGAAATAAATTCCTTTCACCATAGACTGTGTATGTGTTGAAGGAAGAAGGATTTCAGAAAAATTTTCCAAAGTACCTAGCAATGTATTTTGCACACACCAGTGATGATATGAAGAACATCATGAACTGGACAAAGTCACGACAATCGGGGCTCTCACATTCCAATCCCATCTGAGCTTCCCTCTTCCTTTGGTTCAACTGTAACTTTTGACTTTTTTTCACTGTTAAAAGTTACAATAGACACTTGCTCCAACCTCTAGCCTTTTAATAATTTTTAGTTATACTCTAGTATGTGTATAATCACCCAAGCATTAAAAACAAAAATATAACCAAAACCAAAACCAAAACAAAAACCCAGCAACTAAAACTATCCCTCTTAATGAAAAATAAAATCACAGAGTGAAAACGAACCTGCTAAAGAAACATAAAAATAAAATTTATACCTATAGAAGGAACAAGATGTACATGGATTAATCAGAAAAAGCATATACATTTCTTTATCTGATCAGGGTCTTGTGCATGTAATTCAACCCTTTGCAATTACTATTACTCAGTAATAGTTATTCAAAATTTAAAAGATTAATAAACTGAGATAAAGAGAAGTTAAATGTGTTCTTTCAGCTGACAGCTCATCAAATGTCATTTACAGAATTTGAAAAATCCAGTTCTATTCTGGTCACTTTAAGTAAATATAGTAACATGTCCTGATGTACAAATTATTACAGCTAAAAAGTTTTAGAATGCTTACACATTGTGCCAAGCTTTGCTTTAAGTGCTTTACAGAAATTAACTTGGTTTAATCTTCTCAACAACTCTAAGAGATAGGCCCTCTACTGAGCCTCATTGCACAGAAGAGAATTCAAAATCACAGAGACGTCAACTGATTGCCTAAGGCACCCATTTGGGACGTTAGGATTGCCGGGATTCAAGCATAGGCTGTGTCCTTATTGTTAGAATTAAAATGCACTTCCACAAAATAAGGCATTTAGCTAACATGCATTTTAAATAATTTAGACATACTAAATAGTCATTAAAACAATAAAGAAAATTATCCCCCTTAAAAAAGTAACTAACCTGAGAGATTAAAAAAAAAAATCTTTGCTTACAACATTCAACTAAGAAAAAGATGCCCCAAATTTCTCACAGATCAGCCATTATTTTAAATGAATGGCGAGTAAAGCCATCATCTATGGTTTTAGTTCTAAAAGCCATCTCTCCCAGAACACAAAACCTAGTAATGTCATCACTAAGAATCCCATTCCAATGGAAACAAACTCCTTCACATTCACCTTTTTTTTGGGTTCGGAACATTTCCAACTGTTTCTGCTGCTGTCGTCTTAATGTATTAACAATAGCTATTGCTAGTCTCAGTGCTTCTCTGGGGTACCCATGAGAACGTAATGCGTCCACTCTTGCACAGGCTGTAGGAACATGTTCTAAAACAGAAAGTCAAGGGGGTAAAGTTGCCACTGTCAGATATATCCATAAAAAAAGAATTTAATAGTAAGATGTTTCTCCCAAAATACTATTAAAAAGACACAAGAAACCATTCCTGAACTTGGATTTGAATGAAAATCTCAGCTCCTATTGCCAAGCATTCATCCATCTCCCATTGAATCCTTCAGTTCTCCACCTCCCATTCCAGTAATGCTATAGAAACTAAACAAAGAAGTAAGTCATGGAAATGTCTTTCCGGTTTGGTCACTTACCATGCCAGAGGGGCCACCCGCGGGAGTCGAAGAGGGAGTTTTCAGTGTCGTCATGGTAACAGTAGTTGGTGTATAGGTCACTGCTGATAATGTGCTGCAAGTGGCTATCCTGCCAGTGGAGATCGCATGCCTCGATGGCTCGGGTGAACACTGTCCGATGTGGCCTGTTCGATGAATCTGTTTTTTCCACAATTCAGAAAGCCGTGTCAGCTATTATTCACATGTGAATAAATCAGTCATACCATTCTGTGGCCAGATGTTCATGAACACACCCACACACATTGTCCTGCACCCCCTAAGCAGAAGGGTGAAGGGTGAATACTCTCACATCCTAAGTACTAAGAGGCAGGTCAGCCCAAGAGCCACCATTCACTCACTTGTTTATCAAACACAAACATTCTGCAGCCATTAAAGCTAAGGTTAAAGGCGTCCTGCAAAAAGAATTGTCAAGTCTAGTTTCCATGCCAAATACACTCAAAGGAGCCACTCAGCACAAAAGTCACAGGAAAACTCACTGCTCCCCACTTCTGAGGTGCTGTGGTGGGCTGCCCTTATGGGATCAACAGCTCTCACAAACACTATGCAAGAGATGCGACACCAGCCATGGAACCTTTCAGGATTATGCAGTCAGCCTTTAAAGATATGCATAAGGGTTGTGCTTTTGGTTGTATTTTTTAACTATATTGTGCGGTTTTGCACAATTAAAACTATTATGCTTCTTGGGATATAATGCTTAAATATCACTTTATATCCCAAAGGGCATAAATGCATATATTTAACATTTCACAAAGCCACACAACATAGCTACAAAACAAACCAGCGCACTTACCTTGCCCCTACAGGCTGCCTCCTGACTCCTGGGCAGGTTCCATGACTGGTGTGATGTCCCCAGCATAGTGTATGCCAGGGCATCACAAAAGAGCAGAGCCATACACTCCGAAGAGGGTTCAAGTTTCAGGACCTGACGGAGAAAAGAAATGTTTGGGGAATAAAGGATATTCTCACCTCAACTCCTGGGATTATTCAATTCCTAAGGATTATATGGTTCAAATTCTACCTGCACACCCACCCCTTGGGTTCCCACTCTAAACTTACCTTCAACTGTGGCACAAACTTTAGCAATCCTCAACTGGAAATCAGGTTAACAAACTATTTTTATTTATGTGTACTTAACCTAGTTCAAATATAACCTCTCATTGTTCTGAGACTTAATTAAATGAGAAGCAAAATCTAGAGCTTCCTTAATTGGTAAGATTTCATTTTCCTGTCACCGGACCTTTGGCTGAGCACAGACATAAGGGAAAACACAAAAATCAAAGGACAACTGAATTGAGAAGAAGAGACTGGAGAACTCATCTACGCCAACCCCTTTACTCTGCTGATGGAACTGAAAAGCAAGGGAAGTAAAGTGACTTGCCAAGGTCACACCATCAGGCAGTGACAGTGGAGATTAAAACACAGATATCCTTACTGAAAATTCAGCTACTTCAGCTGGTTTGGAAAGGCTTTTGACAAGTCTTTAACAAAGAGACATTACTTCAGTTTGGTCTCAGGTCAACTTAGCTATCTGTACCTGAATGGTAGACATATCAAAATGCATGTGTGATAGATCATTTGAGAGGCATAAATAATGATGATCTGTTATGGCTCCCACCCAGACTCCTCACTAGAGGTGGATGGATAGTGAAACTGCAAGGGAGAAGGCAAAGTCCTACATTTAAGGACGTTTTGAATCTATTGGGGCTTTTTGCTGAGCAGAATAAACATACCCATGCCCAGCAAGAAATTGGTTCCGTGACCTCTCACAGTCAATTGATCAAATGTTTCAAAGTCCAAGCCTCACATAAGTGTTTTTTAGCCTCATGTAAGTATCTTTTGTCATTTCATTTATTTTGTTAAGCTGAAATCATAGAAACAAAATTTAAAACTAAAACGAGACTTTAAAAGAGCAACTTAGTATTATGCATGTATTAAAAGAGTGAGTTAGAGGTCTGCCTATTGATTTGGCTCAAATAGCAAGCTGTTAACATGATTCCATTTTTATAAAACATTAATAGATACCTGAACCTTTCACATGTTTATATGTGACTATATAAGTGTAGAGAAATGTTGCGTACACACACTAGGCTTTTAACATGGTTAGCTCTAATAAAACCAATGACAACAAAAGAGGCTAAATACTCATGAAATGAAATTTAAATGACAAGTCCTGTAATAATATGGGAAACACATAAAATTAAGTATGTAGCTGGACATAGAAGATATACAATTAAAAATTTGGTTTGACTAGGTATCAAAATTAGTCAACTTTTTAAAATCTTGAATGTCAGTGGCTATTCAATTGTGCAGTAAGATTGAAAAAAGGGAAATAATTATCTTGAGCAATTTTTTTAAATGATAAATACACATATTTGTAAGAATTTTTCATAAAGTACACAAAATAGTAATACATGCTGATTAAGGAAAACTTGGGAAATTAAGTAAAAAGGAGATATTTTTGTTCTTCTACTAAAAAAATTATAAAATTGGCTATACTTTTGGTATATTAAAAAATTATTCTCTTTCAAAGGGTATAGATTGCAATGTTGTTATTCATTAATTCTAAAAAATTACCTCAGCAGAGGCAGAGCCTGGATAAGCCCTTCACATGCACTCTAATGTGTAAACACAAGAAATTCCGTCCATGGCCTATACTGTGTGCACACTCAGTCCAGCTGCAATGGCACAGCTGCTGGACTCTATTGGCCACCACAAGCTCTACCCTGGGGAGCCAGCTGAGCTTTACAGGGAAGGGCACTACAGGTATGAACACCAGACCTCCTCTGTAGGCATGTCTCTTCTGACAGCCCCTCAGAAGGATGGGGGTATTCTGCTAAAAGTAGGTACCCTGGTGCCTTTCGGTCCAACAGATATAAACACTGCCCTTAGAAACAAGGTCCCAAATTGTATCACCTAGGCCAAACCATAAGCGAAATGAACTCTTTAAGTCTGGAGGCTGGACCATTTCTTACCAGCTTTCTAAGGCCATGAAATATTCATGCTTAATCAAGGGTAACAGAATAAATGGAATGTAAAAAGTAAAATGTAAAATGTTTGAGTAGCAGTCCCCAAAAGCAGTGGGGAATGAAACATAGTATAAATAGAAGGGGATTAAGGATATTACCTATGTAGATGTAGGCATACCCTTTCCTAGCAACGGAAGAGAATAAATGTTGAACAATTAAACTTAAAAATTCTGAGCACCTGGAAAAAAACTGGGGGTATGTGGGATACATTTATTTTCTTCGAAGTTATTAAATACAATCATCATGGGCAATAAAGATATGACAGACTTCAAATATTGAATTCCCATGGCAAATATCTCTAGACAAGGCAGAGTCAGACAATTGTCTTTCTCAAGTCCTAAAACTTCTTTTTGATTGGAAAAGTCCCTATGGAGTAATACATATCATTTTCTTTCTTTGCAGAGACTAAAAACACTATACTAACATCACATTCAAACTCAGCACATTGTTCCAGTTATTTCTAGTAGTACAAATTCAGCATGTGGCTAGTACATAGAGAATGTAGTCTTGACTCTGAATCCTAATGTTATTTAATTCCCACCTTGCTTCTATCATGACTTTAAAATCTTTCAAATTTTCTCCCAAAAAATGCACTGAATCATGCAAAAATAGTGTCATGAATTAGTTAATAAAATTTCTATTGGCAAGAAATAATTACTTAAGAATTTCATTTTGAAAGGGAAGAGAACATTCTGCAGCAGGTAGAAGGGAAAATGGGGCCAAGGGAGGAAGTTTTTTAAAGATGGGAGAGACTTGGGTTGAATAGATAGGTACAATAGAGAGGGAGAAGCTAAAAAAAAACAAAAAACAAAAAAAAACAAACAAAAAAAACAGGACAGAAATGAGACAGAGGTTCTTTTGGAAATGTCTGGGAGCATTTCTTGGTTGTCCCAAAACTTGGAGGGCACTATTAGCCTACAGCAGGTGGGCTAGACAACCCCTCACAATAAAAAAATTTCCCAGTAAAATGTCAACAGCATTCTATGTCCTTCAGTCGAGTCATAAAATATTTCCTTACTACATTTTAAAACTAAGAATTAAGTGACTAAATTATGCAATAGATCAAACATGGATTGATCAAGAAAAATAAAAACATATAGCTCCTCAAGCCTCTTGACAGTTTGTTTTAAAAGTAATATATTAACCATCCTACTCCATGATCTTTTTAAATTAGAGAAGAATGTCCATAATAAATCATTAATAGGCCATTTTAACACATACTAGTATATAAAATAAGTATTATATCCATCCATATTCTGAGAATATAAAAAAGTATACAAATATCTCAGTTAAATTTAAAACATACACACAGACACACATACACTCACAGTCAACACATATTAAGTACTGGAGTTGTAAGTTCTTAAGTTGGTAAAATCATTTTCCCATATACATTGTAAGTTACTATTATAAGCACATATGCATAATTAAGTAGCTACAATTTAAGCAGAACATTATGGTAGACTCACCTTGGTTGGCATTTGCACCCTGAGGCAGAGCATTGGTTAAGTTGGGTAATTCACTGCCATGATTTCCATCTTCCCATGGACAGACATCAACACTATTCCATTTCTTCAGCTGTTTTAGCCAACTGGCCTTTTGCTCCAACTTGCAGTGGGGGTTTAAAACTATACACATCCACAGAGCACCTAATTTAAAGGAGGAAAGGAAAATAAATGTTCAAAAATTATAAAAACATCCAATTTTATCAAGTTAAATTGTTTAAATTTATTAAAATTTAAAAATGTAATTTATATATTTAAAATTTTAAATTTAAATTTTTTAAATTATCAAGTTAATTATAAATTTTAAACAATTTCAAAAGAGATCCAAGTCGGTCATTTTTATAACTTAATTCTCCTTAACATAAGCCACAAATCCCACAGAGAGTTTATTGAAAGGAGGACAATAGATCCAAAGTTTGAACCAAATATCCAAATACTCTTACATAATAAAATATACTTCATATTTCACAAATGCCAATAGTAATCAACTTCTTACTTGTATGACATTTTAGACAAAAATGCCAATAACATATACAATCCCAGTGTCCAATTTACAGACTCTATACATGGATACTGCAATATATCACTCCAAATGGTTCTGCACAAAAATTGAATTTACTTTCTAAAATTACTTTTTACAATAAAATCATTAAGGCATATAGTGGACACAAATAACTTCCTGTTCTCCTTATAATTTCAAACTTTATTATGTTTATTAATTAGTATGCATATTTATCCGTCAGTAAAATATGAATAGTTTGGGGCAAAAAAAAGCCAGTAAAATACGTCTTTCAAAAATAAAATCCATTTAAACATACTTCCCTAAATGATTTAATCAGGAACTGATTTTAAAAATATAGTTGAAATCACTAAATTTATATGTTCATGAGTAAAATTACTAAACCATAATCAAAATTTCCCTAGTTTTTCAAAGGAAAGGCAATCATACATTTAGAATAAAGGCATAATTCATAATTTGAATAATTAAGGTCTGATAAATTATTCCTTTCTACATTCTTCGAAGAAGTAGAAAATTCAAGCAAATATTTCACAAATTTTAAAAGTTCAAGTTTTACTTAAATTTCAAAGCAAGACAGCTACCAGTATTCCAAAGCTTTTCACAACACTACTTCTTTGAAAAGGTATGTGTGCATGTCTGTTTATGTTTTAATCATTTGTTAAATGCATAATAATGGTAGGAATGAAAACTGTTTATGTTTTATTTATCCAAAAGATAGGGCGTACATTCTTCCTCATTAAAAATAAACAAGCTTCTTCCATTAGGGCGGGGGTCCCCAACCCCCAGGCTGCAGACTGGTACCAGTCTGTGGTCTGTTAGGAACTGAGCCATGGCCTGTTAGGAACCTGGCCACACAGCAGGAGGTGAATGGCAGACGAACAAGTATTACCATCTAAGTTCTGCCTCCTGTCAGATCAGCGGTGGCATTAGATTCTCATAGGAACACAAATACTATTGTGAAATGCGCATGTGAGGGATCTAGGTTGCATGCTGCTTATGGGAATCTAACTAATGCCTGATAATCTGAAGTGATACAGTTTCATCCCGAAAGCATCCTCTCCCACCCCCCATCCGTGGAAAAACTGTCTTCCATGAAACCAGTCCCTGGTGCCAAAAAGGTTGGGGACTGCTATGTAAGAGTATCTATTATTTTAAATATCAAATAGCTTTTATCAACAGAAAACAAAAAGGGCCACAACCCATCTAAGCCACAGATATTTACAATCTGCATTTCTATATTTTAAAATGCCAATTAAAAACACAACATGGCTAGTGAAGATGGAGTAAGTCCACACCCGTCCCTCCCAATGATAACAACAAAAACTTTGGACAAAATACAAAAACTAATAACCTGAGGATTCTGAAAAGTAAGAGCAAGCAGATTGGAGAGAGAAAATAAAACCTGGAGAAGCAATCCTGATGGGGGTGACTTGCCATTATGTTTCCCCTTCTTTTTTTTCTCCTAGCATTGAAATAAAATTAGCCCCATCCAGGGAACTTTATAAACGACACATGCAGCAAAAACTTGAGAACGCTTATTGAGCTGGTGTAAGCACAGGGAAAAAGGACCCCCAAACCAGGAGGTGGAAACGGGGATCTCTGAATTCTGTGTACAAACTGGTAGAAGTCCTGGTCACACTTCATGTGCATGAGACAGATCCAAGGCAGCATAACCAAGGTTTTGAAAACTAACTGACATTGGAACTATCACCCAATGGAGGGGAAACAATTTATGGTCTGAATCTACCCTGGTTTGTTGCATGCTTTAAGAAATTTTTTAAAACAATCAATGAGAAAAACAAGCAATGGGGAAAGAGAAAAACAAGCAATGGGGAAAGGATTCCCTATTTAATAAATGGTGCTGGGAAAACTGGCTAGCCATATGTAGAAAGCTGAAACTGGATCCCTTCCTTACACCTTATACAAAAATCAATTCAAGATGGATTAAAGACTTAAACGTTAGACCTAAAACCATAAAAACCCTAGAAGAAAACCTAGGCATTACCATTCAGGACATAGGCATGGGCAAGGACTTCATGTCTAAAACACCAAAAGCAATGGCAAAAAAAGCCAAAATTGACAAATGGGATCTAATTAAACTAAAGAGCTTCTGCACAGCAAAAGAAACTATCATCAGAGTGAACAGGCAACCTACAAAATGGGAGAAAATTTTCGCAACCTACTCATCTGACAAAGGGCTAATATCCAGAATCTACAATGAACTCAAATAAATTTACAAGAAAAAACAAACAACCCCATCAAAAAGTGGGCAAAGGACATGAACAGACATTTCTCAAAAGAAGACATTTATGTAGCCAAAAAACACATGAAAAAATGCTCACCATCACTGGCCATCAGAGAAATGCAAATCAAAACCACAATGAGATACCATTTCACACCAGTTAGAATGGCAATCATTAAAAAGTCAGGAAACAACAGGTGCTGGAGAGGATGTGGAGAAATAGGAACACTTTTACACTGTTGGTGGGACTGTAAACTAGTTCAACCATTGTGGAAGTCAGTGTGGCGATTCCTCAGGGATCTAGAACTAGAAATACCATTTGACCCAGCCATCCCATTAGTGGGTATATACCCAAAGGACTATAAATCATGCTGCTATAAAGACACATGCACACGTATGTTTATTGCGGCATTATTCACAATAGCAAAGACTTGGAACCAACCCAAATGTCCAACAATCATACACTGGATTAAGAAAATGTGGCACATATACACCATGGAATACTATGCAGCCATAAAAAATGATGAGTTCATGTCCTTTGTAGGGACATGGATGAAACTGGAAATCATCATTCTCAGTAAACTATCACAAGAACAAAAAATCAAACACTGCATGTTCTCACTCATAGATGGCAATTGAACAATGAGAACACATGGACACAGGAAGGGGAACATCACACTCTGGGGACTGTTGTGGGGTGGGGGGAGGGATAGCATTTGGAGATATACCTAATGCTAGATGACGAGTTAGTGGGTGCAGCACACCAGCATGGCACATGTATACATATGTAACTAACCTGTACATTGTGCACATGTACCCTAAAACTTAAAAGTATAATAATAATAAATAAATAAATAAATAAATAATTAAATAATTAAAAAAAAATCTCCTGAGGATTTCAATTCTTTAAACAATCCCCAGGCTCTCATGATACAATATTCAAAATGTCCAGGACTCAAAATTATGTGACTTACAAAGAAACAGCAAAATGTGACCAATTCTCAAGGGGAAAAAACAGTCAACAGATACCAAGCAAGATGAACTAGATGTTAGAATTATCACTCAGAAGCTCTATACCAACTACTGTAATTATGCTCCATGAGATGAAAGTAAACACTATTGAAAGGAATAGAAAGGCAGTTTTCAGAAGTGAAATATAAACTATAAAAAAATGAACTAAACAGAAATTTTAGGGCCAATAAAACAATATCTGAAATTAAAAATTAACTGGATGGGATCAATAGCAGAACGGAGATGACAGAGGGAAAAGTCAGTGAATGTGAAGCTAGAAATGATCTCAACTGAAGAAAAGAGAGAAAAACAACTAGGCATAAATGAGCCGAGCCTTAAAAACAAGTAAGAAAATATCAAAAGGTTTAACATTTATGTCTTTCGATTCCCAAAAGATGAGGAGAAGAAAAAATTGGAAGAAATCATGAATGAAAACCTCCCAAATTTGGAGAAAGATATGAACTTACAGATCCAAGAAGCTTAGCCAACCTCAAATAAGATAAACTCAAAGAAAACCATTCCCAAACATATCATAAACTGCTGAAAAGCAAAGATGAAGAAAAAAAATCTTGAAAACAGAGAAAATCAAAATACCATACATAGAAGAATAGTGACTTGAATAATTAGAAATTTCTCATCAGGAAACAGAATACAATGGAACAATATCTTTAAAGCATTAAAAGAAACTGAAATGTCAATGAGAATTCTATATCCAGCAAAAATATCATTCAGGAGTGATGATGAAATATAACCATACCCAGATCAGGGAAAATTTACAGTATTCGTTGCCAAGACATCTGTTCTAAAAGAAATGTTGAAGGAAATTCTTTATGCCGAGGAGAAATAGTATCAGAAGGAAACTTGGAAGTTCAGGAATAAAGGAAGAACAATAGAAATGATAAAATATCTCAGTAAATAGATTATTTTTGACTTTTAAGTTCTTTAAAAGTATGATGGTTAAAAGCAAGAATTTAAGCACCATTTTGTGGAGTTTTAAATGCACATAGAGGTACTGCACATGACAACTATAACATAAAAAAGGGAGAGTAAAGGAAAAATATATATAAAAACTGTATCTATAAACTATATATATATATAAGATATATATATATTTGCCATGTTAAATGGCATGTAGAGCCTAACAACCACAAAACTATATATATATATATAGTTTTTATATATATATATATGTATATTTTTGTTATACTCTACATGCCATTTAACATGGCAAAATATTAACTTCAAGTAGACTGTGAAAGCTTAGGTCTGTTTACTACAATGCTGATACCACCAAAAATATTCTAGGAGATACAAACACAAAGGATAATAGAAATTAAATTATAATAAAACATTTTAAAATAAATAATCCAAAAGAAAGAAAGAGAGAGGGAAGAGATGAATGGAAACAGAGGGGATAAACAAAAAACAAATGATTAAATGGTAGACCTAAATTCAACAACCACATCAATAATTATATAAAATATAAATGGTCTAAACATATAAATTAAAAGAAATGGTCAAATCAGGCTAAAAAACAAGACCCAAATCTTTCTTATACTGTGTATAAGAAATCCACTGTAAATATAATGACATAGATTAAATGGAAAAGGAAGAAAAAAGATATACCATGAAAAAACACTATAAAATAAAGCTGGTATGACTATATCAGTATCAGATAAAGCCAACTTTAGAACAAGGAATACTATACCAGGTATAAAGAGGGGCATTACATAAAGATAAAACGGACAGTTTTCCAAAAAGACATAATCCCAGATGACTCGGCTGCACCTCACAATAAGACTTCAAAATACAGGAAGCAAAACTGACAGAGCTTAAAGGAGAAACAGACAAATCCACAATTATATTTGGAGACTTCAACATTCTTCTTTCAGTAACTAACAGAACAAGTAGCCAGAAAATTATCAAATACCTGAATACTGCTATGGTCTGAATGTGTCCCCCAAAGTTCATGTGTTAGACACATGATCCCCAATGCAACAGTGTTGAGAGGTGAGGTCCTTAAGAAGTGATTAGGTCATGAAAGCTGTGCTCTCATGAATGGATTAATGCTGTTATGGTGGGAGTGGGTCAGTTATCGCAGGAGTAGGTTTCTGATAAAAGGATGATTTGGGGCCTCTAACCTACGCTCTTGCATGCATGACTGTCTTGCCCTTCTGTCCTGTGTCATGGAATGATGCAGCAAGAAGGCAGTGGCTCACGCCTGTAATCCCAGCACTTTGGGAGACTGAGGCAGGTGGACTGCCTAAGGTCAGGAGTTTGAGAAACTCCAACGGCCAACATGGTGAAACCCTGTCTCAACTAAAAATACAAAAAAAAAGTAGCTGGGCATAGTGGCATGTGCCTGTAAACCCAGCTACTTTGGAGGCTGAGACAGGGGAATTGCTTGAACCAGGGAGGTGGAGGTTGCAGTGACATCATTATAGATCTCAGAGATACTAAAAGGATCCTAAGGGAATACTCTGGACAACTTCATGCTCATAAATTCTACAACTTAGATAAAATGAAAAAATTCCTTGAAAGTCACAAACTACCAGAGCTCACTCAAGAGGATATGATAATCTAAATGGTTGTAAATTAATTAAAGAAATTAAATTTGCAGTTAAAAATCTCTAACAATACAGATCCAGATGTTTCCCTGGAGAAGTCTACCAAACATTTAAGAAATAGTATCAATTCTACACAATGTCTTCCAGAAAATGGAAGAGGAGGGAAGGGTTCCCACTGTATGAGGCCAGCATTATTACCCTGATACTAAAACCAGATGAAAACATTACAAGTAGGCTCAACTGCAGATCAATATCCCTCATGAGCATAGAAGTAAAATGCCTCCACAAAAATATTAGCAAATCTAATTAAGCAATATCAGAAAAGGAAAATACACAACAACATAGGGTTTATCACAGGAATGCAAAGCTAGTTTAACATTCAAAAATAAATTAGTATAATTCACCATATTTAGACTAATGAAGAAAAACCATATAATAATCTCAACAGATACAGAAAAATCATTTGGCAAAATTTGACATTCCTTCATGATAAAGCAAGCTCTCAGTAAACTAGGAATAGGAGCGAACTTCCTTAACCTGATAAAGGGCATCTGCAAAAAATCCTATAGTTAACACAATAATAGCAAAAGACTGAATATTCTTCCCCTAAGATAGAAACAACGCAAAGATGTCTGCTCTTACCACTTCTATTCAGCATCACACTGGAAATTCTAGACAGGCCAATAAAGCAAGGGAAGGGGATTAAAGACATCAAGTGGAAAGGACAAAATTGCTCCTAGAACCAGTAAGTATAAGAAGGTCATATTAGATAAGTTCAAATGAAAAAAAAAAAACACTTAAATCAAACAAAAAACTGTAGATATATATGCTAAATATGAACAACTGGAAATCAAAACTTACCCACAAAGTACTATTTATCTTAGCACCAAAAAATCTTGGCTTATAATTCTAAGAAAACATGTGCAGTCTCTATGTTAAAAACTACAAAATGCTGATGGAAGAAATCAAAGACAATATTGAAAAGTGGGAGGTTACCATGTTCATGGATTGGAAAACTCAATACTGTTAACATGTCAATTTTCCCCAAATTGATCTATATATTCTACATAACCTCACTGAAAATCCTAGCCAGTGTTTGTGTGTATAGTGACAAGAAATGCAATAGAATGAATAGCCAAAACAATTTTTAAAAAGGGCAAAGTTGTAAGAAGGACAAAGACAAAAGATTTAAGACTTCCTATAAAGCAACAGTAATCAAAACTGCACTAGTGATGAAGGGATAGGCACATAGATCAAAGGAACAGAATAGAGTTCAGAAATACACCTATACAAATATAGTCAATTCAAGGTTCAAAGTCAATTGAGTGGAGAAAAGGTAAGTTTTTTCAACAACTGGTGTTGGGAACAATTAGATATTCATGTAAAAAAATGAACCAAAATCCATATTATATACTTTATAAAAAAACTCAAAGTGGATCATGAACCTAAATAAAAAAATTAAAACCATAAAACTGCTAGAAAAAAGTTTAGGAGAAAATCATTGTAACCTTGATTTAGGCAAAGATAATGTTACATACAAAATCAAAAGCATGACCCATAAAAGATGAAATTGATAAAGTAGACTTCATCAAAATTTAAAAGTTTTATTCTACAAAAGACACTGTTAAGAGAATGAGAAAACAAGTTACAGACTAGGAGAAAATACCTGCAACTTGTACATGTGATAAAGGACTTGGATCTAGAATATGTAAATCCTCTCAAAACTCATTAAGGAGTTTAACTCAATAAAACTGGGCAAAGAAAAGACTATCAAGCCAAGAAAACACATAGAGGAAACTTAAATGCATATTAACTAAGTGATCCAATCTGAAAAGGCTACATACTATAATATTCCAACTATATGACATTCTGGAAAAGAGAAAACTATGGAGATGGTAAAAAGAACAGTGGTAGCCAGGAGTTTGGGTGCAGGAAGAGATGAATAGGAACAGCATAGAGAATTTTTAGCATAGTGAAACTACTCTGTTTGATACTTTAATGGTGGATACATGTATCATTATACATTTGTCCAAACCCATCAAATGCGTACCACCAAGAGCGAACCTCTAATGTAAACTATGGACTTTGGGTGGTAATAAAATGTCAGTGTAGGTTCATCAGTTGTATGACTCTGGTGGGGGATATTGATAATGAGACAGAATATGCATAAGCTCGGGGGAAGGGGTATATGGGAAATCTCTGCTCAATTTTTCTGTGAATCTAAAACTGCTTTAAAACACACAGTCCATTTTTTCAGAAAAGGGCAAAAATTCAGAAAGACATTTTACCAAAGAAAATACACAGATGCCAAATTGCAGACAAAAAACATACTCAATATTGTTAATCATTAGAAAATACAAATTAAGATCACAATGAGATACCATTATATACGTATTATAATAGCTACAATTATAAAAAAAATTTTTAACCTGACAGCAACTGCAGGCAAGGATGTGGAGCAACTGGAATGCTCATAAATTGCTGTTTGAAGAGTGTTTACAATGGCACAGACTCTGGCAAACAGTTTGGCGGTTTCACATGAAGTTAAATGTATTTTGACCATATGACCCAGCAATCCCACTCTTAGGGATTTGCCCAAGAGAAATACAAATTTATGTTCACACAAAAACTTGTACAAGAATGTTTATAGCTGCTTAATTTGTAAATGTGAAAGACAGGAACCAATCTAGATGTCCTTCAACTGGTGAATGGATAAACAAACTATGGTACATTCATACAGAGGATACCACTCAGCAATAACAACAACAAAAACCCACTGATGTACACATAATATCTCAAATATACAATACTAAATAAAGGAAGCCAGAATCAAAAGGGTATACACACACAAGCTTATTATTCAACTGATATGATATTCTGGAATGGCGAAACTAAAGGGACTGAGAACAGATCAGTGGTTGCTAGGGACTGGGACAGCATGAGGGAATTTTTGGGAGGTGGTAGACTGTTCTCTATCTTGATTGTGGTGGTGGTTACATGACGATATACATTTGTCCAAACTCAAAACTGTACACTAAAAAATTTTAGTGTATGTATTTTTATAGTACTTACAGTATGTATGTATTTTATAGTATAGTAAGACTTGTACAACCTTAAAAATTAAATAATCATATTCCCATTAATAGTCACCATTTATTGCGTGCCCACTATAGGCTAGAGGCATCATATTTAGGGCTTTACAATCATTTATCATTAACTTGTTACAATAACCCTTCACAGTCAGAATTACTATTCTATTTTAAAGGTAAGTGTCTTAGTCTATTTAGGCTGCTATAACAAAAATACCATAAATTTGGTAGCTCATAAACAACAAACATTTACTGCTTACAGTTCTGGAGGGTAGGAAGTCCAACATCAAGGTGCAAATTTGGCATCTGGTGAGGGCATGCCCCTCATAGATGGCACCTTCTAATTGTGTCCTCACATGGGGAAAGGCGTAAGCAAGCTCCCTGAGGCCTCTTTTACAATAGCACTAATCACATTCACGAGGGCTTCACCCTTATCATCTGATCACCTCCCAAGGGCCCCAACTCCTAATGCCATCACCTTGGGGTTAGAATTTCAACATAAAAAATTTGGGGAGGACACAAACATTCAGACCATAGCGATAAGAAAACTAAAACTCAGAGAGGTTGAGGTCCTTAAAAACAAGATGCTAAATATTCTTGGCAACTTTAAACAATGAGTTCTATGATTTTGAAGAAAAAAGAACTCCATAAAACTCAGATGCTTACAGAAATGCATGCTTACATTTCTCTAATTAGAAAATTTCCATTTTGCAGAATGAGAAATTTTTTAAAAACCAAGCCTTTATTAATTTGCTTGCAACATTCTTTTATTGCTCACCTCCCTAAAGAGAGGTTTCATCCTAAAAGATGTTCTTAATGTTAGATTCAAGTTCAAAGCTATAATAGATATGGTCTTTTATCTTAACAGTCATCACTACAAAGCTGTAATTAGCCTTAATAACCAAGTTAACCAAATTGAGCAAGTCATTCTCCAAATTTTATTAATTCAGAGTCCCACTTTGGGCATTTATCTCCTTTCCCTTCAATACGCCTGAAACATTTGTAGCTTTAAAAATAAAGCTATTTGATGATTAAACACTTCATTCTGCTGTCCCTCTGAAATAGTAACCCTTTAAGGACTCGGCCCAAACCAGGACAGAAGGCTCAGTGAGAAAAGTCATCATTTTCTGCACCTAACAGAGGACCTGGCACCTAGTCAGGTACTACTGGTTCTTTCACAAAGAACACTTAATTATTTGCTATGAATTACAATAAAAGCAAGTTCAATACTTTTAAATTACTTTCCTGGCTTCAAGGCATCAAAGCACATAAAGGCTATTATCAAATTGCTGGTGTGTGCATCATCTGGCACATACCAGCTCTAGCTTTTCTCTAACATCCAGCATGTTTCTACTCTCCTTTCTAATACTGCCTATTCCATACTCAGTGATTTTAGCAAAAAGATGGCACTGTAACATATAAGGCAAAGTAAACCAAAACTAGGGAGGCAATCCCCCAGGGAAGAAAAAAAAAAAAGCATTCGTCACACAAAGTAAATGGTTCCAATCCACTTAGTGGTCTTAAACCTATTCCCATCTTACACCTAGCCAGTCAGAGAATGTGGGAAGAATGTTGCTGAGGCAGAACACTAATAGTCATGGCAAGCCATTTGGTTACTTCTGCATCCCCCCAAAAGCAGAGTGCCAGTGGACAAGAACCCATACTCGGCAAATGTGGGTGGCAAGAATGAACTCTTCTCCTTGAAAGCCAATCTTTTCCACCAAACATTCAGATGTACAAATTATCACCACCATTTTGCCCCACCTCACACACTTATTGTTTTATGTTTCCAAGCAGAAGAAGTTTTTGATGAACAAGGTCTGATCTGGAAAGGTTAAGATATGGATTACCAGCCATAAGACCTTAGGCAAGCACACTGAGGCTCTCGGTGGTGGCAGTTCCCTCATTTAACTAATAGGAACGATAATTTCTAACCTCATCGGGTTGTTTAGACTTGAGTGTTCTTGCTAAATGTTGAATTCACACAGCTTCAAAAGGTGCACTCCTGCAAACCATTGTGATGAAAGACTTGGATGTTGAAGAAATTGAGAATCAACAGTTAAAACAGAATTGGAGTGCTCAGACTAAAGAATCACTCAAAATCACTCTGAATACCCTTATAAGTATTTTACATTTAATAAAATAAAACAAGACAACATATTAAACAAAAATCAGTAACTTGAAATACTTCTGCAACTTGTAATGATGAGTTCTTGGAACAATTAATTTCCACTTGGCATTGAAACACATTTCAATTTCTCCTTTTCCCTTGGTTTCAATAAGCGACTTTTAAATGTGTTTTGTTTTCCTGTAGACATTATTCTCTCTAGCTCCCAGGACTCCAGTCTGGGCCTATAGGCAAAGAGAGTGATTTAAAGGTCTGAGATGCTTTGGCAATTTTCAAATCACTGGTGTGTGCATCACCTAGCTTCTGGATTATCAACTGCATCCTTACCTACTCCCACCAGGAGGCATTTCTGAAACACATCCCCAACCCAACAGGGTTACTGAACATTTTCTCTATGTGCGTACTCTTCCTTCGGCTTCCCTCTCTCTGGATCACCTCCCACAGTATCTTTGCCAAAACACTTCTAGTCTACCATCCACTCTGCCATTTTAGTTTTAATGCCCAGGTTCCATAGTCTTCTATAGAAACTTAAAATTAAAAGTTATCAGAACTTATTTTGGGGAAAAAAACTCAGAAGCCAAACCATGTGAAATCTTACATAAGAGTTTGAAGATGATGATGAATTACTGCAAATGAAATATTATGAAAAATGAAAATGTATAATACTCTAAGACTGTGTTATACTCTTTCCTATAATATTGACAAACATCCAACTTAGTCCAATTCAAGGGATATGATTAAGTGAAATAACAGAACTTCAGTCTTACACATCATCATATTTTACATTTCTGGGGTTACTAGCATTTGGAGAATAACCATTAGAAGAAGGCATGAAGTGTTGTTAGACTTATAACCACTGTTCTTGTTAATAAAAACTACTCTAAAACTTAGTGACTTAATATAACAATACACCGTTGTATCTCACAATTCTGTAAGTTAGAAATTCTCTCTCTCCTCTCCCCTTTCATCCTGTGTCAATATGGCCTCTCCATGTGGATAGCATGGACTTTCTGATAGCAAGGCCGACTCAGGATAGCCAGACTTCTTATATATAGAAACTCAGGGCTCCAAGATCTTTGAAGAGATGAGAAGTGGATGTTGCCAGTCACGTAAGGTTTGGGCCCAGGAAGTGGCCCAAGATATCCTTTGATATATTCTGTTGATCAAACATGTATAAAAATCACCCAGATTCTAGAGGAGGGAACAAAGACTTCATATTTTCATGAGACAGTAGTAAAGAATCTGTGGCCATCTTTAACCTATCACAGTTACCAAAAAAGATTATAAATCTGCTAGATTACAAAATAGAAAACTAAATTATTTGCAAATGAGTATAAGAATGTCATTAGTTAAAATAATCAAACTCAAACAAACCATTCATCATATGAGAAGAGCTGTAAGTCAAGCAATACAAAGAAGTCATTATGAAAATTTAATAGTATAAAAGGTATCTCAATATACCTTGCAATATTTAATGCTGGTTTGTATGCTAATTTTATCACTTCAAAGAAAATCCTAACAATATCGGGTAACACATTTTGGATTCCTAATTAGATTCTACATTTAAAATTTTAAATGTCTTTAGGGTGCAAAGATTGCTCCACTTAATTCCGCTAACATACTTCTAAAAGTGAGTGGCATCTACACTTATCCACCTGACAATAATTGCTGCCATTTATTGAATGTTTATTTCACACTAACCCTGTACTGAATGCTTTACACGTATTTTCACATTTCACCCTCACATGAAAAAGAAGCCCGCTTTATAGATAAGGAAACTGATGTGCAGAGAGAAGTAGAAAATTGTGCTGCTATTAAGGGAGCCAGGATCTGGTCTAAGATTCATGTTCCCCTAAAACCAATATTCTTAAACACTATGGTGTTTAACCTTCGATCTAGCTACGTGGTCAGAAGGTTCTTCTGTAAGTTGGAATTTGTATGTATAGTTATGTATATATGAATTCCAAAATAAATGATATTAGTCTTGACAGAATCATCATTCCATTCCTCATATTTCAGCATATAATGTAAATAGTATATTATCATCTGAAATTATGAAGTATCCTTAAATGCACAGCTAATAAATTCTGTACTTTAACCACATGTTCTTATGTACTTAGAACATGTCTCTCCCATATATATGAAAGCATATCCAACAAAAACTTACACAGGTCCATCTACAAATAGCTTAAATTAACAAAAGAAAACTGCAATTTTTCAGGACTGACAGGCAAAGCAAATAAGTAATTTCATTGTAGATTGAAACAGTAGATAAATAAAAGCTCAATTTATGATTCAAGATTGATTATTCAAGTCAGAAGAAATCTGTTTTCTCTGAAAACCTTGAGATTGGCTCTGTTAGAGTTAAGTCAGTGTCTGCATTTCTGGAATAATGCACATGTATGCTGTTTGCCTGCTGGGGTGTGTTTCTGGGTAGAGCATCAGGATTTGTGACTGAATACATCAGCTGTTCACTGCTACCCCCCAACACCAATAAAACTTGTTTTTCAAGTTCCTTCTCCTTCATGGTTTTTTTGTTAACATAATCATCTCAGTAATTAAAATAAAAGCTGTACCTTTTGTGGGGTTTTTTGAACAATGAATTGATTAAGTAAAAGCTATGCACTTTCTATAAAAGATACCATTGGAATTTTTGACAAATATTGGTCTTCTCCATATATCCCAGGAAAACAACTATGTGTATAATATCACTGGAGAAAGCACAGGGCCATTAACAGTGGGGACTGGGGAGAAGCCGGTGGGGGCTGAGGAGCAGTACAACCAGCATCACCTTCTCTAAAGGTGAATAAGAAAGTCCAGTGGCTCCCTTTCTTCTGTCTCAAATTCAGAAAAACAAAGGTTATTACAGGGAAAGTTTAATTTCTACTTTTTATTATGTTTATCATTATGAAGTAATGGCAGGCAAAGTAAAACAATCACTTTTGGTATTTCCCAGGCTTCCACGGCTATTAAACAATTCATAATATTTATCATATTTATTTTTGTTCTCAGAGGCTATTATAAGAGTCTAGAATTTCATGCATGATCCAATTAACTAATTATACTTATTTAGAGGCCATGAAATGCCTAACTGCAGTCACAAATAGGAGATCACTGGCATAATTAGTTGTGCTAGCAAAACTATAGTCACAAAATTTCTTGGGTCAAATCACACTAAAATTGTGACCCTAATTATAGTATTGTTCTCAGTACAATGCTGTCTTAATATGTCAGTCATCCCATGTTTGGAAAATAACTTTTTTTTTTTTCTTTTTGGAGACAGAGTCTCACTCTGTTGCCCAGGCTAGAGTGCAGTGGCGTGATCTTGGCTCATTGCAACCTCTGCCTCTCGAGTTCTCCTACCTTAGCCTCCCAAGTAGCCGGGATTACAAGTGTGCGCCACCACATCCAGCTAACTTTTGCATTTTCAGTAGATATAGGGTTTCACTGTGTTGGCCAGGCTGGTCTCAAACTCCCAACCTCAGGTAATCCACCCGCCTCGGCCTCCCAAAGGCTGGGATTACAGGCGTGAGCCACCACACCTGGCCTGGAAAATAACTTTTAACTGGGGAAAACATTCTCCTTTAAATTTGATATGCCAGTTTTTAATTCACTAAAACATTTCTAGGAAAATTTTAAAATAAAACCTCGGGAATACAGCAAAAATAATTTTTGAGATTGCTCCGGTCAAGCATGGCAAAACTGTTAGCTAAATGGCACACAATTGGTTATCACTTAACCAAGTTCTGACAAAATTCTAAAGTAAAATAACCAAATTTTTGTTGTCAAGGAAGAAAATAAATCTGCCGGGCGCAGTGGCTCACGCCTGTAATCCCAGCACTTTGGGAGGTCGAGGTGGGTGGATCATGAGGTCAGGAGATCGAGACCATCCTAGCTAACATGGTGAAACCCCATCTCTACTAAAAATACAAAAAATTAGCTGGGCATGGTGGTGGACGCCTGTAATCCCAGCTACTAAGGAAGCTGAGGCAGGAGTGGCATGAACCAGGGAGGTGGAGCTTACAGTGAGTTCAGATAGCACCACTGCACTCCAGCCTGGGTGACAGAGCGAGACTGTCTCAAAAAAAGAAAGAAAGAAAGAGAGAGAGAGAGAGAGAGAGGGAAGGAAGGAAGGAAGGAAGGGAGGAAGGAAGGGAGGGAGGGAGGCAAGGAAAGAAGGAAGGAAGGAAGGAAGGAAGGAAGGAAGGAAGGAAGGAAGGAAGGAAGGAAGGAAGGAAGGAAGGAAGGTAAATCATAGATATTCCAAAACAATTAACTGGTATCCTGGATAATTTTCCTCCCTATAAACCTGTGGCCCTTATCTGATATGTAGTCTTCCCATTCCATTTGATTTGTTGGTGCAGTCAGTCAACATGAAAGATACATCAAAAACAGCCCAACCTCACTGGAAGCCAGGTTCTGTAGGAGGTCACCAGAGCCACCTCCTCTACCTCTCACTAACCCTCCTCCTTTTCAAGAGAGGGAAGGAGAGAGTTAAGGAAAAACTAAAAAGTTTTAAATCAGAGAAAAGAAAAAAAGGCACAATGATAGATGCTTTCTTATTTTGAGATACAAAAAGGCAAAAAGGACTGTCAATAGCTGAAGGAATGTGAACTGTGGTAAGCTGCAAGAACATTTTCCATGTGTTCTGCACTGGCTGCTCAACTAAGCCAGTTAAGCATAAGAAACATAAAAAACCGTTCATAAACAGTTTCATGGCTCATCCAATAGTCCTGACTCCAAAGTCTATATAACTCTATTTCCAGAAGACTCAACTGACACATAATAGTGACTTGTAATAGTGACTTATTTTATTCTAATACATAAAACATATTACATCTATTGCCAAAATTTTCCGAAACATGTCCTACGTTATATTAACCTTGTTTCTATAGTTGTCTTAAGCTGTCCAGGGTTGCTTTTTATTTTCCATTTATTTATTCTGTTTCCTGACTAGACTGTAAGCTCCACAGTAGCAGAGCCTACAATTGAGGGCACTATAAACAGCAGATTCTTGTTAATTTGTCTCCTATTCAACTGTCCACCATCCATATTTACGCATAAGTGCTTCCCTGAGCCACTGATACAATGCCCCTCCATTCATTTGCCATGAAGAACCAATTTAGGACAAAAGACAATCAAGAGTCCACTAAAATATAATCATATTTACCAATGATGATTAGTATAGAGTGCTGATGGTCCGGTAGACACTTAAGCACTATACTTGTGTAAGAATTCTAAGAAAACTGGCTTGTAATATTTCATCAGATTGGAACTGTAATTTTATTCAAAAAAACAATTTCTTAATGCACTGACTTTTCTGTGGAGTTCAGAAAGAACTTATGATGGGTGTTGGGTTTCCTAGAGAACAGAATGTTTCATTTTGCTCTAATTCATTCTATTAGTGAATTAAACTTTGATGTATTGGTCTTGACAAGTGCTTCATGCTGATTGTATTGTGTATGATAGTATAATCACTCCCCATGCATTTCCCACTGGCTGGCTGATTAATGCAATAGATTACCTGCAGCATTGATGGCAAGGGAGAATCATTGCCCTTCTGTACTCTAAACTGTTTGTATTTCAGAGTGCATGTGTGTGTGTCCAGGCACACACAGGCACCCATGAATATTGTGCACATGGGTGGAGAAGGCTAGATAAAGCAGAAGAAGAAAATGGAGGACTCAGTAAAGATTAATACCTTTCAATCATTGTTTTCAGTACATCAAAAATAACTGCTTCTTGATGTTTCTAAGTAAGTGTCAGCATTACACTTCAATTATTCATTCACTTTTTAATTCACAAATATTTACTGAGCTTCAATTATAATATCAGGCACATATTTTCACCTTTATAGGAAAAATAAAAATTACTTTCACTATTTTTGGGAAGGAGTGGAAAAAAGGGGTAAGATTATCAAATAGACATTAATACAGGAATAAAAAGAAGATTAAGAAAGGATGGGTATGACATTAGTTTAAATTTGCCAATAAAGACAATAACTGACGATACTACTATTAAATACAGTGAGTGGTTAATGGTTTCCAAACACACAGGCAAATCTTTCAAATTATGTGGTCTACATATGACCCTAATGCTTAGCAAAGAATATCTTCTAGTGCATGGTCAATCTGTTCTGGTGAACAGGTTGCTGGATATATTAATCTCATCTTCAAAGTGGCGGGGGGAAACAGACTTTGTGCTCTTGGGAGCATTTTGGAAGTATTCCTCCTAACAGGATTTTCTCTCCATTCCAAGCTTATATTTGACCCAAGTGCCCTGTTTGGGATTCTTCCATTCAACTCATTCCACCCTTGATCATACACAAAGGAAGACTATGGCTTCCAATCTAAGCCACTTCAAGGTCTCTCTCTGATTCCTACTTTATTAATGTTTCTCACTCTCTTCTCCAGGTTTGCTGAAGCAAATTTTGAAATTTATTAATCTAGCTAGTCATAGCTTAAAATCACAGAGATTTGGCTTTCTATTTCAAAGGTTATCTTTGCAGCAGAAAGCACAGAGAACTGAGTGAGTTACCTACATTTTTCAGACAACTAGTATCATTACCCTGGGTATTCTGTCAACCAGATCAAAGTCTAAGAAAATAGCCCTAAGACCAGTTATTAACTCCCTGAAGCAAATTAACATCAGAAGGCTCTAGCATTTTACTATACAGAGTCTTTTTCTTATATTAATTTTGGAATTTTAAAATAAAACATGAAAACAGTGTTATACAATTATCAGACAAGCTTGCAAGCAGCCTCACAAAAGTTCACTTGCTGCAAATCATCTGCCATCTTGCCTTCCCCTAAAGTATATAGGAAAAAGCTATTTATATAAATTTAAAAGTCATCCTTTAGTACAGCAGTCCCCAACCTTTTTGGCACCAGGGACTGGCTTTGTGGAAGAAAATTTTTCCACGTATGAGTACTGGTGGCGGGGGCGGGGTGGCAGTTGCCGGGGCATGGTTTTGGGATGAAACTATTCCACCTCAGATCATTAGGCATTAGATTCTCATAAGGAGCACGCAACCTCGATCCCTCATGTGTGCAGCTCACAACAGGGTTTGTGCTCCTATGAGAATCTAATGCCACTGCTGATCTGACAGGAGGTAGCACTCAGGCAGTAATGCTCAGTTGCCTACCACTCACCTCCTGCTATGTGCCTCAGTTCCTAACAGGCCACGGACTGATACTGGTCCACAGTCCGGGGATGGGGGAACCCCTGTTTTAGTACATGTCTAACAAGAGTACCTATTAAAAGCCTACTGAAGATAGTGATTATCAAGCATGCATTTATAATATCGGAATCCTTTCCTCCAGAACAATCTTGATGAAAACCCTAGTAGTAATGTGGTAAAGTCACACTGCTCTGATTGAGAAGGATCTGCCTCGTCCCTTCAGCACTCGCTTCCCCCTGACCCCAAACCTAGGGGCTCTGCAGGGCAGTGTCTGAACACCCCCCTCTAAGGACAACCATTTCTAACTTCCTTGGGTTTTCCTCCCCATCATGAGCCTAACGAAGCTTAAATTAACTATGATAGCATGTATAAAGCACCTTGCTTGATATTGGCACATACACAGAGCTGCCTAAGGAGCTGCTTCAGCCTTCCCTTTGCTTCCACTTCTTTCCTTCCTGCTCCTGGCATCCCTGATTCTCTGTGAAGCCCCTGGGAATCCCAGATGGCTTAAAACGAAGCTTCTCAGACCTCATTAATTTTTCTATGCTGCCACTTCAGGGTAAGAAATGGTGAAAGGAAATTTTCTTCCCCAGCTTGTCTTGCTTCATTTTCACTCTCGCTCTCCCCCTCCACCCTACCATGATAGTACTCTCTAGATCCACAGCCTAGTAAGGAGACTTCCCTAGCCAGAATTCCCATTGGTGGACATTTCTTGAAGGCAAGTGCGGTCAGTACTATCTCTTAGGAAACAGGAAAAGTAGGGAGAGAACCTTTCTAAGAATTATGAGAAAGAAGAGGACACCTTATACCAACGCTATGACATTCCTATTAACCACTAATGTGAGAAGAGTATCTACTACCAATGGACTAATGCTGTAAGTAGAAAGATGACATAAAAGAAAGTAACTGGAATCGATTCTTGATACAAATAAAGCTACTAACACACAACATATATAAGACAGTAACACTCAAGTGTATTACAATGAGCCTTAAAGCATCTTAATTCCTCACCAAATCTCCATGTTTAGCATATGGTTTCATAAAAACACACAAGGAGGTGAATCTCCAGTGTTGTTACAAATTATCTAATTCTATACAGAAACAGTTTAGACAATGGATACTACTAAGAATTTCCAATTGGTTAGACAATAGGATCAAATGACCTGTAAAGTCTCTTTTAATCCTGAAAATCTATTTTTTTAATTCGTATTTTAAAGTTTTTCTCTTTATTTCCACTCTTCCCTATACAGGTAACTGAATGGATAATTAAACCCTAGCAGCCACAGTCAAGAGGATAGTTGATAGCAGTACACAGCAAGTATTTATCCTAGGTTTGCCCATACATTCTCTCTTTTGGTTTACTTCTGACCCAAACTAGAGATTACTCTGTTTACTTAAAGAAGCAGAAAATAAACCCCTCTTTTCCACCCCCACAGCAGGGCAGAACTCCGAGGTCTATGACCCAAGAATACAGAGTTCTGAGTTTTAAGAGACAGAAAGCAGTAGGACAGCACAGGGAAAGAAAACATGCCCCAGTAATGAGGACCTAGAAGCAGATGAGCCTTCTGAGAACAGTGCTGGAGGGAAGTAAAGCCTTCTCAGCAATACAATTGACCAATCCTCTGTATTTACAGGAAACTCTGAACAAGGCAGAGAGAAGCAGAAACTGAGACCAGAGTATACAACCCCATCCCAGCAGGACAGCTTATGTCAGGAAGGGGTCTGCAGAGCCTACAGAGCCATATGAGATAAACTAGTGCTGGCAACTCTGTGGTCATTATCAGCGCCTAGTTCAGGCCAGGGCAAAGACAATGAGCTAAGGGTCTTCACCGGCTCCTTACCAAAGGGGACCTGAAAATGGGATACAAACTTCACTGTATTCTATCCTACAGTAGTACCCCATACTACAGCATGTAGTACCTATATTTATGATAAGCTGAAGTTTATTATTTAATACAGTTCTCAGTCAATGGCACGTATTTGGCTATTGGATCCATGTGCTTGTTTTCTCAAAGAACCTGAAGTTAGAGGGTCCCTGTAAACATGGGTACAAATTAGCGACTAGACTAGGTAAGCTCAGCGGACTATGGTAGTCAGGATTGTGGTACCATGGGTAGGCAGACAAGGCCAGGCAGCTCTTACAGGGTTTATTCCCCACTAGGTGAGCTTCGCTTTGACCTTGCTCTGCTCCGAGTAGAGAGACTACCTGGAAGAGAGGCATATAATAGTGTTTAACAATAAGCTGGCTAGGTACGGTGGCTCATGTCTGTAATCCTAGCACTTTGGGAGGCTGAGGTGGGCATATCACGAGGTCAGGAGTTCGAGACCAGCCTGGTTAACGTAGTGAAACCCCATCTCTACTAAAAATACAAAAAATTAGCCAGGTGTGGCAACCAGCGCCTGTAGTCCCAGCTACCCAGGAGGCTAAGGTAGGAGAATTACTGGAACCTGGGAGGCAGAGATTGTGGTGAGCCGTGATCGCACTACTGAACTCCAGCCTAGGCGACACAGCGACTCTGTCTCAAAATAATAATGATAATGATAATAATAATAATAATAATAATAATAAAGCTGAGGACATTGTCTAGACTGGTGGTTATGTTTTTGAAGTCACTGACACCTGGGATTAAATTCCTGCTTTGCTACTGTGACCTCGGGCAAGTTATCAAGCCTCCTTAAACCTCAGTATTATTGGCTGTAAAATGAGGGCAAATAATTGGACCTATTTCACAGGATTGTTTCAGGGATTAAATAAAACAACACATGCATTAAGTGCTTAGCACAGTTCCTGACAAATAAATGTTGGCAACTATGTTATCATTAGGAGCTAGACCAAAATGAGAAATAAAGCAAAAATCCAGGTTTTATGATACCTGTCTACCATCTCCCTCTTCTCCGCTTTTAAGCAACAATACAGAACAGCAAGGTTGGATTGAAAATCTCAACAGTTTTGATAATGAGTTTGAAGGCTCTCTACTCTCCTCCACTGAGCCCACTGCTGTCTTTGTTCAAGTTGTTTCTTTTTTCTGGAGTATTCACACTGCTTCTTCCCTGCAACACACCTCCATAAACATCTTATAAAACCATATTAAATTTGGTTTCTATAAACCTTTGTACTAATTTGTAATGAAATTACTCTATCAAAGTTCTCCTTCATCCATTCTTGGCTGTTCTTATTTATCACATCTCCTAATGTTTCATCTCTCTACCCCCTCCTTGCTACTGGTACTATCACCTACCCCAAAATCAAATATCTAATACATCTGTTCCTCTAGACATAGCAAGTGCTTCATACACACTGATAGAGAGACCACAATAAGACTTCTGGAAAGAAGGTTAACAACACAGCACTGACAGTGTTATGTTGTGGGAAAGCTGTCCTCTCCTTATGCCCAGGGAAGACAAACAGGTAGATGACAAGCAATCCTGATATGTGGTTCATTAGAATTACGCTCTATACTTCCAGCTATTTGGAAGTTACCAAGTGTGTACCGACATCTTTTTGCTGCAAGGGAACTCTTGGAATTGCTTTTTCTTCATGGTACTAGCAAAGAGGTAACTATGTATATGGGGAACCATTTTGGTAAGCTTTCCAGTTCTCAAAAAGAAGCAGTTGCTCCTTAGCCATTAATTAACCACCATCAACTATAAAATGTGGCAAGCTTGAGTTAGTTTGAATAACTCAACTAAAGTAAGAAGCTCAAAACAGGGATGGGGGTGTTGGTGGGGGCAGTTATTAAGCCTACTGCTTTCAAAGATGTAAGACAGCATTCCCCAGAAATTTCTCCACAATTACCTATAAAGCAGAGTAAAGCAGAGCCTTTAGAATCTTACTTCTGGTACACAGAGATTGTCCTAAATTACTTAAAAGTATCATTTTGAATGTGTGACTTAAGCATATGTTTTTCTCCTTATTCAAGAATAATGTAGGTGGTTACAGAAAAATCACTATTTGAGTCTGGGATGGAAGATGGAACAGCATTTGGGTCCATGGAGCAGGTTAATTCAAAAAATATAGTCTCAAAGGGTAGGCTGTGTTCTCTACTGCCAAACATAGTTAGATTTACTCTAATTCTAAGTGTCCTGAATCTGTATACCACTCAATCTATCTAGCACCCTACCAAGGAACATTATAGCTGTTGCTTAATAACTAGTGGTCAAACTAATCATACAATGAAATTCAAACTAGAAAAACAATCTAACTCTGGCTATTTCTGTTCACACAGAATTAGGTCTCCAGATGAGAAGCCGTGAAAAGAACTCTGAGACATGCCACCTTGTTCTTGTGAACTGAATGAGCAAAGCTCAGTGCAGCAAGGCTCTTGCAATGGCAGCCCACCCGCTCCCTAAGAAACAGGATTTATATGCTAGAAAGCAAAGCGCGTGACTCAGCTCCGAGAGAAAGTTAAGTGTTTAAAACTTGGGGAAAAACATATTATGTAACAGTTGAAGATAAAAATTTAAGAATATTTCCCTGTGATAAAACTGTAATTAAGTGTTATTTAACTGTTTCCTCTAATGACATCATTTTATTTAGGTTTTAATAGACTGGCAGCCACAACCTATAGTTTTATGAAGCAAAGTAAAATTGCAGTCTAGGAATACATTTAAGAAAAGAGAGCCATCAACACAGATGCGAGGTTACAGTGTATCCCCTCATCCCTAGACCCCCACAGTAATTAAGTGTGCTGAACAGACAGCCATTACAGCTAACAATAGGTGTGCTCACCCCCAATCAGCACTGGGTTGTTCTTGGAAATCCAGAGGTTATTTCTGTGATCTGCTTTCCAGAAAATTTGCATGTCACAGAATAAAGAATGTAATTCAAGAGGTGTGTGTTCTATAGATTCTACTAAATATGTAGCTTCTATCAAACGTACAACCTCTACCATTGCAATGGGGCTTTCTATTTTAATATATACCTTTTCTTATAGCTGATTATGATACAACATTACTCATCTTGAGAACACTGGTGTATGTTTGGGAAAATAAACACCATGTAGAGAAAGTAAAATTAATATTTGAAAAACTGACTCATGTATAAGATAAATGTATCTGTAAATGAGATGCAATAAACAGGATCTTAAGACTATGCATCTGTACCTATTTCATACTACATTATGAAAATCAGGGAGTAAATCACAAAAGTTAACTCATACCAAATGAATGTCATAGGCACTTATATTAGAAAAGAAAAACAGAATAATCAGTCCCTTTGTTAGCTGGAGCATGGGGGGAAGAAATTGGGCCTGTGGCTACCACAAATAAGTTTTCATATATTCACTTGAAAGAAAGAAAAAGTTAAAATAAATGTTACTTTTACAATTAATTTTGAAACATCAACATTTAAATTTTCATAGATCACATGTAAGCAGGAAATTGTAAATCTTGGGGAGGGGGACACTGGGCCATATGAAAAAGATTTTGTAATCTTCTGGCTGACAATCTGATGGCTCCAAATCCATCTGCCAAGAAGCAGAGTTACTTGGCTAGCATACTCTCGCTTGTACACTTTCATCAGATTAGGGCTTTCATGCCAGGAATCTTTTTTTTTTTTTTTTTTCCTGGTGTACTGGTCACTGCCAGAAATGGACCCAACGAATCCACCAGTGCTAAGGAGTTAAGCATCTGAGATTTAATTTAACAGTTTCAGCTTTATTAAGCTGTCACAGAGCGGCCCCACTTTGATAACAGTAGCTGCTCCAATTATGGCTTGGTTTAGGGTTGACAAGTATAATGATTCATTCGTGGCACATGAGAAGCAATAAAAGGTTGTTTTGCATTACAACTTTAAAAATGTGGGCATTTTTTTCATTTAATTTGTCACTTAGCTTTTGCTAAGAGGACATTTAAATTGCAGTAAAAGGCAAATGGGGCTTTTAGTTTAAATGTAATCCCCATATTTAAATGATCTGTAATGGCGCGGTGTTGGAGTGGGAACACTATTGTCTCACAGTGGGTCCTGATGGTGACATGTGACATTTGTATTCAGGTCCTGTATTATCCATGTGGCTAAAGGGCTTCCAATTTCATTTCACAGCCAGAAGCCTGCAGAAAACACCAATTAACTTGCAGATCCCATTTGCCGACAAAACTCAGCCTCTTCTCAATGTCTGGCATCTGGCAGTGCTCAGCATTTAATTCCAAAGCAGAGCCTTGAAGCAATGTGAGCCCTGTGTAGGGGCACAAAGTCAAATTCCCCCATTTTATTAAGAAGAAAAGCCTTTCCTTTTGTAGTCCAGAAGCAACTTTCAGTTAATTTTTTGGTGAATGAATATTAAGATGTGCTACTTACTGTTACTTCTACGTGAGATTCTTCACAGAACTTAGACCCCATTAAAATGGCAAGTGACCTCTGCTTGCCATCAGAGTACATAGGAGAATTTCTAGCAGTCTAGTAATGATTGGGCAGTGGGTGGGGGGCACACAGGACGAGAAGTTGTGGTCTTTACGCTGGACTGAAATCAAAGAATTTGTATAAAGCCTGGTCCTTAATTAGAAAGTAGTCCATAAGAGGGCATAACTAGAATCAGCTGGTGGAAACTTCCACCTAATAAAAATTTATATTTCTGATTGAGGGTTAAGGTACGTAATTTTCAAAACCCACTTGGAAAAGTGACATTTGACCATGAATTAAATGTGAACACTGCAAATTTTATTTGACTGTATGTACCACCAGTACCCTTTTTGGTAACCAAAAAATTTAGTTGGTATTTTCTTCCTAAACAGTCGTTTGTAATTCTAAGTCTCTCTAAGTACCAAAGCTCTTTAAATTGCATTCATTTAATATTAATTCAATAATTTTTCCTTAAATGATCCCCTTCATTATAGTTTTCTTAATGCTAATCCTTTTTACTTTATAAAGCATCTAACCAATCAAGTCTATACTAGAGTTACAAAATTGAAAAAGGTTTACTTAAAAAGTAAAACATTTAGGATTTTATGAAAATACTTATTTAAACCATGCATTATACTTGTGTTATTTAACCACCACACTGTGCCCCCCAAACATCATTCTAATACATCGAAACTATCTATTGTAGTTACAGATTGATTTACATTTTGATTAGGGGGAAGGGCACTACCATTATTTCAGGAGACTCACAGAAAGCAGCAAGATTAAGTTATTACAAGATACTTAAGAAAATTGCCAGGGAAAAAGTCAACAAATATCTAATAGTTCACAAGTAGCAAACTTGTCCACAGCCAACTTCTGAACGTATATCCTATTAATAGGAAAAAGAAAATACTGATATCACATCCTTTACCAACTTGCTGCATAACCCTAGATTACACAGTGTCATGTTGTGGAAGTCTCCTAACCTCTCGGGACTTGTTTCCTTATTTGTAAAACGGCTAATCTCAAATACCCCTTCCAGTCATGGTCATTTGGTATCTTCACGGACAACAGCATCGTTTGGTTTAGACTACACCTGGGATCAATCAGCATGATGTGGTCCATCATTAGCCAAGAAAAATTTCACTAAGACTAGGATCTTCTAGTAAATATAGACAACATTACTTCTCATAAAATTAATACAGGTACTGATATATTTGTCAAAATTTCAGGTGTCACTTATAGATTTCTTAATAAAAAGACAAGATAATAAATACATCATTCATTATTTCCCTAGCGATGAACATTGGGTACCAAGACTCATCCAAATAAAATTCCCAGTATTCTTTTAATGAACATGACTAGTGGATTTCTCATTTTTTTGAACACTTGCTATATTTGTATCTTTAACCACCAGGAATTTAGGAAGCAATAAATATTAGAATTTGCTGTATTTTTCCATTCTGAGGATCGACAGTTCATTTAAATCTATAGCAGCCAAAAATAAAATGAATATCCAACTAATTTTAATAATTCCAGTGTGGGGAGAAGGGGGAAGAAAGACTCTAAATTTTAGCTGAATCAATTACAATATTAATCTAGAAATAAGTAATCAGCTCTACAATATAAAACTGCTATTTAAAAATAATACAGCTTTTTTTTTTCCAAATACTTAAAGGGAGATTCCTGCACTTAACTTTCCTCAAGATCAGGCAATTCCCCCAAAACCCTGCTAAGGTTGTTTTCTGTAAATGCCAGCCCAAGTTCTAAATCCTCCTATGCTTCTAACCTATATATTGGCAACACGTTCCATGCATGAGCAGCTCTCTCTTCAGCAATACTACGACCATGTTCTTGAAACATCTGACTATGGTATTTATCCATATGCAAATCAATGGTAATTTGTGAGGAAACATGCTTACCCAGCTCATCCCAGAGCTGCCTGTATTTGTCAGTCATTGCAGTGCCTTGTTGCCGCCAAAGTGACAGGCGAGGGTCAGCCATGAATTGCTCTGTTATCAAGGTCAACATGCGGGCCCCATTGGAGTCCCTCATCTTTAACATCTCCCGCACCTAATGGGGAAAAACAGACCTTTAGAAAATTGTTCAAAACGAAAACACAACAAAACCCCACAGCAACACAAGAGACAAACCACCACTTTTCTCTGTTTCTCTCTCTCTCTCTCCGTGTGTGTGTGTGTGTGTGTGTGGTGGAGGATAGGCGGGGAGATGTCAAGCCTTCACACCAGCCCTCTTAAGCAAACAAAATATAAAATTTAAAACCACTCCCTACCCTAAATAGCAATTTAATCAAAGAAATGACCATTAATTATTTTGAATTATATGTTAGAATCCATATGAAGAAAAAATGCTCTCAATTACAAAAATGTTCTGGTTGGGTCTTACACACTGATTAAGGTGAGTAAATCGTGTTTCATATGTCCAGTAGAAACTTTTTTTCCAGTTCTCCTTCAAAGTATCTCTCTTATCTAAACCAAGTACACTTTGTGATTCAAGATTACATCCAACAAAGTAGGCATTCATGCTTTGACAAACCACAGAAGTAAAATCTGGCACTGGGAACAGGTATCTGAACCTACCTAGTATACCAAAACAGATTTAAGCAAGGTGCTGCTGTTTCCTTGCATAAAATAAGATGCCATAATTTTAGTAAGATGCCATAAGTTTGCTAGCCTAAAGAAATACAATATCAAAACAAACAGGACAAACAGTTTGGCACCTTCCTGACTCTCCAACTGATTGTACTTACCATCAGAGAAGCACAGCCTAATGCAGAGTCCATTGAGAACTCAAGAAATCTTCTAAGTAGATCTGATAATGTGTATAATAATAACACTTGGCCTTTAGTTTTTTTAGGAACAGCTTTGTTGAGACATAATTCATATACCATACAATTCACCAATTTAAAACGTACAATTCAATGGTTTTTAGTATATTCGCAGTTGTGCAAGTCCTTCAATTTTTGAGATAAATTAGTAATTGCATAAAGGTTCTCTCTCACTTAAGTTTTTTATATAAAGAGCAGCAGCATACTTCTACTCACTCAGATGGGGTTGTTTTTGCAATGGTAAAAGAAAATGGACAGGCCTGTTAGGTTCAAGAACTCTCCTGCTCTATATGGGTGATCCATGAAGCAGAATAATAACCACAGATCTAATAAGTTAACTTTGCCTCTCAAGTTGGAACTTTAAGTTTTGTCCATTACTCTTATGCTACATTTCCCAAATAAAAGAAAGGAAAAAGGAAACACAAGGGTAAGCCTCTCTGCAGCAAGCCCTAAATGAATCCATCCACTTCAAAAATGTATACTGCTATGTATTCAATAAGTAAGAATCTCAGCTGTAATTTCCCCGTAAGAAATTACTGGAGCAAGGTCACAAGCAGTAGAAAAGGTGGGGTGGTTGGTCCTTCTTTCAGGACTCTCTATGTGAAAGGCAAGGAAAGGAGAAAATAGTAGATCTTCAATAAAGCAGCCCAAATCTAGAATAGATCCTGCCTGAGGTCTGCACCCTCAAGAAATGGAAATTCCTCACCTGCTTTAGAATTTGAGCTTTATAAAGAACTCAAAAGCACTTCTACCCTGAATCACAAAGGTTGTGCTTACAAGAGCGTTACTTCAGTATTCCTATAAAGGAGTTTGTTCCCAATATCAAAGTACTAAAAACTCATTAACAGGTGAAGATGGAGGAAGAAAAGGAGTTGCCATTTATTGGATACAATGTTAAAGAGTTTTACATTGATACTTACTATTTAATTTTCACAACAACCATGTAAAATAGGCCAGATTATAATCCCCATTTTATGAATTATAAAACCAAGCCTCAGAGAAGTAAAATAACTCACCCAATGGACAAGGGGAACAGCTTGGATCAGAACCCGTATCTGTCTTAACTTCAAGTTAAGCTAATTCCAAAATTAGAGGTTGCTATTACTTCATATGGCATACATAATGTGTATATAATATATAGGGATAAAAAGAACAACTGCACACCAGGCTAATAATACATCTTTTGAACTGTTTCTAACATAAGAATATATGAAATACTTCCTGTGTGTCTAAATATACTAAACCTTTTACATTATTAGTATTTATGGATTTGATTTAATGTTTATTTTTTCTGGTAGATTTCTAACCTATTACACAGCAACAGCAATGAAAATAAACACTTTACTCTTAAGTATATAAAACAGAACTCTCTATTTAACCAGCACTCATGTACATCTATAGCCTAATGGTAATTAATTTTCAGACTGTTGACACGGAGGCATGACATGAGTTTGAAGTGCCTGTGAATCACCAAAGAATGCTTAAATCATGTGTAAAGTAGTATTAGAGTTAAATGTATTTTATTGTAATCTAATTCTGGGGAAATTTGCAATCTACATATGGTATACAGGAAAAATCTTTATGAACATGGTATTGATTAAGCAGAATACACTATTCCTGGCCATACCCAGTAACAGGATTTACTCTAATTCTTTTGAACTAAAAAAAAAACTTTTAATTATAACAAATATTAGAGAAGATATTCAACAAAAGCATCAATGAACAGCTATCTGTTCCTTTAAAACCAATGTTAATACATTAATCATAATGATGACTATACCCCCAATGAAAATATAATGATTTAATATTATTCAAAAAGCATTTTATCCAGTATTTACAAATGTGTGTATGGTACTGAAACTTCTGTATAAACAAAACACACAGCTTCCGCTCACAAGGAACTTATGACCCAGATAAATTAAATTATTGAGCCATCAATTTTTAATGATGAAGATGAACAGTAGACAGCATCATTTAACACCATTATCACAACAGTTTTAGGAGATATGTTATTATTAGCTAATTTTCTGAATGAGAAAATTAACAAATAATTTGCCAAGGTTTATATACTTAGAAAGATCTAGAACTTGGATTCAAACTGAGATCTATATGACTCTAAAACTCAAGCTTTTGAAATTAACTTACAGATACTGACATTATTAAACTAAATAATTAAAGCACATTTTAGGGATTATAAAACTAAGTTCTCTTGGGAAAATTAACTAGAAAGGGAAAAACTTGAAAAAAATGGCATTTTGAATAACACTGTTAATTATTTTGCTTTTATTATTGTAAGAGGTTTTTCAAAATTGTATAAATTATCACCATTTTATTGATAGGAACTGAGAGAGACAAAAATATCCCATATCTTGTCTAAGATCACCTAAGGAAAAAATAGCTTGCATTACAATACAAAAGTTTCTATTGGTCAGCTAAGACCCTGTTCTTTAATTTTTAAAAGTCTTTATCCTATTGTAGACATGATCATATTCAGATAGTCCCTATATATGTATATATTTAGAATATTTCTTTAGAAATAGACAATCATACCTTTGCAAAGAGCAAATTAAGCTGCTTCCCTGATCCGTGGTACCCGCCCTGGGAAAGGAACAGTTTAACCTGTTCTTGAACCTGCTCTTCATCTAAGTGCCAGCAGTTTTCATCATCTATACTAGCACCTGCTGTTGGATCAGGAGCACCTAGAAATAGAAAGAAAAATAATAACACACAGGCTAGATAAAAACTCTGTGCTAAAAGGATTAATTAAGACTCTTTTTGCCTACTTTTTAATTCAATCTCAATTTCAATTATACATACAAATTTGTGACAAACTAAATACAAGGATCACTCTTATTTCCAGAACTTTCCTGATTTGTGCTAAGTCAAATGCAGATTACTTTAGAATTGAGATATTTCTATTTTTTAGGTTCAGAGACTATTATCTCTGGAGATGAGTTTATAGGTTCTCTAAAAAATCAAATTCACAAAAGTGTTTCATTGTAAATACATGATGTTTATAAAGCTGTGTAGGCCATGCTGGAAAAAATGTCTTTCAAAGACTTTAGAAAAATATGAGACAAGTAAACTTAGCAGAGTATTTCTCTCTTTACTATGTTAATTCAATAAGTTTTCACCATTATCTGCTGCTGTATAAACTACATGCTGACATAAGTCTTTAGTTGCAGAAAACCGAAGATTAAAAAGGGAAATCAAGCCACATGGGAACAGGCAGTGCAGCTGTTGTATTAAACCAGGTTGTAGTATCACCTTGCCAAACTGCATAAATATTTTATTGCTGAAGTACACACAAAGATAGCAGCTAAGTAATAAGCCCTATGTGTGTAGACTACCTTAGAAATTAAAAAACTACCCAGATATTTAGGGAGGTAAAGATTGTTTCATTATTTGCCAATAAAATAAAATGGTATTTTAAGGTCTAAGATTCATAAGTAATACAAAAAAAAATTAGATCTAAAAACTGTTCATCCTCAGTGTTTCATCTGCTTATCAACCCTTAAAAAATACATCTGTAGGTGTGGTTTTGTATTACTTTTCTTGTCTTCTAATGATCTAAAGCAGACTCAATTAACCAAAGAAATAATCACTAACATCTGCTTAGAACCAAGGCCTACTAGTCCCTAGTAGAGGAAGGCAGTGGATCCCTGAGCCTGCCTGAAAAAGTGTATGTTCATTCATTCATTCAGCCAGTCAGCATATTTACTGAGTGCCTGACTCAGTGCCAGCCTCTCTGCTAGACTTGGAGATAGAATAGCGGTACAAACTAGACAGAATTCCTGTCCTCACTGAATCTACAACTTAGTTCAGGGGCTTTCAAATTTTGCTGAACAAGACCCACAATAAGAAATATATTTTACATCATGCCTAATATGCTTATGTGTCTGTGTGTTCATATGATTAATCTGCAAAAATTTGATGCAAGTGTCCTTACTATAAGCAAAGGCTCAATATTTTCTACTCTATTTCATTTTTTAAAGAGGGCTTGTCACAATTTTTAAAACTGATTTTATAAGCTATAACAGGTGGCCACCCACTAATTGAAAAACTCTCCTTTAAGTTTTTGAGATAAATATCAATCTAATAATCATATATATAAATGTATAATAAATGGTAATAACTGCTCAGAGGAAGAGGGCCGGGTGATGGAAGACTCTATCATCAGAGAATTCTGACTGGGCCTTGGATTGCTAGGGTAAGCATACCTTGATGAAATGGCACTGAGCTGAGATCTGCCTTAAGTGGATTAAAAGCTAATTAAAAATGAAGTAAAGGTCAGGAAAGGAGAGAAGGGTCTGCATGTGAGAAGAACTTGAGCATAGCCCTTAGGCAGGAAAAAACATGGTGCATGGAAGAAATAAAAGGCAGTCTATGCAACCCAAGAATAGAAGATGAGAGGAAGAGTAATACAAGATAATCCTGGAGAAAAGAAGCAGGATCAGACTGAGTGCCTTGGTTGGCAAAGAGCTTAGTTTTTTTCCCTGAGAGTAATGAATGGGAATTCATGACAACTTATCCAAAGTGGAAGAAAGAAATACTCTAAACAATAAAAGATGTTTTGTCCTGATATGCATCAATTTCAACATTCCTACCATGAAATATTATGCAGCCATAAAAATGAATGTGGAGACTCTCCATGCATTACAATGGAAAGATATCCAGGACATACTGTTGATTGAAAAAAAAAATCAAGGAGAATAAAAGTATACACAGTGTACCACTTTTCAGGCAATTAATGATGTTTGTGCTAGATAGACTAACCAAGAAAAGGAGAGAGAAGATCCAAATAAATAAAATCAGAAATGAAAACAGAGACATTAAAATTGATATCACAGAAATACAGAAGACGATCAGAGACCTATTATGAACAACTATATGCCCCAAAACTAGAAAACCTAGAAGAAACAGAAAAGCCTGAGCAGACCAGTAATGAGTGGCAACACTGAATCGGTAATAAAGAATCTCCCAGCAAAGAAAAGCCCAGGATCAGATGGATTTACAGCCTAATTCTACCAAACGTAGGAAGAAGAACTAATACTAATTGTCTTGAAACTGTTCCAAAAAATCAGAAGACAGAATCCTCCCTAACTCATTACACAAGGCTAATGTCAGCATGGTACCAAAACTAGACAAGGACACCACACAAAAAGAAAACTAGAGACCAATATCCCTGATGAACACAGACATAGAACTCCTTAAAAAATACTAGCAAACCCAATCCAACAGTATGTCAGAAAGATTATACACCATGATCAAATGGGTTTTACACCAGGGATGCAAGGATTGTTTAACATGCAAATTGAGAAATGTGATACCAGAATAAAGAACAAAAACCATATGATTATCTCAATAGACAGAAAAACCATTTGTAAAATTCAGCATCTCTTCACGATAAAAAACCCTCAGCAAACTAGGCATAAAAGGAATATACCTCACAATAATAAAGGCCATATATGACATACCCACAGCCAACGTCATACTGAATGGGGAAAAGTTGAAAGCATTCTAAGAACTGGAATAAGACAGGAATGCCCATTTTCACCACTCATATTCAACATAATGCTGGAAGTCCTACTCAGAGCAATCAGTCAAGAGAAATAAATAAAAGGCATCCAAATTGGAAAAGAAGAAGTCAAATTATCCCTGTTCACGGATGATACAATCTTCCATCTAGAAAAACCTGAAGACTCCATCAAAAAATGATTCAATTTGATAAACGAATTCAGTAAAGTTGCAGGATGCAAAATCAACATACAAAAAGTAGTGTTTCTATACGCCAATAACAATCTACCTAAGTACCAAATCCTACTTACGGTAAGTACCAAAAAACAAAATAAAATACTTAAGAATAAATTTAACCAAGGAGGTAAAATATTTCTACAAAAAAACTATAAAACAGTGATGAATGAAATTAAAGATGACACAAACAAATGGAAAAACATCCCATACTCATGGATCAGAAGAATATAGGTAAGATGACCCTATTGCCCAAAGCAATCTACAGATTCAACGCAATCTTTATCCAAATATTGACATTTTTCACAGAATTAGACCAAACAATCCTAAAATTCATATGGAACCAAAAAAAGAGGCCAAATAGCCAAAGCAATCCAAATAAATAAAAAGAACAAAGCTGGAAGCATCATATTACCTGGCTGCAAATTATACTACAAGCCTATAGTAACCAAAACAGCCTGGTGCTAGTATAAAAATAGACACATAGACCAATGAAACATAACAGAGAACTCAGAAATAAAGCCACATATTTACAACGAACTGATCATCCGCAAAATTCACAAGAATATACACTAGGGAAAGGATGCCCTTTTCAATAAATGGTGCTGGGAAAATTGTATAGCCACATGCAGAAGACCAAAACTGGACTCCTACGTCTCATCATAAAATGTAAGACCTGTAACTATAAAAATACTAGAAGAAAACCTAGGGAAAATTCTCCTGGACACTGGTCTAGGCAAAGCATTTATGACAAAGACCTCAAAAGCACAGAAACAAAAATAGAGAAATGGGACTTAATTAAACTAAAAAGCTTCTGTACAGCAAAAGAAATAACAGAGTGAAGAGACAACCTGCAGAATGGAAGAAAATATTTGCAAACTATTCACCTGACAAGGAACGAACATCCAGAATTTACAAGGAAATCAAACAAAAAAACCCCACAAATAATCCCATTAAAAAGTGAGCAAAAGACATGAGACATTTTTCAAAAGAAGACATACAAATGGCCAACAGGCACATGAAAAAATGCTCAACATCACTAACCATGAGAGAAATGCAAGTCAAAACCACAATGAGATATCATCTTATACCAGTCAGAATTGCTATTATTAAAAAGACAAAAAATAACAGATGTTGGTGAGGATGTAGAGAAAATAGAGCTCTTATACACAGTTGGTGGGAATATAAATTAGTATAACATCTATGGAAAACAGTATGGAGATTTCTCAAATTACTAAAAATAGAACTACCATTCCATCCAGCAATCCCACTACTGGGTATCTACCCAGAGGAAAAGAAAACATTATATGAAAGACACCTGCACTCCTACGTTATATCACAGCATTTTTCATGATAGCAAAGATATGGAATCAATCTAAGTGTCTATCAGTGAATGATGTGGTACAGATACACAATGAAATACTATTTGGCCATAAAAAAAAGAATGAAATCACATCCATGCAGCACCATAGATGGAACAAGACATCATTATATTAAGTGAAACAAATCAGACACAGAAAGACAAATACCACATATTCTCACTGATAAGTGGCAGCTTATGTACAGAAGGGCATGGAGTGTGTGGAATGATAGACAATGAAGACTTGGAAGAGTTGGAGGGTGGGTGACAAGAAATTACTTAATGGGTACAATGTACATTATCCAGGTGATGGATGCCCTATAGCCCAGACTACACACCACCATGAAATCTATGCATGTAACAAAATTACTCTTGTACCTCAAAATTTATACAAATAAAAAATGATAATAAACAAAATACATATAAATATTGAGGTTTATAAAAGAGCTTACATGTCAGTATATCCTTATGCATGCCTAAAATATTTTGGAAGGACATTTTAAAGAGTACAAGTAACCTAGTTACATGGGGGAAGGAAACATCTTTTAAAATTTTGGAACAATGTGAATATATTTACGTATCTAAAAAAATCACTTTATCTGAAATACGGAGGATGAATTGAGGGGCGAAAATACATAATGCTATTCTGATGGTGTGCACACAGGGTGATGATAGTTGCTTGAAAAACAGCAATGACAGCAGAAATGGAGAAGCTGACAAGATTTCATAAATGCAACAAGAACTTGGTGAGTAAGTGGATATGTGAAGCACGGGAGATGAACGGATGGAGAGAGACATGAGTTTCTGGATTAAACAACCATACGGAATACTGAAAAACTCACTGACACACAGACCACCAGAGAAGGACAAGATTTGGAAATCGGGAGGGGCAGTGTTTAGGTCATGAGCTTAGTTTTAGATATGGTGAATTTGACATACCCTTGAGACAGTGGAGAAGAGGGAAGAGGATTTCAAGGAGGAAGCTGGATATACTATGGGAAGCAGTAAACTGTTTAAGAGCATCTAGGACCAAATCCTAAGGAAGGCCAACATTTAAAGGCTGCATAAGTAAATGAGCAAGGATGTCAAAGGAAATGAGTGGCCTCTTAGGAAGAGTTGGAGAGACCAAGTCTTCCAGAAGAAGGAGAAAGTCATTCCAAGTAGGCACTGGACAAGTATATAGAGGTGAAGCTCCATGAGAGCAAGAATTGTATCTGCCCTGCTCACCATTGCTTCCTAACACCCAGCCACTATCAGGAGATCAAGTACTGCGAGGAAGGGGGAAAAGAGGGAGGGAGAAATGCACATATACATTTTCCCCCCTGGAAAAAGAATTCTTACTTAAAAAGTTAAGAACCACTCTAAAGCATCCTCATAAACATTATCTCATTTTCTCCTCACAATGTCCCCTGGAGGCACGTATAGATCATGATCCCCATTCTACAGGAGAAATAGGTTCCAAGTTGGTTATGACTTGTACACAGCCACACTGCTAAATCCAGTCTCCAGATTCTCTTTTTCTGCCGATGAACATACTCCAGGATCCTAGAGCTGATGTTGAGCCCCGAGGTCATCAGGGCAGGGGCTGTCAACCCTAAAGCAAAGAAATATTTAAGGAAGGGTACTGGTGTGTTTGTAGGCATTTGTTAGCATGCCTCTCTTTTACAGAAAGCTTTAAGGACACACAATGATGCGAAGTTAACTACTAGGTCTATAACTGTATCCCACAGAAATTCAGAGACCCTAATCCATCCCATCTTTTTGATTCTACAGACACATATGCACACACCCCTGCACAAAATACCTATAGATTCTTTACATAAATGTATCAAAAGAGACTTTCCAAACAACTATAGAATCTTGACTTTTATTTTTAAATTCTTCCCAACGTCCTCCTTTGAAATCTGACATATCCCTCCTTATCCTCTTCACAGGGAAAACTCTAATTAGCTACTGACCATCCATTTCCACTGTTCCTTCTGATAAACTGAGCTAAATAATACAGTCTTCCATCTCGAAAAACATCTAGCCTCACAGTGGTTACTTCTCTCAATTTTTGTCATTTTTTTAAGTTGTTCTCTATGATCACCAAAGGCCAAAATCCACAAGGAGATCTGCCCCAGAACTACTTGGATGGGGGTTGTCTGCTGTGGCATGACTGAAGGCATTTCAGCTGCTTGGGTCATATCCACATAAGACTTGGGGGCTTGGTTTGCCACAGAAATAGCCAAATATTTTAAGTAGACCTGAATTTGGTCCAGTCTTCTGTGGCCTGCTTGAACTGGCAAAGGGGTCACCATTCAGATACCCTCCAAAAACTTCAGAATATAATCCACTTATTTTTTTTCATGCTAATAGTGAAAAGTGATAGAAGAATACATAAATTACTCTTAACTTGAATTACACAATGTATATTTTTCCTTAAAATTGGATAGGTTTTAAATACACTATTTATATATATATTTATTTTATTTTATTTATTTATTTATTTATTTTTGAGACAGAGTCTCGCTCTGTTGCCCAGGCTGGAGTGCAGTGGTGCGATCTCGGCTCACTGCAAGCTCTGCCTCCTGGGTTCATGCTATTCTCCTGCCTCAGCCTCCCAAGTAGCTGGGACTACAGGCAGCCGCCACCACGCCCGGCTAATTTTTTTTTTTTTTTGTATTTTTAGTAGAGACGGGGTTTCATCCTGTTAGCTAGGATGGTCTCAGTCTCCTGACCTTGTGATCTGCCCACCTCGGCCTCCCAAAGTGCTGGGATTACAGGTGTGAGCCACCATACCCAGACACTATTATATATTTTTAAAATATGACAGATTTTAAAATTGCTTTAATGGACAATTTACATATATACATACATAGATACAGATTTTGGTTCAAGTGGAGAAAAATCTAATAGCAAATGTATAAATACATCAATTATGTTTTCTCAAGTTTTAAGAAAATTTGAATACTTGTTCCCTCCAAAACTCATGTTGAAATTTAAACCCCATTGTGGCAGTATTGAAAGGTGGGGCCTTTTAAGAGGTGAATGGACCATGAGGGCTCTGCCCTGGTGAATGTATTAATCCATTCTTGGATTAATGTATTAATGGATTAATGGGTTATCATGGGAGGGAACTGGTGTCTTTATAAGAAGAGGAAGAGATACCTAAGCTAGCGTGTTAGCATGCTCAGCTCCCTTACCACGCAACGCCCTGTGCCCACAGAGTCCCCACCAGCAAGAAGGCTCCCACAAGATGCAGCCTCTCAACCTTGGACTTCTCAGTCTCAAGAACTATAAGAAATAACTTCCTTTTCTTTATAAATTACTCAATTTCTGGTATTCTGTTATAAGCAACAGAAAAATGAATGGATACATTAAGTTGGGGTTTTTATTTTTATTTTTTTGGGGTAAGCTAGTATTAGAATTAACTTACTTCTTGATAGTACTGGGCAAGAGGGAAATGCACTGGAGAAAAAAAAAAATGGCCCAAAGTCTACATACCAGTTGAGAGGATGGATTAGAATTCAGAAGATTTCAGTTCTAGGCACTGTCTGGAAAAACTATGCATTTTCCAGCAAATAACTTAAGCTCTTCGGGCCTCCATTTCCTTAACTCTAAAATTCTATAATGTAAGAAAAAAAATTAACTGAGCAATAAAAATTAGAAATCTGCTCATGTGATACAGAAATCTTCCTGACTTACTCATAAGACTGCAAGCAAAGATAACTAGTAGATAGATAAAACATAAATTCACTCTATATACAACTCAACATTTTAGGAATAAGACATGTACCCTATACATCATAGACCAGGAAATTTAATGTCTACAACAATAATTTCCCCCAAAAGTGCAAATTCATGTATTTAACTGTAATGCTAAGTTTTAACTATTTATTTATTTTTACTGTAAGTTCTGGAATACATGTGCAGAACATGCACATAGGTATACACATGCCATGGTGGTGTGCTGCACCCATCAACCCGTCATCTACATTAGGTGTTTCTCCTAATGCTATCCCTCCCCTAACCCCCCACGCTCCCCAACAGGCCCCGGTGTGTGATGTTCCCCTCCCCGTGTCCATGTGTTCTCATTGTTCAACTCCCACTTACGAGTGAGAACATGCAGTATTTGGTTTTCTATTCTTATAGTTTTAACTATTTAAATCCTAACATGTCTTGATTACATGCATTACAATGTTGCCTAAGCCTTATATAAAATGTAAGATTTGCAAAATTTATGTCTACTTGTTAACGGCTGTCTATAATCAAAGACAAACCTCTCAACATTTAGCTTTGAGAAGGGAATGCAAAAAGAAACATAACTCATGTATTTATACATTTGCTGTTAGATATTCCCACCGTTGGGCAGGAACCAGAATCTGAATGTATGTAAATTAAATGGTCCATTAAAATGTTTTAAAGTCTATCATGTTTTTACTCTTATTTATAATAGTAAATGCTATAATATTTACAACTGTATAATTAATCTTTGTGGGCATTTTATTACTGAAGTTTAATTCTTCAGGCCTTCAGGGAAAGTCAAATTATCTGTTGGAAAAAGAAGTAGAACAATTTGGTCTCTCATTCCCAGAGATGGATGTGTGAATTTGATTTACCCGCCTACCTTGGTAATGTAATGTCACAGGCAGAAAGCAAAGGAGAATTCATGGACATGAAGGACCACTATCTAAGTCTTTGGCGTCCCCTGTCTACTGCTTGATTTGGTTCTGATTTAGTTGTGATTTATCCCAACATCAAACTTGCTTGCCCCAGTAGTTCTCAAAAGTAAGGGCATATCAAAATGCCAGAGATATTGTAAAAAACAGATGCTGAGATACCACTTCAGACCCACTGAATCAGAATCTTTGCTGGGGATAAAAATGGTGGGAGCGGTAGAATTCTGTTTGGAGAGAATGTTAAGCAGGGTGGCACATTCTAGATCTTAATAATTAAAAGTATTCATGATCCTGAGGCATCAGACAGACACCTCTCCAGTGTATCTAATAAAGCATATATACGCCATACCGAATGAGGTATCTGTCTCACACCATGGATACAGTTACTTATAGGTGTTAGATATCACCATATCATTATGCAGATTTTAAACTGGGCTATGAAGACACGTTTATAATTGGCTTATGCTGTGTCTGGTGCATGGAGCTATTCACAGCTTTGACTTCTAATTGAAGACTTAGTGCTTTATTTTATTTTATTTTGCTGGAAAACAAATTCAAAACAAGAAAGAGTGAAGGTCTTTTGTTTACAAAGTTAACATCTTCATCTTAACTGTGACCCAACTGCCACAGTAACACCGTTTTCCAAATAATGCTTTTAAATTTATATTTATGTAGCAGTGTCCCTTTTTGTTAAAATTGATTTCTCAAATTCAACCTATTCAGGCAGAATTTAGGCAGCAGATGTCTACACTGCAGAGGTGATTAATTCAGCCACTTTTGGGGACCTAGAGAAGGCCATCTCCTACAGTTTTAGTGTTTGCTGTTAAAGCTAGGAAACATTAAATCGGTGGCTTACAAAGGCCTTGGTCGACCTGTCTTACGGGCAAAATCCTGACATCAACCATTGGCACTGAGAGGGAAAAGGCAAGACAACAAACTTTAGCGACTCAGACTCAAAAAAATGTCTTTCTTTACAGCAGAGAGGAGAGAACTAGAAGACCTCTGAAAAATGATGTACACTCAATAAACATACTTTTTAGAAAAGATTTAAGTTTTATCCTGAATTAAAGTCTCCTTTCAAAGGGGTAAGTAATGCCTTTATTTCAATTTACAATTTTGTTGTAGTTGAAACAGCCAGATCTTTAGTCACCTTCCATCCTCTATGGTCACTCCACATAATTCTACTGCCATAATATAGTGTGGTGTCCTCTCCAGGAGCTGTCAGAGGACAAGCCATTTTCCTCACCGTGGAGGCTAATGACAGAGGAAAGGCTGATGTGCACCGGGTTCTGCTCCCCCAACAAACCACCTTCCTTTTAGCTAAATGCCAAGGAAGTAAATAAGCAGCACTGCCATCAGCATATATCTCAGGGAACTCAAATAGACCTGTCAGGGTTTATGGCCCCTCCTCTATTATTTTCCTCTCTTCTGACTTTATTATTCATCTCATTATTTAATTTACTTCAGCAGTTCAATAGTATACGTATTCATGTACAGAAATAATCATGTATTTTATATGGAAAAAAGCAATAAAGTATTTGTACATTCTCCAATGCTCATTAAAAAATGCAGAGTAAAAACACAGTGCTTTTCAGGTAAGTTATTTTCCATTACTTATCTAATAAATGTATTAATGATTACTCAGTACACAAATATAAATATTTAAGTGCAAAGTTCTCAGGAAGTCTTACTATTACATAATCCAACTCTTCAGATTTATTAAAAGAGATCAACTATGTTTGCAGGCTTTAAGAATAGTTGGCTCCAATTATTTTTAAAAGACTTAAAAAAAAAAAGCTGGTTCACAAATATTTTCCTTAAATATTTACCGCTGCCCTTAAGGACTCCTATCAACTGCCACATCACAATGATGATGGTAATAGCAGCTCACTTTTACTCCTTGACCATCCTGACCTTATGAAATGGGCACTCTTCATTGTCCACATTTTACAACCAAGAAAACTGAGGCCTGAAGACATTCAGTTACTTGGCCCTGTTAACAAAGCTGGAAAGCAAAGGGCCAGTATTCTAATTTAGGCTGTCCAACTTCAAAGCTGGAACTCTTAAACACTCTGAATAGCCTTACAGTGGGAGGTATGAGAAACGCCATTGTGGGGGAGATGGGAATAATAAGCTCTTCTAGTCAACCTGGAGAGATTGGAGGCCAGTTAAATGAGAGAGGGATGGGCGAGGAAACTGATCACAGCTGGCACCAATCTTTTTAAATTATGAGGGTTGGGATGGTGTCAGAGATGACCAAAGAGTGTGAGGGAAGGCAAGATGTGGAGGTGAAGAGAGGATGAAGGGTATTGGGCTAAAAGTAACCTGGCTGTTTTTGCATTCCCCAACAAATTCCTCATGGGCTAGAGATTTGTAATTCCTCCTAATTAAGAGACATAAGTTCAAAGACTACTTCTTTGGCACTACTTCTTTGGCACTAAAGTGAAATGTAAAAACTTTTCATATTAAGAAAAAAAAAAGGATCCCCTGTACATGATCAGAGATTCTATCCATGTTTTTTTAAAACACTTTTTTTTTTTTTGAGACAGAGTCCTGCTCTGTCACCCAGGCTGGAGTGCAGTGGTGCGATCTTGGCTCACTGCAGTCTCCGCCTCCCAAGTTCAAGTGATTCTCCTGCCTCAGCCTCCCAAGTAGTTGGGATTACAGGCACACGCCACCATGCCCGACTAATTTTTGTATTTTTACTAGAGACAGGGTTTCACCATGTTGGCCAGGCTGGTCTTGAACTCCTGACATCAAGTGATCCACTCACCTTGGCCTCCCAAAGTCCCAAGATTACAGGCATGAGCCACCAAGCCCAGCCTAAAACCATTCTTATAGAAACATCAAGTTTTACTTATAACTTAAGGGCAAAACTGGTAATTTTTGAAGGGAAGTTCAGCAGTACTTACAAAATTCAAAATGCATATATCATTCATTCTGGCATTTCTACTACTAAGAATCTGTTATATCTATACAAATTCACACACACACACACACACACACAAACACACACACACACACTCACACATAAAGATGGTCACAGCAACAGTGTATATACAGGGAAAAATGGAAACAACCTCCTCAAAGTCATTCAGTGAGTTAAAAGCTAAATATATCCATACTATGAAATATTGTACTACAATTAAAACAACTATATAATAACAGTACTAACATAAGATATTCATGATATATTAAGAGAAAAAAACTGAAGACCATTTTCTGAATTATTTATTTTAAAACTTCATATATATGTGTGCACATGTCTGCACATGTGTGTTCGTGAGGAAAAATGTCTCAGAATATGAACCACGCTGTCCACAGTGGCTGCCTTGTGAGAATAAGGGTGCTTTTGGAGACTAAGGGAGCTGTTGGGAATGGGGAAAAAATGAGGACTTGCCTTTTTAGATACTTCAATACTACTACATGAATTCTTCTTTTATAAATTTTCTTTAAGTTTCACTCTACTGCACTTTAAGATAGTATAGTGAAAGCAACTTTAACTATCTCCTACAGAATATATTTGCTAATTATATAGACCATCAGGAGACCCTACCTTTGTTTTACCAACCGTCAACACCAGAATGTTCTATTATACAATAGAAAGGGTATGATAGTAATAATCAAATTACCTCCCTAGGATACCTGCAAAAACTGGTTGCTAAGGCAAGCCCAATTACAATAAACACAACCATCCACAGGGAAATAAAAGGAAGGAAAATGTGACATGAGTCCTCCATCAGATGACTCCAGCTGTCACTCACTGGTAGATTTGGAACATAAAAGTGTACATGTCCTTAAAGAATAAATACCCAACTTCCTACTAAGAACAAAACAGAACGAACAATGACAGTCATACTTTTTGCTTAACAAATATGAGTGCTTATTACATCTTAAGTATTGTGCTTAGAGAAGCTATCAGGATACAGAGGCCACAGTTTCAGCCTGATAAATCTCATAATCAAATGAAAATGAAGAGCTATGCAATGAAGATGGGACTGCTGAATAGATTTGCTTGTTTGTTTGCTAATATCTGAGATAGTCTGAATAGACTGATATACAAGGCGGCCAGGACACAAAGGCACTCAGAGGCAAGGTTAAGCAGGACAGGCAGACTTAAATGGAATTCTTGGTCTTGGTTGTATAAGAACCATGCTCAAACAAATTGAAATGGAAAAACAACACATGAATGCACACCTGGGTGAAGCTACAGAAGGTACGCCTTTGCAGTACGGAGCCTAGGTTCCTCCTATGCCTCTGTAGATAACCACCAGCAAAGACACAGAGCTGGAAGAGATCTTAGATGTCATGTGCCAACCCTCATCCAATATGTGAATAAATGCCTTCTACATTTGGCTAGCTGAGATGGCATCTCTGGACACATGACAGGGAAGTGAGGGGTAAGTCTAGGCTACTTTCAGGATTAGTCCAGCTCCTGGGAGTAAAAGGGCCACTGAAATGATCCTTTCCTCTTTTCCTCTATTCTAGGTTGGGGTCAAGGCCACAGTTTCCCATCAGACTGTCCCTCTTTGTGGTAGTCTACCCAGTACAGGCTAGCCCATAGGAAGATTAGTGTACGAAAAGCCGTAGGAGAGGAAATATGTGCCAGAAAGTCAGGGAAAGCAATCTGACCTCCAATTATAGTATTATCCATCCCTTTACTGGCTTCTCTCTTCTTAACTGTGATGAGTACTTGTGGATACCCCAACATGAGGTAAGGTCAGTTATCTTTTTTTATAATTATCCATTGTATGATTAAAATTATCCCAACACTGTTAGAGATGATTAAGAGCATTTTAAATATGAGAAAAAATGGGTCCCATTCAAGGTCACACAGGTAATATGTAGTGGAGACAATATTGGATTCTAGGCCTCTAGATTCCAAGTTCAGTGTTCTGTCTCTATACCACAGTTTACCAATCTACAATACGTCTCCTTTAATAGGAAGCATAAAGGACAGAAAAGACGAAGTTAATTAACTACGAGGGTGGGGTTAGTACTTGGAAATCTATAAGACTCTAGAAAAGTACTTAGCAAAGATACCAGCTTCTTTTTTAAGAATATGGAAGCTAGAAAGTTTTATTAGAATATAAAACCAAGAGCAAACAATTTTGCTTTAAAAATACAGAACTACAACTGGCAATCTCCTTGGTGGGCCATTAACATTAACTATCTTACAGCCTCTTTTAGCATGTAGTGGTTAATTTTATAATCTAATTAAAATTATGTGGAAAATTTTATGAAAACATATTGAAATGTTAAAAGGTCCACTGACAAGGACTGAACTATTATGATGACAAACTATATTCCAACAACCTTCACTAAATCTGTGACCTTGGATAAGTCAGTAGACTCATTCTCCTTGATTTCTTTATCTACACACTATTGCAATTATAAATTACAAGAAAATTGCTCACAAGGAAATTGTGAAGAACAATGTGTGTGAAATAGGCTTGAAAAACTTTAATTCCCCAGGATAAAATCTTTAAAAAATAAAATATTGCAAAATAATAAGAAAAACAACTACTAAGAACAACTAATAGGATAAGTTCACAAGGAAAAAGGGGAAAAACCTACTGTTATCAACATATTTTGTATTTACTCATAAATTATGTCTTTCTTCCAAAAAAGATTTGGATAAGCTAAATCTTGTCTTTATGATGCCAACTAATCAAGTCTAAATCATATCTTAACCCTTTTATCTATGCGAGGTAAAAGTGATGCTTTTCCAAAGAGAAAAATTAAATCCTCCCAATATTAATGTTCAAGACTTTTGTCTCAAAGAAAAAGTGTATCCACAAAACCACACAAGAAAGTACTGCTTTAGAAACAGATTTCTTAAAAGAGAGTGGCTTACATACAGATCTTTATAGGCAGGTGGGATCATGTTGTCAAGTAACTGCAAAACATTTTTAATCCCACCACCTATTAAGTCATTAACAATTAAAATAAGACCCTCCAGGGAGCAGATTTCCCATTTCATCACTTAAGGTCACCGTGGCTTGCTTCCTACCTCTCTTCTTTTTTACCACTTGTCAAACTAGAATGGAAGGCAGGAAGGCAGCTCATGTAATTGGTCCATTTCCAGGCTGGGAGCAAATTTGATGATAAATTAAGTGAAGAGAAAGCTGGCGGGATAAACTGCTCAAGTTTGCTGCTCTGGAGAAGCTGTTCCTATACACAAGTTATTAGGAAATCATATTGAGTCTAAAGGTAACCTACAATCTATCCTTGATAGGCTTTCCTATTTTAGAAACTATGAAAGAACTACATCACGTGAACACATTCTCTCATCCAACCTTAGTTTACATTGTTTCATTGGTTCCATTATTTCAAAATAGATTGAAAAATCTTTCTGATAAGAAACTTTAGGGGCTACTATCCTTCAAAACAAGCAAGACAAATGCAGAACAAGCAACTGATTACTGATGGAGGCTTTCGGTTTTACTAAAACTCAAGAGAACAAAGTGATGCTAGCAGATTACATGACCTAAGGAAAAAAGGAGGGAAAAGAGAGAATGCATAAAAGTTTGAAGAAATGGTATATTCTGTTCTCTGCTTCCACTGAACAATTTAATAAGAAGCCACAAACAGAGAAATCTCTGGGATGACCATTAGCTGCCCGAATTTTCACACGGCAGCAAGATTTGAGGCAGATGATATGACAGAGCAGAAGCCTACTTGAAAAAGTCCTTGAATACATGTGCTTTTGGAGGGCTGAAGGTACCTCTGTGGCAGCGTTGTTTACACTCCTGTTATTTAACATTGGCAGACTCTACCAAGTCAAACGCTTTACACACCTTATGATAGCTACTTTAGTAAAGCTGAGCCTGATATGGGGAGTACTAGAAGAAATACAACTATGTAGATTTCCTCTGACACAGAAACCACATTAAAAGTATCTCACAGCACCAGGAGACTTATAAAAGAATGTTTACAGCAGCTCCTTTCAAAACTAGGCCTATCAAAAATGAACAAGGACAAATAAATAGCAGTATTCTCATACTCAGAAGACTCTAGAGCTGTGCTGTCCAATATGGCAGCCACTAGCCACATGTGGCTACTGAGCACTTGCAGTGTGGCTACTAGTGTTTTGAGCTATGTTGTGACGTGTGAATCAGTAACCAGATTTCACAGACTTAACATGAAAAAAAGTAAAATAACAACATTTTTCTTGAATATTTATGAATATTATGATATGTGTTGGATTGATATTTTAGATATATTGAGCTAAAGAAAACATACTACCAAAATTAATTTTACTTGTTTCTTTTCACTTCTTAAAATGTGGCTATTAAAATATTTAAAACTATGCATGTGGTTAATATTCTATTTCTATGGGAAGGCTCATGTTATATTTCTATTAGACAGTGCTTCTCCAGATGAATAAATTACAGGTATGTGAAAAAATATGGGTAAACCTTAACATGATTCTGAGTGAAAGAAGTCAGGTAATACAAGAATCATACTGTATTATTCCATTTACACAAAGTTTAAAAATAGATAAAACTAAACCAATGTTTAATAATGTCAAAAACAACAAAACACAAACCGCCAAAGAAGTGATTACTATAAAACTAGGCAGTGGTTACCAAGGGAAGAGAAAGGAACTTGTGACTGAAAGGGGGTACTTGGAGCCCTCTCAAGTGATAAGAGCCATCTATTTCTTGGCCTGGGTGACAGTTCACTTTGTTAATCTGCACATTCATATTGTATGTACTTTTCTACATTTTTACATCTCATAATTTTTAAAGTTTACAAAAAAGGACCTCAAATTGCTTTTCTGAAAACATTTTTATTTGCTGTCAACTAACCACTAAAGAAAACCTAAAAGAATAGGGTTGAGAGACTAGTCCTAGATTTCAAATCAATATAAATAAAGAAATGTAACGTTAGGTCCCAGAGCTGTTTAGTCAAAACTGCATTACTTTTTTCAACATATTTTTAAATATTTTTAAAATTATGTCCAAATGTTTTAAAAGCACAAGCAACCTATGTTTGGCAACATTACTTGTCCTATATTAATGTACTCTATGAAATAAGTGGTAAGTATATTTCTGAAAAGTTGCACCTATATATTCTTGTGAGTTGACATATTTGCACTGCATAAAATAAATACTCGATAAATACGTTCACAAATAAATGAGAAAACATGTTCAATGTATAAAAGTTTTAAAAGAAAACTTTTTGTATTTTCTTATACAAAATATTCATATTCTAAATTCTCTCTAAACAAGCTATAATGTTTTTCCAAAAATAATTTATTTTCCTAATATGAGGCAACCGGTCAGAGGCTTTCCTGCACTGGAAAATAAATTTTAAAAGAAAATGAAAAAATTCACAATATGCACAAGTCAGTGTATTGACAAGGGTGAATTAAGTAAGTGTTCTGCATAACTAATATCTAGTACTTGATGAAATGTGACAAATTTAAAGGAAGTATAAGAACCAAGCTTTAACATGTATGATTTTTCTGAGCACAAAAGCCTTGGTACCTAACACGAAACACTTCAAAAGAAATGTTTTAGAATACAAATGTAAAAATCTCTTTTGACCAACTAAGAGCAATGCTGATGATCTATTTCACATTTAATTCACTTTTATGCAGAAGAATTGAATTTATAAGTGAAAAAGGATCCAGAGAGGAAATTTAAAGAGTCAATGTCTATACTCACCATGAACTTGGTTGATTTCTGAATTTTGGGAAAGAATTTCATCTGCTAATTTTTGAGCAGTTGGCAAAACTTCTGTGTGGTGCACTGTGATCAAATACTGTACAAACTTTTGCAGTTGGTCTCTATTCATTTGAAAGAGAGTCTCTGAAATAGGAAGATGCAGTTTGACCTGATCTGGCTTGCGGATGCGGTATAAAGACAGTGCCACAACATGGGCACAATAAAATATGTCCTTGTTTCCACAGCTGCAGGTCACTGAGGTAATCTTGCAACGATCAAAGCTGATGGCCACGTTGCAAACAGTTTCTGGCTCCGATTGTATTGCAGGTTCTGTCACTGTGCCGCTCAAGTGGAAACCTTGAGGGTGAAAGAAAGAAAGGGAGGGTTTAGCTTCTGCATTCAGATGCTATGAAATGCTCTAATTCTTTGAAATGTGTGGGACTTGACAGCAGCAAGAAAAAAATATGACAGCCTCTATATTCAAGTAAAAACATTCAGGCCACTAACCACTACCACCACCCCCTTACAGGTAAAAAAAGAAAAATAAATAAATGGTATTCAACTGATATGCTGAAGTATTTTACACAGCCATATGAAAACATATATTGCCATACAACACCATCATACCTATAGGAAGTGGTTAGATCACGCACTAAGAGGCCATCATTACTCTGCTCTGAATCAGTGGTATACAACACAATAATCCCCTAGATCAGTGGGATCAGTGGTTTCTTCTTTTTTCTACTCCTTTTTTAAGCAGAGTCACCTAGCTCAGCTTTCTTCTCAAAAACAAACTAACTCTCCCCACCTTTATTCTAGGCAGCCACTAGCTGGCTCCAACCAACCAATACTGCAACTCTAAGGGAGTCCCTTCCACAAACTTTGATCAGATAAATTTTTAAATTTGACAATCCTTTCTGCAACATGCATAATGTATACCCCAATACAGCAATGTCTATGAGCAGCAACTGCTTATAGAATTGCAAGGCCCACCAAATCTCATATACACTACCACCTAAATAACTCATAATGATGATTCTCTTCCATGTCACATACAGAGGAAAGCTATACAGATGTACAGTTATTACACACACACACACACACACACAAATACACGGTACAAAGTTACCAAGGTGGAAAAAGCCTTAAAAGGCCTTATACCTTAAACTTAGACCCACACAGAAATCCTCTATGACAGTGGTCCCCAACCTTTTTCGCACCAGGGACCAGTTTTGTGGAAGACAATTAGATAATTTTCCATGGATGGGGGAAGGGAATGGTTTCAGGATGAAACTGTTCTACTGTTCCACCTCAGATCATCAGGCATTAGATTCTCATAAGGAGCATGCAACCTAGATCCCTCACATGCACAATTCCAAATAGGGTTTGTGCTCCTATGAGAATCTAATGCCACTGGTACTGGTCCACGGCCCAGGGTTGAGGGACCCTTGCTCTATGAGCTCCATGACCAATGGCCATTTTGCTGCCTATAATGGTCCACACATGAGGCACTCACCCTGCCCTGGGGGCCAATCCCCCTTGGATAGCACTAGCTACAGCTTACTATCAACTGCAAACTGCCTTCCACCACCAGTGCCCACCAGGTAGTCCTGACCAGCTTGGCCAGAGGACAACTCCTCCATGCTCTCTTTCCCTACATTGCATAGGAAGGCTATCCTAAATTGGGGTGGGTGGTAAGGGGGAGCATCCATTCAGTTCCACCCTCTCTCTCTCTCTCAAAGCCATATTCAGTGGCCAAGGATAAGCCTGAAGGGAGTAAGAAGAATATAGTTTTGGGAACCTCCACGACTCAGACTGACCTCAGGATTTCAGGTACCTGACAGAAACTTGAATGCTACACAGTGAAGCCCTGGGCTCTCTCCCAGTCTTCCTCTATTGATGCTACTTTAATAAAATTCATCTAGCTAGCCACTGTTTCTTCCAGTTCCCCTTCATTCACAAAGAAAAGGATTGCTACCATGTGGGGACTCTGGAACGGGTGGTGCACATGGAGCTGCAGATGTAAAACTCAAGAATGATGGCCAGACAATGGTAAGAGTTTACACACAGGACATCTGAACCCCACTTACTGTCTTCCCATGCAGAGTCCACCCAGGCCAGACAGTTGAAAGAAATGCTACTCCTAAGAAATCTTTCAGAGGTAATATAATTTCACCTTGATCATTCTTAGTCAGCAACATTTAGTAAAAGGAGAAAGGTGCTGCAATAATCTTTATCCAATGAAACAATGAAAAAAGAGCATTCCCTAAAAACAAGTCACTATTACTGCTTCACGATAAGAAATTTTGAGAACTGTCATATAATAATCTTTGGTTTTTTTTTCACAAATATTCTCACTGTTTCAGAATGGATATTCCAGTCTCCTTTATCTCTTTTAATCAACAACTTTTTCTGAAAAACCACAATTAAAGAAAGAGTACATAGTATATATTCTAAAATTTTTAAATATCTATGTTCCGATGAAGAAAAAGTCACATGAAAAAGTAAACACCCCAGCAAATCTCAAAAATGAAGAATAATGAGGGCAGTCTTGCTGTAATATATGCAGATGTACTATAAACCTATAATAATTAAAAACTCATGGGACAGCACAGATCAAGACAAAAAAATTACCAAGGGAGCATAAGAGAGAGTCTGGAAAGTTCCCAAGCACATTCTGTACATTTAGTTCAAGGCAAACTCTGTTTTCCACCTGTCATATATGTACTTGCACGGGGAAACCGGTTATCTTAATAGGAAAACAGTTATCCTAAACTGACCATTTATAAAATCAGTCTCTTCCCACTTAACACTATCACATCTCTCTTCACCAACCAACTCAATGTCTTTGTCTCTCTGCAAAAGTGATATTGGAGATAACTTTTTCCCCATCCCCACACCTTGAAGATGGAGAACTATTCTAATTACAGGCAAAGCCAAGACAATTAAGGATCCAAGCGTTAAACCAGTTAGTATTTAAAGAGTCTACCAGGAGATAACAGATGCTTCAAAAAAGACTGATTTAACTATTGGCCAGGAGTGGTGGCTCATGCCTGTAATCCCAGCACTTTGGGAGGCCGAGGCAGGCGGATCACGAGGTCAGGAGATCGAGACCATCCTGGCTAACACGCTGAAACCCCGTCTCTACTAAAAATACAAAAAATCAGCCAGGCATGGGGGCAGGCATTTGTAGTCCCAGCTACTCGGGGAGCTGAGGCAGAAGAATGGCGTGAACCCGGGAGGCGGAGCTTGCAGTGAGCCAGTGAGCCAAGATTGCACCACTGCACTCCAGCCTGGGCGACAGAGTGAGACTCTGTCTAAAAAAAAAAGGTTGGGGGGAGGCCTTATAAAAACTGGTGAAGCCCTCAAATGGTTTCTGCAAAAATGACCTGCTTTATTCACATGAGTTATACAGTACAAGTCAGAAAAGAAGTATATTGAATCTTGACATTATACAATTATGCAGAAGGGATCCCACATATTATACAGTTTTGTTACTTAAAATTTACTATTCTTGTAAAGTTTTTTAAAAAGCAAACTATAAAATATTGTGACCTCCAAAACAATTTAAATTCCAAGAGAAATGTGAAGGCACAAATAAACATATACATGTCTTACAGCATAACACTCATTATTCTGAGATCATCAAAGATTACGGTGTTTTATGAATGTTCATTTTCCAAGTAATTCTAGATTATCTTTCAAATGCCCAAAAAATTTCAACCATTTTTGACAGAAATATTTCTAAATGTCACAAATTCTACTCTGCCCGCCTAATCAGGAGACCATTTAGGGTGTTACTGAATGAGGAAGAACTCTAACAGATAACTGCAGATGGCAGTATTTTTAAAGTTGGCTCTTTTTGTTACCTTTCTTCACCATCAGCTACCAGGATGACTCCTCTCCTATACTGCTAACTTTCTTTATAGAAACTTCTTTTCCTCAGTTAATGCCATCTCTAATTTGACTAGCTTTGTGGCAGCTATTTAATGCTCTGAGGCCTATTCGTTTTGTTTTGTTTGGCGGGCGGGGGCTGGGGGTTCCCCTTACCTTTAGGTGAGCATGCTAAAGTAGAGAAGTTTTACCTTAAATACAGAAAATTATACATATACACATAAAGGGCAGCTGGTATATTACTTTATAAGACTATGCAATACATTGACTCAGTCAATATGCAGGAATTCAACCAAGCCTACTTCAGCCTTGTATAGTGGTGTATTTTGGCCTCTCCAATTTGAGAAATCTTCTTTGAAATTCTACCAACTCATTCTCTGTGGATCCTAAATCATACCTGAGAACCCACAGGACAAACAAGGACACTGTTCCTCCCTCAATAATCCCAAGAAGGCTGTAAAACATCCCCCTGCTGGTCATACCTCTTAGGTTTTGTTTCAAGACAAAATAATGTTCCTGAGAATTGATTTTGCCTTTCCGGAGTTTTGACAAACTATGATGACCAGCTGTTTTAGGGCTGCAAATGCAGAATCTTCCTCTAGGATAGTTAGCTGTTCTATATAACAGAATTGAGCATACAAAAAGGGACAATCCTGCGCTCTGTGGAAAAACACAGATAATTAACTGTAGAACTAAAACATAAATTATATAAACCTTTTCTTAAAATATTTATTTGACTTTATAAAACATAATCTGTGAAAGACAGTTAATTCCACAAGAGCTTCACAGAGCAGTCAAACTGTTTTATCATCATGCTGTCACAGAACCCAATAAAATGTTAGAATCCCCATTTTTAATCTGCAGGAACTGAAGAAAAACAAACCACAAACCAAGGCACGGTGTTGTATAGTCCTTGGGAATAGACTTTGGTTTGGATCAGGTTCTGCCACTTAAATGCTACATATCTTATATTAAATATTTAACCTCTCTGAATCTTGCTTTATTTGTGTGCAAAATGTGGCTAGAAATACCTCCTAGGGTTGTTTGGGGAATTAAAATGAAATAACATATGTAAAGCACCTGGCACATAGTAAAAGTGCTCATTAAATTTTATTTCCCTTTCCTTCCCTTCCCAGCTGGAGAAACAGGGGAGGGGTGTGGACACATTCCCTTTCACCCATAACACTTTCTTTTTCTAAGCTACTGGAATCTTGAGGGGAGGAGGGGTCTAGCCCGTGGAGGTGGCTTGGAAAATGAGAGGGATCACTGAGAATGTCTCAGTTAAGTGAGTCAGACAATAGTAGAAGAATCACTGCTATTTGATGGCAAAACCAAAGTATTTCAAAGAGTTACTTATACCTTTACTCAACCCAGCTCTCTTTCCCCATTTTCCTATTAAGTTCTGTCAACTCACAAATAGTTGATTTTGTAAAAGAGTGTTACTTTCATACAGAGAGAAACTAGAAAGTATTAGGGGAGAATCTTTTCTAGTAACTATAGGATTCTAAAATGTTATAATGCAATGATTCTCAATGTATGGTCCTGGGACCCCTAAGAGGTCCCTAAGTCTCTTTGAGAGGGTCCACAAGATCAATATTTTAAAAAATACTTACATCTAGACATTATTAACCCTTTAAAATCTTCTTCATTAATGTATGTTTAGTTTTCCAGTATCACATTAGTACGCAATGTGTAATGTAATGATATCACATTCCAGTATCATTACAAACTGAATACAGAGACAGACAGCAAAGTCCAGCTCTCTTTTGATACAGACATTAAATAGGCTTGCAAAAATATAAAACAATGTCACCCTGTTCACTAAAATATTTTGTTTTGAGAACTGCAGATTTTTTAATAAAGATATATTATGTTGTGAGTTTATTACTGTTATTTGATATAGATATTTTTTTCTTTTTAATTTCAAACATAGTAAATATCACTAGATATAATTCTCATAAGCAAAAGCGCTATGGGCACTTCCATTATTAAGAGTGATACCAGAAAGTTGAAGAACTGCTCTTATAATGCACTGCCAACAGGCGGAAGAAAGAACTCTTCTCTACGCCATATTGATGTGGCATTATTTGCACTTAGCTCTTATAGTAGGTCAAAAAGACTCAGTAGAGAAACACTGAAGGGGCAAAGTCCTCACACATGAACACATATTCAAATCATCTATGTTAATTTCACATTAACAAAGATTAAGGTTTCTAGAAAGCAAATGTTTAATTCTTCATTGACGTTCCAAATTAAGCTTAAGAAATTAAGCTTTTCTTAACATATTTTTCATATCTTAGGTTAAATTTTAGTTGCATATTAAAGGGAACAAGGAGACACATGATATCAGACTGAAAAAAAAGGGATTTTAAAATACACAATTTCTAAAAGTTGGCCATTTTGTGCATATTATGTATATGCACTCAGTTAACTGAAAGACTGTTATAAACTGAAAGACTGTTATAAACTCAAAGCATTAGGAAATTTCTAAGCTAAAATAAACTGGCAGACATGAAATAAACATGCACACTAAAAACTACTGCTTTCATGGCACATTATTTCCAAAAAAATATGCGCCCTGTGTACAAGGCACCCAAGTAACATATTCTTTGTTGAAAAAGAATTTAACAGAAGCACTGGTGTAGTACTTACACAAATACATCTTTCACCCTTTTCCTAAATAAAAAGAACCCCCAGGGAAATTAAAGGCAGAAACCAAGGCAATGTAATGTTATGGCTGAAAGGGTGGCAAGGGTTGTGAGGAGTTTTTCTGTAATTTTTTTAAAGGCAAGTCTAAAAATGCAAAAGTGTTAATGCTCCCATGATAATGTATTCATTGCTTAACTAAACCCACTGCATTAGCTAAATGTATAGTAACTAATACTTGATTATGTAACCCTGGTAAAGTAGATGAGTTAATCATTGCCCAAAAAAACCCTTTTACCTTTCCCAACTCTGAGAACTATTGCACATAATCTAACACCCCACACTACAATAATCGATATTAAAAACAAAAAGTTTTAATGTAAATCATGTACAATTTCCAGATCAGCAGAACAAACAACATAAGGGCCCAAGATGGAAACTTGTATGAAATATCATATTCCTTTTCAACTCCATAATTTTCTCAAAGGGAAATCCTAAATTAAAGGGACTGCATCCTGTGAGCTGGCTAATTAAATCCTCTAGCACTAATTTCTAATGCTAAGCTTAAACAGCTTATAGAAAGACATTAGGAGATTTTGCCGGCAATCACTAATGAAGTGGTTTTCATCTTTCTGAAAAAAATATTTTTTAAAGGAAAAGCTTTATTTTAAGACTACCTTAAAAATGCCTATTTAGAACTCAATCACTCCTACACTTCATTAATATTTGAGAGAAAAACAATGGCAAATTAATGCAAAGGCCAGACTGTAAACCACAGCATACCATACAAACAACATAAAAATTTACGGAGCATGCATTGGATGGGCCCAACTAAGAGTTCCCAGCAGCATTCTGCTCAGTATTGGTTGTTTTCTCATTAATGTAGATTCTTACACCATTTTCTTACAAGAATCCAAGTGATCAGAATACCTGTGTTAGATATGAGTGGCATTAGATAATTATTTAAAATTATTTTTGAAAATAAGACTCTCATCCACTAATTTGGATATCTGCAGTGGGCACCTAGAAGTACCACTAGTTTAAGGGGAAGTGTTGAACTAGAAAAAAAAAAAAAAAAGTCATATCACTCCGTCATACCAAATCCTGAAGCACATAAGGGTTCCCTACCACCAACAACAAATTACTATCAACTAATTTTTCAAGATGTATTTCTGTATTTTAACTTGCATACTTAAGGGAAACAATCATTGTCTAGCCTCAAATTCTGGGTGGGCAGTTGGGGAGGGGGTTGTGATTAAAAGAAAAATTGGTGGAATTTGAATTATTTTCACAACTGTAACTCTGCAAAATGCTTAGGAATGTAAATTATTTGCCCCAATCTTTTAAACATAAGCTGCTTTCTCTGATGCCAACCTTTTCTAATACAAAGAAAGCAGCTCTGGCCTTCCACCCTTCTTAAAGGTGGGGACAGCCCTGCAGCCCTTCCTCTCTAGGATCCCTTGTCACCTGCACACCCCACATTGCCCCCACCTCAGTTCACTGCTGCTTCCTCTCACTGCTCACTTTGGCCTCTCACCTGGGTCCCAAAATTCTGAAGTGCAGATGAAGTTTATTAGAGCCCTTTGGTGCCCAAGTGGCAACTCTTGGCATCTCTGCGTACTTTATCTTGCCTCCCAAGGACCGGGTGTAAACGAGGAGGAAGCAGAAGATCCTTTTACCTATTTATTTCCCATTGCTGCTCACAGCAAAACAACCTTTGGAAATGCTTGGCTGTTTGCTTTAGGAGTGGTGGTGAAGAGGAAACAGGAGACTAATTCTGTTTACCAGGGCCAAGAGGAAGGGGAAAGTATGCTCAGACCTGGGAGGGGAGAAATGTAGGCCTTTGGCAGCCAAATTCTTCCACCCACACTCTGGAGCTCTCACCTGATCCCTCACCCCAACATGAGTCCTCACATTTTGGCGCTAACCATTCCTAATGCCTTGCCCTATGCCCAGGCTCTAACCCACTTAATTCTCACAACCATCCTGCAAAGCAGGCATCATATTCCCCTTTCTACAGGTGAAGAAACTGATGTTCTCTAGGAGAGGCCGTGGTAGAACACACTCTGGATTAAGTAGAACTGAAGGGAACATAAGGTTTCTACAATTCGAATAATAAACTTACACAAATAAAACCTTTCTACTCCAACACATAAATGATTTTAAAAGATGAGGGAGGCAAGGCATGGTGGCTCACGCCTGTAATCCCAACACTTTGGGAGGCCGAGACAGGTGGATCACTTGAGGTCAGGAGTTTTGAGACTAGCCTGGCCAACATGGAGATACCTCATCTCTACTAAAAATGCAAAAAAAAAAAAAAAAAAAAAAAAAAAAAAAAATTAGCCGGGTGTGTTGGCATGCACCTGTAATCCCAGCTACTTGGGAGGCTGAGGCAGGAGAATCGCTTGAACCCAGGAGGCAGAGGCTGCAGTGAGCTAGATTGCACCACTGCACCCCAGCCTGGGCAACAAGAGCGAAACCCCATCTAAAAAGAAAAGAAAAGAAAAGATAGATGAAGGAGAGGCAAACTAACAGATCCAGACACTTGAGTAAACTCTGCTAGGGTTGAGAAGCTTGGAGGCAGAGCTCTTTCATCTCTGTAGCCCAAGGATCCAGCACAGTTCTTAGAATAGGCCAGGCCCTCGAAAGTACATCAAATGAAAGAACTCATGGGGTTCTTCCAAGTAATGCCCACCCTGCACTGTAAAAGTCACAAATAACTAAATGCTCTGGCCCCAAGCCCAGGATACTTTAACTTCATGAAAGACTATTTTTAAGAGTCCACTCCTCTCTATACTTCAAGCTAAACGGGAAGCTCAGAGATAGCAGAGGTCTGTGGAATCCCCATCACAGAGGACTATCTTGGAGGAGGTACTCCAGAAGAATTTGTTAAGATGAAAGAACACACACACACTCTTGGCATGTGGAACATATAGATCGGTGGTTCTCACACTGGAATGTGCATATGATAACAAAGATTGCTGGACCCCATATGTCCAGGGTTTCTGGTTTAACCCAGGTGATGCTGATAATGCTGGTGTCCAGGGACCAAAGTTTGAGAACCACTGACTTAGAGGATTAGAATTACAGCCTCAACAAGTCTTTTCTAGCCAAGATATATTTGAGCAAACATAGTAAATGGAACAGTGAAGAATGTATAACTCATGATATTAAAAATATATACAATATCTTGCTTCTTATGTAACCTAAATGTTCCCATTCTAAGTCAGAAACTGGTCTGAGCATTACAAAATAAAAGTAAAAATAACATAATAACAAAAGCTGTTACTATCATAGTTATTAATACTTAAAGCTAGATCATCTTTTCAGTAAAATCTTCATTAAAAATCTAAATTAAAATACTAAAAGTTTTAAATAATCAGAGAGTATTTACTTCTGCAAAGAGACTGTTTTACAACATCCCTGGGATTCCTCATAATTGGGAGTTACTTGTATATTAGAAGCAATTCAATTAATGAAAAAAATATATAGGCAGCTATTTTAGTAACACATTTTTCACCTGAGGCAAAGTACACCTTATATGAGAAAGTCAGAGGCAACAGAATGCAGGATGGCACAAGGTGGGGTAGGACTGGAAAGAGAATTAGCACTTTTTAAAACAAGATCGGTCTTCCTTCGAGCTCCATCACTATCTCAGTTTGGTGAACTTAGCCTTGATGTTTTCATCTATAAAAAGGGATAATAATACCTATTTTGTAGGACAGCTGTAAGGACAAAAACTGACTACATACAAACCATCACAACTCCTTTTATGGAATGCCTGCCATCATCATTATTGTAATAGAAATGCCACATACTCTGGGAAGCTTGGCGTTTTCAACACATGCACTAAAACCCTAGCCCGTTAGTGTAAGTGCACTTGCTGCTGGAAATGCCAAGCTCCCAGGAGCATGCTGGCATTCTACTACAATAATGGACTATGGTTTGTTGTTGTGCTAATCCATAGCTAATATATCCATACTTCCAAACTAATAGAACTGCCGTCATTTTTTTCTGTTGTTCCAATTTTACATAGCACATTTTAAAAATGTAATTTGAAGGAAAATGAAAAGGATTTAGAAGACTTAATTTTTCCACAAAATAACTTTTAGTTTTAATCAGTTAAAGAAATGTTTCACTCTTCCCTTTGAAGATTTCTCTCTACTAAAATATAAAACATCCCTTTTATCCCTAATGTTTGCCTTCCATGTGAGGTATATAAAATTATTTTCTACAGCTCAAGTCTATCTTGTCCCTGAGGGGAAAACTAATTCAAAGTTGGATGCAAGAGTAAGGAGACTAGTAATTCTTGTTTTGGGAAGAAAAAGTGACCACAGCTTTTCATCTTCACTAATTTATAGCCTGACAAGCAAAGTGAAGTCAGAGCTCCAGCTCTCCTCAAAGAATCTCAAGGAACACTAGCTCCTGCAAGGACTGTAAGTTACTGTCATTTCCCTTACTGTAGAGAGCCAGCTGGGAAGAAAATCCTCTCTGCCCAATTTGTACGCTTTAAGAACAGTGAGGTAGATATATTTTTACCTTGGCTAAATGGCACATTTTTTCTTAAATACATAATGATGAAAAATAAGCAAAGAGGTCATCTGTTCAAAAGGCAGATAAAACCGGCTAAGTCATTACCACCCATATCTTGGAGCACTGTAATTACAGGTAATATTTTATTTTCCTTGCTTTAGTTGGTTGGGGGGAGTGTTTTTTCCTGAAATTTCTACAATGAACACATACTGCTTATAAGAAAAAAAAACTGCTTTCACTGTTCAAAGTCTTCCTGAGTGAAGAATTTGACTTAATAAATGATTTCCAGCACCTGTTCTGAGAGCCTGGTAATAACCACACCCCCAGTACAAACACTGACAGTCATCAGTACAGCTCTGCCTTACTGACTGGTCCAGCCTACTATAGCAACAGGGCACTCCAAAGCTTTCCACTGGATGCTGAACCCACCTTATGGCTTAGCCACAGTCCACAGAAGAGGACCGGCTACACAACTCAAAAGTAAGACAAGGCAGAGAGACTGGGACTCTTGATTCTAATTTCAGCCATTATGTAATTCTAGCCCCACTGGCAAGTTATTTAATATCTATTTCTTGTTCCCTCTTTTTCTCTCACTTATTAAATAAGGGAAATAGATAATGAATGATTTCTAAAAAATTATGGAGGGAGGCAGCAGTAATAGAGAGCCAACCATGACAAGATATGGGGTGGTAGTTGCTATACTCACTTATATAGCATAAGACTTTTGACCTTGCCTGGCTACTACAGGGTTGAATCAATGGTCATCTCAAATGACCTGGTGGCTTTGGCTCAGGGAAGGGGAGAGAGAAAGGATAAATATGACAATAGCTGCAGTCACATTTGTGTCACTGGCATTTGGGGGGAAATTTTTTAAAAACTCCAAAATTAAATACAAAAGCAAGTAAGTGTTTAATTTTTACCAACATAATTTTTACTCATCTGCCTGAAAGTGAGATTCTTAGGGCATTATATCTTTTTGTTGTGTTCTATACAGCTGGCAAAATTTCCAGCTGTATAAAGAAATCTCAAAATACATAAATATAGGTAGGGTTTATCTATGCAAAATATATAAAAATATAGAATAAATAATATAGAAACATAAAATAAAACCCATTAAAAAACGGAATGAAACCTATGGATCATCTTGTCTGTCTGCTACATAAAAGGATGTATTCTTTCTCTTATTATCTATTATATATTATGAACATTATATATTATGATACTCAACAACCACTTCCTTAATCCCCTACTTTGTAACAGGAAATATACAAGTCTCCCGGGAGGCATCCATGAATAACACAGGGTTCCAGTTCTGAGAAGTCACTGCATTATTGGACAATTTGAGTTAACAAGACAGATTAAGTTGGATTTGGAAATAAGAAGAGATAATATCTAATACAATGTAAATTTTAGAAAGAAGAGAAACTACAGTACAGACCCCATTTCCGAAGCCATGTTCTATGTATGTTAACAGAAGAGGGAAGGGTTCCCAAGGTCTTACAAGTTTGGATTAAGTTTCACCACCTTTTGAAGATTCAAAAGCACATGAAAATGGTAACCGCTGTAAGAACTCATACAGTAACAGGACACCTAATGAGCTCTATTTACTAGTAAAAGGTCTACAATAACTGCTGTAAGATATTAAAAAAAAACAAACCATAATTCAGTATAAGCAGTAGAGCTGATAAACAGAACTATGGGCTCAACTGAGTTTAGAATCATCAATCAGCATGAGCCAACTGAAAGGATTTTGTGATTTTTCTCCAGGAGTTCAAGACTACCTGGACATGTATGGCTGAAAGGCTGGAGATGCCACATCATCAATATCCCTCATCCACTATGAAAGAACCAAAGAACAAGTATTTAATGGAAAAGGTAAACATCGTTGAAAGTCAACCTTCTTATAATGCCAGACAAAAGAAAATACACCAATGCTGTTGTTATTTGCAGCACAGTCAAAACTTCATCTGGCATACTCTCAACCAGAAATATCTATTAATATTTGAGTAAACAGAATACCACACACTCTTGACTCACATGGCTGAGAAAGTGTTTACAATATTTTATATCCAAATCCTTAAAATTTGAGTGGCAAAGCTCAAATTCCCTTTGCGGGAGGACCTGAAAGAGTCTAACATGAAAATACTGCATTGGAGTTTATTCTATAATACAACAACAGAGATCCATGGCTATATGCAAAAAAGACTGCTAAGATCTGGTGGCACTTAGAAGTACCTAGAACAGTGCCTGACATATGAATACTTATTGAGTGAATGAATAAATAAAAATGTAAAGCTTTTATTTAATACAAGGTTAAATGAAATCTGAATACTCTACCAGAGAGTTCTATTGTGAGAAGCTTCAAGATAGCAAAGTCTGAAAGCAAACGATCTATGTATCTTGCCCATGATGCATATATGAAAGAGTTGTGACTAAGAACTAAACTCTTATTGTAGATAATATCCTTGATTAAAGTGTGACTTTTGCAAAAATCTCATAAAAATTCCACTAATACTATACACTATACTACTATACACAAATAGAAATGTGTTTTTACTTACTTCTTCTGAAAGCAAAGCATCTATAATATAAAGGAACAGATATATTCCATTTTATTAGCCCAAAAGAGCATGTTTGTTGGATACTGATAACAACACTATAGAAAAAAGTCAGAAAAAAAATCAGCTACTGGCCCAGGGATCTAACTACAATTTTCCTTTCAATATCAAATAACTGTTAAATAAAGCTATTTATGAAAAATGATTATCTTATGTTGCTAAACTTTAGGATTTAAAATAAATTTTACAACAGATAACTATGAATCACTGCCAAATTTTTGACTTCTGTTCTTTTTTAACAAGAAATGTAAACCCAAATGGTTTCAAATGTGAAAGAGTGCTAATTAAGTAGCAATTATGTACATAGTGGCTTAGGCTTCAGAATCAAATATGTGTCTGAGGAATGGTAGTATAAATGGAATTAGAACTGACCTGGGAAAGAGACTTGAGTTTTAATCCCAGCTCTGCTACCAATTAGCTGTTTACCTCGAGTCTTTGGCCTCCTTTTTTTTTTTTCTTTTTTTTTTTTGAGAAGGAATCTCGCTCTGTTGCCCAGGCTGAAGGGCAGTGGCATGATCTCGGCTCACTGTAGCCCCCGCCTCATGGGTTCAAGTGATTCTCCTGCCTCAGCCTCCCGAGTAGCTGGGACCACAAGTGCCTGCCACCATGCCCAGCTAATTTTTGTAGTTTTAGTAGAGACGGGGTTTCTCCATGTTGTCCAGGCTGGTCTCCAACTCCTGACCTCAAGTGATCCACCTGCCTCAGCCTCCCAAAGTGCTGGGATTACAGGCATGAGCCACGGCGTCCAGCCTGGTCTCATCTGTATACCTGAAAAAGAAAGCTGAAGGACTAGATCAGTGGTCTCTTACCTTCTTTTTCAGAAGGTTGGGAGGGAGCGTAGATCACTAGAGAATCTGAAAAAGGGCAACAGATGTTCCCCTCCAAATATGCACAAAATTATGTAGAGTATTTCAAAGTTTAGGATCTCTGTTATCTACTCATTTATTTAGGTTAAGGGCATTCTTGCAGATCTCCTCATAGATTCTCAAACTGTAAAATTTTTAGATTCTAAGTAAGTCAAAAGCAGCCAAAATATATATACTCATAGTCAAAATGCATGGTGAAAACCTAGACTTTTGCCTCGTTATTTTTTTCTTTGGTTTATAATAAATACTTTTGAGGATGCTTTTTAAGAATTTTATTGTAATTAAAAATGTATTTTTGGTATATTTCAAGTCATTTAGAGGTAACTAGAATACTTATCCAAGCATCTACATACTCAGAGGCAAATATATGTATCCAACCTCAAAGAGACTATATTATTATCCATTCTTGAGAATAGGTGATGATTTAAATATAGTCCACATAATATGGGGCATCAAATGATAAAACAAGAATAATTCTAGAAGAGATTTTTAATGGCAATTAAAGAGGGGGAAATTTGAGAAATAACTGGCATAATATATATGATTCAATGACTGATTATTGCCCTATTTCATTATAAAACTAAAATAACATACAGATTAAATGCAGACAAAAACACAGTACTTCAGTATCATCAGATACTAGTCAAAAGATATATGGGGCTGGGTGCAGCGGCTCACACCTGTAATCCCAGCACTTTAGGAGGCCGAGGCTTGTGGATCACCTGAGGTCAGAAGTTCGAGACCAGCTTGGCCAACATGGTGAAACCCCATCTCTACTAAAAATACAAAAAATTGGCCAGGCATAGAGGCAGGTGCCTGTAATCCCAGCTACTCAGGAGGCTAAGGCAGGAGAATTGCTTGAACCTGGGAGGCAGAGGATGTAGTGAGCCGAGATCACGCCAGTGCACTCCAGCCTGGGCAACAAGAGTGAAACTCTGTCTCAAAAAATAAAAATAAAAAAAAAGATAGAGGGGCCACTTATTTAGTCAATCACAATTGTTATGTTTACAAAGGATACTTTACTTGCCTAAAATATAAATATATTGGATATACAGTCAAGGAAAATTCCTCAATAAAAACAAAAACAACAAAATGAAAACTGCCTGAGAACTGAAATATATGGCTAGTTTTCAGGCTCCAGAATTTTGAGGAAAAGGGAAATGGCTATTCATGTATAAATCGAACACATCAGCTCATCAAACGTTTCATAATAATTCAAACTAATTTCTTTGGCACAGTACGAACCCTGCTACTTGAGGTTAAAATGAATTTGCTTCTTTTCTCTAAAGTAGACAGGTAATCAGAAATTGGATAAGGTTTACAAACACCGCATATTCTCACTCATAGGTGGGAAATGAACAATGAGATCACATGGACACAGGAAGGGGAATATCACACTCTGGGGACTGTGGTGGGGTCGGGGGATGGGGGAGGGATAGCATTGGGAGATATACCTAATGCTAGATGACGAGTTAGTGGGTGCAGCGCACCAGCATGGCACATGTATACATATGTAACTAACCTGCACAATGTGCACATGTACCCTAAAACTTAAAGTATAATAATAATAAAAAAAAGAAAAAAAAAAAAGAAATTGGATAAGGTTTAATCTTCAACAGAAATTGATTTCCCTGCTTCAGAAACCTATAAATGTTAGTACTGTAAAATATGATAGAAGAAAAGATACAATAAATGATAGCTACAGCTGTATCTTACTACTGGTCTAACTGGTTCTCTTTCACTTCTCTCTCCTCCTAACATTTATTCTTTCAAATTCTTTCCACACTTTCAACCTCTACTGAACACATTTGTACCTTGCCTCTTTCCCTTATCCTTCACTCTGCTATCAAAGTTACCTTTATATACATATGCACAGCAGGAGAAATTCATTTGAAAGGCTAAGAGAATCATTTCTTGTGGCAGCTGTATTCCCCAGCAACTGTAAACGCTACCTGGACCACTTATAAACTAGCTGGGGACATCTGCAGTTACTCTAAGAATAAGGTTTTTGTTTTCTTTTTTTTTCCTTGGTGGGGTCACCTCTGCCGGTCTATTAGGAGGACAAGTCTACATTTACATACTTTTTTATATATCAAAATTCAGCATTTTGTTAACCAAGAAAGTAAAAAATCTAGCCAGATTTGAGAAGTATTAGCCTTAAAATATTATCTTAAAAACTAAGAAATCCCACTTAATTCCCTTTGATGATTCTCCTAAAACAAATTTGGTTTCAGATTTTTTCTAAATAAATATATGAAAACTATATTCATATTCTTTTTGAGAAGGCCTCCAATATATAAAATCTTTCTGTGAAATTGAACTCTCCTGGTGTAACAATGACAGCCCTATAATGATATAATTTTAAGGGAGAAAATCAGAAATAAAAGATTGATACCTTAAGGGAAGACTATGCTGGCATAATCAGATTAAATGAGGATCCGATTTTCAAGACTGTGACTTTACAGACAGTAGTACTAAATAGGCAAAAACTTCACCTCTCGATAATTCTAAAGAATAAAAGGTTCAGCCTGAATAACTGAGGAAAGGTTTATTCTTGAAACCAGCATTTTCATTTTACCAGGTGATGAAAGTCTTTTGAAAACTTATCAACACTTCCCTAGCTTCCTTAACAGTGTTAACAGTGGGGGCGGGGGCGGGGGGAGAGAAGGCGGGGGTGGAGGAGAAGGCCGGGGCGGGGAATCTAACTTAACACTTGCTTAATGACACAAAGTTATCATTATGAACAAATTTACTGTACTAGGTGCTCCCAGTATTGCCCTCACTGCCTCACTAAGCTGGGCTACCAGTCCTTTAGCTATAGAGATCTGCACTGCCCCGCTAGCCAAGTGCTCCGTCTGCTCCCTCTCTCCTTCCTTGCGGAAGTCAGGTGCCCCTTCTCATTGCTGACATCTTACTTAATAGATGCATCCTTCTGGTTCTTCTAAAATGCTGGTTTAAATCTTCCAGGAGTTTGGAAACCAGATAACCACTGTTTTTGGAGTTTTGTGTAAATAAGAGTAAATGAGGTCCGAGTACAAGTCGGAGATTTTCTTCTGAGTTCAGGCTTAAGCTTCAGTGCGGGGATATTGGTGAATTTTGCTCAGCAGCATCACAGGCCCTTCCTTTGTCCTTGTTTCATTGTTCTCAATTGCACCCCACATAGAAAATAATCATTAGAGGAAATGAATGGACTTTTTCAAGTTTTCCACAAAAGTGCCATGAACTAGAAAAGGAAAATTCTAAAATTACTTATTACTAGAAATATATGATGTAGTAACATCTTTAATTACTACTGCTAATATTAACAAGGAAGAAAACTATTTTTTTTATAAATTACTTTTCTCTCAAAAATAAAATGACTTTGAGGATAAACTATTTAAATCTAACACAGGAAAGCTATTTTTTTCCCCAAGACAAATACCTATTTTTTAAAAAAGACACACCCAGATCTTGGTTTCTCAATACTACTCCCCAAGAAAGGGAACCAAAGCTCCTTAAAGGAATGCCTGATTCTAGGACTGGGACAAAGAATCTACAAGATGAAGCTGGAGAATGTGATGGTGCCAGAAAGGAGGTGCAAAAAAAAAAAAAAACCTTCACTGGGGGCAGTGGCTCACGCCTGTAATCCCAGCACTTTGGGAGGCCGAGGTGGGTGGATCATTTCAGGTCAGGAGTTTGAGACCAGCCTGACCAACATGGTGAAACCCTATCTCTACTAAAAATACAAAAAAATTAGCCAGGTGTGGTAGTGCATGCCTCTAGTCCCAGATACTTGGGAGGCTGAGGCAGGACAATTGCTTGAACCTGGGAGGCAGAGGTTGCAGTGAGCCAAGATCGCGCCACTGCATTCCACATTCCAGCTTGGGCAACAGAGCGGGACTCCATCTCGAAAAGAAAAAAAAAAAAAAAAAAACTTAGGGATAGGCACGGTGGCTCATACCTATAATCCGAGCAATTTGGGAGGACAAGGCAGGAAGATCACGTGAGCCCTGAGCCCAGGAGTTCAAGAACAGCCTAGGAAACATAAGGAGACCCCATCTCTACAAAAAATTTAAAAATTAGTTGGGTGTGATGGCATGTGCCAGTGGTCCCAGCTACTTAGGAGGCTGAAGCAGGAGGATAGCTTGAGCCTAGGAGATTGAGGCTGCAGTAAACCATAATTGTGCCACTGAATTCCAGCCTAGGCAAGAGTGAGGACTCGTCTCAAAAATAAAATAAAATAAAATAAAATAAAATAAAATAAAATAAAATAAAATAAAATAAAATTTAGGGAACTCTCCCAATCTGAAAGAGCTGCCAACAAACAGGCTGCAGGTATTTGAGCAACAAAATCAATAGTGACAATGTTAGATTACAACTCAAAGAATAAAATAAGCATTTATGGACCATACTGATATAAATAAAGTATTGAATAAATAAATGGGGGAAGGGACACAACTTCCTTACAGAAGAATTTCAATTAATAAATGTAGAAGGAATGAGGGAAATAAAACTAATCATTAGAATAACATAGTAATAATGCTGCAAAGAAGATTCACTGATGAATGATAAAATTAGTGGGTGAAGCTTTAAAGAAAAACAGAATATCTGCATAGCCTCAAAGTATCTTCCCCCCCCCAATATTTTATTAATAACTGTGGTGATTTTAGCATATATATACAAATTATTTGATACTCCTCCTCCTGTAGGTGGAGTTTAATCTCTCCTCCCAGTGTGTGGACTGGACTTTGGTGACTCCCTTCTAATAATAATTTAAAAAAAAAAAAGGCATGGTTATTCTTGAAAAATGCTAAGAGAGTAAAAGTGGCTGGGTGTGGTGGCTTACACCTGTAATCCCAGCACTTTGGGAGGTCAAGGCAAGTGGACTGCTTGAGCCCAGGAGTTTGAGACCAGCCTGGACAACATGGCAAAACCCCATCTCTACAAAAAAATACAAAAATTAGCTAGGCATGGTGGCACATGCCTGTAGTCACAGCTACTTGGGAGGTTGAGGTGGAGGATCACTTGAGCCCAGGAGGTCCAGGCTGCAGTGAGCCAAGATCACGCCGCTGTAACCCAAACTAGGTGACAGAGTAAGACCCTGGCACAAAAAAAAAAAAAAAGAGAGAGAGAGTGGACGTAAAGTGTTCTCACCACAAAACACAAAAGTGATAATTGTATGAGGTAATATATATGTTAAGTAGCTAGATTTAGTCATCCCACAATGTATATAATACTTCAAAATAGCACGTTGTACATAGTAAAATACATACAATTTTATGTCGATTAAAAACAATAAACTAAAAAAAGGAAAAAGAAAAAAGCATGGAAAGCAAAAATAGTAACTTTAAAGTGAAGCAACTTGGCAGATATCATCTTAAATGAGCCAGTGATTAAGGTTAGCATAGCCAATAATATATCATGTTGCTATCATGTACTTCCCTGATACAATGCAATGAGAAGTACACTCCATCACTTCTGTGGTATTCCTGCAAAAATCACACAGTCTCAATCTAATCATAAGAAAAGCATCGACAACTCAAATTGAGGGTCCTTCTACAAAGCATCTAACCAGTACTCTTCAAAAGTGTCAAGGTCATAAAAGACAAGGAAAGACAGATAAGTTGTTGTAGACTGGAGAAAACTAAGGAAACATGATGAGTAAATACAATATGGTATCCTGGACTAAATCCTCAAAGAGAAAAAGGATATTAGTGGAAATGCTGGGGAAATCTGAATAAAGTCTGTAGTTTACTTAATGGTATTGTACCAAGGTTATTTCTTAGTTTTGATGAAAGTACCAAGGTAATGGTAATGCAGATATTAACATTAGGGGAGGTTGGTTAAAGAGTATATGGGAACTCTCTGTGCTATTTTGCAACTTTTCTATAAATCTGAAATTATTTCAAAATACAAAGTTTTAAAAAGAGACAATCTTGATATGGTTACTTAGTTGTGGCAAAAAGGTCACAAACATCTAAGCCACAAACATCTGCAGGGTCACTTAAAGTATATTCCTAATATTTTTATTTAATGATTAAGAGAATTTTTTCATACCATGAGAACGGGCAGGAGGACCCTAGGGAAATACTTGCACACGTGCACCAAGAGACATGCAAAATAATGTTCATAACATTTTTGTAATAAAAAGCTGGTAACCCAAATATCCACCAGCAGCAGATTCAATAAGCTGTAATATATTCATATAGAATACTATATAGCTATGAATAGGAATGAACTATAAACACAACCTTTTGATGAATCTCAGAATATAGTATTTTTAAGGGGAAAAACTAGAAAAAAGTAGGAGGTTACAGTATATAAAGGAACAGGACACTCAGTGGGAAATTATTTTCCTTAAAACAGCAAGAAAATGATTGACTCAAAGCTCAGGATAATTTCTGCAGTGGGTGGGAAATGGGAAATGAAGTAAAGGTATCTGAGAGAGGCACACAAAAGGCTCCAAGAGTACCAGTAACCTTACATTGTTAAGGTTGAGTAGCGGGTACTAAGTGTTCCTTGTATTGTTTTGTTTTATAACTCATACATACTTACATATTCTTTAATATATACTACATATATATTTGTAACTACTAAAAGGGTAAAGGAAGAAGTTCACCTTTTAACTTATAGCACATCCTGACAAATAAACAATTTATTAGGTGCTAAAATTTTTTCCATCTCTATAAATTCCAAACTTAGAAGGTTACATTCATCTTTCTTGAATGAATCTAGAAAATAGCAATTTCTAAAAACCAATGCAGAAAGTATTACACCCATTCAGAATCTATAGGGTAAAACAAGCTTCACTAATTAATGAAGTCTAATGAGAAATCTGCCTTCTCCATTTAAAAGAAAGAACCTTTCCTCTATCTTTATTGCCATTCTGGGGTAAAGTATTTTCCCTTCACAAAAACAAGAAGTTTGTCTATGCTGGGAAAGATAAAAAAGAGAAACCCATTTGAGCTGCCTCAAATAATCATGAATACTCTTGCCTCCCTTACAGGACCAATGTTAACTTAGTACTCCAAGTAAAAATGTCTTCTGATTTTGAAGTATCTTATGCATCTGTCTTCAAAAGCCCCAAGTTATTCATAAAAAGCCCTCAAAATTTAGAAATGTTTAAATAACATTTTTAACTTTTAAATAATATACTTAAATAGGATCATAATTTAAAGCATAATTTGGATTAAAAAAATAAAAAGTAGTTATTCTGTCAGTTGAATTACTCTGACATTGGTATCCTGACTTCCTGAAGCTAACTAAAACATTCCTGCCATGATGCCAGCTTCCTAGCCAGGCTTTCTGAAAGAACTAAGGGAGCTCAAGTTCCCCCAGCTGAACAGGAGCCAAAATATGAACCACTGCCTCTTCTGTGCAGTTGTAAGCAGGATAAATTGCTCATAAATCAAAGCTGTCTTTATTGATCACAATGACAACAACCACACTAGCCAGATGGTCAGTCTTCAGGGTTCAGGACATACTTTTAAGGTAAAAGGAGCTTCAAACTACAGACCTTGGAAACAGACTTCTTGGAACCACATTATCCTTAAATAAATAAACAAACCTCAATTTAATAAAGAAAAATTACAGATAGCTCTAAGAAATACACTTGACTACTCAAGTATTCCCAAAATGACCATGGCAAATGTTCCTGGGGTTCCTCTTCCCTATACTCACTTATTTATTTCTCCATTGAGCACGGGCTTATCCCTGCCACAAGCTTTACCTTCATAAATCATTGTTTATTATTTCATGAGGGTAAGAGTGGTATTTGTCTTGTATACTACTCACAAATTTGGAGTCCTGTATTTAGTAACAATAATACTAATCTTGATTATGTAGATCAAGCATTCATAGTACAGTGAAGTATAATCATAAATTCACCACCAGGAAATGATTTAAAAAAAATCCCCACCAGTGGCTACCCTATCAGAAGGCTTTATTAACCCACTCTAGGAAAAATGTGGCAATGTGGCAATTCAATGAAGTGTATACTTTTTTGTGGCCCTTACTTGGCCTAGCAATTATTTATTTTTAAATAAATCACATAAATGAGAAATCATTTAAAGCAAGAGTCTCTGGAATGCATTCCCATCTGGTCCCAGCCCTTCCCTTTCCCAGCAGAATGGAAAGACTGATGAGTCACTAACAAACCACCCACAGCCATCTATTTTTCACTGCCTTCAGCAGTACCCATTTCATGTGTGGGGCAAAGAAGAATTTGAACAAATCACCATTCTTCTTCCTACCTTTCCTACTACTGCCAGATTGTTGGAGGGGAAAAATGAGTGGGAAAGATTATCCAAGAAGGGCAGAAAGAAAGGCAGGATGGAAAAAGCGGGCTGAGGATGTTGAAAGGCTCAAGAGGCTCCTGGACTGTTATTATATTGAATTTCTAAGAAGAGGTTGAGAGGTGGTGACAGGGATATATCAATTTGGAACACGTAATTTTCCTAAAAAGGAAACTATTCTTTCATTCCACTGAAATACTGTATTCAGCAGGGTCAGTCCAAAACTGTTCAATGCCCCAACCCATCTCTGTGTCTTTCTGGTTAAGCTGGCAGTGAGGTGACTGATTATTCATACATTCAGTCATCCTTCCTTATTAGCTTACTGCCTGGTCACACCTGGAGATCAACTGGGAACAGGTGTTTCACTCAGAGTGCCTTCCCATTTGCTTCTCCTTGTTCCTGTCCTAAAGTACCCACCCTTACAAGGAGAGGGGAAAAGAGCATAAAGTGATGGAATGGGTGCCCCATCAAGCTTTGTACAGTCAGTCTTACAGTATACTGTCAACCCCAGTTTTGCCGGGCATGTGACTTCTGGAACTATGACAACAAAATCTCAGTAGAACCAAACTACCAAATACCTTTTGAGGTGCAGACTGATATAATTTTACCAGAGAATTGTGAAGTGGTACATATGGCCTTATTCAAACCTAGGCTGTTAACAATTAAATAAAAAAGTATTTCTGGGTACAATAGCGTGCATCTGCAATCTCAGCTACTCAGGACGCTGAGGCAGGAAGACTGCTTGAGCCAAGGAGTTCAAGGACAGCCTGGGCAACATGGTAAGACCCCATCCCTAAACAATAAATTTAAAAATATTAAAACTCTGGAAATAAATTTAAAAAACAAATTGCTAAAAAAGTTTTATAAGCCTAATAAAGAATGCTTCATTACATACCTTTCAGTAATATTAAACATGAAAGTCAATGTGTGACCTCTTTAAGCAAAAAATTGGGCCTAGAACTCAAACAAAAATAAATGGTTTTCCCAGCTTCAGAGAAATAGTATGAGAAACCAATGTAATTATAAAATAGTGGGCATCCTACTGGTGTAGGTACTTTCTAAATTACTGCTCTATTCTATCATTAGGATGAACCCAGGACTATACAAAACACTTACCAGGAGTCAACATTCTTAGGTGTAAATGCCCAACAGGAATTGTATAGGATGGCCAAAGGGCTTTAAAGTGGGAACGGAGATGCTTTGGTTACAAGGACTACCAGGGCAACAGTGCTACAATTTTGTGAGGTTTGCCAGCAGGTTCTCCTTGCAGGCAGCATTACAACTAAAAATGTCAAAATATCCTACATATACCTATTACTCTCTATTCCTACTGCAACTGTGATTTTTTTCAGACTACTTCAGTATTTCTAGTCAAGGCTAGTCTTAACTTCCACTCCCATCTATGGCCTTATCCTTTCTCTTCATTCCTAAAACATGCTTTTGTCTTCTGCATAGCAAATACATATTCTTATCATACCCCCATATATTTCTTGGTTCAGTGTGTTTATTGTACTGACACTAAGTGTATCAGATCAGAACCAGTCTGTCTCTCTCAGGTTGCAAATCCTTTCAGAATGCACAGCAACACCATTATCATCTACCCTCCTCCCCCAAACAGAACATGTATATATTTATATACATTATCTCATTTACTAGAAAACTACAGTATTTGATAAAAAGAAAAATTAAGTTTGCAAAACATTTTAATGAAGTAGCATTGTTATTCAACAAACCAGTTACAGGGAAGAAAATGAAATAATGAATGAGAAGGAAACTAATTTAATATAGGCCTATGTTCAATTGTATAGAACGTGATATTCTGAAAAGTGATTTTTATGATCTCACTTGACCCACAAATCCAAATATATAAAGAAGAAAGTGACAAGAGTCATGTACTATGTTAAGTGCTTTTCACAATTGATAGTTTTACAACTCAATAAAATACGTATTATTTTCCCCCTTTGGAAAATAGGAAACTCAGAGAGGCTATGATGCTAATGCACTATGGAAACTGGCCCAATTGTCACATAGAACTGATGTTTATGGTTTCTTTTGAATAAACACAGAAATTGATCCTCCCAGTCTTAAAACTTGAGAAAGTTAAAACTGTCTTATCTGAGTTCCTTTCTCAAGAAACCATCAGGTCTCCCAGAAAGTCTCAAATGAACTATAATTACCAGATACCATATCTGGATAATGAGACACCAGACCCCTCACCCATCACAATTGCCTAACTGACCACCTGCTTCCTGCTGACCAACTTCTCTTTACTCCTCCCTAATTCCTATTTTAGCACACATGGTTACATTTCTTCCCTGCTATATAAACCCTTAATTTTAGTCCATCAGGGAGATAGATTTGAGACTGATCTCCCCCATCTCCTTAGCTGCAGCACCTGAGTAAAACCTTATTCCCTGGCAATACTCACTGTCTCAGTGATTGGCTTTCTGTGCAGCTACTTGCAAGACCTAAAACAAACCTCTAGCATGTCAGTAACAGATTTTGATTCCCTGACCTGAACACATTGCTTGCCGGTCAGCTGCTGCAAGCCAGGAGAATTCTTAGAAGCCCTCCTAAGAAACTGCCTGACCCTTTTTTGGCTGGAGGTGGGTTTTCGTCTCTCTCTTTGGCCACGCTGCTGCCTGACTGCCTAGAAAAAAACAGCCTTTGAAATCTGACATCTATGTTCAGATGAGTGAGTGTCCTTTGTGGATACCAGCAGCTGGATTTGCTCCTCTAAGAAATTCTGAAGGAATTTCTGTTTGCAGGTTGAACAAGCCCAACTGACTGAGAGAGGAAAGCAACCTTTCTGTTTCAGTTTGGACACTTTTGGGGCTTGTCTGTTGCTGCAGCAGTTGGATTGTGTTTCAGTGCAGTTGGATTGTGTTTCAGTAATTGTTTGTATATGTGTTGATACAGTTATGGGAAATCAGAATTTGATAAACTGACTTTTTTTTAATACTGTTTGGCCCCAATATTCTTTGGAATCTGCATAAGTTAGGTCTCTCCTAACTTCTCATTTTGCTGTTGAACAGGAAAGCAGGATGGAGTTCCATGTATCCAGGCTTTCACGCTGCTGTTCTAAGCAGGGTTGGGCCTGCTTAGTACATGATGTTCTTCTGTGCTGTGTTTGGCCCCAGAATTCTTTGGAGTCTGAGGGGGTTTGGCCTTTAAAAATCAAACACCTATGGAAACAGCTTTACCCAAAATTTTGGTTTATAGCCTTCACAGGATTACCTATCAGTGCAAATGAGGTTTAGCCATTTGAACATGTGTGTAGACCAGTGAGTTGGTATTGCTATTGCATGGCTAGGGTTCTGAAGTAAAAGCTATTGGATCTTTCTGTGTGCATGTGTGTGTGTGCGTGTACATGTTTAGAAGTGTTTATGTGTATGTACATTTATGTTATTATGTTTTGTCTACCAAATTGGCTTATAAATAAAAGAGCACTCATAAATTAAGTAAATACATCCAAGCATTTTCCAAGTTCATGTGACTTAAGTAAATCTTTAATAAATGAACTGGCTTTAAAATTTTTGTAAGATAAAAACAGAAATGTCTTCAGAATTGTTAGTATATATTTTTGTCTGGGTTTTATATTTGTCTCTGCTAGATATTTTGAGGTGCTGGGGTTTGGCACAGAAGGTTATAAAACTATAAACCCAGCCAAAATCAAAATGATCTTTGTGTGATTTTGTTGATAAATAAGATTAATTTAATGTTGTTGGTTTAATGAAAATGCCTGAATTTTCTGAGTTATTGATGAAAATGCCCAATGTATTTAATTTTAACATTCTTACTTAGGTGAACATCTGATATTCACAGATCACAAAGTAGTTAGCAAGGAACTGATGACTAGCTTTGTCTAATACCTCAGTTTTCAGAAGTAGTCTACATAAACTGTTTTTAAAAATGAAGGTACTGTGGGAGGCTGAAGTAGGTGGATCATGAGGTCAGGAGATTGAGGCCATCCTGGCCAACATGGTGAAACCCCGTCTCTACTAAAAATACAAAAATTAGCTGGGAGTGGTGGAGCGTCTGTAGTCCCAGCTTCTCAGGAGGCTGAGGCAGGAGAATCACTTGAACCCGGGAGGTGGAGGTTGCAGTGAGCCAAGATCATGCCACTCAGCCTGGCGACAAGAGTACATGTAAATGTGATAAATGTTTGCATTGCTTTGTTTCATACTACGTTTGCTATTCTGCATAGATAGTACTAGCACTAAAGTACTTACTGGTCATGTACCTTAAGTCAATGCCTTAATTGCACAAAATGTATAGTGTTACTGGTGGATTTAAATACATTAATTTGCATACCAGGAACAAAATATCCATCATTTGTGTTTCTAGGCTCTGGATAACACTGTCACCCCCAAGGTAAAGTATTTTTTACCTTGAGTATGAGAAAAAATTTGGGGTTCATTTTCTATTTACTTTTGCTTTCAATTTTCATTTACCTGCTGTTTGTTCTTTGGGTTTTACTTACACATACACACATGTATGAAACCAATGATGTTTTTCAATTTCTAATGGAAGGATTGTATTTGGTTCTATAAATAGTCATTTTGTTTCCTCTGCATTTCCAACAATTTGTCATTTGCTTTCAAACTTTAGTTGTGTTCACCATTATCAAAATTAAGTAACATTCACTTGGATTAAGTAGCAATAAAAATGTGAGACTTTGTACTTTCCAATGATTTTTTTATCCCAAGCGTTTTATCACTGTTGGGACTCCAGGTGTACACTTTATAACAAAATATATACAAATGTTGCACTGATTTGAGGATTCTAATGGTGAAAGTTACCTAAATAGTTGTCAGTACTGTATCTAGAAGCCAATCCTGGAGATGTATGATGATGCTCTTTTTATAGCTGAAAAGAAATTATTGTTTGCTTGTTCTTTGTCCTTGTTTTGTTGTATGGTTCACTTATCTTCATACTGAATTTCCAAGACTGGTATTTACATTAAACTTTTTTTTAAATGACAGAGAGAAAAGTTAATTGTCTTACTTTGATAAGTTTGGCACAGGACCTATCACATTTTTGACGCTTTTGGTCACAATTCTGTCACTAGAATGCCAGCAATTAGACATATGCAATGAGTATTGCATAAACTATTTTAATACAGTGGTTTGAAATGCTGCAGGCAGCAACTACTAGACACCAAATCACAGTGTTTTAATTTGTGACATGTTAGAATGATAGGGTTTCTGCAGAATAAATGTCCTATTAACTAATCCATATGCTGTTAAGTTACAGGGCTTTGACTCGTAGGTCCGAAAAAGGTACCCACTCCTGCTAAATCTTGAATATTGACACTACTCAAAGCCTCGTCTTCAAACCTGGGAGAAGTACACAAAAAGTACTGCTCTCATGAGACACACAGCCAAAAAAATTAAAGCTATTCAATCCCTCTAGGCCCAGGGAGTATCACAGAAGAGGTGGGTACTTGAGATTGTAAGGGCTGATTTTGAGGGAATAGGTTACTTAAAAAGTTTTTCTATAAATTAAACATTAATATCAAAAACACACTGATGCAAGGCCAACATCTAGGCCCCTATGTCGGAATAACAGGATTTTCTTGGAGCACTGATCTGCTCTTTAACAGAAAATTATAAAATATTAAAAAAGGTTTATGAAAGTCTTACCTTGGGACTGTAAACTAGTTCAACCATTGTGGAAGTCAGTGTGGCGATTTCTCAGGGATCTAGAACTAGAAATACCATTTGACCCAGCAATCCCATTACTGGGTATATACCCAAAGGATTATAAATCATGCTTCTATAAAGACACACGCACACGTATGTTTATAGCAGCACTATTCACAATAGCAAAGACTTGGAACCAACCTAAATGTCCCACAACGATAGACTGGATTAAGAAAATGTGGCACATATACACCATGGAATACTATGCAGCCATAAATTATGATGAGTTCATGTCCTTTGTAGGGACATGGATGAAACTGGAAACCATCATTCTCAGCAAACTATCGCAGGGACAAAAAACCAAACACTGCATGTTCTCACTCATAGGTGGGAATTGAACAATGAGAACACATGGACACAGGAAGGGGAACATCACATGCTGGGGACTGTTGTGGGGTGGGGGGAGGGGGGAGGGATAGCATTAGGAGATATACCTAATGCTAAATGACGAGTTAATGGGTACAGCACACCAACATGGCACACGTATACGTATGTAACAAACCTGCACATTGTGCACACGTACCCTAAAACTTAAAGTATAATAATAATAAAATTTTTTAAAAAGTCTTAGCTTATAGTCAAACTGATTAAAATTAGATTTATGTTTCATTAAAATTAACTTTAACATTAATAATGTACCATGCAAAGGTAAAATTGGTTTTCTCTTTCAAATAAAATTTTTATGTAATGATAATAAAAGATTTTTGTTTACTTTTCAAGTAAACTGCAGGGAAAAAATGTAGGAAGGAGAGGCAGATGTGGTTGGCCTCATGCTGTCTTCATTACATCTTATTGCTTGGGAAACTGAGTCTCCTACCTGTCAAAGAGTAAATGTTCTTATCATTTTAGCTAAATCAATGACTATTTTATGGACACCAATGATCCTATTTTGTGATATCAAGTGTAAACCTCTGACATTTGACAAACTTTTTCCAAAGGCAAGATTTCAAGTTCTAAATTCAGTCATTTTGACCTCAATCTAACTTTTTCTGGATATTGGGTCCCCTGAACTTCAAGAGAACTGTACTAGGCTTATCTGTTATGTTAGAATTATACAGGATGGACTTCAAATCTGAAGTGGTGTTTAACTTTCTTTGGGTTATATTTATATAGGTGTGTTATGAGTATGTATTCCAGAATTGAATGTGATTCCTGAAATTCTGGTATGTCTTCATTTAGGTTGTTATAATGATTATGATTATTATGCTAAATTGTTGTATGCCACAGAAATAACCAGATTTCCTTATCAACTGTGTATTTATGGCTTTCCAAAGGTCTTTCTCATCCACAATTGTTGTTTTGCTTTGCTTCTTCTCAAAAAGTGGCTTATAATCAGCCACAGTCCAGTGCTTGCTTCTTTGGGGGAGTTCATGACAAAGACTCTTGAATACAGGTTTCTGATAACTTTGGAGAGTGTGCCATTGGACTAGAGAGAAATCTTACAGGACACTAAGTGAAAGGCTGGTGTGTTCATAAAGATTGCTAACCTAGTATGAAGCAGAGTAGGAGCTGATTGCATGCACTGAACTAATGGAAGACTGAAATAATTTTTAATGGGTTTTGTTTGTTTGAAGCATTGCTGATTGTTCAGTCTGGAGAACGTTTTTTCTTGAGCTTTTTATAGCCTTAAACAATGGAGTAGAGTATACTCTTATAAATAGAATTTAAGGCACATTTCTCTCCCTCTGCCTAATTTCTCCAGAATTCATAAACTATTTGTGAATATTCTTAATTCACTGTAATGTGGTTGTTTGCATAAGTTCAATGAGAAACTGTTTTCCTTCACAACAGGACACAGTTGGAGGAACTGGTCATATTCCCAGGGCTTTGACTGAAATGGCCTTGTGATAGGTTCCAGCAAAGCCAATTTAGGAGAGCCTGTGTAGACAATGATTCTTGTTGCATTTCACATGACTAATCAGGCCAAGTATATGGGACTGAAGCTTATTTTGCAGGTAGGTTGGTCCTGCTGTGATCTGTCTTTGATAGAAGTGAAGGACTAGAGAGAGAAAGATTGTGCTTCAGAAGAAAACTATGTATTAGATTAAACTTTGATTCCTCATCCATGGTATGGAGCTGCCCAAAACACCCCTCCTAAGCATGAAGCAGCCAGAAAGACTGACAAGACAGATTCCCTATGAATGATGAATTGATCAATAAAAAGGGTGGGACCGAAACTGGCCCAACTGTCCCACAGAACTGACGTTTACAGTTTCTTTTGAATAAACACAGAAATTGACCCTCCCAGTCTTAGAACTTGAGAAAGTTAAAATTTTCTTATCTTGAGTTCCTTTCTCAAGAAACCAACCATCAGACCTCCCAAACAGTCTCAAGGAACTGAAACTTAACCAGATCACCACATCTGAATAATGAGACATCAGACCCCACACCCACCATGATTGGCTAACTGACCACCTGCTTTCTGTTGACCAACTCCTCTTCCTTACCCCTCGCTAATTCCTATTTTCCCACACATGGTTACATTTCTTCTCTGCTACATAAACCCTTAATTTTAGTCCATCAGAAAGGTGGACTTGAGACTGATCTCCTATCTCTTCAGTAGCAGCACCCAAATAAAGTCTTCTTCCCTCGTAATACTTACTGTCTCAGTGATAGGCTTTCTGTGTGGACAGCAGCAGCACCTAGACCAAACACTGTAAGGTGGCAGTTCATCGGACTCTGCTATACCATGTTGCCTCTAACTCAGTCAAACAGATAAGTTCGCTAAACCATAATTGCAGTAAATGTGAGAAGGCTAACCTGTGATATACTCAAACCATGGGCATATAGAAATTGAGTCTTAACTACAGGAATAAGCCTGGGCAGTCACAGAACCCTTGCACACTCCGCATCCGTACCTGGCCCTAGGCTACAAGATGGGCTGTGTCATTTAACCAATTAAGCCTTAATTTCCTACATATAGGAATGCAGGAGACAGACTAGATAATTTTTAAGGTTATGTCCACCATTATTTTATTTCTGATAGTAATATTCAAATGTATACATTTATTTTTTGCAATTGTGCTTAATATATAGGGGGAGGATTGAAAACCACCACCCTATAAGGCAAAGATTGAGCTTATTAAGCTCTTCCTTATCACTCCTAAACACAGATGATTTATATTTAAGCATTTAATAAGTAGCTCTAAAGGAAGGGAGATGAACTGGCCGGAGACTAACCATAAAGCTATCCTCACATCCAGGACAGGCTCAAGTTGAGTCTGCCTAATTACCAATCCTTGGCTGAGAGAAAAAAAGGAAAAGCTATCAAGTCTATCAACTTCGAACTTTGACCCACTGCCTAAACTGCCGGAGATTTTAATTTTTATACATAATATAATCTCATGTAGATTATCTCTAATCTAGATGAACAATATAAATCTCTTAGCTCATGCAATTTCCTCTGCCAAATATGCCCCTTCTCCTCTCTCTGTAAGTCCCTAGTTACCTGTATGATCTATTTCAAGTTTGTTTCTCAACACAGCGAAAGGCCACTGTTACCTAGAACCTCATCAGCCCCACACACAAAAAAGTATTTGTTGTCTCTTTTGTGGACCAAAGTACTTTCTGCAGATCGCTATTATAGCCCTTAGCACACAACACTATAGTGAATTGTTTATATGCCTGTCTGTTCCAGTGGACTGTAAGCTGTTTTATTCATCTTTGTGTCCCCAGTACCTACCAGGACCAGGCACATGGCTGGCACGCATTAAATGTTCCCTGAATTGGTTGAATAGAACAGAAAATTCCCCTTTCACTCAACCAACATAGCTTAGGGCCTGAACGCCCCAAACATTCATGCTCTAACATGTTTTGAATAGCAAAAGGAAACTCCAAGCACCCTGTAAATTCAGTTCTCACATAGACCTGTGGGGAAAAGGTATTTTTAAAAGCAAGGTTTATTTAACCCTTCATATTTCTTATGAATTTGGAGGCCAAGAAGTAAGTTAAATGTCCCTGGTATCTTTAATGCTCTGCTAATTATTTTAATACTCATGACATTCTTTCTCCTGTCTGGGAAGGTAAGAGACATTGATTATGTGAAATATCCACTAACTCTTTTAATCTACTCTCCTACTATATGAAGAGTTAGCACTTCACCCTTAGGTTCAACCATATCTTTTTTTTTTTTTTTTTTTTTTACACCAATGAATAGCACTAAGAGGCTGCCATTTTTCTTTTTCACACAAAATCTGAAAAGAGATCTGGGCCGTATGCCAGAGTTGTCAATTTTTCAAACAAGATTACCCTACCACATCAGTCATCTTTCTTCCTCCATTAGGAAAGAGATTAAAATAGAATTACACTTCCAAATGTGAGCTTAACATTTTAAAACCACTAAGCTTTTTGTATACTTAATATACTCTCGCGCTTTTTTTTTCACCTTTCCTACCTAGCACTAAACAAAACTGTGGTATAGTTTCCACTCTCAAAGATCTTTCCCATATTCCCATACTTCCTGATGTGTCAAAGACTACTCCAATTACCACAGTAAAATACTAAGTCATGATTTGGCATTTCAAGCATATTCCTGGCAATCCAGATTAGGTAGAAAGGGCACTTGAACTACATATTAGCAACATACAACCATTCCTACCTTATTCTCATGAGAAAACCAAATTCCATGAGAAAATAGATAACTTTAAAAACCACCAATGTAGAAAAACGTTTCAAAGGTCTTTTTAAATTGGAAAATCACTTATCTAGTAAACTTAAAAGCTACGTATATTCTCTATGACCCAACGATTCCATTCCTAGATATATATTATTGGTGCGTGCACAAACATACCAAGACAAATAATCAAGAACACTCTTAGCATCATTGTTAATGATAGCCAAAAACTGGAAGCAACAGTAATGTCCACCAACAGTAGAACAAATAAAGTATGCTACAGTAATGATGATGCTACAAGCAACACAGATGAACCACAGAATGTTGAATAAAAGAAGCAAACATAAAAATACACAAAGTATAATCCCATAACTATCTGTTTAACTGTTGACATGTTTTATGCATTGTTCTACATGTACTTTATATTTCACAATTTAAAAAGCAGCCTTTTAGCTTAAAAACCCTAGTCCTGCACATAAAATATTTTAGTTATAAGCATTTTTAAGTCTGTCATTCCAGCAGACTACAAACTGCTTGAGGGTGTAGATTGATTTTATTCATTTTTGGCTCCCAGAACATAATGGTACATAACAGATGCTCACCAGATATTGCCTGGATAGATGGGATTAATGAATTATGAACATAGGGAAATCTCAAATGGCAAGGGAACTTCCATGTGAGGCAGAAAAATAAAAGTCATTTGCCTTTTCCTATATATAGCCAAAGGTTAGTTTTAAAAAGTCAGCCTGAAATTTCAACTACCTAAACACATTCTCAAATGTCTGTTTCTGATGAATTGCTCCATTTGGACAAAGGATAGGTTTAATAGGAATTTTCTTAAAAGTGCAAGATATTCCTGAGCTCAGTCCAGTCAACAAATTCTGCTTTTCCCTTTTGCAATATAGCTGCCAGACTCCTGGCTGTCTAACTGTATTAATAATTCCTTAATTTAAATACAAAAACACATGCACAACCGTCTTTATAAATTTACCCCCAAGAGTTATAAAATGTTTCTCCATTAAAAAGCACATCTCAGCACAACCTGCTGTTCTTGGAGTTGGAATGCTTTCCTCCTCACAGTCCCCCATCAGTCTCCTATGGACCATAGGACTAAAATTAACTATTCATTACATGTAAAGGAGTGCTGGCTGGAACAGAGCCCTGCAGAGAAAGCGTACTATTTTACATGTCAATTTCAGCACCACAGCATCTGCTACCTTACTAATATGTATATTTAATATCTCTGCATAATATACAGAATTATATGTTGTTCATTGCCTGTTTGCTCTGATATTACGTGCTCTTAAGTAGCATTATTCTCAATTATTCTCTTTGAAGAACATGAGACTTTTTATTAGGTCTCTTCCCTGGTGTTGTCTGTAACAGAAGGCACACATGAACAGCACACAGAATACTAAAACTCATGACTCAGAGTCTGATAACTAAATATAAGTTTCTGACCTGCAATTACTAATACAATTTACTTTATATTCTAGATTCCTTACTCCTGAATATAGTTTTACATTAGGTTGTCATGAGGTGGGGGAAGAAAGCAGAAGAGGTGTTAAATTTTCAACAGCTGCTAGTAAATCCATAATACTGGAATTGTTCTTTTACTGGGAAATCTGTACACTTATGTTAAATGTCATATTTCGAACATGACTATCTTTCATCAGCAATTCATTCCATATTAAAGATGTAATTTTTTTCTGTAAACTCTGACAATATTTGTTACTGAATGAGCTACTGAATGGGGGGAAGGTGTAGCTGAATAGGATGTATAGCAAAGAAATAATATGCTAAGCCAGCTTTAAGTTATATGGTCCTCATAATATAAATTATAATTGATTTTGTTCATGAACCTTCATACTCAGCAGGAAACTGAGAGTGTTCAGTATTTAAGAACACCCTGAATGGCAATATTACACTAATCAAACCTAAGTGATACTAGATTAACAATAAACAATTAAGAAAATTAAAAATGTCATATTGGCACAATAGTTTGAACTGCTTTACTATAGTTAGTAAGTTACTAACCATAGTTACTATTGCTGTAATTAATGACATTCAGATAAATAAGATTATTCTGGCTTTATAAATCTACATTTGTTAGTGAACACTCATGGTTCTAGGAGTCAACTAGTGGATTTCTTTTTTTTTTTTTTTTTTTTTTGGAGAAAGGGTCTGGTTCTGTCAACCAGACAAGAGTGCAGTGGCATGATCACAGCTTACTGCAGCCTCAACCTCCCAGGCTCAAGCTCCCACCTCAGCCTCTCAAGCAGCTGGGACCAAGGCACACGCTACCATGCTCAGCTAATTTTTGTATTTTTTATAGAGACCAGGTTTTGCCATGTTGCGCAGGCTGGTCTTGAAGTCCTGGGCTCAAGCAATCTGCCCACCTCAGCTTCCCAAAGTGCTAGGACTACAGGCGTGAGCCACCGCACCCGGCCTGGATTTTGTTTTTTTACATAGTCTAATGCCAACTATTGGCTTGCTGATGTGATGTAGATCAGTAGCAATCTCAGGTGCCCGCAGTAAATGACTGGCACTGTACCACTGGCTTGTACTCACATGTCCAAAACACGAGGCCTAAAAATTCAGTAATAAACTTTAAAAAGGTTAATCTATTTTCCTTTCAGATGTAGAAGTTTAGGTTCCACTATTCCCAGAAAACAAACCCACAAGTACATGTTCATTGTCACCCACCCCACTCTACCTTTTACAAGTTCCCAAGGAATCCTTTGGCTGCCGAAGCAATCTTAGTGCCTCCACTTCCCTTTCCCTTATGTTGCAGAACCCTTTTTGCTTGGTTTTAGTGTGACTTTACACCAGCTAATTGGGAACGTGTGTGCCTTGAAGCAGATGCTCATACTCTCAGTTTGAGGAGGTAGGAAGGGCAAGATCGAAGAATGGCTCTAAGTGGCTCCCATCTTTAACATGTCAACAGGCAAAACACATTAGATTATGGGCAGTGGAAATGACTGCAGGCCGACATAATTAAAATCATCAAGAATATTTCAGGCTGAAAATCATTATAACCTGGAAAGACAGACCAGTTTCATTGTTTTCATATTGATGAACAGAACTAGCTCTATTTCTGAGGAGCAAGAACCATCTTGCTCTACTTTCTGATACTTTGTCACAGCTGCAGTTTTACATTTGTCAGATACTTAACATTTACCTTTCCACTAGAAGGTACACTTCTGAGGACCAGGGTCATCCATTTGCCCCAGCACATTGCCTAATATTTAGTAATAACAACTCAATAAGTATTTGTTGTGAAAACATGTGAGCATGAATGCTAGAAGTAAGTAATCTCATACAAATTCATGGAAGTAGCCAGAACCTATCATCAGACCAGAAAAGCTGGTAGTGAATAGGGCTTCCATAAATAAGTGAGTTCACAGTCTAATGTCAGGATCTGCAGGATATATAAGTTCTGTATATTTAATGAACAGTGTGACACCTACCTAGCAAAGATCTTAAGAAATAAACTAAAAAAACACATCCAGGAGGAAAAACTAAGTTAAAGTGAAGGAAATATTTTCTAATACTTTCAATATGTAAAATTTAACACTAAGATTACTACTACTGTATTGTTCAGTTAAAGCACAGGCCAGCTGATGTTCAAGCTGCTACCAACATCTCATTTAGTGATAATTAGTGACTACATTTTTTTTTTTTTTTTTTAGACAGAGTCTTGCTCTTATTGCCCAAGCTGAAGTGCAATGGCGCAATCTCGGCTCACTGTAATTTCTGCCTCCTGGGTTCAAGCAATTCTCCTGCCTCAGCCTCCCGGGTAGCTGGGATTACAGGCATGCACCACCACGCCCGGCTAATTTTGTATTTTTGGTAGAGACGGGGTTTCTCCATGTTGGTCAGGCTGGTCTTGAACTCCCGACTTCAGGTGATCCGCTCGCCTTGGCCTCCCAAAGTGCTGGGATTATAGGCGTGAGCCACTGCGCCCAGCCTAGTGACTAAAATTTTAAAATTATAACAAATTGCTCATCTTAAATATCAATTCTTGACTACAGACCAGAAAATAATTTTTAACTGGTGATATCCCACCTTAAATCAGATTTCAAAAAATTAAAAAAAAATCTAAGCTCTCTGTCATCTAAAACTACCACCAAAAATGAACCTTATAAAATATAATAAATCAGCTTCTTAATCAACAATAATTTTAAAATGTAATCCGTAACAGTTGTTTAAAATATGCATAACTCAGTTTGGAATAGTTATCCTGATTTAAAGCAAAACCACATCTGTTTATGAGTAAGTAAATATAGTCTGACAGCAATTTGGAACATCTATCAGAAGGAATCAACTGCAAGCTTAATAAGCATTATTTGTATTCCACATAATACTCTATTTGTTCTTTCTAGCCACTGCAGTAGTAAAACACACTCAAACTCATTTAGTGTGTACTAAATCTAAAGTACCTAGGCGAAACACTAAAAATTCCATTTGGATGGTTCCCAGCCCATATAGACCAACTTTTTAAAGTATTACTACCATCTGGTTACTTGTCTGTGTTTACCAAAACAGTAGCTGTGCACACATTTCTTTAGCAGCTGTGGTCAAAAACTTTAAATCAATCCATTTGGCTAAATGAAAACTCTTCAAGGGAAAAACAAATATCATATTTTAAATATATACTTAAAATAAATTCCATTACTGCCTTTAGTACTCCCCAAAGACAAAAACAGTAAGATTTTAAGTAGTATTTAAGACATCTTCATATTTTCAATCATTTATCAAATGACAGAAGGTCCATAGAAGTCAAGTGAATTGCCCAAGGTCATACAACTCGCCAGTAGTTAGACTCTGTCCAGAACACAGGTACTATATCTCTCGGTTTCCAGTACAAGGGTCTTTTCACAAGGAGTTAAATTGTGTCAAGGGAATACAGCATTTAAAGACAGGTTAAATGTATTTTAAGGGCATATTGTATTTTCATAAACCTTATCAGCTCATCATAAATTATAAAATGATCTGTATTTGTTTCGTAACTGTGATAAAGAATTTAAAGCATCCTGTGAAATTTATGAGAATTTTAATTTTACAAACATTTTCTTTTTTTCACATCCTCCACTCCACCCCTCCCATAAAAAAACTAAGTCTATTCACTTGCACACACATGTTATAGCAGTACCATTTGCAATTGCAAAAATATGGAACCAAGCTAAATGCCCATCAACCAACAAGTGGATGAAGAAAATGTGGTATATAGACACCATGGAATACTACTCAGCCATAAAAAGAAACGAAATAATGGTATTTGCAGCAGCTTAGATGGAGCTCAACACCACTGTTCTAAGTGAAATGACTCAGGAATGGAAAACCAAATATCATATGTTCTCACAAGTGGGAACTAAACTATAGGATGCGAAGGCATAAGAATGATATAAGGGACTTTGAGGACTCGTGGGGGAAAGGTGAAAGGGGGGTGAGGGATAAAAGACTACACATTGGGTACAGTGTACACTGCTCAGGTGACAGATACACCAAAATCTCAGAAATCACCACTAAAGAACTTCTCCATGTAACCAAAAACCACCTGTTCCCCAAAAACTATTGAAATAAAAAAAACTTTAAGTAACTGTAGTATTAAAAAGTTTTCCATAGTAAAATGTACATATTTTACTATGTGTATATATGTATTATACATATTTTTATATATATTATACATATATTTATATATGTTATATATAGTATATATAATACATATATTTATATATATGTTATATATAGTATATATTATACATATATTTATAGATGTTATATATAGTATATATAATACATATATTTTATACATATATTTTATTATATGTTTTTATTACACATATATTTTTTATTATATTTTTCTATTATACATATATTTTTATTATACATATATATTATACAGATATTTTACATGGACATGGCCATGTATGCATGTTATGTGATTATGTAAATGATCATCAATTAATTGTTCCTTCTTATTGCTTATTTATATTTTTTGTTTGATATTTGTATCAGAAAAAAAGATCTATATATTTCTATCAATATTGAAAATTTGTCAAGTTTTCTTTATATTTACATAATTAAATGTACTTTTTAAAAAACTAGGTCTAGGCTGGGCACGGTGGCTCACGCCTGTAATCCCAGCACTTTTGGGAGGCCGAGGCAGGTGGATCACCTGAGGTCGGGCGTTTGAGACCAGCCTGGCCAACATGGTGCAACCCCGTCTCCACTAAAACTACAAAAAATTAGCCGGGCATGGTGGTACAAGCCTGTAATCCCAGCTACCTGGGAGGCTGAGGCAAGAGAATTGCTTGAACCCAGGAGGCGGAGGTTGCGGTGAGCCAAGATCACGCCATTGCACTCCAGCCTGGGCAACAAGAGCAAAACTCTGTCTCAAAAAAAAAAAAAACAACTAAGTCTATAAATCAATCTTATTTCTGTGGTCAAGAGGCTAAGCTATTATATACTACAGATCCAAAGTTAATTTATTTGCTCCTACACACATCTCACACACACACACATGCACACACAATTAAATGCCACACCGCATGCCTTCTTGTAAATAGGAAACTTCTTCTTTGACACTATCAAACTTTGAAATGATCCCTTTTCTCCTAAGAAACAAACCTAATCCCCAAATATAAATTAATATAGAAATTTTCTATGTCTTGCTTAGAGGGGGAATGAAAGGTAGTAAGCCAAACGTACTCCATATAAATCTTTTTTGATAGCACTAAAACTTTCTGTAATAAAACTTAAGAAAAACAAATTTTCAAGACATAATGGAGAATATTTTCCATTTATTTGCATTAACAGGCCATTATCCTTGCTTAGACAAAAATGAATACAGTTTCCTTCCTTCCTTTTTCATGTTCCGAAGAAGAAAAAATTTAACGACCCACCAAAACAAAGCATGTGTTCTTTCCTTCTATATGGAGTACTAAACCAAGGCAAATAAATGAACATTAAATTATATGAGGGTAAGGGTATGGAAGGTGTGAGTTATGTAATATTTACAGGTGGACTGTTTTTTTTGTTTTGTTGGCTTCCTGATTCCTGGTCATTTATTTTAGAACATGAGAACCCAATGAAAAACCCAAACTAAAATCTTTTATCTACTTCCTTATATCATAACCAAGAAAAGAACGATCACTGTCAGTAGACAGTATCTGGAACAAACTGGGAATAAGTTAACAACATCATCATTAAGACAAATGAATATTATCTCATAGGTGCCTCACAACAAACAGGCTTGAACAGTTGTTCATGGGGCAGGATAGGCAATATGATTCCCATCTGACATAAAGAAACTCATGGAGATTACATGGGGCATTGGGGCCCAAGGCTAATAAGCCAGCTGTGAAGCTGTGATGAAAACCCAAATCGTTTGGTGCCCAGTGCAGTAGTCATTCCACAACACGGATTCAGTTCATTTCACCAGTTTCAATTAATATGCAAGGATAACAAGATGAAGCTATGTAACAATGCCTCACTCTGCTCATCTACTGTTTTTGGTCTTCTTTCTCTCTTTCTTTTAACACTCTTACGTACTCTGTGGCTTGGCTTACAAGCTGAATCCTGCAGTTCGTTTTGCACAGGTGGTCAGGATTCCATTTAACGGTTGTGTATACACAATTGTTTCTAAATTCAAACCTAGCACAAGCCGAAGTTTAATTTAATGTTTTAGAGAAGAGGGAAGCAAAATTGTTTTGAAATTCTCTATGAAAAACAGCCTGTTGTATTAGAACAAACAGCAGCTTGTTCCTATCAGTCCTTTGTTTGACAAGTCTGGGCTGGCTAGAAAGGTCATTTATGCCTCAAAGCATCAAATTAACATTTGAAGACATGAATTTTAAAAATGGCTATTTGCTTCTGTTCTGTGAATGGCTAATGTAGTTCAAAAAAACAGAAAGGAGAAAAACCCACTACAGTTTTAGCCCAGTCCCAAGAAAGACCAAAAAAGAAAAAAAACAAAAACAGAAAAAAGAAAACCCGAAACTTTCTTCAGGCAAACTAAGCATTGACTTTATACCCATGTCAACACAAGCTATGCCTTAATTAAGCCTCATTCTTTAATGAAGAATTAAGAGGGTAGGTGAAGTAGTCAAAGTTTTTTTTGTTTTTTTGTTTTGTTTTTTTTGAGACGGAGTCTCACTCTGTCGCCCAGGCTGGAGTGCAGTGGTGCCATCTTGGCTCACTGCAAGCTCCGCCTCCCGAGTTCAGGCCATTCTCCTGCCTCAGCCTCCCGAGTAGCTGGGACTACAGGCGCCCACCACCACGCCCGGCTAATTTTTTTTATTTTTAGTAGAGACAGTGTTTCACCGCATTAGCCAGGATGGTCTCTATCTCCTGACCTTGTGATCTGCCTGCCTCGGTCTCCCAAAGTGCTGGGATTTCAGGGGTGAGCTACTGCGCCCAGCCAGTAGTCAAACTTTTAACCAATACAGGAAGAAAAAAAAGATCACGATTTATTTACCATAAGATGATTTTTTTTTTTTTTTTTTTTTTTTTTGGAGATGGAGTCTTGCTCTGTCGCCAGGCTGGAGTGCAGTGGCACGATCTCGGCTCACTGCAACCTCTGCCTCCCAGATTCAAGCGATTCCCCTGCCTCTGCCTCCTGAGTAGCTGGGACTACAGGCACGTACCACCACCCCTGGCTAATTTTTTTCTGTATTTTAGTAGAGACAGGGTTTCATCATGTTGGCCAGGCTGGTCTGAATCTTCTGACCTCGTGATCCACCCACCTCGGCCTCCCAAAGTGCTGGGATTACAGGCGTGAGCCACCATGCCCGACCCATAAGATGATATTTTGGCAAATCATAAAAACCTTTAAATAAAGCTTTTCCCTCTCATACATATCCCTTCTGCCCCAACACCAGTAATGACTGTATAGAGTATACTCCCTATTTAATACTGTCTGGATTCAAATACAACAGTTTTTTCCTTAAAGTTCTTATTTTCGTAGCACAAGTCTATGATCTAAACATTTAAAACATAAGCCATCATTACTAACTGCAACTTTCACAACTATACAAATATTGATTCAAGATCAGAAAATACTTCGGTTTCATTGGAATGATCAAGGTATCTGGAGTCTGAAATTCACTGTAGACAGCCTTTTAAAAATCATTCATTTTCATAATAGCTATGTTTTACAGATGTATACTGGGAATACAATCATGCCTCACTATAAGAGGGGATTAGTTCTAGGACCTCCTGAGTATACCAAAATCCTCATACACTCAAGTTCCTGCAGTCAGCCCTGCAGAACCCCCATATGCTGTATTTTCAATCTGCATTTGGTTGGAAAAAAAAATCTGCGTATACATAGACTCACACAGTTCAAACTTGTGTTGAATGGGTTTGTGATAAAGGTCAACTGTACCACAAGCAGCTTCTATAATATTATGTAAAATATAAGATCTAATATCAGATTTAAGATTAATATAAGATTTAATATAACAGGAAACCAAATTTGAGAATCTTACTAATTTCCCAAAATATTATAGAAAATTGAGAAATTTTCCTAAATATGAGGAAAATTATAGAATATTACTATCAACAATTCAAAACAAACTCCAAAATGGAAAATCATTTTGATATGATTACCTTCACTAGAAATATTCTACAATGTCATGAAACTAGCTGATAAAATCATGTCTCAGTGCTACTCTCCTCAGGCCACCTCCCACCTTTCTTCTTCCTGCTTAACCCCTTTCAATCTGGCTTCCATTCCAAACATCCCATGGTCAGAGTTCTCTCAGGATTAATTACTGATCTCATAAATGCAAACCACAAAGGCCTCCTTTCAGGCCTCATTCTCCTTGACCCTTCTACAGCATCTGACAATACAACATAAAACCCTTTGACTTCGCTTCTGCAACACTGCACTGGCATGATTTTCCACTGACCTCTCAGAACATCTCTTCTCAGTACCTTTCACTTACCATTCATGTATCTAAATGATTCTCAAGTTTGCATTCACTTCATGCAGATCTGCCCCTCTGTACAAATCCTGGGGATACCGTTCACACAAAAGACAATGTGATCAGTACCCACTGGAGCTGAGCAATGGAGTGTCCCTGTCCTTGGATGTCCCTGTCCTCAGGCCTTACCACATGCTTCTTCCTCCTAGACAGTAGCCTTCATTCCCACACCTTGCACTACAATACACACACACATAGACACATACACACACAGGACGGCTCTCAAGTCTACATCTTCATCCCTATTTTCTTCTTATCACCATCCTTCCTGACCAAATGTTTGCTGGCTAGCTCCACAGGGAAAATAGATATTTACATCCACTCATATTGCACTCTAACGCCTCACACTTGATATGTACATAGCTGAATTTATCTTCCGCCAAAACCTGCACCACTTCCAGGCCATGCCAGATTCCTTCATTTCCTTCATCTCGGCCAAAGCAGATTTTGCCAAGGCCTTCCCCTAAATTTTCTCTTTATCTACTGCCTCTTCTTCATTCCCAACGCCCTTCTCTAAATTAGGCCTCACCTCTTACCTTAAACAGATAGGCTCTCTGCCCCTACCATCTTGTGGCTTGAATTAAGCATCGCCACTACAATACAGGTAAATTTTAATACAAAAGCAAGATAAACGTTCCACTTGATTAAGGCAAGAAGCACACCATCATTCTCTCTGTAACAAACCCTACCCCCTGTAGGGGAGAGCAATGCTCCATGCAAAGCAGGCACTCAATGAATGTGTCAGAATATGAACCTCAAATGAGTAGCAACACTTGACTGTCCCCCCAACACACAGAGGTTTCGTTTTAAATTGAGGTTTCCCTGCCATTTACATAAAATGATAAAAATGTAATGGAAGATTTCCCAAGAAATGTAAGTTTTTCTCTAAATCATTGAGAATCTGTTTTATAACAATGGTAGTGGGCCTGTAGTAAATAATTTACAGTGTTCCCTCTTCCCCGCCTTATCAATAAGAGTGACAGCCAAGGTGAGGGGCACAGGCCACAGCTATTAAATAACACAAAACTACCCAGAAATCAAACATGTAAAGACTACTGAAAGCAGATCAGAAAGAAAGAAAAAAATAATAAAAACAACAGAAAACTAAAAGCTCAAACAATGTAAGTTGTTATAATATGAAGATATCTAATGAAATGGGACCATGTTCTGTATCCCTTCAAATATTTCTGACATCCCTGTAATTTTTAAAAAATAAAATAGCCTAAGAGACTGAGTACAGTGGCTGATGCCTGTAATTCCAACACTTTAGGGGGTCAAGGTGGGAGGATGGCTTAAGGTCAGGAGTCTGAGACCAACCTTATCAACATAGCCAGACCCTGTCTATAAAAAAAAAAAAAATTGTTTTAAGTTAGCTGCGTGTAGCGGTGTGCACCTGTACTCCCAGCTACTTGGGAGACTGATGCAGGAGAATCACCTGAGCCTGAAAGTTTGAGGTTGCAATGAGCTAAGACTGCATCACTGTGCTCCAGCGTGGGTGACAGAGTGGGACCCCATCTCTAAAATAAAACAGCCTAAGAGAATCACCAAAATGGCTCTTAAAACTCAGGAAAATTACTAGAGCACGGACTTCAGTTAAGAGAACCAAAGCAGGCCAAGTGAGTTAGTTCACCATAGTATTCATGACTGTGTTTTCTTTTTGCAAAAAAACATATGACAGTCCTTAACTTTAAGTCAAAACAAATGTCTTTCTTGCCAGAAACTAAAAGATTAAGGAAGTTCTGTATAAATTAGAGCTCCCTTGTGTACTGTCCACTGTAGACATAAAATTCTCTGTGGTCCCCTCCATAGATAATGTTGAGATCTAATGGGCATATACCTAACCTGTCCAAGAGCCATTTTCAAAGTAAGCAGAAATTAAGAAAGCCATCTCCAGTAGCTGGAAAACGGATTCTCAATATGGAAGAGGTGGTACCTACAATAAAATCCCATTTTTATGGACTCTGTCAGAAAAAAAAAATCATGTTAAATATAAGAAGTTTGACAATTTAAGATTTTTTTGAGTTGTTTTATTAGCATTAAATAAACATATACACTAGAATACAGTTGGTCTTTGACATCCATAGATTCAACCAACCATAGATTTAAAATATTTGAGGGATCCTGGCATGGTGGCACACAACTGTAATGTCAGCACTTTGGGAGGCTAAAGCAGGAGGATCACTTAAGCCCGGGAGTTCGAGACCACCCAGGGCAATGAAGTGAGTCCCTGTCTCTACAAAAAAAAAATAAAAATTAACGAGGCACAGTGGCTTGTGCCTGTAGTCCCACCTACTTGGGAGGCTGAGGTAGGAGGATCTGTGGATCTCATAAGTTCAAGGTTGCAATAAGTTACAAACATGCCACTACACTCCAGCCTAGGTGACAGAGCAACACTGTATAAAAAAAGAAAAAAAATATCTGGGGGAGAAAAGTTCAATGAAGTTCCAAAAAGTAAAACTTGAATTTGCCATGTACAGAGTACTACATTGAATTCATGTGAATGAAGTTATGTGTAGGCATTCTATTAGGTATTATAAGTAACCCAGAGATTATTTAAAGTGAATATACATATGTTACATGCAAATATATATGCAATATATAAAATAGCCAAATGCCATTTTATATAAGGGACTTAAGCATCCTAGGATTTTGATATCCACAAGGTTCCTAGAATGAACCTCTCACAGATACAAAGGGATGACTGATGACTGTATATATAAACACCAAAAAACTTTAAAATGTAGGCTATTTAATTATTCTGCAGCCATTGTAGTAAAGATAATTCAGTCATGAACCATCAATAGATGCCAAGTCTAGGGGGAAATTTTGATAAAGAGCAAGATATAGTCATGGTCTTAAAGTGTTTCCCCATGGATTGCTTATTAGTTCCAAGAGAAAAAAGAGTAACTACATAGTGAATTGGAAAACGCTTTGACTGAGTGATGATCACAATTAACACTACCAATAAGGAGCAAATGGATTTTGTGTGCCTCCAGATGTGATACCCTGAGAAGGACACATTACTTACACAGTATTCAGGCAGAGAATCCACAGCCTGAATTTAATCATGAGAAAAAAAAAAAAAAAGAAAAACTCAAATAAGGAAAATTCCCAAATAAGAAATGTTCTATTAGAAAAAGGTGGGCATGCTATTCTTTAAAATGTCAGTTGTAATAAAAGATAAAGAAAGTCTGCAAAGTACTCCGGAGTAAAGGAGGATAAAGAGACATTGAGAACTAAATGCATAACTGGATCTAGAATGGATCCTGTTACTGTGAAGGAAAAAAAAAATCCCATGAAGAATATTATTCAATCAATTGACAAAACTGGAATATGAACAGATTAGTTAAAAGTTTTTACCAATGTTAAATTTATTGAAGGTGACAGCTGTGCTGTCTGTATGTAGTTTTGTAAGAAAATATTCCAAAATGGTTTGGAAAAACAATATTGCTTGCATATATAAGTGCGTATGTATGTGTGAGCAGAGAGAAAAAAATGTATCAAGTGGTAAAGCAAATGGTGTAAAATGTTAAAAATACATTAATGGAGGTAACATGTTTACAGTTATTCTCTGAATTATTCTCACAACTTCTATACATTGAAATTATTATCAAATAAATTATTTTAATATAGAAGGTTTATATGTATCACAACTCAGTATTCTGCCATTTAATTTGATAAGTATAGTGTTTATATTTAAATAGTACTGTGAAAATAGTACTTCATCACAATATCACTTTACAACCTTGCAAATCATGCAATGGCCTAAACTGCCTCATGATGTCAGAGAAGGATTTAACTGTGTCAAATGTTTTAAAAGCAGCCTCCAGGTTTCCATAGCTGAGTGTAAAAGAGCAGATCCTGCTTCTAGAAGGCATTTTGTTATTGTATAATAATAAAATAGGAAGAAAGATAGCTATCCTGCTCACATCACTCCCCGTTATTTAAGAAATCCAGTTATCTGCCCATTTCTTACTAAATGAACATAACGTTCGAAGTTCCTAGCTGAGCACATAAGACCCTTCACAATCAGGGGCAGCTTACCACTTCAGATTTATCTGCTGCCACCAGGCCCATATACTCTCAACATTCCTGTCATTCTGATCCCTTTTATAAGCCCAGTGCTTTTGCACATTCTGTTCCCTCTGCCCAAAATGTCCTTTACCAATGGCCTTCTCTTTCTGATGAACCCTCCTCTTCTCTTCCTTCCTGGTTAACCTTAAATGCCTCTTTCCCTCTGAAGCTTTTCCTGACTCCTCTGACAAAAGTTAATCTTACTCCTTATGCTCCTTATACAATTCCCAAATAACTGTGTTCCCATTTCCAGGTTGTATGGGGATTTCTCTCTTTTTGTGAGTTTCCCTATAACTAGAACATGAGAACTCTCAGAGCATGAATTATAGTCTAGAACCACGGTGTCTTCTAAGCATGGTGCTTCATAAACACTGACTAGATGACTAAATTAACTTTTTTAACTGGCACAGGTTCAAAAAACAGCCAGCCCTGCAGCATTTATTTTATGCCAGATACCAGTGGAAATGCTTTACAAATGCCAATTTATTCCTCATAACAATCCTAAAATGTAGATGTGCCACTGCTATATTTCATCAATTCTATGAATATACACCTTTTTCTCCATTTTAACCTCTCTGAAATTGGGATGTAACTAATATTCAGTGGTCTATCATAGTTCCATGGACAATATTTTTTCTTCCTTAGGGGTACAGAAAGCAATGACACATTTTACAATCAATGGTCTTGGTTTTGATAAAATCCAGTTATTATTCCCAGATATTCCCTAATATTTACAAGTGAGGAAACTGAGGCACAAAAGAGAGTTTAATTAACTTGCTAAAGTTTACACATAAGAGCCAAGATTAGTGCCGGGCGCAGTGGCTCACGTTTGTAATCCCAGCGCTTTGGGAGCCCGAGGCAGGTGGATCAGGAGTTCGAGACCAGCCTGGTCAACATAATGAAACCCTGTCTCTACTAAGAATACAAAAATTAGACGGGCGTGGTGGCGGGCGCCTGTAATCCCAGCTATCCAGGAGGCTGAGGCAGGAGAATTGCTGGAACCCAGCAGGCATAGGTTACAGTGAGCCGAGATCGCACCACTGCACTCCAGTCTGGGTGACAGAGCAAAACTCCATCTCCAAAAAAAAAAAAAAAAAGAGCCAAGATTAGGTAGACCGGCTCAGAACTCACACTCTTAAACTACATATTATAATAGCTCCTCAACAAAAGTAATTCCATAGCATGAGTGGGCTACTGGCACCAGAGCTGGAACAGCCCAAAAGTGAAGCTTGCTCTTCGAGGTTCGAAAGATTCTGGGAAACAGCTGAGGTGAAGCCCAAGATTAGAAGCAGTGAACTAAAATGGACCTTGAAGTGCCTGAGGAAAAAACCGAGATTATCTGTCAGCGTCTGCTCTCCCTAGGCGAGACCAGGGTCTGAGCCCCGGCTTCTCTATTTCCCACCTCAGAAGACATTCTCTACATCTTTATTTTCTCCTTTATGTTTGCCCTTAAGTTTCCAATAAGTGCAATTATAATTCTCTCAGAGCTAGTAACTACTCAAAAAATAACCTAATCGAGCCCTGTACCTTATATCTAATCCCTGTAACATCATCTCTGGTAAATAGTTACCTAGCCTCACCTCAAACACTTAGGCAGTTCCTTTTATTTTTAGAAAGATGGAAAAAGATACTCCTTATATTAAAGTCCATCTCCTTCTAACTTCTGCTCCTATGTGTTCCTTCAAAGCCTGCACAGCAAGTTTTAATTCCTCTTCCTCCTCACAGTCTTTGTCCCCTTCTTTGAGAACTGTACTTTTGAGATAGCAACTCAGAGGCATCCTTGCTTCAAAAACTGGCCATCAGCAGAAGTGATCAAGGCACAAATTGCTGGCAGTAACACAGGCACAGGAATTTAAGGACACAGAGGAGGGGCTGCTCATTTACGGGGGAGAGGAGGCAACTAAAGGTTCATTGAGGAGGTGGCTTTTGAGGGATAAAATGTCGTCAGCCAGTATCGAAATTCTTGCATGGGGAGTGGGGGGAAGTGAATTTTTAATGAAAAGGAAAAGCTGAACTTTCAAACATATGAAGAAGTCTTTTTGGCTTCCAATATTCTTGCTTTCATTTTATGATTCTGGGCAGAAGGCTCACTGGCTTGTACAATTTGTGCAGTGCTGAATGCATAGATAACCATCCTACTGACAGTGGAATGCAGAGTTGGAATAAACACAGTGAACTTACCATCTGGGTGGTGCCATCTGATTTGTAGCAATATCACTTGCTGAAGATTCTACATGTATCTTCACTAAAAGTGGTTGCCTCTGTCACTTCCTTTCTGATCACCTAAGATAAGAAACTAGCACAAATGCAACATCTATAACTGCTTCTTAATTATCAGTGACCAACAACAAGGATGCCCATTTTCACCACTGTTTTTTGTTGTTGCCGTTTTGTTTTTTTTTTGTGTTTTTTTTTTGAGATGGAGTTTCACTCTTGATGCCCAGGATGGAATGCAATAGCACGATCTCAGCTCACTGCAACCTCCACCTCCCAGGTTCAAGCGATTCTCCTGCCTCAGCCTACCGAGTAGCTGGGATTACAGGCATCCGCCACCATGTCCTGCTAATTTTTTGTATTTTTAGTAGAGACGGGGTTTCACTATGTTGGCCAGGCTGGTCTCAAACTCCTGACCTCAGGTGATCCACCTGCCTTGGCCTCCCAAAGTGCTGGGATTACAGGCGTGAGCCACTGCGCCTGGCCCTCACCACTATTATTCAACATAATACTGGAAGTTCTAGTTAAAGTAATCAGACAAGAGAAAGAAAAAGAAAGAAAAGAAAAGAAGAGAAACGGCATCCAAAGTGGAAAGGAAGAAGTCAAATTATCCTTGTTTCCAAATTACCTTATATTTGGAAAAATCTAAAAACTCCATTAAAAAACTATTTGTTCTGATAAACATATTTAGTATAGTTGCATGATACAAAATCAACATACAAAAATCAGTAGCATTTTTATATGCCAACAGCAAACAATCTGAAAAATCAAGAAAGTAATCTTATTTACAATAGCTACAAATAAAATACCTAGGAATTAACCAAGGAAGTGAAAGATCTCTAGAATGAAAATTATAAAACACTAATGTAAAAAATAAAAGAAGACACACACAAAAATGGAAATATACTCCATGTTCATGGATTAGAAGAATCAATATTGTTAAAATGTCCACACTACCCAAAGTAATCTACAGACTTAATGCAATACCAATCAAGATGCCAATGACGTTCTTCACAGGAACAGAAAAAAAAATCCTAAACTTTGTATGGAACCACAAAAGACCCAAAATAGTCAAAGCTATCTAAGCAAAAAGAACAAAACTGGAGGAATAACATTACTTGACTTCAAATTATACTACAGAGCTATAGTAACCAAAACAGTACAGTGCCAGCATAAAAATAGACACTTAGTAAGTGGAATAGAACAGAGAACCCAGAGATGAATCCATATATCTACAGTGAATTCATTTTTGACAAAAGTGCCAAGAAAATCCTTTGGGAAAAGGACAGTCTCTTCAATAAATGGTGCTGGGAAAATTAGATATCCATATGCAAAAGAATGAAACTAGACCCCTGTCTCTCACCATATACAAAAATCAGATCAAAATGGATTAAACACTTAAATCTAAGACCTCGAACTATTAAACTTCTAAAGGAAAACTTTGGGGAAACTCTCCAGGACACTGGGCTGGGCAAAGATTTATTGAGTAATATCCCACAAGCACAGGCAACCAAAGCAAAAATGGACAAATGGGATCACATCAATTTATTATTTAAAAGCTGCTGCACAGCAAAGGAAACGATCAACAAACTGAAGAGACAACTCGCAGAATGGGAGAAAATATTTGCAAACTACCCACCTGACAAGGGATTAATAACCAGAATATACAAGGCTGTGCTCAAACAACCCTAGAGGAAAAAATCTAATCGATTAAAAAATGGGCAACATTGATGACATACTGGCTAAAGAAAATGTGGTACATATACACCATGGAATACTATGCAGCCATAAAAGAGAACAACTTCATGTCTTTTACAGGAACATGGATGGACTTACAGGCCACTATTCTTAGCAAACTAATGCAGTAACAGAAAACCAAATAAAACATGTTCTCACTTATAAGTGGAAGCTAAATGATGAGAACTCATGGACACAAAGAAGGGAACAACAGACAATGGGGCCTACTTGAGTGTAGGAGGAGAAAGAGGAGCAGAAAAGATAACTGTTGGGTACTGGGTTTAATACCTGGGTGATGAAATAATCTGTACAACAAACCCCCATGACATGAGTTTACCTATGTAACAAATCTTCACATGTACCCCTGAACCTAAAATTTTTTTTCATGTGATACATATGCACAATGGAATACTATACAGCCATGAAAAAATGAGATCCTATCATGTGCAACAACATGAAGGGAACTGGAGGTCATTATGTTAAGTGAAATAAGCCAGGCATAGAAAGACAAACTTTGCATGTTCTCACTTATTTGTGGGACCTAAAAATTAAAACAACTGAACTCATTAAGAGAGTAGAAAGATGATTACCAGAGGCTAGGAAGAAAAGTGGGGATGGTTAATGGGTACAAAAACAAAAACAAAGACAGAATGAGGCCAGGCACAGTGGCTCTAGCTTGTAATCCCAGCACTTTGGGAGGCCAAGGCCAGCAGAACACTTGAGGCCAGGAGTTTGAGACCAGCCTGGGCATCGTGGCAAAACCCCATCTCTAATAAAAAATAAATAAATAAATTAGCTGAGCAGGGTGCGCCGGTAATTCCAGCCACCTCGGAGACTGAGACATGAGCACTGCTTGAACCTGGGAGGCAGAGGTTGCAGTGATCCAAGACCCCACCACTGCACTCCAGCCTGGGTGACAGAGCAAGACTCCATCTCAAAAGAAGGAAAAAAAAAAAATAGAACGAATAAGACCTAGTATTTGTTAGCACAGCAGGGTGACTATAGTCAAAAATAATTTAATTTTACATTTTAAAATAACTAAAAGAGTATAACAGGATTGCCTGTAGCACAAAGGATAAATGCTTGAGGTGATTGATATGCCATTTACCCTGATGTGATTATTACATGTTCCATGCCTGTATCAAAATATCCCATATAGTCCATAAATATACATACTCACTATGTACCCACAAAAATTAAAAATTAAAAATTAATCATCATTATAATCAATTATCAAATCAAATTGTTCTAACGTGCACCTCCCTACACACTCTCTACCACCACTCCCCGGCAGCCTCTGTTCTACTGCTACTTAGTCAGTATAAAACATGGATAATGCTTAACACCATGCCCCAATTCACTGTGATATCAAAAAAAAAAAATTGTGTTCTGGTAAAAAAAATACTAGAAACTTCTGTATGGAGAACATTTTAAAACCTTATTATAAGTGATCTTTCTTCCTATCTGATGTTAAATGAGTCATCTACTGGTCTAGGAGCAAGTGAAATGTCTACAATATTGTTAAAACTTTCAGATATATAGTAAAAAGCTGGACATTAGTATCATTTTGTAGGTCTTTCACATGCTCCATCACTTAATCCTATTCTGTCATTAGACAATGTGCTGGTCTCTAGAGCATGTGTTAGGTTCTTTGTACAGTCATTTTTTCATTCTTTATCAATTAATTCAATGTGATGCCCTCCAGGCAAAGATGAAAGAATTTAAAGATTACTCTTGCAAATTAAAATGTTTGGTGTTCCTAAAATAACCATAAAAATATCTGAATAGATTTTACAGTTTATAAAGTACTTTCTAATGTATATGACACAACAATCCTGTGAGATATGATCTTCGTGTTACAGGTTAAAAAACTGAAGTTCAAAGATGTCAAATGGTTAACCCAAATCCATGTTTCTAGTAAAGGGCAAAGTTGGATCTCAACCCAGACCTTCTGATTGCAATTTCTAAGATATTTCTATTGATGAAACCACAACTACTTCTAACACAATTGCACACCTAACTCCAGCCCAGATCAACCTATTGTATATCCTGTTCTGTAATTCATACAACCAGAAGGCAAGGGCCACAAACTACCATTGTCCTGAAGGGCACATCCCTCAGAAGAAAAAAGCCTTTCAGGAGAGGCTTGCATTGTGTGGACAAGGCATGATATTCTAGACCAGTGCTGTCTAATAGAATTTTCTACAATGATGGAAATGTTCTATACCTGAGCTGTTCAATATATTAGCCACTAGCCACATGTAACTATTGAGCACTTGAAATGCATCACTGAGAAAATGAATGTTCCATGTTATTTAATTATAATTAATGTAAATCTAAATAGCCACATGTGGCTAGTGGCTGCCTTACTGGGCAGCTCAGTTCTAGACCTTGAAGACTGGAAGCAGAGCTTAATATTAACATCCAAATGGTATAGCCTTGAGTACAAATGAAAATCAACTTAATAGTGAGCCCAGAGCACAGCACTGATTTACTCAGTGGTTCATGAGAACTGTAATGGATGTGATACCATCAACAGTAATATAACCAGTGAGATAATGGTAGAATTATCTTTCAATCTTTCTAAACCTCTCTGGTGAGCCAAATCCAAAGAGTGACTAAAGACACCAAGGCATGTTGATAGTATCAAATACAAAGGGCAAATAACTTTAATCTATAGGCCACAATGGCTTTCCTGAGAGAAAATTCATTACTATACATGGAAACTAACCCAACTAAGTTATAAAGAGGAGGCCGGGCGTGGTGGCTCATGCCTGTAATCCCAAAACTTTGGAAGGCCAAGGCAGGGGGATCACCTGAAGTCAGGAGTTCAAGACCAGCCTGGCAAACATGGTGAAATTCTGTCTCTACTAAAAACACAAAAATTAGCCAGGCATGGCGGCGCACACCTGTAGTCCCAGCTACTCAGGAGGCTGAGGCAGGAGAATCGCTTGAACCTGGGAGGTGGAGGTTGCAGTGAGCCGAGATTGCACCACTGCACTCTAGCCTGGGCGACAGGGCAAGACTCTGTCTCAAAAAAATAATAGTAAGTTATAAACAGGAGCTGAGGGATGTGAAAAGCAAGGTGTCTCGTAAAGTAAACATTATTTCTCTAATAATAACACTTTATCCCTGCACTGAAAAATTTTAAAGAGCATCTTAAAGACCATTCCCTTGTCTCTGTCCTTAAAGTACCACATCCATATTTCTATCGCCATCTACCACTTCCCTTGGAAACATTTGTTTCTGTGTCTTGACCCCTCACTCATCTAGATAGTCACTAGAAGGTTTCATTTAAATAAAAATCATAGAGTAGGCCGGGCACAGTGGCTCACACCTGTAATCCCGGCACTTTGGGAGGCCGAGGCTGGTGGATCAACTGAGGTCAGGAGTTCGAGACCAACCAGGTCTTGAAAATTTCTACTAAAAATACAAAAAAGTAGCCGGGTGTGGTGGCAGGCACCTGTAATCCCAACTACTTCGGACGCTGAGGCAGGAGAATCACTTGAACCCGGGAAGCGGAGGTTGCAGTGAGCCAAGATCACAACATTGCACTCCAGCCTGGGCGACAGAGCAAGATTTCGCCTCAAAAAAATAAATAAATAAATAAATAAATCATAGACTAGTTCTGTATTGAATCCTTCTTTGTGTTAAAATTATTGAGCCTTTCAAAATCCCTGGATAGGTTTTATGAGTGCTATGAACAAAGCAGTTATCATTCCCCATTCCTTTAGCATAATCTACATTCAAATCACCATATTTGGTGCTGATAAAAGGACTGGACTGCAAGTTAAAAGCCTGTAGTCCTGGTTTTGATTCTCCCACTACTAGATATTTAGACCTCTGCAAACCACTTAATTTCTCACTGCCTCAGTTATTCATATGTAAATTGATGGACTGATTAGATCACCAATAAAGTACCTTCGAATTCTAAAACTCTACCATCCTGTGATATCCTCAATGGTTTTCACTTGGTTTCAAGGTCTTTCTTGAAGCTTCCTAATAAGAAAAACCACACAGTTTGCTTATGAAGCAAAACTGTGATATGTACAATCTGCTTTAAAAATTCACAGATAAACAATCTACCCATTCTCCAAAACTCTTGAGTATATCAGTTATTTAAATATAGAAAAAGACATGCATTCGCTTATAGTATTTCAAAACAAAAGTCCTTAACTGTACAAATTTAAAAGTATGCACTTCAGTGGTAAGGATCCGATTAGCTACAGTAATGATGGAGCACCAAGAAAAGCACATGCTAACATGAACCTCTTTTGATTAGCTTTTGCTTTTCATTTATGTTTCAGACTCTACTCACACAATCCACACAGCCCCTTAGGCAGCCTTTCTAATTACTGTGTTCTACAGTTCTGAAACTGTGTCCTCTAACCATACCTAAAAACAGTACCCATAGGAAAAGAAAAAACAGCATTTCTACCCATTTGAAGGCTTCTTTGGGAACCTGCATCTATTTATACTAAAAAAATCCACTTTGAAACTGAACTTGAATAATTTTAGTTGGCACGCTTGAGTGATTTTCATTTAATAATCTCCTAAACCTGTTTAATGTAGATAATATATATTGAGGCAGGATCTTCTAACAGATATAGGCAGTGAACTCCTTTGTGAACTCAAAGTCCTTTTCATTTCTGCAACTACAGTTCCAACCTAATTTCCATTAGTCTACAGGCAGATGCTAACAAAGGTATGCGCTTTTATTTTTTTTTTCTTCGAGACGGAGTTTGCTCTTGTTGCCCAGGCTGGAGTGCAATGACACAATCTCGGCTCACTGCAACCTCCACCTCCCGGGTTCAAGCAATTCTCCTGCCTCAGCCTCCCGAGTAGCTGGGATTACAAGCATGTGCCACTACGCCTGGCTAATTTTTGTATTTTTAGTAGAGATGAGGTTTCACCATGTTGGTCAGGCTGGTCTCAAACTCCTGATCACTGACCGAGGTGATCCACCTTGCCTCGGCCTCCCGAAGTGCTGGGATTACAGGCGTAGCCACTGTGCCCGGCCTTATGCACTATTTTGTTGTCTTTCTGTTCATACTTCTCATTCATTCCCTGTCTACCTTCCTCAACTTCTGTTCTTTCAAATAGGCTTTGTGTTTTCTAGTCTTAGCAACTTATTTGTGTTTCAATTCTGTCTTGCAATCTAATGGTGGTTGCTGGCAAGGCAGCTAGCTGGGGCTAGTGCACTGCGTGAGGCCAAAGGAAGGGGCAGAGCTAAACTAAATCACTCCAAGAGGGATGGACCTACAGGGATCAAACCTTTGATTCATCTCATTGGCATGAGGTCCTAAGCACCTGGCTAAAAAGCCTGCCTGCTGGTCACTCATCACTTCTGAGAGAATCAAGAAACAGGATTCTATCATACCCCCAGGAGGAGATCAGAGGTGTATAAGCTCTAACAGGTGATATAATCAGCTAGGAGGAAGATCAAAAGCAGCATGATATCAGAGGCTGTGGCTCCTGGAAACTACTGCTAGAGTGTCTAAAATTCTTATTAAAAATTTCAAGAAGTCTCATCGTTTCTGCGGGAGGAGGGGGAGATGAAGCTGTAAAAGAAGCTTCACTAGTAGGGAAATCCCAAGAGTTATTAGAATTGACTCATCTTAACAGGGCCTTGGTGAGTTATCAGCAGGTACAACAACACTGTGAAAACCGGCCTTTCTGCCTCCTTCCTCTCTATTCCTTCCAAGAATCTGGATTAATTCAGCAACAAAGGAATGCCATTCGTTCCACAAACTCACATGCAAAGAGAACACTTCCATATAACCCTTTTTGTATCCAGTGATTCCTAGACTCTGCATACTCCTCACCCAACACAAATGTAAGAAGGTTAGATTTAGATTACGATCCACACTTTTGGTTTTATAGTAACATCAGATTGCTGGTATTCTAAGCCCTGATAAACTTATCTTGAATAACTTAAGCTCCCATTACCTTTCATTGGTAAATGTTTCATGAAGTCTTTTTTGTCCTTAACATTCTCAGTTGTTTAAAACAAACCAAAAATCTTTTTTAAAGTTTTAAAGATCCAATTATTCCTTCTGAGGTAGAATGCAGCATATACATTAACTAACTTGAGCTCATCCAGCAGCAGATACTAAGTGGCCTGTAGTTGACTGGTTATGCCATTTTTTAACTGTGCCCTTTGTGAACTGTAGAGAAATGGGGCCCAGAACCTTTATATGGCCAATCAGTCCCCATGTCATATCCATCCCAACACACAAACATATTCTTACATAGGAATCAGTAGCGTTTTTTTTTTTTTTGGAGACAGAGTCTCACTCTGTCGCCCAGGCTGGAGTGCAGTGGCGTGATCTCGGCTCACTGCAACCTGTGACTCCCTGGTTCAAGCGATTCTCCTGCCTCAGCCTCCCGAGTAGCTGGGATTACAGGCACGTGCCACCACGCCCGGCTAATTTTTGTATTTCAGTAGAGACAGGGTTTCAATATGTTGGCCAGGATGGCCTCGATCTCCTGACCTCAGGTGATCCGCCCACCTCGGCCTCCCAAAGTGCTGGAATTACAGGCATGAGCCACTGCGCCCAGCCCAAGGGTTTTTATCCTAAATATTCCTATGTCATACATCAAAATAACACTCCCTTCTTGATATATGAAATATCTCTAAATTACTTTCTAGGCTCTACTTCATACATTTTCGATCATAAACTAACATGCAAAAGCCTACTTGAACTCCACCACATTCCCGAAAAGACTGCAAAAACAAAACTATTAGCTCTGTGTTGCAGCCATAGGGAACAGTACGAGGAGCATCAGCTTTGGTGCCAGTCAAACCTGGGAATGGCATTTGCTGGCTGTGTATCCTCGAGCAAGTACTAACCTCCCCGCAATCCAGTTTCCTCATCTATAAAGACAGGATTAAAATGCCATCTATTTCACAGCTTTCTTCTGACAATTAGGGTTTAGATAAAATAGCACAGAGAAAGGGATTAGATGGTGCAAGGCACAGTGTTCAACATTTTTTATCGTAACTCATCTAAAATCTCTTAAGGAAAAATAACCTAAAAAGTAAGCAAAGAAAAACTTAAAAATCTATTACTCAACAGCAGTATTGAACGCTGACCCCTTTGAAACATAAATAATCTTATTCAGTTTACCTCTCAACCATATTTAATGAGCACAGCAGAGTTCTCTCATGCTGACTGCCTCAGTTTGGGGATATGTTTGTTGGGCTTATAACTATTTCAAAATACTTCCCCTTCCACAGAGGAGACGGACATCTCCTCCCATAAAGTAATTCAGTCTGAGCTAAAATCCTGTATTTTCAAATTTAAAAACCATAACTAATTTTATAGTTGGCACAGGAAATATCTTTTTTCCTCTGCCCTAATTCTACAGGGCAAAGGAAAAAAGATTTCAGCCATGCTATTTACCTGACCTCTCTACTGCATAGCTCAGACTCAGGTCCAAAACTAAACCCTTGATTTGTCACGTCCCAAAACTGTTCTTTTCCCCCTCATTCCCAGCTCCAATAAACAGTCACCACCCCTGATCCTCAAAATAGAAACCTCAAAATCACCTTGGCTTCTTTCTTCTTTTTTTTCCCCATCCCATCCAATGCCATCACTAAATTGGGCTGATATGTCCACTTCTCTCCATCACTGCCCCACCCTAGTCCAAGCTAATACTGAACTATTACAACTACCCTCTTCACTGAACACCTTGCTTCCACTCTTGCCCTCACCAACATATTCTCCAAATAGCACCCTGAGGATGGCTTCCCACTACACTCAAGTCAATTCCTTTTAATGTACTGGAATTACCTCACAGGATGATCTTTGCCCTGTCCATTTCTCCTACCCCATCTGGTATCACTCTCTCCTCATACTGCTCTGCTCTACAACTCACACTGCGTTCCTTCCTTTCAGTTATTTGAATACATCAGGTCGCCCCACCCCCACCCCACTCCTGCCCTCAGGAGCTTCCTTCACACACACTTTAACATCTCTAATTTCCAAGAAAAAAACAAACAACCCCATCAAAAAGTGGGCAAAGGATATGAACAGATACTTCTCAAAAGAAGATATTTATGCAGCCAAAAGACACATGAAAAAATGCTCATCATCACTGGCCATCAGAGAAATGCAAATCAAAACCACAATGAGATACCATCTCACACCAATTAGAATGGCAATCATTAAAAAGTCAGGAAACAACAGGGGCTGGAGAGGATGTGGAGAAATAGGAACATTTTTACACTGTTGGTGGGACTGTAAACTAGTTCAACCATTGTGGAAGTCAGTGTGGCGATTTCTCAGGGATCTAGAACTAGAAATACCATTTGACCCAGCCATTCCATTACTGGGTATATACCCAAAGGACTATAAATCATGCTGCTATAAAGACACAGGCACACATATGTTTACTGCAGCACTATTCACAATAGCAAAGACTTGGAACCAAGCCAAATGTCCAACAATGATAGACTGGATTAAGAAAATGTGGCACATATACACCATGGAATACTATGCAGCCATAAAAAATGATGAGTTCATGTCCTTTATAGGGACATGGATGAAATTGGAAATCATCATTCTCAGTAAACTATTGCAAGTGCAAAAAACCAAACACCGCATGTTCTCACTCATAGATGGCAATTGAACAATGAGAACACATGGACACAGGAAGGGGAACATCACACTCTGGGGACTGTTGTGGGGTGGGGGGAGGGGGGAGGGATAGCATTAGGAGATATACCTAATGCTAAATGACAAGTTAATGGGTGCAGCACACCAGCATGGCACACGTATACGTATGTAACTAACCTGCACATTGTGCACATGTACCCTAAAACTTAAAGTATAATAATAATAATAAAAAAGAAAAAATAAGGAAAAAAAAAGAAAATAAACAATAGTGAAATAAAAAAAAAAATCTCTAATTTCCATTATACTGCAAGTTTATTTTTGCTCAGCAATATGTACCCAGCAACTGACTTTAAGTCTGGCACACAGTAGGTATTCAAAAGGAATGAATGAATGAATGAATGAGAACAGAAAATAAATTTTAATGATAAACACTTTCAACAATAAAATGGAAAACAATACAAAAGACCAGGCTTAATGAGAGGAAATTCACAATAAACCATTTTAAATTAATATTCAAGATGGACACTCCTAAGAAAACATAGATTCTTCAGCAGGGTTCTTAGGAACCAATACAGAGATTAACAGAAGAGTTTTGAAAACTGAGCACAATGTGCCTCTTTTCTGGTTTTGACAATCTGTTTTCACTGCGGAACTTGCTTTCTTCAATTCCATCTCAACGCAAGCCAAGAAGTAGCCCATAAAAAGAATATGCAAATAGTTAAAACACTAAACAGAACCTAAGACACAAATGTGCTGCCAGCTGCCCCAAATAACATAAACAATAAATGCCTCCACATCACTAATTCCTGATATGCAAGGAAATGGAAAGGGAAGATTCTAAATTCAAGCCCTGAAACATACTAAAATCACACTACACCTGAGCTATCAGTCTTCAGGGGATCAAACCTAGGATGCTGCTTCTCTCCCGACCCCATTTCCCAGCAAACGATGCCAGATCTAAATTATGGTAGTTGCAACTCTGACCAACCCAGAAGTTCTATTCCTGCATAAAAAGCAGTTCAACTTTCTCCTGTGAAGTTTTTCTCTTTTTATCATGAGATCTCAGTATAGGGTCCCAATCTCAATTCCCTGTGATTCATTGGAAGCAATAAGGTATCACGTGCTTTGTCCAAAGTTTCAAACCATCTAATAGAAACTGTAGATTTACCAGAAGTAAAGTTACAAGGCTAACATAACAAAGATCAATTTTTCATTTCTTGTGGGCTGAAATTAAATCAATTTATTGTGGTTACATTGGTTATTTGATCGGTATTAGCAGCTATAATGTCTTTGATTAATTTCCTAAAATCTCAATATATGAATGAAAATGAAAATGCATGCTATGGTCTGCATACTTATCCCCAACCCCAATTCATATGTTGAAATCCTCACCTCCAAGGTGATGTGCCGCCTTTACAAGGTTAAGTAGGTCACGGATGTAGAGCCCTCATGAATGGGATTAGGGCCCTTAAAAAGAGGCCCAAGAGAGACCTTTCATCCTTTCCTTCTACCACATGAAGACACAGCAAGAAGGTGCCATCCAGGAACCAGGAAAAGGGGCCTCATCAGACACCCAATCTGATGGCACCTTGATCTTGGACTTCTTAGCCTCCAGAACTGGGACAAATAAATTTGTATGGTTTATAAGCTACTGGTTAAAGGTATTTTTGTTATAGGAGCCTGAGTGGATTAACACATTGAAGACAATATATTTCAAAACATGTGTTAACTAGACAAAAGTAATTTTAAAGTGTTCTTATTAAAGACAAGGTTGAAATTTCCTGAAACATTTTAGAGTATTCAGGAAGCAAAACTATATTCTAGCTTTGTCCAAAAGCTTCCAATTAGGGGGTTGTTTCTTCACTAATATCAAGACTTCAGGGAAGCAATTTTTACTGTATTCCCATCCTTTGTAACTCAAAATGTGCTCACCTTAGTTGTCATTAAAGTTTAAAAAACAATTGAGTCACACTTAAGTCCAAATACAGACTCATCCAACAAGACACAAACATTCACTCCATATTTTGAGAGGACTGTATTTTAGAAGAACTGATAACTAATTTGGCAAAAACAAAGAAAGGAAACCTCATTCTAAATACACACTCAAATCACTCAAGGCTCCACTCCTAGAGCACAGGACCTCCCAGCGACTTTGCTGCAGTGCTTCAGACAAGCAGAGAGATGGAGAGACCAGTCAGCATCCACACCAGGTTGCCATTTCTTCTGCTGCCCTTTCCAAGCATGCCAAACCATAGTGTATTATTAACCAGAATATTCTTACGTCTTCATAAAAGCGTTTTTTGCCTTGAGTCCTGTTATAGGAAAACTAATAAAAAGCATTTTCCCCTGGAGAAACTAAGACACGATGAGATTAAAAGTGGACAAAGTCGTATAACTGGTGACTTAGCAAACTAAGCACACTTCATACCTCATTCTTAATTCAATGTTCAATCTGTCAAATATTCCTGTTGGCTATTCTATGTATTAAATGAAATGACCTTAATATTTGAGTTCAATGTAACAGTAGTTTACAACTCTGTACTCTTAAAATTATTCTGCATGAAGTGTACTATCAACAAAAAGGTATCTAAGTGAAAAACACCAGTCTTTAGAATCTAGTCAGATGGTTTAAAAAGGAAATAAATCGCCGGGCACGGTGGCTCATGCCTGTAATCCCAGCACTCTGGGAGGCCAAGGTGGGTGGATCACGAGGTCAGGAGATCGAGACCATCCTGGCCAACATGGTGAAACCCCATCTCTACTAAAAATACAAAAATTAGCCAGGCATGGTGGCACGTGCCTGTAATCCCAGCTACTCGGGAGGCTGAGGCAGGAGAATCGCCTGAACCAGGGAGTCAGAGGTTGCAGTGAGCCGAGATCGCACCACTGCACTCCAGCCTGGCAACAGAGTGAGACTCCGTCTGAAAAAAAAAAAAAAAAAAAGGAAATACATCCATTATTACAATACTATTCACAAACTCAGAACACTTAAATTCTGTGCAATTGTCAATGTGGGGCTGAGCACTAGAGTACCGGGGTAATTTAGGGCTACACATGTTGCCTTTTGCCAAGGCTGGTCCTGAGTTTTCGTAGTTTTGTATCTTCCTGGTCTATATGCTGACTTCACCTTAGTTGGGCTGCTATACATAGGTGAAATCACAGTGATTGTGCCTAAGGAAACCATGAAGATCATACGGAAGCTTCTCAACATGAAGGACAAATAAGTCCAAGGCTTCCTCTCATGAAAGGCTAAAACTCCCTTTATCAAAAGTCACAACAGTGCCACTTTTACAAATCTGGGGTCCCTGAAAGAGTTACTCAAATCAATTAAATTAACTATCAGATAACTTCAGTAGCTACTCAAAATAGTCTTCCTTTACTGGCCTGATCAAGTAACAATGTTTTCCATGGAGCTTAATGGCTCCTTTTAGATCCTTGTCTATGAACTGGTATTGCACTCCATGCTTACCCACCCGCAGCTCTCACCATCCCACATATCCCTCTCCACAAAAAGCTAATAAATTTGCATTCCTGACTCTGACTCATACAACTAAGAAACCGAAGACTAACAAAACTCTTAGGTATGACTAAGCAAAATGATCTAATTAATAAATAGTCAAGAAATACAAATGTTTTTAAAAGTAAAATTAACCATCAAGAAAACAGGGTATGGTGGAGAAGGGGGAACTATAGCTCTAAACACCATCCTTGTAAGTTGCTACCAAGAACCCACATTTTTCTTTAAAGGCTGAAAATCAGCAGTAATAACCCAAAACTATCTTGCGCAAAGGTGGTCTTAATAGAGATATAATTAATCTTGCCAATTTTCCACATAATTTCTCTCCTTTTTTGATCTTTTGCTTTACAAAATCATGCTTGAAAACTTTTACAATTTCTTTCTGGTAGCAATTCTGAAATGAAAATGGACTGCAGGTAAGTAAATTTGAGAACCTCCTTAAACAGCAAAAATCACCTCCCTAGCCCCTCCACTGGTAAAAATCACCAAAGTTTTTACTGTGGCCCCCTCGTTCTCAGAAACAAAAACAAAAACAAAATGGCCTTTGAAGTTGGACAATTTGGTATGTGTTACATTTAATTTTGTGCTTATACTTAATACCTAAAGTGAAGCAATACAGAGGCCTGGATTTCAAAAACGGGAAAAAAAAAAAAAAAAAAAAAAACCTTTCCCCTCATTACAAAGAAAATCTATAATCATAATTTAGAAGTCATCAAGGAAACGCAAATCTTGTGCCACCCCGCCTCTGCGCGGTCGGGTCAGTCACACACACGCCGCCCCGCCCCCGCGCCATCAGTCACACGCAGGCCTCGCCCCATCCTGACTCCCAACCCCGCCCCTCGCGCTGTCAGTCTCTGACTCTGGCCTGCGGCTGAACCGGCGGCGCTGACGTCAGCTGGCGACCGCGGCCGCATTCCTAAACAGTTCAGACAAACCCACTGGTGGGAAGCTTCGAAAGCCCTCAGCTGTAGTGAGGAAAGCAAAGGTTTGGCTGGCAGCCAGACTCCTGAGCTCAGCATTTTGTAATGCACTTCCTTTTTATTTAACAGCTTGCATAATGCCCTTAACCCTTCCTTTACCTGCATCACACCTTTAACCCCTTCTTTTCCTGGTCGAACTTCGAAGCAAACTTCAGAACTTGGTCTCCCATAGGGTTTTAATATATTCCTCACCAATTTACAACTGACTGATTTTTAATACTGCTGAAGAGGCAATTTAATTAAATGCACTTGCTCCCCCTAAACTGCTGTTTCCCCCTTAAAGCAATGTTAATTTTCAAGCAAAGAAATTAAAACATTTTATTAAAACAACGTATTTTAAAGCTTTTTTAGACCCCCTCCTTCATAATTTATCTTCTTGAAATTATTGTCAAGAGACAATAGCTTCAAATGGTCCAAAACAAAAGGGTACACAGTGACAAAATCTCCCTCCAACTTCGTCCCTCAGTTGCCCTGTTCTCATCCCATGATAAATTGTTACTTCTCTTGTATTCACCCAGAAGTATTTTAGTGATACATAAGGAAATACACATATATTCTATTTTCTCCTTTTTAAAATGGTAAACTCTATACATAATGTTCTCTACTTTGCTTCCTTATTCTTTTTTAGAATTGCATGGAATTCCACAATTTAGCAGTCCCCTATATATGAGCATTTAGGTAATTTCCCATCTTTTTGCTATTACAAATAATGCTGGTGTGAAAATCTTGTATGACTGTCTTTCAAGAATAAATTCCTAGATGGGAAATTGCTACATCAAAACAAACACATGCATTTGTAATTCTGAGAGGTAACAGCAAACTGTCCTCCACTGAGACTGTACCTTTACCCTCCCACCAGCAGTGCAGGAGGATGCCTATTTCCCTCATGCAAATCAGGCTGTCCCAGAATTCAGATAAGAGGCTCTCTCTCAAGCTTATTTTATTTTTAGAAAACAGATCTGTGAAAAATTGTATCTTAGTGTAGTCTTAATTTACATTTTTCATATTATGAACGAAGTTGGGCATCTTTTTATATATTTTAGAAGCCATTTGTATTTCTCTGTGAACTGTTAAATCATCACCTTTGCCCATTTTTCTATTTGTTCATCATTTTCTTACTGCTTTGTAGGAGCTTATGTTTTTCGAAAAGCAGTGTTTTGTGTATGACACTTTGAAAGATCTTTTTTATATATTTTAAGAAAATTAGCTCTTTGTGACATGATTTGTGAAAATTTTTTCCAGTTTGGTAAATTTATCTGTTTCATGGTTTCTGCCATAGAGAAATTTAGGGATTTTTATGTAGCTGAATTGTTACCAATCTATTCTTTCATGGTTCTTGGTTACTATTATCACAGACTGTCATTCCCCATGCAGTTTGTAGAATAATTTTCCAGTGATTTCTTCAAATATTTTTATGTTTTCAGTTTTACCTTTCAATATTTAGAGTCTGTACTTTTTTTCCTAGATATATATCCACTAGTCCCAACACAAATTGAATAACCTATCTTTTCTCACTGATTGGAAATGCTACCTTTATCATATTCAATAATTTTTCTTATGTAAAAGTGGGGCTCAGAGGAATTTTAGGCTGCACTTACACCAGTGTTAATTTTAAAATCTGGTATAAAGTAAGATATGTTTTCCATGGACAACATGGTCCAGTTTCAATAACTAAATTTCAGATTTGGGGAACTGTGTTTGTTATTTTTAAATGAAACTAAATCCTTTTTAAGATTTCTGAGAGGCCGGGTGCAATGGCTCACGCCTGTAATCCCAGCACTTTGGGAGGCTGAGGTGGGTGGATCACCTGAAGTCAGGAGTTCGAGACCAGCCTGGCCAACATGGCAAAACACCGTCTCTACTAAAAATACAAAAATTAGGCAGGCATGGTGGCAGGCACCTGTAATCCCAGCTACTCAGGAGGCTGAGGCAGGAGAATCGCTTGAACCCGGGAGGCAGAGGCTGCAGAGAGCCGAGATCATGTCACTGCACTCCAGCCTGGGTGACAGAGCAAGACTCTGTCTCAAAATAAATAAATAAATAAATAAATAAATAAATAAATAAAAGATTTCTGAGATAAATTATAGTATCATATGCCACCTTTAAAGACTTAGGCTTTTTGAAAGTAAATACCTACTCGGAAATATTACTTCTGACTAATTATGACAGATTTTAGTCTTCAGAGACTTCATAAAATTACCAGAAAGATGTAAAATGTTGAAAACATTGTTAAAACAAAATTTTGATACTGACTGTAGACAACTTTGCCTTTTAATATATTCTTTAAGGAAAAATGAGTGAGGAATGAGGATGATCTAGTCCTTTCAACTAATTTTTACCTTTCTTTCAATATCTGTTAGGGATTACTACACCAGGTCCCTATAAAATTTCTAGGCTTCACATTTATGTAAACCATCATACTGATAAACAAGTAATATACTATTAATATATTAAGTATACAAATGTTTTCAGCTTTAGTAGATGTTAAAAGACAGTGATATGCAATAATGATCAGTTGCTGAAAAGAGCAGAACCACAGTTTTGAACAGGACCTCATAAGGTTAGGCAGGTGGTTCCCCAAAGAGATAGCAAAATGACACAGACCTGCAGACATAAAGTTCAAAGTACCTGTGTGTTAATGGAGAAGGCCAAGACTGGAGGGAAGAGAAATTCTGCCAAAGCAGGGAGAAGCCTCCAACCCTGAGATGCAGAAGACCCTAATGCAGCTCAGGCTGTCTACTGAATGACAAGGTTATCATTTATTTCACAGTAGTCCCAAGCTCCAGACCTCACAGGACCACAGACTATACATAAAGAAAAAGTCTTTAAAGGTATTTTCTTTGTGTGATACATATACATATTTTAAGATTCTGAAATATAATTCAAATAAAAGACTTTAATCTTCCAAATAAAGATGTGGTGCTACAATTATTTTTATGGAGTTACTCTTTTAAACTCTGAGCCCCTTTCCATATAGAAACTATGACACTGAGAATAAAGTCCAAACAGAAATGACTTTAGAGCTCTTGACACTCTGTCTCTAATCTACTCTTCTACTCTTGTGTTTTACAGAGCCTACACTTTGGCCTCATGGAAGCAAAGCCTACTGTTTTTCAAACATGCCTGTTGTCTTTGCTCAAGTTTTCCTGTATCTGGAATACCCTCCCAAGAACAGAAAATACCAATCTCTAATGCAAATCTTCTCTTATTTTTAAAGGCTCAGCTCAAATGCCACCTCTGTAATTTCTTCCTCCTCTGAGGAGTTAGCCCCTCATAAAGTCTATTAGCCTCTCCATGACGATGATGGTGGTTGTGGTGAAGAAATTGAAAGAGAAATGTCATCAAAATATATTTAAATTCTCACTAATAAAAAGATGAAAGAAACTATACTCCATTAGACAGGCCACTACAAAGAAGAAAAATGTAGATCCTATTTATTTAAAAAATCTACTTAAGACATTCCACTTATGTGAACAAAGTATACATTTTGATTAATCCCATCTTTGGTGGTTGGAGTTTACAGTATACCCACCATATCTTCAAACATAGCTTTCTATCAACAAATGAAAAGGAATATAAAAGAAGACAAAAGCTAATACACCTTAAATATAGCTATTATAGCAACTAACCTCTACAACAGGATAATTACAGTTAAGTTCAACTGGTCTCTCACTCCTAGAAGCTCTGGCTGTTGGTTCGGAAACCCTTCGTATTTATGGCCTTATTTGTCATATTGTAAGCCCAACCATTTCTGCTACTGGTATTGACTCCTATAACTTAGGACCCTGACCTCCAAAGGTTAGGGTGGGAAACATATCCTACAGTTCTCAAATCTAACTGGGCATCAAAATTACCTGCATAACTCAAGAAATACACAGATTCTCAGGACTGAAGCCCCAGACTTCCTTAAGTATAATAACTAAAAGTGGGCCCCAAGAACTCTATTTTATAAAAACAACCAAAAACCCGAAGACAAAAAAACAACCCTCTCTAGGTGATTGGAATGTTTGGAAAATGAGAATATGGGGCAGAGCCATGAAAGGAGCAAGAAGGCTAAAGGAGGCGGTGAAATCCCTCTCCTCTCTTGGACTTAGCTTCTCTCTTCTACTTCTCTCCCAGCAAACAAAGAGGCAGCTACTGGCAGAAAAGAATAGAAAGAGCAAAAGCTTTAGCAACAGTGGCTATAGAACTTTTCTCTTTAAAGTTCATCTTCCCTCCTCTACCATAAGGTCTGCTGCCTACCAACAAATCCTAGCCAAAGACAGCAAAACAGGGATGGGAGTTTGCCTTGAGAGGTGGTAGCCATGGCTTAGAGGAGCTGGAGACAATGTGAACTTCAAGAGGGCGATGGCAGCCCTTTGAAATTTTTCATCTGCCTTAATTTATGCCATTCTTTCCCCTAAAGATCGGAAAGTAAATAAAAATTTAACCATTGGGAACAAGGGGAAAAAATGCAATCATTTTAAGAATGCAACTGATAAGTGAGAAAATGTGAAGGAAAGTTTTCCGGTGGTACAAAAAATACTTTTTTAACATCCTGGCTAATACGGTGAAACCCCATCTCTACTAAAAATACAAAAATTAGCCGGGCGTGGTGGCAGGCGCCTGTAGTCCCAGCTGCTCGGGAGGCTGAGGCAAGAGAATGGAGTGAACCCGGGAGGCGGAGCTTGCAGTGAGCCAAGATCGCGCCACTGCACTCCAGCCTGGGCGGCAGAGCGAGACTCCGTCTCAAAAAAAAAAAAAAAATTACTTTTTTAAACCTCCCAAGATGGCTACTGAAGAGACCTCAATAAGTCACCTAATTCATCCTGGGAAGACAAGACTACAGTTAAACTATCCAAGGAAAGCTACTCAAAAATATACTTCAGGGAGTGAATTCCCACATAATTTAATTTCCTCACTGTCAAAAACATCACTTAATTATCAAGAAGCTCCCAAGATTGAAAACTAAGAACTGCACATTAAAAACTGCTTCCTCTTATGACAAAAATCTACACTGGCCAAAAAAGGTTTCCACTCACACGCAGAGTCTAAGCATACATTATTTTGTACGATTCCAGAATCTTGTTTACAGGCGTGTATTCCCTTCTGATTTTATTCAAAAGATTCTCTTTTCTTTTCCAAGTGTGCTTTCTAAATCTGAAGACAAAGTGTTCCTTTTCCCAGGCTCCTTCTTCCCTGGCCTCCATGTGATGAGGCACCCATGCGAGAAATAAAGGAGCTATAGGGCTCATAGTGGTCTTAGTTGTTAGTCTGTGAAAGGCTGAAGTTGCTAGCTGCATATGGATTAGAATTTTCCTGTTTACAATGGTCCCCTGCTCTATAGCAAGAGGAACAGGACTGACCACAGGTCACATGGTTTAGAAATCTTAGGCCATTTTTTACATTTTAATTTTTCTAAACAACATGGCTTTAAGAGCCCAAGAGAGTTCTAAACCCTAAAAATGCTATAATTTTGGTAATAAAGAACTGGGCCCCAGGGAATAATTACTCAATTTTAAATGGCTGCCTCAACTGGAGGATTTTTAAAATAAATCCTGCTGATGGTTTCAAGATAGTCTTAAAGGACTAGAGTTACCTCAAGAAAGCTATCAAAGACATGTGTCCTCAATTAAGTCTGAAATCTTTGTTTCTTCTAAATCAGATGTGTAAACTTGGCAAGTGACATCCACTTGTAAACAGCACATTATTCCTGGTGTAATGCACAATTACTCTCTTAATTTTACCATGAGATCCAGAGTTAGATACATGCATTTACCACCTTATTACCTAAGTGTACAACATAAGAGCAGAGATTTTTGTTTGATTTGTTCATGTGTGCAAATCATTAGCAATTAGTGAATGCTACACAATTAAATTACATACAAAAATGAGTTAATTTCTCTCATTCATTTAGATATAAGGTTCAACTATAAATACAGTGAAATATAAATAAGATATTATGCCCAAAAATACAAATTCTAAATATTCCCATAGGGACAAAGTAATAATTATTGTGGGAATAACAACTTTAAATTTCCTAAGTTGTTATTGGATACAAATGGATACTTAACCTTTAAGGTGCAAAACCTTATATTGGAGTTCCAGTTTCCACATTTAGCCCTAAAGCACTGTAATCTAGAAACCATACAGTATCTTATTCTCTGAAGAAAGTTAGTCATTAAAAACACCTTCATTTGGTTAGTTTCTGGACATAGTACTTCCTGTTTTTCTTCCTGGGGGGAAAAAAAAAACAAACTAGAATCTCTGGAATCCATGCTACAAAATTTTAACTTAAGTCTATACTTCAAGCAATTAAGGTTTCATATAAATCAGAAAACAAATCTAGTTAAAGTAGAATTCCAACTATAATGAGTGACATAATGGCAAAATTCCATTGTAGTTTTAAAAGATCTGCTGTAACTAAAAACCACATTAGAACTTCAAGCATTTATGGATATATCTTCAAATTCATTCTCTCCATTGAATCATTCCTTCCCCTAAATGTACTTAAAATTTTCATAGTCATCTTTTCTAAGGTTCTTTAATTCTACAGAATGTGTGCTCTATTTGCTGCTTGATACTTTACACTAAAAGGCATCCCAAACACAGAAATATCTACAAACTCAGGATGTACATGTTCCATTAACGACATTTTAAAGGTGACAAGATGATAAGAAATCATTTCCTTGAATTTTATCCCATATCTAAGACTTCCAGAATATTTTTTTTTCAGTCTCTCCTTTTACCCCTGGAGCTAGGGTGAAAAAAAAAGAGAACAGGTATCAGTGTGGATGCTGCTAACATAAGCACACAGATATGCAAGTACTTGGCAGGAGGGAGAAAAGGGGAAGGACAAAAGAAATGACAGCAGGGAGAGGAGACTGGTCTTGCTGATTCATAAAATGCTTGGCTTAATGGGACATTTGGGCAGTGATATTATTTTGAAAACATTTATGCTAAAGCTTCTTTTGTAGTATATCAAATTAAGAAAAGGTCATATAGGTTGATGCAACTAAGTAAATTATATTACAAAGAACAAGTTACAAAATACAATAATGCAGATGTGGCCTACCCTATAAACTACCTCCATGTCAAATCTGGATACCTCTCTTTAGACAGATAATTTATGTAGTATTTCTGATGCACCATTATCCCATTACATTCTTATACAGTATGTTTTTTACTAGCTATTTTTCAGGTAAATGTCATTCAGATTTTTTAACCTATCTCATATACCTCATAATATATGAGATATTTTATGAAACCTCATAATAAAGGGTATCTATATACCCTTTATTTTCTAAAATGTAATTTTTCAACATACAGCATCCATCAGGATATCTGGAGTAAGACTTCAGTATGTTTCTCTTTATGAATTGCTTTTTAAACTTTACCTCCAACAGAATATTCTTAAACTGTTTAAAGTTACAGTCTTTTGAAAAATCTTGGCATGTATTTGTAGCAGTACCTCTGGAAAAAAGACTGGAAGCCTTCTTAATGTAAGAAATTTCTTCCGTCTGTTGCTCCACCAGCACCACCATCCCAACCCCCATTTATCACTCAGTACTAGGCACTCCAGGTCAGGAATGCAAAAAAAAAGCAAAGAAAAGATGGGTGAGGGCTTGGTGGCAGTATTAGTAAAGACCACTAACACAAAAGCTAACGAGAACATAATAATTGTCGGGGGGAAAATAGCTAACACCACTAATCCAAACGTCTATAAACATAAAAACAAATACAGAATTTTCAAAACAGAAGACGATAAATTAATGAGAAAACAAACTGAGTTCAAGACTTCAGAGCAAGACAAATTACATCTAAATTACATCTAACCAAGAATAAAAACACATTGTCAATAGGAGCCTGGAAACACTGTCAGGGTTCCCCACCAGTCAAATGTAAAGACAGCAGAAAGACCCCAGCAGTTTACCACAAGAGCCTCTACTTCATGTTGCCCTGGTCAACATTTTTATCAACCACTTGGGATGGACTCAAAGGTATGATCAGTAAGGATAATAAGGAGACAACAGCCTGACAGGATCACTAATTCCCAGAGCAGATGAAAGGTTCAGAAGGATTCAGCAGGCAGAACAAGGAGCAGATATAAAATAATCCACAAAAGAAAAAATATAAAGCACTGCCAAGGGTCAAAAAAATAAGCTGCCCATCTATAACGTGAGGCCTTGCTGATGAGCAATCAATCCATGTGAAATAAAACATCAAGTATGTCACAGACAGATGCTGTCTATAAAAGAAACCAATAACAAAAAATCAACTTGGGCTGTACTCATCAAATTACAGTTTTTAAACCTTCTTAGCATGCCTTGTGCTGCTCACTTCCTATCTGAAGTATTATATGCTTTTCTGAGAATCACATTTTTAAAGTGGCAATGAAAAACTGGAACATTTCAGGAAAGCTAGCATAATTGTGAAGGGTCTGAAATCACATCAAAGAGGGAGGGAGGGCAGACAGAGCTTTTGCAGCATAACTGGAAAGAGAACTGACATAATTCTTGTTCAATATCTAAAGATTTGTCACATAAAAAATGAAAAACATAGAATTAGGACTACAGGAGGGCAAGGAATGCATACACTATGAAAAGCTACCTAATATTAAGTTGCTCAAAACTACCTTGAAAACCAACGGTTCCCCACCTCTAGAGTGGACGCCAAGCAAAGGCTGAACACAGACAAATGGAGATGTAATGGCGACCTGTCAAGACTGCTTCAAAGATCACGTCCATGCCCCTCAGGAAGGTTGCACAAAGCTACTTCCAACCCTGTGATTCCGTAATTCTGGAGATCATCTATACCCCCGAGTGTACAGGTAGGAAAACTAAAGCCAGATCTGCAAACTGCCTTGTTTAGTTATAACAATCATTAAACAGCAAAACCAGGACCAGAGGGCAGTTTTCCAGGGTCCCAGATTTGTGCTCTTTACTCTGTTCCAATCTTTTCACTCCAGGTATCAGGCCAACCTGACCAGGCCACCTACAGAGGAAGTATTTTCTTCTTACAAGTTCATTCAGACGTGGGAAGTAGAAATTGGAGAAACCAATTACAGTGTTTAGGACAAGAGATTTTGATTGTTTTTCATTTCTTTTTGTAATGTTCAAAGTTACTCAGATAGCCAAAGAAACACCAACCCTGAATGTACACTGATACTGTACATGTGTCCCCACTAAGAATTTAGCTCTGAGGGCTTTGTAACCAGAGGATTCTGGTCCCTCAGGAACACGAAGATGAAGCCTCACTGTGCTTAAACCTTCTGTCCAACTCAGTAGGTGTTGACAGATTGTGGAAAAGGCAAAAGAAGGTCTTATGTTTTCACTTCAGTCAAAAGACAGAGATGGAATCTGTTCTGGTAAATAAAGAGGAGATTTCAGTATGTGAGACAAACTGGAATGCCAATGTTAGTAATTTTCTCAACGAAGTCACATATTAGGATTTAATCCATAATTAGACAAACTCAGTGTTTTCAAATAAAACACATTTTTCAAATAATAGACACTGATTATCTTTAAAAAAAAAAAAAAAAAAAACATACACAGCCAGGCGCAGTGGCTCACACCTGTAATCCCAGCCCTTTGGGAGGCTGAGGCGGGTGGATCACCTGAGGTCAGGAGTTTGAGACCAGCCTGCCCAACATGGAGAAACCCCGTCTCTACTAAAAAAATACAAGAATTAGCCTGGCATGGTGGCATGCGTCTGTAGTCCAAGCTACTTGGGAGGCTGAGGCAGGAAAATCACTTGAAACCAGGAGGCGGAGGTTGCAGTGAGCAGAGATCGCACCACTGCACTCCAGCCTGGGTGACAGAGCGAGATTCTGTCTCAAAAAAAAAAAAAAAAAAAAAAAAAAAACAACTATACACAACTTGCTCTCCTTCAGCCCCCTGCCCTACCATTCCGCCATAAGCTCAAGGTCATCCTTCCTTCTCTCACTAAAAAGCATCCTAATGACACCAGTACACAAATTCAGTTTGCTTCATAACTCAGAGAAATTTATTCTCAGAACTGAAATTATACAATGTTTACTTTAATCCTAAAATCAAAATTGTAATGAACCTCTGCTGGGGCTAATCAGGTACCACAATACTGTGCTATGCATTTTTTAAGCACGTTGATAAATATTTTATTGAATTTTACAGATAAGGAAAAACGAGGTTCCAAGAGATTAAGTTACTTGCCCAGGGTCAAGAGTTACTAAGTGCTGGAACCAGGATTCAAATGCAGAACTTAAGGCTCCCAAATCTTAAACACTATACAACATTGCCTGGCTAGTTGCTCAAGGAGAGCTGATGCTATAAAGGCGGCAGTCCCCAACCTTTTCGGCACCAGGGACCGATTCATGAAAGACAATTTTTCCATGAACTAGGGGTAGGGGGATAGTTTCAGGATGAAACTGTTCCACCTCAGATCATCAGGAATTAGATTCTCATAAGGAGTGTGCAACCTAGATCCCTTGCATACACAGTTCACAATAAGGTTCACCCTCCTATAAGAATCAGAATCTCTGCTGATCTGACAGGAGGCGGAGCTCAGGCAGTAATGCTCAATTGCCTGCCACTCACCTCCTGCTGTGTGGCCCAGTTCCTAGAACGCCAGGGACCTGTAGGGTTCCATGGCCCCAGGGGTTGGGGACCCCTGCTGTGAGACTCCACACTTCAACTGGAACCACAGCAAGAGAGCAGGGCCCAAGATCACTTAAGAGTTTCACAGGTATCAGATGGCAAGAAGTCCCATTCTCTGAAATACTATTGAGATTCTATTTTGCAACCAGAGGCTTACAGGACAGCAGGGAAGACTAAGTATAGACATGAAAATGATATTCCTTTTGTTTTGAAGGTAAAGTGGGAAGTCTCTTAATAGTTACATTAATAGGTAAATTTCATTTCTTTCTGTGCTAGGCACTGCGACCAAACTCCTTTTCTGTTCCCTCTCAACGTGGATTAAGTAGATTTGGACCATAAAGCCCATTCTCTACACTTGGAGTTAGTGAGCTAAAAAGGCAATAAGGACTCCATCCCCTTCAGAAGTCACTCACAACAAAAGATTTAATTCAAAATTTAGGTGAAGATTACTTCTATGCTAAAATTTTAGGAGTCATTTAACATTTTCCTTTAGTATGTTTGATTATAATTTTCAATGTGTGTGCTACTTTTGGAATTCTTTTAAAGGTTCATGTTTTTAAAACAAAGTAAACTGCCTCTTAAAAAAAAAAAGTCACTCACAACTACTTGGCTGTCACTGATGGGCTGTGCATGCCACAGTCCCTGGAGGACCCTACTGCAGGGCTGATGATTCACAGCACGTGCAGACCAACAAAAACAAACTGCCATTTTTCTCCTGAAATGAGGATTTATAGTCATGATTGCCACCCCCTGGGGGCACTTCACTGACTCCCTAATATAACACTCAAGGTGAATCTGATTAAAATCTAATTTATCAGTGGTAAATCCAATGTATTTAAATTTAAGAAAACTCATTTTGATTACATAAAAACATTTGTATAAGATGTTTTAGATATATATACAGTATTACACACAACTGGGATAATGTTTTTGGCGGACAGGAAGGTACAGCCTGAACTAATTTAATGGTTTTTAGATTGAGTCTAAACCAATGTCCAAAACTGAAAAACCTGGTTATTTCATACAACAAACAAATTCAGGCAAATATTGACAATATGGCAACAGAACTTAGTTCTAGTACCACATCTTACTGCTGAATATTGGGACAATCATGGGTAAGTCATTACCCTCTCTGAGAAGCAGTTCCCTACCTAACCTGTAAATTGGTAACAGTCATTTTAAACTCTGTAAGGGCAAACAAATTTATTGTTATTATGTTTATAATACTCCTAAGAGAATAACTATGTCCACTTCAACAATTTAATAAGGAATATTTGGAAGACATTAGACGGATAATTCATTTAACTCCCCTTTCTCCCAAAAAAATCTGTGTTTTCTGTATATTTTTTATTTAGCAACAGGTAAAAATTTTAACCAAAAACTTAATTTTAAAATGTTTAATTAATTTTAAAGTGTAGATAACCCACCAACCTTGGTAAACTATTTAAACCAGGCCAATATGAATGAAACTAAAATATGACACTATGCCATTGAAAAAAGAATCTGCCACCAACACTGCCATCTTACATTTGTTCAGAATTTCCAAGTTAAATACAATGTTGTATTCACATTTGAATGAAAACATTCAATTCTCTTTTTTTTTTTTTTTTTTTGAGACAGAGTCTCACTCTGTCACCAGGCTGGAGTGCAGTGGCGCGATGTCGGCTCACTGCAACCTCTGCCTCCCGGTTCAAGTGATTCTCCTGCCTCAGCCTCCTGAGTAGCTGGGACTACAGGTGTGCGCCACCATACCCAGCTAATTTTTGTATTTTTAGTAGAGACAGGGTTTCACCATGTTGGCCAGGATAGTCTCGATCTCTTGACCTTGTGATCCGCCTGCCTCAGCCTCCCAAAGTGCTGGGATTACAGGCGTGAGCCACTGCACCTGGCCAAAAAACATTCAATTCTCAAAATAAATATGCATGGTCAGGAAGGTTACGTGTTGCTGGGATAATTTTACAAATGAGGAAGATGAAGGTGATAAAGAAAAGTAATAGATCCAAAGCCCACAGCTAGCAGTGCTGGTGTAAGTAGAAGCTAAACCCAGCCTTCTGGTTCGCCCTGCCCAAGATCACGTCTGCCTCCAAACACCAGACTGTACTTTCCAATCTCGGTTTATCTGTAGACTTGTACAGAAGCACAAACTCTCCAGATCTTTTAGTTTCCAAGCAATATACTGATCTAATAAATGATTTAGAATGCCTTAAATCAATACCTCCCATAAAAAAAAAAGTAGAGCTTAATAAAGTATTCAAAGTCAACAGCCCACTACACCCCCACCTGCACTGAGTAAAGCAATTTTCTTTACTACATCTAAATAATTTTGTAGAAAAATAAATTCTCTGAGAACACTCTACTATCAGATAACTAATGTAGTTCATGGCCTACTGTGGCTTACTTATAAAAACTTTGCTTAAAAGGTCAAGTGAATAGAATGTCTTAATTTATAAATTAGAAATTATAAATATTAATCTTTCCTGATATATCAAAAAGCAGCATAGAAATTTTTAACCAAGTGTTTTTTAATTTTTGATATCCATTTTGTTTTAAACTCATGTTTTTAAAAAATCAGTTACTGAGCTATCATCATGTGTATAGCCCTGTGCTCATTTAATCAATTAAACCGTTGATTTTTATCTTAACTCTGATATTGCTTAACTCAGTATTCGAACATGACACCCTGATAGATCCATATCTGTGTACAGGTATGAATGGGGGGAAAAAAATCAATGCACAGCAAATGGCCTTTTTTTTGCACTGCACAAAGACTGCTCTTACTCTTTACATAGCCTGCTGTCTGTCCTCTCTTGGTCTGTCAGGTAAGACTGGGCAAGGACACACCCAGTGCCCCCCCACCAACACACTTTTATACCTTCACCAAGTTGGACCACCTAGATAAGTTGTCTTAGCACTGAGAAGTTACACAATCTGACTGAAATTGTGCCCCCTTTATTAAAAGATTCTTTCTGCTCACCTTCCAGGCCATGAGAGCACTGAAAGGAGGATGAGTTGCATTATAAATGTACCCCCTTTGGTACTAATGCTTAACACATCCCCTAACTTATAAAAGTGATTTTATAACTCCCCAAAATGAGCACAATGGGCTTTCATTTGTTCATCATGACTGTGCCCATAAATCAAAGCACAGAGCTAATTAAAGCCTCATGATGGTAGTCTTCTGTCCCCAGAGGATCAAGTTCAACTCCTCAACACGGCACACAACGTCCACTATGGTCTGACCTGCCATAGTGCAGAGGGTCCTGCACTACCCTCTTCTAACACTTAGTACCCCCTGTAGCAGCTGTGCAGAATCTGAATTGGAAAAAGGGGGTAACTGTTTCACACTCCATTTTTGCACAAGCTTTACTTGCTGCCTAGAATGCCTTTCCATACCCCCTCCTCTGGCCAACCACCTGTAAGCCCTCCTAACAGTATTTGCCTTGTTAATTCCTTTCATTTGCCATTACTGAATCCAAGTGTCCCTTTCTCTTTTGGACAACTTCACAGATCCTCAGGAAGAACTGATAATTCCCCCCTCATATATATCATATACACCATTCAGAGGGTACTTAATGTGAGTCATCTTACTTTCCACCCAGTGAGCCCCAAGAAGATGGGGAAAAGGTCTGAGTCAGCTCTGAATTCCCAGGACTCACCCAGTGCTGGTATAAATCAAACAGTCAATACTGGAGGAAGAATTAATATTGCTTAGCAGGCCAGGCAATTCTTCCCATGCTGGGGGTGCCAGGGTGCAAGCAGTCAGGACTTGGCTGAGTCTTCACTCCCAGCCCTGGAGAAGACACTGCCTGACAGCCCAGGGCACATGCCCAGAGACAAGGGCACACTCTCCCAAAAAGGAGCACTCCAAGCGGGATGTGCCAGACAAGGAAGGAGTGAGGAGGCAGACACTGCACTAGCACTTCCTGGGAGTACTGGTGCAACCTAAAGGATGGGAATTTTCTTTTAATCATAAGAGCTTGCCTTTTATCTCCATTTATATGGCTTTGTCTCCTATATTCATCAATAAATGGCTGCTCTGTAATAGAAATAATTTAATCAAACAGAGCATCAATATAAATATTCCCCAAACTAAAACAAAGTCCTTACCTATGCAAAATTCAACCAGCCAACAATGTTCCTATCCCACCCCTAGCACTAGAACATTCCATATACTTTGACTCAGGGGTTGCTTGCTTCTATTTTATACATCATATAATAAGGTTGGTTATATTGTTTCCAAGCCCCCTGTAGATTAAAAGCCGCATATCTGGAAAAGACCTAAAGAAGAAGACAAAAAATTTACAAAAAACCAGACCCAAGAACCCTCAAGTCTAGCAATCTGAATGATTTTTGCCCTACTGGATGCACAGTACATTCCGTCTAAAAGTACATTTTTTTTTTTTTTTTGAGATAGTTTCGCTCTGTCACCCAGGCTGGAGTGCAATGGCGCCATCTCAGCTCACTGCAACCTCCGCCCCCCGAGTTCAAGTGATTCTCCTGCCTCAGCATCCTGAGCAGCTGGGATTACAGACATGCGCCACCACGCCCGGCCTAAAAGTAGGTTTTTAAAGGCACAAATTATCAGCTTTCTGGGAGCGCTGACTATAAAAAAATTAAACATTTCTCAATATATTCCTATAAAGCATAACTATATGTAAAATAAAATTATATAAGCAATTCTACTTCTAGAAATTTGCCCTCAGAATGTAACTGGGCAAGATGAATACACCAATAATGTTTATTGTAGAATTGTTCATAATAGTGAAAAACTGAATACCTATTAAAAAGGTATTGAGAGGCCGGGTGCAGTGGCTCACGCCTGTGGTCCCAGCACTTTGGGAGGCTGAGGCGGGTGGATCATGAGGTCAGGAGTTCAAGACCAGCCTGACCAGTGTGGTGAAACCCCGTCTCTACTAAAAATACAAAAAAAAAAAATTAGTCGGGAGTGGTGGTGTGCGCCTGTAGTCCCAGCTACTCGGGAGGGCTGAGGCAGGAGAATCGCTTCAACCTGGGAGGCGGAGGTTGCAGTGAGCCAAGATCGCACCACTGCACTCCAGCCTGGGTGACAGAGCGAGACTCTGTCTCAAAAAATAAATAAATAAATAAATATAAAAAGGTATTGAGAAACAGATTTTATATATATATATGAGAACACAACATGGCCATTTTAGATCATATTCATTAACAGGAGAAAACAGCCAAAGTATTGAGTTAAAAAATAAAGGCTGATGGGCCAGGCGCGGTGGCTCACACCTGTAATCCCAGTGCTTTAGGAGGCCGAGGTGGGCAGATCACCTGAGGTTGGGAGTTCGAGACCAGCCTGACCAACATGGAGAAACCCTGTCTCTACTAAAAATACAAAATTAGCAGGGGGTGGTGACGGATGCCTGTAATCCCGGCTACTCAGGAGGCTGAGGCAGGAGAATCACTTGAATCTGGGAGGCGGAGGTTGCGGTGAGCTGCGATCACGCCATTGCACTCCAGCCTGCGTAAAAACACCGAACTCCATCTCAATATAAATAAATAAATAAATGCCGGTAAACAGAATGTGAAGTTATATAACTTTACTCACATTATATCATGAGAGTGGCACGTGTGTATGTTTTGGTATGTGCATGTGAGCACACATGCGTGCATATTATCAAACTGTTAAGAGTGACAACTCCTGTCTCACCAAACTGTTAACTGTGATTTTTGCTTCCTCACAATTTTCTGTGTTGTCTGAATTCCCTACAGAAAGATAGATTTTCATATAATCATTTAAAAAAATTTTTAAAGACATATTCCAGAACAGGCATATTCATCACAAACACCACTTTACAGGATAAAAGATACAGGAGAAAAAGGTATATAGATGCATGTCTGTAGCCAGTTTGGATGCAACTACCATGTGTTGCTTTCCGTCTTTCTCCAATACTACTAGAGAAATCAGCAGAAAGCTATAGACTCATCACTGCAAATTCATCAACACTACTAGAAAACACAACATTGAAAGTTAGAGTATCTATACATAAAGATATCTCACATAACACTCCAGCCACCCTATCAATGTCACAGTTTTCTTAGTTCTATCTGGAAAAAGTACTTCATCAAATTTTCAATGTCAAAACACGAATGCATGTCAATCTATGAGGGAAATACAATCTTGAAGGAAAATATACACAAAATGAAGGTAGACCCGTACAAGCCCACTGGATGGCAAAGAGGATCCCTGGCTCAAAAAGTTTTGAAAATACCATTTTTTGCTCTACCGGCAGGATTTGATGGCATGATGTCTCACAGAAGGTTCTCCGCTCCCAGACATGGGTCCCTCGGCTTCCTGCCTCAGCAGCGCAGCAGGAAGCATCATGGGAAGGTGAAGAGCTTTCCTAAGGATGACCCTTCCAAGCTGGTCCACCTCACAGCCTTCCTGGGATACAAGGCTGGCATGACCAACATCATGCGGGAAGTCGACAGGCCAGGATCCAAGGTGAACAAGAAGGAAGTGATAGAGGCTGTGACCATTGTGGAGATACCACCCATGGTGGTTGTGGCCATTGTGGGCTTCGTGGAAACCCCTCGAGGCCTCCAGACCTTCAATACTGTCTTCGCTGAGCACATCAGCGATGCATGCAAGAGACATTTCTATAAAAACCGGCATAAATCTAAGAAGAAGGCCTTTACCAAGTACTGCAAGAAATGTCAGGATGAGGATGGCAAGAAGCAGCTGGAGAAGGACTTCAGCAGCATGAAGAAGTACCGCCAAGTCATCTGCATCATTGCCTACACCCAGATGTGCCTGCTTCCTCTGCACCAGAGGAAGGCCCACCTGATGGAGATCCAGGTAAAGGGAGGCACCATGGCCAAGAAGCTGGACTGGGCCCACGAGAGGCTTGAGCAGCAGGTACCTGTGAACCAAGTGTTTGAGCAGGACAAGATGATCGACGTCATCAGGTTGACCAAGGGCAATGGCTACAAAGGGGTCACCAGTCGTTGGCACACCAAGAAGCTACCCCACAAGACCCATCGAGGCCTGTGCAAAGTGGCCTGTACTGGGACACAGCATCCTGCCCCTGTGGCCTTACCTGTGGCATGCATTTGGCAGAAAGGTTACTGTCACAGCACTGAGATCAACAAGATCTATAAGATCAGCCAGGGATACTTTGTCAGGGACAGCAAACTGATCAAGAACAATGCCTCCACTGACTATGACCTGTCTGACAAGCCACCCTCTGGGGGCCTTTGTCCACTATGGTGAAGTGACCAATGACTTTGTCATGCTGAAAGACTGTGTGGTGGACACCAAGAAGCAAGTGCTCACCCTTCACAAGTCCTTGCCAGTGCCAACCAAACGGCGGCCTCTGGAGAAGATTGACCTTAAGTTCATTGACACCACCTCCAAGTTTGGCCATGGCTGCTTCCAGACCATGGAGGAGAAGACAGCATTCATGGCACCACTCAAGAAAGACCGAATTGCAAAGGAAGAAGGAGCTTAATGCCAGGAACAGTTTTTGCAGCTGGTGGGGTCTTAAAAGTTATTTTCCACTGGAAAAAAAAAATACCATTTTTGAGATAGCATTCTGACAATGCTCATTCACAAAAGTTTTAACTTTTGTAGGCTCTCCAGAGCAAGGGGCAAATTCAAGGAGGAGCGGAAAAAAGACAGTACAAGCAAATGAGAACTTACATTTTCACTTTAAAAATATTTTGGAAAACACTAAAAATATTTCTGTCATAGATTCAAATTTAATACTGGAGGAATAAGGTATCTGAAGGTATCTAATCTTAAAAAATTATGATTTGAGTACAATGCTAGTCACATTATTTCTGAATTCTAGTAATTTTATTCCTTATAAAAGGCACAAGAGGATTAAAAAGTATGGGTTAATTACAGCAACCTTCTTAGTCAAAATAAATAGCACAGAAAAAAATGAACTTTAAAAAACAAATATGGTAGATTACTCTGAAATGTCACAATATCATTACAGCACAGTAGCTGCCCATGAATACTTTTGCGAAGGTGTGATGTATACGTAGACAGGCAGACGACTGGCTGGCAGGCAGATAGGCAGGCAGGCTGACAGAGAAAAGGAAAGAAGATATGGAATGAAGATGAAGAAAGGGACTCTACAGCAAATGGAAAAAAGAAAGAAAAATTCTATTCTGTCTCATGCTGCAGATGCCCTCAGGAAATGTCATTAATGACACGTTCTCATTACAGAAATTCCCTAGATTGGTCAGAGAACCTGCTTTTTTTATTCCCAGATCAAAAACTACATGCACTCTTTTGTACATCAAGGCTCATGCATATACAGCACATGGCTAAGAAATTATTCTCTGCCCAGCATGTCCTCATCAAGATATATCTGTGGCCTGCTATAACCTCTACTGACAACACTGACAGTTGCACAGGAAGACCAACACAAAGACAGAGCAAACAGACACACAACACATAATAAATCTGTCAAAATTGTATTCTGAGATTCAAGATTTTTTGGTCCACGTGATAATTTCCAAATGCATTTAGACCTTGAATCACTGAAGACTTTCTCGCTTTCCCAGCTTTTCTGTCAAGCTGCAGGATTCTTTTTTTTTTTTTTTTTTTTTTTGAGACTGAGTCTTGCACTGTCGCCTGGGCTCATGTGCAGTGGTGCAATCTCGGCTGGCTGCAACCTCCACCTCCCAGGTTAAAGCAATTCTCCTGCCTCAGCCTCCCGAGTAGCCAGGATTACAGGCACCCACCACCATGCCCAGCTAATTTTTTGTATTTTTAATAGAGACAGGGTTTCACCATGTTGGCCAGGATGGTCTCGAACTCCTGACCTCGTGATCCGCCTGCCTCAGCCTCCCAAAGTGCTAGGATTACAGGCATGAGCTACCGCGCCCGGCCAAGCTGCAGGATTCTTAAAGCATCAAGAAAAGTACAGTATATTTGTACTTCAGGATACAAATGTGGTACCATGAAAACAAGTCTCTGGTGAGAGAGCACCTTCCCAAAAAGATAAGCCCCAACTAGATGAGAGGAAGCCCTACAGAGTGCCCTCAAAGGTGAAAGAACAAACCAAAATTCCACTGGCACGTGGTAACTTTCAGCATTTTTCATCTCTTCTCTCATTTCTTCTCCCTGAATGAGTTTGCAGGTATGTGTCCCGGTACACCAAAATGCATTTACAGAACTTTAAGTTACAAAGAATAAAGAAACACTGATCTAGAATATTCGAAAACCACATTAAAGGCAAAGTCCTTCTGATGACTCATGAACTAAGTTCAAAATTCCACAATTTTATCAAATTGTCGAATTTCATAATTGTTCCTACTTCAAACAATGGATGCAAACAGAATGGATCTCCATTTTAAGGTTTCCTTGCAGCAAAATGCCCAAAGCCACAATTCTGATCCAAGAAAACTCAAAGCTCTCAGTCACTACACAGCAAAGCAGTTAAGAGTATAGATATTTTTGAGCCACTGTGTGTTCAAATACTAGCTCTGCCATTTATTAGTTGTGTGGCCAAAGCCAAATTACTTAATATCTGTGCCTTGGTTTATCTCTCACAGGGTTGTTGGAAGTTTTAAATAAATTAATACATGTAAAGCCTTTATAACAGTATGCAGCACTTGATGTAAGTCTTTTCAAGGTTTTTTAAGAACTTAGCTCAAGCAAGGTTTTGAAATGTGAACTGTTCCAACTTCCAAGAGGAAAAGGAGAAAGTAGAGATGGTTTTGTAGGTTTTTTGTTTTGTTTTTCAAAGGATAGCTTTGACAGGCCACTAATTCAAACAATTTTAAATACACTTGTAGTGTTTCATGTGTTAAGTGCTTTGCCTTACAGTTCTAGAGTATAGACTTTTACAAACACACAACTGATTTAAAAAGCAGCACTTAGCCAGGCACGGTGGCTCATGCCTGTGATCCCAGCACTTTGTGAGGCTGAGGTGGGTGGATCACATGAGGCCAGGAGTTTGAGACCAGTCTGGCCAACATGATGAAACCCCATCTTTACTAAAAATACAAAAATTAGCTGGGCATCATGGTGGGTGTCTGGAATCCCAGCTACTCAGGAGACTGAGGCATGAGAATCACTTCAGCCCGAGAGGCGGAGGTTGCAGTGAGCAGAGTTCATGCCACTGCACTCCAGCCTGGGCAACAGAGCAAGACTCCATCTCAAAAAAAAAAAAAAGAGAGAGAGAGAGAAAGGGTAAAATATCACTTCTGTAAAACTTAGGTAGTAGGAAAGTGCTTTTCTCCCCCCCTCAAAGAGGGAGTCTCGCTCTGTCACCCAGGCTGGAGTGCAGTGGCATGATCTCGGCTCACTGCAACCTCCACCTCCTGGGTTCAAGCAATTCTCCTGCCTCAACCTCCCGAGTAGCTGGGATTACAGGGATGCGCCACCATGCCCAGCTAATTTTTTTTTGTATTTTTAATAGAGACAGGGTTTTACCATGTTACCCAGGCTGGTCTCAAATTCCTGACCTCAGGTGATCTGCCCGCCTCGGCCTCCCAAAGTGCTGGAATTACAAGCATGAGCCACTGTGCCCAACCTAATTTTTGTATTTTTAGTAGAGGCAGAGTTTTGCCAAGTTGGCAATCCTCCTACCTCAGCCTCCCAAGTAACTGGGACCACAGGTGCATGCCACCACACCTGGCTAACTTTTTTATATGTTTTGTAGAGATGGGGTTTCACCACATTGCCCAGGCTGGTCTCAAACTCCTGAGCTCAAGCAATCCACCTGCCTCAGCCTCCCACAGTGCTGAGATTAAAGGCATGGGCCATCACACATGGCCCTTTTTCTCAATTTCTTACATTTGAAATATCCCATTATTTTATTTAGTGCAGGGGTGATAATTAAAATAATCGTAAGTTTCATCAGCATGAAATATGGAAGAGAACATGGAATGGACACAACCCTAGTTTTCAGGCAACTTATATAAATATGCTGTTTGGTTGGGGCAGCCAATTTACTGTATCTTATTACTGATATTATCCATTTGCTGACTGGGGGAAAGTGTAGATTTCTCCCAAAAGCAGATGGCCAATCTACCATAGAAAGCTATTTTCTGACATAAGCAACTACCAGCAGAGAAGTAAACTCTCAATAATCAGAACAAGTCCTTTTGAACTCTATAGAATGCTCATTATCAATATCATAAATAATACAACAAAAGGCAAAGGCTCCCTTGAAAAGAGTCTTAACAACTAAAGATAAAGGAACCGGCCCATAAATGAGTGGTTGGTAGAGGGCATTTGGCAGGAGCACGTGGATAAAGAGCCTCAAAAATAAAATGAGAGCTAGTAATGTTCTCTGAGACAGTAAACTGTTCAAAAGTATGAAAAACATCTTTAAAACCCACACAAAGGGATTTTTAAAACAGGAAAATCTATTAACCCACACGTTGTTGGGTTATTTTTCTTAAGTACACACATGTTTTGGAAACTTCAGAATCTCAAAATATATTCCTGATTAGCAACACTCAAGTTTCCAGCTGCCTTTACATTTGTTCACTTTGTCAAAGCCCTAATTCTACCAAAGTCCTTTGTCCTGTACAAATGCCAGCTCAGCTCACCTTACTAGAAAGGCTCTTCTGGTTTTGTCAGCTGTGCCCATGATAAGCAGCTGGGGAGTATGGAAAAACCATTAACCATTGACTGAAAAAGAGGGTAGCCATGGAGTTTCACCATTTGTTGCAGAAGTGGTTATAAAAAAAATGTAAATCAAAAAATGAAATTAAAAAGACTATTCATTGCTCCACACCTGCTCCAAAAAGCTTTGCAATCACCAATCCATGTAAAACAGCCACAGCCCAATTAAAGGAAGCATTAATCCTTGCTTAAACAGAGAGAGAAAAAAACTAACAAGGTACAAAGCAAAGGCAAATCACTCCGGGCAAATAACTCAGAAGCAGGAAGAGAAATGTCCACAGATGCACTGGGGATAAACCAAAGGTCTTTCTGAGGTCTGTGTTTCCCTGATGTAGTACTCTAAATGTATGGCATATCCAGGGCAGAGAAACATCAATTTGGAATGTATGCAGGAGAGCTTTTTACAACTTCAAAGCATTGAAATGTGTTCCTAATTAGTATGAAATATATGAAAACCAAATGCAGATTAGGCCTCAAATATTTCCCATCTTTAGCATAGTCCAATTGCTGGGCAATAGTGCCACTGTTTCCATTCCCTCCTATGCCTACCTGTGCCCACCACCTCAAGAAGTGTGGCTATTGGGAGGGTTCTCCCCCTGAGCCTGTGCAAGAACCCCACTGAAAACCCCACATCCAAAGCTGGCCATGAGTCGAATCCAATCAGGCACCAACAGTCTGGGGTGTTTGCCTCTATTCGAAAGACAAGAGAGCCAGTGGACATCATCACTATGGCTAGCAGGATTATGCACACCCTGGGGCACAGGGGCTGAGGGAAGCCTCCCAAAAGAACTGAATGGATTTTCAATGAAGAAGCCAAGTAAACTACGCTGCCTGGTTATGTTAGACAGTATGTGCTATACAGAGGATGTGCATTCTAGTATGAAACAATGAAAGAGAAAAGAGCATTAACATTGATAGAATGCCAATGCAGGGGCCAAGATACTAGAAACAAATTATCTCAATTAATGCAACTGAGGCCCACAGGAGTTAAAAACTGGCCCCAGGTCACAATGGTAGTAATGGCTAAAACCAGGATCTAAACTCAGGTCTAACTACAAATTAAGTGTTCTTTCTGTCAAATCGGATGCCTTTCATTATTCTTCTCATTTATCATGCCGCCCTGAAATAGTTAAGCTTCAACTATGGTCATCTATAAAGGTGATGTCAAACTCAAGAGTGAGCCGAGAATTTCCCGGACAACCCAGGAATACATGCTGGCTTGGGAGAACTCCTTTAAACTCTAAAATGTTTCCCTTTTACCACTTTTGATAAAAATATTTCTCAAAATATTTGTCTTCTTGAAGAGAATATACCAAACACCATTAACCAGTATTTGTGTTGTCCATGTCCATGGAGTTCTGCCATTAGAAATGACAGACTGCACTGCACCTTAGAGATGGAAGGGGCTGCACAGACCACTTAGTCAAACCCCAGGACTGCAGGAGTTTCCTCCAAGATTTTTTTTTGAGACGGAGTCTCACTCTGTCTCCCAGGTTGGAGTGCAGTGGCACGATCTCAGCTCACTGCAACCTCCGCCTCCCGGGTTCACGCCATTCTCCTGCCTCAGCCTCCTGAGTAGCTGGGACTACAGGTGCCTGCCGCCACACCCAGTTAATTATTTTTTGTATTTTTAGTAGAGACGGGATTTCACCATGTTAGCCAGGATGGTCTCGATCTCCTGACCTCGTGATCCGCCTGCCTCGGCCTCCCAAAGTGCTGGGATTACAGGTGTGACCCACCGCGCCCGGCCTCCTCCAAGATTTTTACAAGATGGCAGAGCAAAAAAAGTGAATATGAAAAGAAGGCCATTTACATATGGTCCAACAGACCTAAGATTTAAGCAGTTTGGGGGACACAAAAGTTCTAATATTCCATCAACATTCAAAGTCACCCCACCAGCACCTGAGTTTTATCCAAGCAAACAGAAACAATAATCTCACTAAAGCCAAACTGGTCGCCTATCCATCTTCACACTTTCTAAACCCCATAATCTCATGAATTCAGACTCAACTGTTCATCAGGTTTTATGAGAGTGGTGGCTTGTTTTAGCCTTTGTGAAACTTTCTTTCTTCCCTGCCCAGACTCAAAGGGCTATGTATACTTTTCACCACCATGCATGTTCTAAAAACTTTTATTCAGTTCAGAAGAATTCTTACCAGCAAAGATCAAAGAGCTCTGTTTTAGCAAAGAAAGCAACATTTTATCTGGCAGAATTCTTAGGTGTCAGTAAAGTAGTAGTGTTTCTCAGTAGAAATTTTTTTTTTTTTTTTTTTTTTTTGAGACGGAGTCTCGCTCTGTCGCCTAGGCTGGACTGCGGACTGCAGTGGCGCAATCTCGGCTCACTGCAAGCTCCGCTTCCCGGGTTCACGCCATTCTCCTGCCTCAGCCTCCCGAGTAGCTGGGACTACAGGCGCCCGCCACCGCGCCCGGCTAATTTTTTGTATTTTTAGTAGAGACGGGGTTTCACCTTGTTAGCCAGGATGGTCTCGATCTCCTGACCTCATGATCCACCTGCCTCGGCCTCCCAAAGTGCTGGGATTACAGGCGTGAGCCACCGCGCCCGGCCACTCTCAGTAGAAATATTACTGATGTTAGCATAAGTTTTTTGTTTTAAAAAATAAGATGTCCTATTACTTAAACCAATCCCAAAAGGTATTAGCATGTATAAGAAAAAGTTCTGGCCAGGTGTGATGGCTCATCCCTGTAATCCCAGCACTTTGGGAGGCCGAGGCAGGTGGATCACCTGAGGTCAGGAGTTCGAGACCAGCCTGACCAATATGGTAAAACCCCGTCTCTACTAAAAATACAAAAATTAGCTGGACGTGGTAGCATGTGCCTGTAGTCCCAGCTACTCAGGAGGACTTGAGAAGGAGGAAACAGGAGAACTACTTGAACTGGGGAGGCGGAGGTTGCAGTGAGTTGAGACTGCACCACTGCACTCCAGCCTGGGCAACAGAGCGAGATTCCGTCTCAAAAAAAAAAAGAGAAAGTTCTTCTACATCAGTAGGTACCAGATTAGAATAAGAAATATTAACAAATATTGTTATTTATCAACCTTTCCTGGTCTTCATTCACTCAAAATAAGATCAAGATTTCAATTATGACTACCGCCAGCTGCTGGAGGTAAAGAGAAAGCCAGCCAGGCACATGGTCCTCCACTCCCATCACCTGCCTTTCATTATCCTCCCACCTCCAGGCTGCCTAGATCTTTAACCCAGTGGGGTGGGGGCTGCTTGTCAGCTGCCTAGTCTCTTTGTTGACTGTACCTAGTTATTTTAGCACTATGCCTGAAACTTAAAAAGAAAGGAAATCCTAAATAGAAGCAAAATACAGGGTATCTGAAAATTCAATAAACATACAATAAACTTATTTTTTAAAAGTATGTAAGTTACATTTTCAAGTAAGATGATCACTGAATAACACACAATTTTCCCTGTGTGTCCAGACTTTTTGGAGACTGTATTTATTGTACCACTTTCAGGTTAAGAATGAGATTCGATGATTTGAAATTAAAGGAACTTCACCTGGAAAGGTGTTTGGAGATTAAAGAAAATAACACTGAGCATGTTATTTAAATGCATCCTATGTTCTCTGACTTTGCGGACATTCTGTATCTTAATCTGCTATAAATTAGCTCCCTAATTTCCTACCTACTTCCCCATGCACTCTAAACACCAAATTCTTTCTTTCTTTCTTTCTTTCTTTCTTTTTTTTTTATTTTTAGACAGAGTCTTGCTCTGTTAACCAGGCTGGAGTGCAGTGGCACGATCTCAGCTCACTGTAACCTCCACCTCCCAGATTAAAGTGATCCTCCTGCCTCAGCCTTCCGAGTAGCTGGGACTACCAGAGTGCACCACCATGCCCAGCTAATTTTTTTGTATTTTTAGTAGAGGGGGGTTTCACCATGTTGGCCAGGCTGGTCTCAAACTCCTGACCTCAGGTGGTCCACCTGCCTCAGCCTCCCAAAGTGCTGGGATTATGGGCATGAGCCACTGCGCCCAGCCCAAATTTTTTCTTTCTACACATAAGGCATCACGACTTTGCTGCTGTTATTTTGGAAAACTGAAGAAATTATTAAAGAAAGAACCGTTGGCATCATTAAAATCTAGTCAATTTTATTACTAATTGCTATGTAACTCTAGGTGAGTCCCTCATCATAAATAAAAATGCATCTTAAGATTATAAATGTTGATCAGAGTACCATGCCAAGGGGCAGCAGACTACTCAATTCCTTTGAAAAAATATCAGAGAAAAGTTGAGGTAGAAAGGATTGTCTCTTTCTAATCCAAAATATTAAAGATGCATTTTCTGGCTATTTTGTCACCAAATGACTGACAGCTATGTGTGGAGAGAATCGGCATGCATGACACAGCATGCAGGACCAGCCATCACCAGCCACACTTGTCTATCAGATGAACATGATGCTACTTAGTCTTGGTTGCATTCATCTGGAAAGGACCAGCTTTTGGCCTGCATTCCAGTTCTCATTTTCCTCATGTATCGGTATCACTCTACTGTCTATACCTCAACAAAAAAGAAAAAGTTTAGCAGGTGGACCTTTACTAGTACAACACGTTAGCTACAACCAAATTCATTTGTTATATCAAGAAAGATATATGCATTCTACTTCCACATGAAAAGCCTTAGTAAATTTTACATTTGTTTTGAACGGATTGTATTACATGTATCCACACAAAAAACTACTATATAATGCACTGTGTTGGAGGGATCTATTCACTCCACACTGCATGAATACCTCAATTACTAAAGGGAAAAAGAGCCCTTCTTGTGGCATTCAAAAGGGTGACTATATGGAGTTACAGCTGAACAACAGGGAAAAATATATCACTCTGATGATCAAAGAGGTAATATACTGTGTGTTAGTTTTCCATAGCCAAGTAGCCACATGTCACAGAACAAAAAAAACTATGGACAACTGCTCACCACTGAGGCAAGCATGTACTTTTATTCATCCTTTAATATGAAGCCATGACACACATAATGTTACTTTGAGCTTTGTGTAGGATAGATGTACCTTGCCTTATTTAAATTCAATAGAGTCATAAAGGAAAAAAATGCTGAAGATAATTTTCACTTTAAAAAAGAATTTGGAAAATACTCTTTAAAAAGTAAGTCCCAGAATGACTCATTCTACAAATATATTACATACTACAAGGAACAATAAATGTTTATGAATACACATAGCAGGGACTACAGGCGCTCACCACCACACCTGGCTAATTTTTGTTTTTTGTTTTATTTTGTTTTGTTTGAGACAAGAGGCTCACTCTGTTGCCCAGGCTGGAGTGCAGTGGCACGATCTTGGCTCACTACAGCCTCTACCTCCCGGATTCAAGTGATTCTCCTGCCTCAGCCTCCCGAGTAGCTGGGATTACAGGCACGTGCCACCACGCCCAGCTAAATTATTTTTGTATTTTTAGTGGAGACAGGGTTTCGACGTGTTGGCCAGGCTGGTCTTGAACTCCTGATTTCAGGTGATCCACCTGCTTCAGCCTCCCAAAGTGCTGGGATTACAGGCGTGAGCCACCACACCTGGCCTGTATTTTTTTTTTCTTTTTTTTTTTCTGTACTAGAAACTGCGTGTCGCCATGTTGCCCAGGCTTTCTTAACTCCTGGGTTCAAGCGATCCACTTGCCTCTGCCTCCCAAAGTGCTGGGACTATAGGCGTGAGCCACCTCGCCCGGCCCATAAATGATTTTATGCTTGTAGTAACAATTCTAAACCAGGGGTTAGCAATCTCTGGCATAAAAACCAAAGAGAGCAAAAGTCAACAGTGAAGACTTAATGGCCAGTGCATAACAGTATAATCTCCCTTGATTCAAGTTAACATTTTCCAGTAAACATTTCTTGAGTACCTGCTAGGTGCCAAACAGTCCTACCTGGATCAGCATTTCCTACACCTACACCTCCTGACTTGACACACAGAAAGGACTCTCAGGCTTCATATGAATGCTGACGCTGATACCATATACCCAATACACTCAGATTTTGAAGTCCTAAAAACTATGAGTGGATACTACATATTAGTACTGGCAAAAATTAGAGTTAAGTTTAGCAAGAAAACCAATGTACACAGATGTTAATTGTTAGGAAAACTTACAAGAGAATACTTACTAATGACTGTCTGTGGGCTGGGTGCAGTGGCTCATGCCTGTAATGCCAGCACTTTGGGAGGCCGAGGCAGGCGGATCACCTGAGGTCAGGAGTTCGAGACCAGCCTGGCCAACAGGGCGAAACCCCGTCTCTACTAAAAATACAAAAATTAGCTGGGCGTGGTGGCGGGTGCCTGTAATCCCAGCTACTCGGGATGCTGAGGCAAGAGAATCACTTGAACCTGGGAGGTGGAGGTTACAGTAAGCTGTGATCACGCCACTGCACTCCAGCCTGGGTGACAGGAGCGAAACTCCGTGTCAAAAAAGAAAAAAAAGAAATCTAGTATGAAGACAGAGTAATAAACAGAATGAAATAGTCCTAAGGCTATTCAAAGTCATAAAGAATAGGCAAAACTATTTTCTCACCTTAAATATCACACAAACAGGCTTAAGAGTTTGCCTATCAGATGTAACTTGGCATTTACATTGCTAATAGTGCTTTTTCAAAGAGTGCTCACACTTTCAGTTCCTTTTGAATGATAATACCTGGATCTCCTACCTACCCTAGGACTCAGACATACTAATAATGTCAAGCTGCAGATAAGCATTTTCATGTTCAGAGCAGAAATTTTTTGAGGGAGGTATTTGTTTTTGTGGGAAGGCATTGTATAGGAAGGTTCGTTCTGCTTTGTTCTAGTTTTTACTCGATACTCCATAAACAGTGAGTGCAAATAAAATTTATCCCTCATGAAAAGACATATATCACAAGACAAAAACCAATGGAAATGAAAAATTCCTAAAAGAGCTGTTTTCAGTACACACTAGAAAAAAGGATCCTCACTTCTTTGTGGTATTAAATTATTTGTCTTCATATAGTTTTCAACTCAAAACTAGTCGTCCAAAGACCCTTTGGAAAAATGAAACTATAAAAGGCAATGGATTACTCGACCACAAGTAAATCCCTACAATTTTAAAATGACAGTCTACTTCAGTGCAATCGTTTAGACAATAAAGATTTAAAGGAAAAGAGAGGCAATAAAACACTTCACAAATCAAAAAAATTGCTTCCAGGATACAAAAAGATTTCCCTACACGAGGTCTAGCCTTGAAATTGCAGTAAGAAAAACATTTCTGAAGTAATAAACTGAAGATACAGACTTAATGTTAACTTCCAAACTATTCTTTATTTATCTTTTTACATTCTTTTTTTTTTTTTTTTTTTTTTTTCAGAGACAGGATCTTACCCTATTGCCCAGGCTGGAGTAGAGAGGCATGATCACAGTAGCTCACTGCAGCTTTTGACTCCTGGGTTCGGGCAATCCTCTCACCTCCGCCACCTGAGTAGCTAGGATTATAGGCACGCACCACGACACCCAGCTAATTTTTTTATCTTCTTGTAGAGACAGGGTCTCGCTACATTACCCAGGCTGGTCTGGAACTCCTGGCCTCAAGTGATCCTCTTGCCTCAGCCTCCTAAAGCACTGGGATAACAGGAGTGAGCCATCGTGCCCAGCCCAATTTCATGTAATTTTTATTATGGCTTAAAACTGAAAGGGTAGCCAGGTGTGGTGGCTCACGCCTGTAATCCCAGCAGTTTGGGAGGCCGAGGTGGGCAGATCACCTGAGGTCAGGAGTTCAAGACCAGCCTGACCAATATGAGAAACCCCATCTCTACTAAAAAAATACAAAATTAGCCAGGCGTGGTGGCGCATGCCTGTAATCCCACCTACTTGGGAGGCTGAGGCAGGAAAACCGATTGAACCTGGGAGGCGGAGGTTGTGGTGAGCTGAGATCACGCTATTGCACTCCAGGCTGGGCAACAAGAGCAAAACCCTGTCTCAAAAAAAAAAAAATATCTGAAAGGTATTAAAGGGTGTCCTTGTCCCTCAGTTTGTCTCAAGGTAAATTAAGGCTACCATTTTCTTGTGAATCCATCCACAAATGTTGTATGCATACATAAGCAACATATAAATATTTCTGTATTTTCTCCTTTCTCCTCAAACGGCAGCAAAACACATATACTGTTCTACATCTTGTGGAGTTTTACTTTTTTCCCCATTTAATATCTACATCATCCTCTATCAGTATTTTCCTTATTCTTTTTTAATAACTACATGCTACTCCATCTTCGATGGACAAATTTTTATTTAACCAGTCTTCTATAATGAACATTTAGCTTGTTTCCAGTGTTTTGCTACTATAAATGATGCCTCAATAAAACTTGGCCATTCTTCATTTCAGTTTGGCATAAGATAAAAATCTGGATGTTAAATTGTTGGGTCAAATAGGTCTGTGCATTTATAAATCTGATGGATTCTATAAAATTATCCTCCATAAAGACTGTCCTAATTTACATTCCCACACAAAATTCAAGTACCTATCTCCCCATTCAGGCTAACAATTTGCTAAATTTTTATTTTCATCAATGTAATAGGTTTTTAAAAAATGGCATCTGGTGTAGTTTTAATTTTCATTTCTCTTATAAATCAAGTGAGCACCTCACCTTCTCATCATGTACATTTATCTCTCATTTCTATGAATCTCCATATTTGTTCTTTGTCCATTTTTCTACTGAATTGTTAGTCTTTTTATTGGTTTGTTGACATTTTTCATACATCAAGGAAATTTGTCTATCTTTGTGGAGCTGTAAACATTTTTCAAACTTGTCTTTTGACTTTGTGGGGTTTTTTTTTTTTTGAGACGAAGTCTCGCTCTGTCGCCAGGCTGGAGTGCAGTGGTGTGATCTTGGCTCACTGCAACCTCTGCTTCACAGGTTCAAGAGATTCTCCTGCCTCAGTCTCCTGAGTAGCTGGGATTACAGGTACATGCCGCCACGCCCGGCTAATTTTTTGTTTTTAGTAGAGACGGGGTTTCACCATGATGGCCAGGCTGGTCTCCGATCTCCTGACCTCGTGATCCGCCAGCCTCAGCCTCCCAAAGTGGCTTGCGGTAGTTTTAAGTATGCAAAATCTTTTATTTTTTATACAATCTAACTTATGAATCTTGTTTTTTTTATTGTTTCAGGGTTTTATGTCAAGAAAAAAAAAACTTTCATTCTAAACTATACAAGTTTTCTCCCCTGCTTAGTTCTATTTCTTTTGTGACTTTGCCTTTTAAAGTTTGATCCATTTAAATTTCATTCTGGTGGAGGTATAAATTATAGATCCAACTTTATTTTTTTCCAGATGGCTACCCAGTTATCCCAACACCCTTTGAATAAATTCCCTCACTGATTTAAAATGCTACTTTTATCATGTTCTGTGTGTTCTGCAGTCTCCAGGTTCCTGTCTTCATATTTTATTTCACTGATCTAGATCTATACATGTGCCTTCATCACACAGTTTTAATTATTGTAGCTTACTATCCTTTAATATCTTTTTTTTTTAAACATTACATTTACTAAGATTCTGGCAATAAGACACAGCATACCAGGCTTGCCACTCAACTTGTTATTGTAAGTCTCAGCTTCAATATGAAGCCTTTTTTTTTTTTAATCAAAACCCTGCTTTTTACATGCTAAATATCTTGGCAAGTAGGCCATTAAACATAGTAATGAACTTAAGACAGCAAGAGTGAGGAGTTAACAAAAGCTAAACATTGCAGCCTAAACAAAATTCATACAAAAAAATAAACTATCACTAGTTACATAAAATTTTCCTGACTGGTTAAAACTTAGTATAAAACATGCATTTTAGAATCTTTAGCTATCAAGTTCAAAAAGTACCAATGTCTATTTAAAATAATTCCTCTCCCAAGCCAAAGTGTAGTCAAAATTAATTCAAATGACATAACACATTCTAATGCTAAAAAATATTCATTATTACTGAAGTGGAGGTAAATCCCAGAGCTTTTGGGGCTTTCTCATGCTGCAAATGGCTGTTTCTCTGGTTCACTCAAAGCAGCATATGACAGCATCCAAAGATGACACTAAGCTCAGTAAAGGGCAAGACTGCTGGTAGCCAGCTCTGACCTCCCCGTGAAGCATGGCTACTGTGTCCATAATACAGATGTGTGAGGATCAAAGGCACACTATTCTGCTAGCTAAAGAGATAGCAAACCACCCCCCAACCCTAAAAGCTCCTTCCCCAGGTAAATAAAAGTATACGAGGGGAAAAAATTAAAATACACTTATCTACAGAGTAAGGGTTTTGAAATATTAATGTAATCCCTCCTTCAAAAATTCTAACTAGAGTCATCTGGTCATTTCTGATTACATCTTAAAGATGTATCCAGATTCAATTTCTGTTGGTTTATCCTTAGACGCTTCTAGTCAAAAGTATTAATTTTATTCCCAAATATCTTAACCACTAGTACGACTGCAGTGTATTATCTCCCAGAGTTATCAAGCACTGGAAGAGAAAAAAATAGATGTTCAAGCAGCAGGCAACATTTATGGCCCTTTCACACAGTGGCATCTGAGTGGCTACTGAATAGTCCAGGAATAATTCTAAAAACAAGAAAATTCATGCATTTTAGTAAATATGTTGTAGTTTTCACAGTTGAAATTTCCTCAGACATTGCACTTTCTTTATAAGGGAATCCTGATTTTTCTTAATGTTACGGTGAGTCAGGACTTGAACTAGCAGCCTTCTTTTTCTTCTTCTTACTGTGTTTCTTATGCTTCTTTTTCTTTTTTGTTTTTTCTGTTGCTTTTTCTCGTTCTTCACTGCTTTTCTTCTTTTTTGCTTGCACCTCCTCAATATACTCTGATTCTGACAAGGACTCAGATGATAAAGGTTTATCTTCAGAATACATCTTTCTCTTTTTGCTGAGTCCTTTAATATCCTTTTCTTTCTCAGTTCCATCTTTTGACTTCTTTTTCTTTTTTAAACTATCCTTACTGTCTGATTCAGTTTCTGACATGGAGCTTTCAGAAGATTTATGTGAACGGTTCTTCTTTTTCTTTCTCTGTTTTCCTTGTTTCTTATCCTCATCTTCAGAATCAGAAGAACTGCTGGAAGAATCAGAGCTTGATGAAGAAGAAGATGAATACCTACCAGATTTCTTCTTTTCTTTTTTCTTTCTCTGTCTTTTTTTGGATGAGCTCTCACTTCCACTTAACAATTTCTCTCTGTGTTTTTCCAGTTCTTTCTTCCAGTTCTCATTCATTTTTTCTTCAAATTCAGCCAAAGCCTTGGAGCCTTTCTTTTCCTTTTCTAGTTGCTCTTTTACTTCTTCCCAGGTAGGCCTTGGTCGATTCAGATAATCCTGTATTGTTGGCCCTGAAGACTGGATTGGACCCCTTGATCTCGCCATTGCTATTGGGTTCATATAGGCCACCCGATTGTCCCGCTTCCCCATGGTGCTGGATCGCGCGCACAGTAGCACACCGAGGGAAACCGGGCCGGAGAGACTTACCCTTTAATATCTTATAGACTTGGTCCCACCTCTCATTACTCTTCTTTTTCATAGTGTTCCTATTATTGTATGCTCATTTCTATATTAATTTTAGCCTTAGTTTGTCAAGCCAAAAAAAAATTCCTGTTGGCATTTTCACTGGAGTTACTTCCAATTTACAGACAAATTTAGGGAGCTTATTTACCTTTAAGAAACAACCCTGCCGGGCGCGGTAGCTCACGCCTGTAATCCCAACACTTTGGGAGGCCGAGGCGGGCGGATCATGAGGTCAGGAGATTGAGACCATCCTGGCTAACACAGTGAAACCCCGTCTCTACTAAAAAATACAAAAAAATCAGCCGGGCGTGGTGGCGAGCGCCTGTAGTCCCAGCTACTCGGGAGGCTGAGGCAGGAGAATGGCGTGAACCCGGGAGGCGGAGCTTGCAGTAAGCCGAGATCGGGCCACTGCACTCCAGCCTGGGCGACAGAGCGAGACTCCATCTCAAAAAATAAAATAAATAAAATAAAATAAAAAGCTGGCAATTTTGCTCCACCAAGTACAAATGATGTGATTCATGGCTCAACTAGAGCATTCATATTTCATTAGTATGGGTCCAATCACAAGATGATGGTCTTCCTCACAGGCAATAATGGTATTTGGCATTAACCTCCCTCCTACAGACAGAAGGGCTATATGAAAAATGTATGAACGCCAAAAGTACTGTTAAAATAGCAGATTCCCTGAGTTTATCCATAAATTAAATATAAATAAGAAACAATTCTATGGCGGCCATATGTTTTCTTAAAATGGAAGCTAAAGACACAGGCATAAAGAATTTAAAAAGACCTCTACAGATGATCCGGAAAAATCTTTTCTTTTGAACATATCACCCCTAACATAATGGTTTATTTTATGGACTGTTTTCTAATTTTCCATTCAAAGGACATTCCAAATTAGAAAATCATGTCCATTCTACTCCAACATTCCTACAGAATTATTACCACATGTATAGTATCTTTTATCAAGTAGATGAAAGCAAAAGGCAAGATAGAAACAAAAAGTAAAGAGAAACAATATTTTACATTAATGTTTTACAGTTCATAAACACTAACAAAAACTATCTCATTTGACACATATGCATAAAGTGAGCTAATTATGAATATACATTAAAATGAAGAATAATTTTACAAGCAATATTTTTAAACTTTCATTTCTACTACATCCTATAATTTTAATGCTAAAAATCTTAGATATCAAAAAAAAGTTCTCTGTTGACGAGTGGGGGGGAGTAAGATATGATATTAAAGAAGTAGGTGGGGCCAGATGATGAAGGGCCTTGTAGACAACAGTAAGAATTTTAGACTTTGGCCTTAAGAATGGTGAAAAATCAGTAAGATTTTAAGCAAGAAAAGATTATGATCATTAGATGATTTTTAAAGATCATTTGGTAACAATGTAGAAGATAGTTTATTTGCACAGTGACAAGGGTGGAAATAGAGAAAATAAGTTACTGCAATGAACCAGACGTGATTATTAGACTTAGGGTACCAGTGGTAGCAGCAGTATGATGAAGAAAGGATTCATTTAAGAAATACTGAGTACCGGGGAGGCGGAGCTTGCAGTGAGCCGAGATCGCGCCACTGCACTCCAGCCTGGGCGACAGAGCGAGACTCCGTCTCAAAAAAAAAAAAAAAAAAAAAAAGAAATACTGAGTAGAAGAAATTTTAGTAGTCAAAATGTTCTAATATTCCCCCTCCAAAAAAAGACCCAGTGGTGACTGACACATTCTAGCAAAGCTTCAATAAATCAGTACTTAAATGTAAATAGAGCCAGGTGCAGTGGCTCATGCCTGTAATCCCAAGCACTTTGGAAGGCCAAGGTGGGAGGACTGCTTGGGCCCAGGAGTTCAAAACCAGCCTGGGCAACATACTAAGACCCCACTCTATAAGGTATTTTTTAAAATTTTTTAAACGTAAATGAATAAAAAGAGTTCTGGAAGTATGCAACCAAACTGATAATAGTGGTTAGTTCTGGAGAAAGGAAGTGAAAATTATGGGTAACAAAGAGGTAATATTTTTATTTTTATAAGAATATATTCATGTATGACTTGTATAATTTATAATTTTTTAAGAAATGTTCCTACAAATTAAACACAAAAAATCTTAATTCATATCTAAATTAAATAACTAAATGAAAAAAAGAAATATTGAAGAGGTAAAAATGATAAGACGCTGCTAATTTTCTGACTTGAACAACTCAGAAATGATATAAATGATGGTGTCATTTACAGAACTAGGAAACTAATAGAGAAAAGCAGGTTTGAAAGGAAAATAGTTAAGTCTGAGGCACAAGTGTAACAAATAAATAAAGATGTCCTATGAATAGGTGGACTACAGGAGTCTGGAGCTCAGGAGAAGTGAACACTTGAACCTGGTACATAGTGGTTTGAGAGTATAGGAGAGTAGGAAAAGGGTCCAAAAAGCGGGAAGAGGAAGGTGGCTTAACTAAGACTGGAGTTACCAAAGAGGTAAGAGAAAAACCAACAGATCTTGATTTACCAAAGTCCAGTAAAGACTGTTATGAGAAAGAGTGGTCAGCTGTGTTCAGTGCTACTGAGTTGTCAAATAAGATGAAGAATGAAGAGCCCACTGAATTTAGCAACACTGGCATCTTTAGCAGGTTCAGTGGAGTGCTGGGGCAGACCAAAGTTAAAAGAATGAAGTACAAGGTGAAGAAATAAAGTGAATGTGATCACTCTTTGAAGAAATTTGGATATGAAAAAAAAAAAATAGGGCAGAGGGTAAGAATGGGGTAGAAAGGCTCAGTGTCAAAGGAGGGCTTTTTTTTTAAGGTGGAAGAGATTTCTCCACATTTAAATGGCATTTATGCGCAATGGTAGAAAGGGAAACGAATGATTATTTCTTTTCAATAATGCCCCAAAATTAATATAGGAAACAAACTGGAATGCTGCTCATTTCTGTAGTATGACAGTGAGAAATCTCAGCCATCAGTAAATGGAATTTATTCACTCCGAAAGATAATAAATCAACAAAAAAAAAAAATCTCTTCTGTAGACATTAAAGATCTGCTTACATTTAAATCATAGGGAACTTTTAGAACATTCACATCAAAATGGAAAGTGGAATTTAAAGTTCATGTGCTTAATGTCCAATCTGTAAATTCTAAAATATACTTTATCAAAATATTCAGGTGAGGGAGGATAATAATACAATAGGTCAACTTTCTCTGATTCTTCCACAGATTAAAGGTTTCACAGATGCCTTGAAAGGAAACTGATGAGTACATGAATAGCTTAGTTATTTACACCCCTTGAGGCACATACACAGCACACCTAATGGTTCTGCCCTGAGGCAAAAGACTTAACAGATTGCCCTCCTAATTGCTCCCTGGACGCCTGGTACACAAAGCCACGTGATCCCGAGGTACAGATTCCTATATAAAACTCACCTTTAGGAAAAAAAATCAAAAGATAAATATCTTGCCAACTACTTCTAAACAAATAAAACTCTCTTACAATACCCAAAACCTAACAAATCACCACGCCATGCACTAGCTAATATGCCTAATAAAATTCTGACGTGCTTCTCTTTAAAATAAAAGCAATTTAGGTAAAGAAATTAGCCAATTATTTAAACATCATTACCCAATAAACTTTTGAACATCTAGTTTTACTATAAATGCAGTGCCAATTTTATAATTTCAAAGTGAGAAATTTCATTTCTAAGGAATGCCTGTTACATCTTCATAATAAGTGTAGATAGTTGATAAAGTCATCAATTTTAAGAGTTTGAAATATAAAACAAAATCTAGGTGGAGTAAGGAGGTAAAAGAACTTTCTAAACTTGAAGAAATTCAGAACTGGCGACTAAACATCTAAAAAGGCAAGGGATTTTTCTAAGTTTAGAAAAAAAATAATAGAAAGAAATTGAATTCCTAAAAATAAAAAATATTCCACTCCTCTGTCCCCAGGACATATTCCCCACCCTGGGGCAGAGCCCAGGTGCAGACCTGACAGTTTGTCCCCAGAGCTCGTGCTGTCCACCACTATGGCCCTCCACAACCTTTACCAACTGATGAAAAAGAGGACAGGAGTAAAGTTCACAAACTAGGAGACGCAATGAATACGCAAACATATGGGAAAATACTTAACTTTGTGAGTAACTTTAAATTTTCACATTAAAACAACAGGTAACTTGTAGGGGTTCTTTAGTTTTTTATTTTGCTGTTAATTGGCAAAAAAAAAATTGTAAAACTATGCTAATATCCATTGCTGGCAATTGGTGTGTGAAACTGGTAGGCAATTTAGCAATACATAGAAAGTGCCATAAAAACATCCAACATGCCCTTTGGCCCACCATTTCCTCTTCTGGAAGTCTATATTAAAGGCGAAAGAAAATACGGGCAGAGTGAAGGGCAGTGCTTACTCCACATGCACAAAGACACTCCATCTGAGCCTCATGCATAAAATGAAAACTTGGAAACAAATTTAAATGTCCAAAATAAGACAATGGTCAAATAAAATATAAATCCACTGAATTATTTATGTTTACACATAACTTGTATATAACAGAAAAATGCTTATCATACAATGTCAAACCAAAAAGAGCTAGATATAAAAATGTACAAATAATGAAAACCTGCATTTAATGCATAGGAAATACAAGGAGGAAAAACACTAAAATAGTGACTATGGTTGGTTAACACAATGGTATAGAATGACTTTTCCCATTTCCCAGTATCTTGCACATGTTTCAAAATGTGGTTTCATTGCTTCTATTATTTTTATACAGCTTTTAAATAATGGGAGGGGAGGATTTCATAGGGTATTTGCAAATTTAAAATAGAATACAAATCTGAGTGTTCTTTGAAACTTTTTCAAAAATCAAAAATAACAGTGCAATGATAAGGATGTTTCATAATTTGTTCGATGTAGTTCAAGTTCTTTTGTACAGAGGATGCAAAAGAAAAAATGGTTATGATCTCACTTAGGGTCTTAGAAGTTATCTCAGAAGTTATTTAATTCTAAATACAATTGGAAAGCCATTTGAGTTTTAAGTTGGAATGTTCCATAATCTGATTTATGCTATAGCCTCTGTTTTGTAGTTTGTTTTTTGGTAAAATCTGACATCTCAGATGTCCAGTGAAATATCTGTGGGAAGAGGAAGAACCATTTACACCACTTAACTCTTGATCTAAAAAACTAACATCATTAGATAAAAAAATCATTTTTAGTAATATTGCAAATCTTAACATCTCCCCTACTAGACTGACAGTTTCTGAGGTATGGCAGGGATGCATTTTATTTTCGCATGGTGGGTGGTTCTCACGTAAGTATACAGAGCTGTGCTTGAGGAGGTATACAAGGGGAAAAACTAATGCCCCGTCAGTCAGGATCATCATAAACCACCACTCAAGTAAGCAGACATAAATAGGGCTGTCCACTTTCAAATAAATCTTTCTAAGATAGTAAAGTATTTCTGAGAGAAGAGGTGGGTACCCAAAGCACCAAACCAAAACAGTCCAGGCAAGCCCCCAGGTCATCTAAGCCTGAGCCCTGGAATACTCAACTGTAGCCAACCATAAAGTATACATTACTACAATGGATTCTGAGAATTTGGCCTTTTGGTTAGTGGTGGTTAACACAGAATGCTCTTTTATTGGGACATGTCGAAAGAATGTATTTGAGTTTGATCCAATGACCAAATTACATAGTTAATTCTGTAATATAGTAACTTGGCTTTCACTGACCTATGCTCAAAGATCATTTTGATTGAAATAAATGTTATATAAGATAAATTCTCTAATAGGGACTGAGGCATTTTAGTTAACCAAGGCTGCTACATTTGCTATTAAAGTCACTGGGTCTTCAGGTCTTAGAACAATATAGTAGGAAGAAGCTTATAATCTATATCCAGTGCCCAATGAAGTGATGTACAACACACTAAAAGCACCAATGAATATGTGTGTAAACACTCTATAGTTTAAAAAGGACATCACATACAAAATATTATTTGGTAACTAAAATGTATCTAGACCTTTCTTTGTATCTTTCAACATGCTCCCTTCACACATTATATGCCACTTCATATTCAAAGAAGCCTTTTTAGTTAAGCAAGGCAGGTATTATCACCCCATCATAGGTGTGGTAAGTGGTAAGCTTAAGTGAGCTACAGAAGTTCATACAGCTGCTAGATGTCAAAGCAGAAACTACACTTCCAAGGTGAAGGACATTCTCATTTGCTTCTCCTCCCCTTACCAGATCTCCATCAGAGAGCTGACTGACTTGCTTCTTGTGCAAGCAATGTGATCAAAATAAAATTATCTGATGACATCCCAGATATATGTCCTTTCTTGATAGCTGGCCAGCAGTAAGAGTTGTTTCATCTACTAACACCCCATAATAGAAAATCCATAGATTTTTACCCAAAAGGCAAACTGATAATTTAAAAGGTAAGCCTCCTACTGAGCCAAAGCCCAAACGTTATTTTAAAAGAATTTATTTAAAAATTCAAGGGCTAACATAAGGGAAAACCAAAGGCAGACTGCTCAGAGGTTTTTCTCTCTTGTTTTCTACTGTTTACATCAAGCAAGACATTTCAATTATCTAGAATAACTATGCCAATTATTTTGCATAGTCATTTGGCAGTAGTCCTAAAATAAGTCCTAACTTATTACACCAATTAATATGAATACTTTTAAATTATTTCAACTGAGTAAAATGTTTCTAAATTTTAAAATATCTATCTTAAGTGTGGAGAATTATTGGTTTATCTACTATGAATTACTAATAATTATGTTTTATATAAAATACAGCAGCTAACATGTTTTGAGTTCTTTATCATGTGCTGGGCACTGGGCTATTTAAACATGAAATCTCACTGAATCCTCACAACAATCCTACCGTGTAGGTAGAAACTTTTGGTTTTTGAGACAGGTGCTTTCTCTGTCACCCAGGCTGGAGTACAGTGGCATTATCACTGCTTACTACAGTCTCGACCTTTTGGCATCAAGTGATCCCCCTGCCTCAGCCTCCCAAGTAGCTGGGACTACAGGTATGTGCCACCACACCTGGCTAATTATTTTTTTAATTTTTTGTAGAGATGGAGGCCTCCCTATGTTACAGAGGCTGGTCTCAAACTCCTGTTCTCAAGTTATACGTCTCATCTTGGCCTCCCAAAATGTTGGGATTACAGGTGTGAGCCACTATGCCCAGCCACAAACAACTTTTAAATGTACTTCATAAATGTGGAAACAGAGGCACTAAACATTAGTTAACCAATCAGAAGGTAAGAAAACTGGGATCTGAAGGTAAAAAGTCTAGCCACTATACTATATGGCCTCTGTGATCTACCTGTTCTCTTGTATGGCTTTGAGATAATGGAGAAAGCATAGACTCCAGACTCTGACTACCTGTGTTCAAATCCTAGCTCCTGTGCTTGTAGATGCAATCTTGAGAAAGCTAGAGAAAATGTTCTTGCACTTCTCAACAACAAAAGGCACGTAAGGACCTGGGTAAAGTGGCTCATGCCTGTAAATCAGGACTCTGGAAGGCCAAGGCAGGAGGATGGATCACTTGAGGTCAGGAGTTCAAGACCAATAGAGTGATACCCCATCTCTAAAAAACCTTTGTTTAAATGAAATAGCCAAGCATGGTGGTACATGCCTGTAATCTCAGGAGGCTGAGTTGGGAGGATCACTTGAACCCAGGAGTACAAGGCTGCAGTGAGCTATAACTGCACCACTGTACCTAGCCTGGGCTACAGAATGAAACCCTGTCCCAATTAAAAAAAAAGAAAAAGAAAAAAGGCACTTAAGGCCTGATGTAAGCATTTCTACACTGCAGAATTGTTATGAAGAGAAAACGTAATGCCTAGAAAACAGTGACTGGCTCACGCTTAGGGATCAAAACTCTCAGCTGTAACACAGTGAATCCTCAGGGGATGGTGAGGTGTCTGGGGCTATGGCTCCACACCAAATGGCCTCAAACTGCTCTTGTTGAATTCTTAAGTCTTCTTTCTTTTTAAAGGTTTTACTTCCTCATGCTATCACTTAATCAAGCTGACACTGTCTGGGGATGTGCCTGTATATAAGGCATTGCCTTCTGTGCCTTTTTTTTTTTTTTTTTTGAGACAGCAGATCGCTCTGTCACCCAAGCTGGAGTACAGTGGCAAGATTATGGCTCATGCAGCCTCGACCTCCTGGGTTCCAGCAATACTCTCACCTCAGCCCCCCAAGTAGCTGGGACTACAGGTGTGCGCCATCACGTCTGGTTAATTTTTGTATTTTTGTGGAGATGGGGTTTCACCATGTTGCTCAAGCTAGTCTCAAGCTCCTGGCTCAAGCCATCTGCCGCCTCAGCCTCCAAAGTGCTGAGATTACAGGCATGAGCCACCACACCCAGCATGTGCCTCTTTCAAATACATTATCAACTAGAAAGCTAAACTAGAAAGCTAAATACACTACAAACTAGAAGGCTAAACTTTCTAAAACAATTTCTAAGTAGGAATATCAAATTCTAAGAGAAGATTCTGGGTCTTTCCAATTAGCTAAGAGAAAAACTTCAGTGTGTGGACATTGTAACATCTAGTTTTGTCTTTTTAGAGTTTGAGTTGCTTATTCACCTTCTTTGTGAGGTTTGAAGAATGCTGAGGATACCACACATTTCAGACCTACACATAAACTTGGTCTTGCTGGAGCACACTAAAACGTGGCACGGCCACTATCCCATCCAATCAAATATACAGGACAAAGAGAGGCAAAGTGGGTACAGGTTGGTATATTAGATTGCTCAAAAAATGCATAAAAACATATGCAACCTTTTCTGGCTAAGAGTTAAAAGAAATTAAAAATGACACTTAGGCTGGGTGTGGTGGTTCACGCTTGTAATCCCAGCACTTTGAGAGGCCAAGGCGGGCAGATCGCTGAGAGCCCAGGAGTTCAAAACCAGACTGGGCAACATGGTGAAACCCACTCTCCATTAAAAATACAAAAATTAGCTAGGCATGGTGCCCGGCGCCTGTAGTCCCAGCTACTGGTGGGAGGATCACTTGAGCCTGGGAGGTGGAGGTTGCAGTGAGCCAAAATCACTGCCAGCCTGGGTGACAGAATGAGACCATCTTAAAAAAAAAGACACCTGATAGACGATACATTTGGAGGTTTAAGGTGCTTTACAGAAGAGGAACTAAGGTATTGGGCAGATGTGCCCATTTTAGACACATTTACCAAACTTACTGCCAAATATGGTGGTCTGACAGAACTTTTCAGTACACTATGCCAACCTAATGCTATTTGCACACACTCTCTAGTAAGTCAGCAAAGGGAATTGACTCCATCTTTCAGTGATGAGCCCATTAGACAAACCTAAGTACTGAAAACCGCTAAGTGGTAGAAGAGAACATAATCACACTGTTTACTGTGAGACAAAGTCTTCAATGGATTAAAATAAAAGCACACAAGGGAGGGTGAAATGGAAGGATCATACAAAATATATCTGAGATACCTCAAAAATAAAAGAGCTGTCAAATCGGAAACAAAGTTTAGAATGTTCCATTCTTATTACAGCAACTATATCAAGGACTGCTATATTTCTGTGTCACACCATAGAAACTGCCATTCCCAAACATTTTTCAAAATTCAAGGTGTCAGCCATTCCCTATCCAAGAAGCTGATTGATAAAATATATATATATAATTTTTTTTTTTTGAGACAGAGTCCCGCTCTGTCGCCCAGGCTGGAGTGCAGTGGTGCAATCTCAGCTCACTGCAACCTCTGCCTCCTGGGTTCAACTGATTCTCCTGCCTCAGCCTCCCAAACAGCTGGGACTACAAGCACCTGCCACCACATCTGGCTAATTTTTGTATTTTTAGTAGAGACGGGGTTTCACCGTGTTGGCCAGGCTGTTCTCGAACTCCTGACCTCAGGTGATCCGCCAGCCTCGATCTCCCCTCCCAAAATCCTGGGATTATAAGCGTGGGCCACTGTGCCTGGCATGTGTCACATTTCAAAAAGGCTATGAACCATAATAGGGCAGGGGTCAGCAAACTTTTTCTGTAAAGAGCCAGATAGTAAATATCTTAGGCTTTGAAGGCCAAAGTTTCTGTCATAACTACTCAACTCTGCCATTAGACCATGAAATTAGTCATTGACAATACATTAAATGCTATGGTCTGAATGTTTTTGTCCCCCCAAATTTACCAATGTGATGGTGTTAGGTGGTAGAACCTCTGAGGGACGATTAGGTCATGAGGGCAGAACCCTCATGAATGGGATTAGTGTCCTTAAACAAGAGGCATGCATGACCCCCTCATTCTTCCCATCATGTGAGGTCAGAACAAGAAGGTGTCATCTACGAACCAGGAATAGGGCCCACACCAGACACTGAATTTGCCAGCACCTTGATCTTGGGTTTCCCAGCCTCCAGAACTATAGGAAACTAAATTTCTGTTGTTTATAAGCCATCCAGTTTATGGTATCTTGCTACAGTAGCCCCAAAGGACTAAGACATAAACTAATGAGTATAGATGTGTTACAATAAGGCTTTATTTATAGACTCTGAAATTTGAATTTCATATAATTTTCACATCACAAAATATTATTCTTTTGATTTTTTTTTCCAACCACTAAAAAATAAAAATAAAAAACATTCTTAGTTTGCAGGCTACACAAAAACAGGTGGCAGGCCAGATTTGGCCTGTGGGCCATAATTTTCTGATCCTTGATACTAAGCTGCCCTAATTCAAGCATGTATATGCAAAAAACCTACCAACTACAATTTTAGAATTATGTTACTTTTGAATCTAGAGGGGATGGAGTATGCTATTATGTTTTCTGAAATAGAAACTATGGGCCGGGCATGGTGGTGCGTGCCTGTAGTCCCAGCTACTCAGGAGGCGGAGGTGGGAGGATTGCTTGAGCCCAGGAGGTTGGTACTGCAGTGAGCTGTGATCATGCCACTGCATTTCAACCTGGGTGAAACAGTGAGACCCAGAAAAGAAAGAAAGAGAGAAAGGAGAGAAAAAAAGGAAAGAAGAAAGGAAGAAAAGAAAAGAAAAGAAAGAAGGAAAGGGAGGGAGGGAGGGAGGGAGGAAGGAAGGAAGGAGAGAGAGAAAGAAAAAGAAAGAAAGAGGGAGGGAGGAAGAATGGAAGGAAGGAAGGAGGGAAGGAGGGAAGGAAGGAAGGAGGGAAGGAAGGAAGGAAGGAAAAGGAAAGGGAAGGGAGGAAGGAAGGAAGGAAACAAACTATCCTACAGAGACTACTTAAAACTCTTGGCCTCTAAAGTTAATACCAAAATGTTAAATGAGAAACTGTGTGCCTTTTTAATAACCTTTAAACATATTTTAGCTTACCTCAGGAATGACTTAAACCTCAGCAGTGCTCATATTAGCAAAGTATTTTTACGTCCATCCTTGATAGCTAGGGTCTCTCCCCACCCCCCAAGCCAACTAATCATTAAGGCACTGTGCCAATAATAAGTTTCCGTAATATGATACCAGCTATTTCCAGAAGCTTCATTAGAAAATATGTTGAGTCTAAAATAAGTATGAGAACACTTTGGGATCAGAGATGAGATTGCCGAGAACAAGGGTTTAGTCAGCCTTTTGTGAACTCAGCAGAAGTGTGCAAGGTAAGTACTATAAAATCTTATAGGCAGTTCTGTTACTATTCAAAACTGGTTCTATATGTCACTAGATTACAGGGTATTCTTACCAATTCTATATAACAAACAATTTCAAATAACCAAGAGGTTACTCTGATTCCATGATGACACTTTCCACGAGTTGATGTAATCATTCTTGTATGGATAGCCTTGTAAACTGGTGCTGTTAGCCTGTACTAAACCTTTTCCATTTGATTGGCCTCAGAGGGTTCAGATCAAACACCTTCCTTGCAGGCAGTGCCCCCTGTGGGGTGGGGAAAGGAGGGCACAGTCTCCAATATGTAAGCTGGCTCCCTACAACATCTCTAAAAACATCTACAGTGGCTCAAGAACAGTGTTTTTCAAATAGTGGGTTCCTGAACCACTAAGAGGTCATAGGCCAATGCTGTGTGTCACAGAAAGCATTTTTTAATGGAAATGAGACAGTATTATTGAGAACATCAGCAAGCATGGCATGTTTTAGGGATAAGTCTTGTCTTGTGAAAATCTGTTTCTGTTATTTATAGTAACGTATGTGTGTACTGGGTTGTGATGTAAATTTTCTTACTTTACAGGGGTAGCAGTCTAAAAATGGCTTGAAATGCCTGCCAGACCTAAACAGATATAAAAGATAAGCAAGCAATCAGGAGAGCAGTCAGACCTGGAAATAAAAACTGCAGTCATCACTTGATGGCACAGAAAGCTTTGGGATAATTGGCATAATCTAAGAAAAGGGCATCAGGTAGGAGAAAAGTGCCCAGCCTTAGACGATAGGGACACCAACATTTAGAGGGCAGATAGAGGATGAAGCACCAAAACTCAATGAAGGAGTGGCCAGAGAGGTGGGAGGAAAATCATGAGCTGAGGCTCCCTGTGCAAGCTTCTTCTACTGCAGGGAAAACCTGTAAAACTAAAAGTTAAAGCTGGGCACAGTGGCTCACACTTGTAATCTCAGCACTTTGGGAGGCCAAAGTGGGCAGATCACCTGAGGTCAGGAGTTAGAGACCAGCCTGGCCAAAATGGCGAAACCCCATCTCTACTAAAAATACAAAAATTAGCCAGCATGGTGGCGCACACCCGTAATTCCAGCTATTAAGGTGGCTGAGGCACGAGAATTGCTTGAATCCGGGAGGCAGAGGCTGCAGTGAGCCAAGATGGGGCCATTGCATTCCAGCCTGGGGTACAGAGCGAGACACTGTCTCAGAAAAAAAAAAAAAGTGAGTAAGAAGGCATATCTCAATTTCCCATTTTAAAAAAATAAGGCATGAATGAGGAAGGGTTGGAGAATGTTTATAAAGTAAAGACAGTAAAAGATGCTACAGAGCCTGGAAATTTACTTACTTTGCTGATACATATCTAAGAATACTCGCTTGATATTTTATGGTAAGTACTGTATACCAAGAGAGGATGTTGGTATCCATTTAAACCACCTATTTCCATATGTGAAAACATGTGGGAGACTCACATAATGGTTAATCATTTTAGGTTTGTCTGTTAGCGTTCTAAAGGTGCCAAACTGCACCACAGTGAATCTTGTCCTTAAAGTATATTTTCCACGATCTTCTTGCAAATTTCACACTAAATTTCCTGTGAGGAAAGGATAATAGTTAATAACCTGGGAGCAAATGCTTTCAACATAAAGTATAATAGAATAACAGGGTTGCCTTTTGTTTAGACTGGAGTTGTCCCAAGGCTTTATCCTGAGCCCCTGTCGTTACAAGCCACAGCTTCTAATCTTCTGGGCAGCAGCCTCAGTTGGAGGTAAGGGGGGTTCCCTGGAAACAAACATGAAAATCCAGTATCATGACTACTTTAAATGTCTTTGTCTAGTTCATAACTTCTTACAAATAACCTGTCAGTACTCTTGGTCTTAATAATACAGCACATTTCTGTAGTGGGATGCTAACTTTCTTTTTCAATATTTACTTAGAAAAGAGGTAACTACTGCTCAGGACAATTAGTATGTTACAGAATCAGGAGGATGATACTGAAAAACGGGCCTTAAAAATTATCTTGCCAAGTTTCCTCATTTAACAGATAAGAAACTGGAGATTTTTCCAGGTGATCCAGAGGAAAGAACCTGGCTGTCAGAAGCAGTTAGATGAGGGTTTCAATCCCACTTCTATTACTTTTTCATCACACAAAGTCAGTTTCAGTTACCTTTATTTGTAAAATAAAGGTAACTACCAATCTCACACAGGATAATTAAAAGGAAGCAATGTGTTTAAAGCACTTAGCACAGTGCTGGCACATGGTAGGTATTCAAAAGTAAGTCCCTCTCCTTCAGCCCAGGGAAAAGTCCACATTGGGACCTACTCCCACTCCTCTGTGACTTTACCCCCCTCCCCCACAAACACACACACACAAGGAAAAAGACCACAAGAATATATATGTATTTCATCTTTTTATTCGTCCTGATTTAAATATAAAATTAACATTAAGGGGCTTCTTATATAACACACCTAAATTCAAACTCAATCCAAAAGATGGCAATGGTCTAAGGAATGCGTAGAGAAAGAAGAAAACCAAGGTGCCTCAGTGAGACAAGGCGAAAACAAGCAAGTTCAACATCACAGAAGTCAAAGTTGTAATTCCATATAAATGGCTACTGTTATCAAAAGCCAGGAAAAGATCAAAGAGAAACAGAAGCTTAAATAACCCATTGTATTGGCTATAAAAATCAGTGGTGACCTTGAAGAGAGATATTCCAAAGGTGAGGGTAAAAAACTAAAGCCAGTAACAGAAGTCAAAATAAAAATAAGTGCTAGATAAGTAAAATCAATGGAAACAGCCACTCATTTGAAGTGCTCAGCAGTAAGGAGACAAATCAAACAATTATCATGTGTGGGGGCAAGATCAAAAAGTAGGAGATAAGAGCACAGGCTCTGAAACCACACTGCCTGGATTCACATCCCAACTCTACCAAATAATAGCTATGTGACCTTAGGAGAACTACTTACCTTCTCCATGCCTATTTCCACATCTGCAAAGCAAGCTTAAAAACATTACTTCCTCTGCCAGTTATTTTTCTGTTGGTTCTCAATTCTTCTCCGCATTACAAGGGGCTAGAAGTCTATAAACTATATTTTCCAAACTCCCTTGTCAACTTGCTTCCAGTTGGGTTCCACCCATGGGAAACACTGTCAACAGACTGCAAGGTGAGAGAAAGAAAAGGGGCCTTTTTTTGTTTCCTGGTTCTAGCGATACCTCCAACAGCAGCAACAGATAACTGTAGGCTCCATCATCATCTGTGGTGGCTCCAAAGCAGCAGAACCAATGAAGATCTCCAGCAGACCTGCAGGGCATGCACTTTATGCAGCAGTGGACACCTGACACTTGATAACATCCTCTTCTCCTTTTTACTCATTCAACAATCAACATTCATTTACACATTCTCCCTCTCTCTCTCTCTCTCTCTCTCTGCTTTTCTGGTCCAACATTACCCTCCCAACACACACTTTTTTCTTTTTGTTCCTCCAGCCCTTTCAACATCACTATAACCAATACCCTGCATTAAATCTTTCTCTGCTGAAAACATCTATCTAATGGTAGGTTTTTGGTGTTTTGTTTTGTTTTTTTTCCATTTTCCTGACTGGACACTAACTGATAGC